>NC_000007.14:31490242-32115242 GCF_000001405.40 Homo sapiens
TGGAATGGTGGTGAGTTTCCCGTCCCAGGCTCTGGCCCTGGGATGCTGCCCTGCTTCCTTCATTCCGTGCATTACGCCAGAAACCTTCTGATAAGTCCATATTACTTACTGTTTTGCTTAAGCCTGTTTGAGTTCAGGTTCTGTGATCTGTAATTAAAAACATGTTAAAAATGCAGCTTCCCAGTCTCCTCACGACCTCCAGGGATCACCCTTTCCCATATTCCCACATTGCCTGGGACTTCATCTTCCCTGACATATTTTAAATATGCTGAAGAAAAGTCCATGTTTTCCAAAGCATGTTTGTCAGAAACTTCTACTACTGGGAAACTGAATTTGACTGTCTCTCAATTTTTTGAGATGGCCTTTATCAGAGCAGCAGTTAAGGAATTGGAAGACTGTAAGTTGGTATTCTCCACAGATTCTATGAGGTCCCTGGGATAGGACATATGTATTGTCTCTTCATAGATGTACAAGTGCACACATATACACACATGCTAGGGTGCATTCTTATGGATGTACAGGGCAATTTCAGTTGTTGCTTTTATGACCAAATGAAAGCAATACCATTTTCCTCGATGTTTTATAAAGGAAAGGCCTTTACTTGGGCTCTGGGTCAGTTTAGAGTTCTTTAAAACCATCTGGAGCATAATTTTCTTTCTTCTGAACAATTTCTTTGTGCTATTTTTCTTTAAGCTCAACTGTAGTAGGAAAAAAAATAAAAGCCTTTAGAAACCAAGCCAAAAATCGGTGTGAATCCTGACAGCAGGCTCCAAAATGCCAAGTGGGAGAGAAAGAAATGGAAACACTGACTTTTTCCAAAGCCATATAACAATTCATCCTTCAGCAGACATCCATGTGGTCTGATGCATCTAAGCTTTCAGAGGCTGGCCTGGGCCAGCAGGAGCAGTTTGTCCCAGTGGCTGCATATTGTCATGTGCCCATCTATCCATCTACTTCCACCACACTGAAGCTGGTGACCTTTAGGATTTGCTGCAAAATCCAGATGTTCAATCTGGCTCTTAAACCCCCAGAGGACTAACTATTGGTGTATTGCAGAGGTGCATGTAGATATTTTAAACTGCAAATGATAAGTTCATTTGGACGGTGGCTTCTGGACATCTTAGAAGGAATGATCTACTGCTGAAAATTGGATTTTTCTGTGGCTTTGCTTTTAAGAATAAATTCTTCTGTTAATCCTAGATCTATACTCTATTGCTCATAAAGGCAGCCTTATAATTATGAAGATATGACCCACTTTATGAAAACTATTTATACAAAAATCTTAAGTTCAAAATAAATTTAACATACGGTAGTTGTTTGAATTTTAAAGTTCTATTAATAATTTTTAATCAAATGATTCTTTTTTTTTTTTTTTTTTGAGGTGGAGTCTCACTCTGTCACCCAGGCTGGAGTGCATGGTGCCATCTCGGCTCACTGCAACCCCTGTCTCCTGGGTTCAAGCGATTCTCCTGCCTCAGCCTCAGTCAGTAACTGGGACTACAGGCACGCACCACCATGCCTTGTTAATTTTTTGTGTTTTAGTAGAGACAGAGTTTCACCATGTTGCCCAGGCTGGTCTCAAAATCCTGAGCTCAGGCAATGTGCCCATCTCAGCCTCCCAAAGTGCTAGGATTACAGGCATGAGCCACCGCACCAGGCCAAATGATTCTTATAAACTTCTAGCTTCTCTGGTTCCTCTGAAATAGGTGATTTGTGACAATTCATACCTGTTAGGAGAAAGAAATGTTTTGAGTAAGGTGGAGATGCAGGTACTCTGAAACAAAAGTGTCAACTTGTGAGGTTTAATCATATGGCTTTCCCCATAATTAGAATTGATAGTTGTCTTGATCACTTTTGAGCTTGAGAGGAGTTTCCTATCCATGTGACCTATGACTAAACTAGAGTCTAGTTGGTGATTTGTTGTCTGTGACAGATCCCATAAGCTGTTACTGAAACTGGTAAGCTGGTCTCTTAAGTGTCCTTAGATTCTCCTTACCACCTGCCTGCTAGGTCACAGTGTCGGGGGAAGAAACCTGGGCTTGGAGCCAGAAACCTGGGTTTGAGATTAGGTTCTAGCATTGACCACTCATAGCATCTGGTGAATAATTTACTTCTCAGAACCTCTGGTACCTTGTTTGTAAAACAGGAATAACGGGCCGGGTGTGGTGGCTCATGCCTGTAATCCCAGCAGTTGGGGAGGCCAAGGCAGGTGGATTACGAGGTCAGGAGTTCAAGATCAGCCTAGCCAAGATGGTGAAACCCTGTCTCTACTAAAAATACAAAAAAAAAAAAAAAAAAAAAATTAGCCGGGCGCCTGTAATCCCATCTACTCAGGAGGCTGAGACAAAAGAACCGCTTGAACTCGGAGGGTGGAGGTTGCAGTGAGCCGAGATCGTGCCACGGCACTCCAGCCTGGGCTACAGAGTGAGACTCCATCTAAATAAATAAATAAATAAACAAACAGGAATAACACCTGCCCAAGCTCTCTATGTTGTCATGAGATTTAAATGAGATACCATTATGGAAATGCTTCATAATCTATAAAAAAAATACACAAAGGTTAGTTATCCTCTTTATTTTGTCCATAAAATAATAGTTTCCTCTCTGGAATGCTCATCCCTATTCCTTCACAAGGGGTATGAGTCCAGATTCCAGCAAGAAGCAGAATCTACTCCACAGTTTTTAAGGCAGATACTGTAATGAAGGGATAGAAGTGTGGGTAGGGTTAAGGGAACAACCAGGAAAGGAGAGAGCCCAGAGAGTAACAACAGTGAGAAGCCATTACTCCCTCTATGGTCAGAGGGCCTAGGGTAGCAGTGGGAGGACCTATGCCACTGGAGCCCAGAAAGAGCTGGAGTCACAGAGGAGGGGTCACTCAATGGGAGCTACAGTCCCAGAGGGCCACAGTCTCTCCAAACACTCCTAAGCAGGGAAGAGGAGGAGAAACAAGGTCCTCACCTGTCCCTCCTCCTGCCTCCTGGAGTCTCTCATTGACCAAAGTCACTGGAAACCAGCTGGTAAGTGATCCAGGCAATGGTGCTATTTGTGGAGTTAGAGAAGAGCAGGGAAGGCACATGCATGGGGCGAGTGGAGCATTGCCAGTTCACTGGTCAAGTTCCTGCCCATTGCTTAGCTCCCATCTCCTCAGGATGCAGAGGACTTTCACCAATCCCTTGTTGGATTCAACTCCACCATCTTGTGTTTTCTCCATAACTCTTACTATCACCTGAAACCCTCTTCTTATTTATTTGCTTGGTTGTTTCCTGTTCATCCTCCCCTACTAGAAGGTACATTCTATGAGGCCAGGAACTTTGTTGGCCTTGTTCACTTCCCTTACTCCAAACCTGGAGCATAACAAATACTTGTTAAATATCTGCTGCATGTACAATGATGGCAGAGTAATTGAGTAAGAGGTAATATGATCAAGGATGCCATCAAATGAATACCTGAACTGTAAGTATATGAGGAGAAATTCCCGTTGCTCCTGCCCCTGGTTGAATCACCAGTCAAATTTTTGCATTCTGAAGAACTCAGACTGCTGGGCTGAGGCATGCTCATTTATGCCATTTCCTCAAAGCCTCTTTGTTTCCTCATTGTTCTTTGCACATTGCAACAGGAATAGTTCTTCCATGATGAACTGAGGCCACTCCTTTTCTATTTGCATCTGAAAGTGGGGACTTGGCCACTTCCTCTACACGTTCCTTATCTTTTTGGCAAAAAGGGAGCTCCTGTTGTTGTGTAACAGCTGTTGCCCCCAGACTCCCAGATGAGTCACCACAATGGCAATGGTACTAGTAATCCTTTATGCTCATATAAAGTGCTTTAGGGATTAAAACTATTTGTGCAGTTATCATCTCTTAATCCTGACACTCTCCCATGAGAGAAGTGTTATTTTCTTGTCTCAGATAAGGAAGTTGAGGCCTCCCATGCGTGGATTTTCCTTGTCAGTGACAGATTTTTTCCTGGAGTAATCTATATAACTTTTTAGTAGCACTGATCCAGGAAACAGCTCTCAAGGGGACTGGCTTTGAGACCAAGTTCCATTTTGCCTACGGAGCAAGTCACCTAACCTCTTTGAACCTCAGTATCCTCATCTACGAGACAACAAACACTTCTCTTATGGGACAGTGTCAGGATTAAGAGATAATAGCTGCACAAATACAGCTCTCCTGGCTCCTCACAGTTCAGTCTTTTCTAGCAATTGGCATGGCTTCATTCAGTATCTTTTAGTTGGTCAGGCAGCTTGGTCGGTGACAAAAATTTGGACTTTGGACTCAGACTTAAATTTAAGACCTTTGGGAGGCTGAGGTGGGTGGATCACTTGAGCCCAGGAGGTTGAGAACTGCCTGGGCAACATGGTGAAACCCCATGCCTACAAAAAATACAAAAATTAGCCAGGCATGTTGGCACATGCCTGTAGTCTGAGCTACTTGGGAGACTGAGAAGGGAGCATCACCTGAGCCCGCAAGGTTGAGGCTGCAGTGAGCTGCGACGACGCCACTGCACACCAGCCTGGGTGACAGAGTGAGGCCCTGTCTCTAAAAAAAAAAAAAAAAAAAAAAGAAAGAAAGAAAAGAAAAAGAAAAACAACAACAACCACAAAAAGCCTCACTCTGGAACACAGTTTCTTTTTTATTTCAGGCAAGTAACATTTCTCTCACGCCACTGTTCTCTCTTCTCTTGAATGGGGTTATTAAAACACAGCTTCCAGAGTCATTTTGAGAATAAAATATCACAATATACATGGAAGTATTTGTCACATAATAGGTGCTCCACAAATGTTAGTTCTCCTCCTCTTGTCCCACTTGCATGCTTTCATTTTATAAGCCACTTCACATCCCCTTTATGAGACTGGAGACAGTATCAACCCAAAATAAGCTAGATTTTTAAATAACAGTCCACTCTGAGCTGTGAGGAGGAAGGGGAGCCCAGGCCAGGCAGAAGCTCCTTGCCCTGTACTCGAGAGGTATGGGAGGCAGCCTAGTGATCTTGGCTTAATTCTAACCTCATCCTGACCTTGAGGCCACACTTATTTGCTCAGCATCAATCATGCCCATGAACTTCTATAAATGTTATTGAGGTTTAAAAGGGGAAAGCAGCTGGTGCATATAGGTAAAAGGATAAGAGATTCCAAATTCAACTCTAGCTTCTTGGAGGAATTAAGCACATGTATTTACTACTCTTTCACTGAGTGGCAGGTCCCATTCTAAGTGTTTTACACCAATTACCATATTTAAAATTTAGGTCAACTCTATGAAGTGTACTCTCATTACCCCCACTTTGAAGGTGAGGAAACAGAGAGTGTTAGAGGGGATATTAGTTTGTTCTCACTCTGCTAGTAAAGACACACTCAAGACTCGATAATTTATTAAGGAAAGAGGTTTAATTGACTCAGAGTTCTGCAGGACTGGGAAGGCCTCAGGAAACTTACAATCATGGCAGAAGAGGAAGCAAACATGTCTTTCTTCACATAGTGGCAGCAAAGAGAATTGCCCAGCAAAGGGGGAAAAGCCCCTTGTAAAACCATCAGATCTCGTGAGAACTCACGAGAGTTCACGAGAACAGCATGAGGGTAACTACCCCCATGATTCAATTACCTCCCACTGGGCCCCTCCCATGACACATGAGATTATGGGAACTACAATTCAAGATGAGATAGTTAGCCAAGAGCAAACCAGAATTTGATCCCAGTCACTGATAGTCACATTGGCCCTATGAGATAACAGCCCTGAAATTCTCAAATCTTCCTAAATCTCATTTGCCCAATCAACCAACCTTAATGTTTGGCCAATCATTGTTAGAAGAAATGAGGAAGTGTAAGGGAAGGAAAAGAGACTTGATCTAAGTTCTTGGCCACCAGTGGGTGCTGAGTCTGAGTGTAGAGAAAAAAGAAGACAGGAGATGATGCAGCACATCAACATTTGTGCTCATAAAAAATATTTTGAATAATCTTTGTCCCTTCCAAATATGGAAAAAAAAAAGTTTTTCCAGATCCTTAGCATGTCTACCCTGTTTCTCCACCTTAGCTTTTCCATACCTTCACTAAAGGGGAAGATAGAAATCCTGGGGCTCCTTTTGATGGAGGCCATGAGGACCCTGAATAAGCAAAGGACAACGGCTCTCCTTCTGTTGTTCTGGCTCCACAGCAGTAAACAGCTACCTTGTCCCCTAGGGAAGCGGACCTCACCGCTGATGTGAGCATAAACACTCTCTGCTGCATCCTATGATGATAACGGGAAGTCCTTGCTGTGCAGGAGGGCAAGCGGACTTTGCAGTTAATCAAACAGCCATGTGGACATTGTAGTTAATCAAGTCAGAAATTGTGGCATCAGCTCTATTTGACACAAAAGAAGGGCAGAGGTCCCTAGTGGTACCACACAAAAGGAAAGGTGGTAAAGATAATGTCTTGGCTATGAATTACTGTTAAAAAAAGATAGGAAGGAATATGCTGGCTGTGATTTTTAACATGGGTCAAGGGTATTTGACATGCACATGCCAGTTATTTTTGCGAGGCAAAATCTGCAGTGTTGGAGGTATGGATTCCCTTGAAGGCAGGGAGATGATACCACCACCATAGCCTCTACATTTGAATCAGCTGTCTTGGAAAGTGGAGTGATCCCCATTTCCATTCACATGTCCTGCAGAGCCTGGGAGACCCCTTGGGGTAATATGTGAAGTGGATTCAATCATTGGATGGTAGGGAGTGAATTATAGCAACCTTAAGATTGGATATTCTAATACTATTCAAACTGTGCATGGACTTCTCAGTGAACACTTCCATATAATGAGAGCAAGAATTGTATCCCCAGTGCCTGGCACACAGTTATTGCTCAATAAATATTTGATTGATCAGTGAGTACATAATAACACATACATACATACTTTTAAAATCTAGTACTTACAAGGTACTAGGTAGTACGCTAAAGAGTTTTATACATCAATCAGTCTCCATAAACAAAGTATGCAAAGGCTAGGGGAATTGTCCAGTGTCACAGAGCAGTCGTCATAGGATCAAGGCTTTATTCTAAACCATCATGCTGATGAGCACAAGCCAACGAGGTTTTCTTGAAAGTAAATCACTTTATATCCTGTCTATATTCATAAATTCTGCTAGAACATGTAAGGAGGAAAAAGTAATATCTTTTCTTCACCCATTACAAGGTCCACAGCTGACACCGCTAAAACAACAGCTAGATTAACAAGAGAAAAGCATAATAAATTTATGTACAAAGTTTTAGGTGGCACAGGGGCCAACAGAAATGAAGACTCCAACACCCAGGGAAAACTATATTTTTATGCTAAGTCTGATGAAAGAAGCAGATAGTTGTAGAGAAATGTGATTGTACAAAAAGGATATGATCTAATGGTAAACTGGGGGGAATTTTGCAAGGCTTGTTTCTTCAGACTGTTTCCTGCATGTCCGTATGATATTCCTTTCCCCACCACTGCTCCCCAGGAATGGAGTAGGACGCCTGTCACATGAGAACCTTCAAGGGAAACAAGAGGAGGTCAGAGAGTTACCTTCCCAGGTTTTATGGCTTGCTTTAGCGGGGAGGAGTTCTAGTTTCTATGACTCAACTTCAGGGAGAGATGAGGAAAAGAGAAAGAGGTGTATGTCTGAGGAGAAGATCAGAGAATTTCTTGCTTCTGAGATGTTTCCAATCTCCTTCAGCTAAAAATATTCCACATACGAAAGCACCATCCTTTTTGGGGTACCGTGTTCTGAGCCCTGACAAACTTGAATTCTTTTCTAGTTTGCAACAACAACAAAAAAAGTCCCAGCTGGGTGCGGTGGCTCACGCCTGTAATCCCAGCACTTTGGGAGGCCAAGACTAGTGGATCACCTGAGGTCAGGAGTTGGGGACCAGCCTGGCCAACATGGTGAAACTCTGTCTCTACTAAAAATACAAAAATTAGCCAGGCATGGTGGCGGGCGCCTGTAATCTCAGCTACTCTGGAGGCTGAGACAGGAGAATTGTGAGAACCCGGGAGGCTGAGGTTGTAGTGAGCTGAGATTGCACCATTGTACTCCAGCTGGGGCAGCAACAGCCAGATTCTGTCTCAAAAAAAAAAAAAAAAAAGTCCCAGAACATCAAAGTTGAGCCCCCGAATGGTTGCTGGAGGTTGTTTGGCTTAGACCCCTATCTTCACATGGGATACCAAGACTTCAGGAGTTTAATGATGGGCCTCAGATCCCCATCTAGGATGAACCAATTTTCCCTCTTGCCTGGGACTGAGGGGTTGCTGAAATGCAGGACTTTCAATGCTGAAATCAGGAATGACTTGGGCGGACAAGGAAGAACTGGTCACCCTATCCCCACCCAGTGAGTTGTAGAGTAAGAATTTAAAATCTGCCCCCGAGTGCTGGCCCCACACAGAGGATCTCTCAGCCACTTCCCTCTGTAGGGGCCTTGTGGGTTTGTAGATGTTGATCTGAGAAGCTGACACCCATAAGTGCTGTTATTGTTCACCAGGGCCTCTACCTTTTAGCATCGTTTTCAATGCTGTAGCACAAATGTTCAGTATATGAAGTGTCTAGGCACCTTGGCAAATACATAGAGGTCTGAGGGAGCATGGGAGATTTTCTTCAAAGACTAGCTGCTTGTTGGACATCTGTGTGTTGAGCAGGGTCAACCAAATTTATTATATCTGAAAATTTTTAATCAGAAATGTTTGCTTCAGGGAAAAGGAATAAAGCATTCTACTAGGTACTTGAGTGAAATTTTTATCATTTAATGCTCACAATAACCAATGAAACACATATTATTATTTAAATTCTTGTAGAAAAGGAAACTGAAGCTTAGCATGATTTAACAACATGCCAGAGGTCACATAGCTAGCAAGTAGCTTAATCTGGTTTTAAATGCAGCTCTTTCTCATTCTAAAGTCCAAAAATATAGAAGGTTTGGGGGAAACTGGGGAAGATATTTAGTCCACTGCTTTGAAAAATGATTGTCCTGGGCAAAAGCCCCAATCCCTGTGAGGTATTCATGGTTCAATAAATTAGGAAGCATTGTTCATTCCACCCTGGTTGGGAGCATCTCAAGGCATATTAGCATAGTCCTGCTACCAGGACTGTTCCTGCTTAATCACCATTTCCTAAATGTATTTTGCCATCATGCCTCTTTCTACCACCATTCGTTGTTGTTTAAGAGACTGTTCTTTGCTTCCATGTAAGATATATTAACATCCCGTGCACTTTGGATTACGATCCACTGGATACTTTATTCTGCTCTGATAAGACAGTCAAGGTCATGACAGGGATAGGCAATCCTTAATAACTCTTTGTGTGTATGTATGTGTGTATGAGACACAGAGACAGAGAGAAAGAAAGAGAATGAGGGAGAGAGAGACAGAAAGAACACACAGAGAGCACACGAGCCTGAGAACCTAAGCACCATCCCCATGTCTAATTGAGAAGAGGAACATGGAAATGTACACAGATAAACAAATGTGTCACTTCACTTGCTTTTCCTACAACTGAGCTCAAGGATCTGCCTCAACTTTTCTTCTTACCCTTTCTCATATGAATGTTGCAAGTGTGAATGGAAATAATTATGAATGGGAAATAATTTTGTCAGAGATTAGCATGTTTTGCTGGGGGTGGTGGGAGTTGGGGAGGGAGGGGGAATGAGGAGGAAAGGAAAGGTAGAGACACGAATTCATTTCCTGGTGTGAACAGAGGATGCAACTGTGAGATGTGACAGAATGCACCAGGATCCCTGAGGAAAGCTGTCAGGACAATCAGGACCCAACTTCCCTGAGACATTGCAGATGCAGCCCTGACCTATAGCAAGGAGTAGAGAGAGGGGCTGAGAGTGAAATTTTAGAGTCTTCTCTAAAATTTTAGATCCATATCTCAGGTATATGCACTGGACTGGACAATACTTAAGGTTACTTACCGATCAATGCATGATGATTTGATGATTTTGACCATCTTTACGAAAGGGTTACTAACAACCATCATTATAAAATTCTTCTTCAGAATGCTGCTTGGTAAGTAGCTCCCAATGCAGATTCTCCCAGCTTCTCACTAAAATACTCATAAGGAAGCAGAATAAGAGAAAATTCCCAGAATTAGAAACTGGAATTTATAGACACGTTACTGTTAGGATTTCTAATGCGTCCATACTCAATATAATACTTAAAAAAAGATCAGTTTGTGCCATGCCCTGGTTCAATATTTAACGAAATAGTAGGTGTTTCTTTCATTCCTTATCATCTCCTGCAGACTTAAGAACTAGGACCAGTACCTAAAAGATTAGTACTGTCTTTATCCTTCAGTCTTCCTTCCACATTCCACTTTTCAATTCTAAGGCAGGGACGATAAATCTCAGAGCTCAATTAGGACATATAAAGGGCAGAACTTTAGCAGAGTACACTCTGAAAAGTTCCATCCCATAAAAAAATTGGTGAAGTTTGAGGCTGAGGAAGGAAAAATTCACACAGTACTGAAAGCTTGTGAAGACTGAACTCTGACCTTTTTTCCTGGCTCAAAATCCTTTTCAATGGGTCTGGGAAAACTTAACACCTTATAAGCCATAAAATCTCCTTAAACAGATTTTTTTGGTCCAGTGTAGTGTGGCTTACTTCCAATCTGACCCTAGTTTGGCATCACATGCCAGGTAACAAACCGCCTTATCTTAACTTGGGCATTCCTTTCTGCTGACTTAAAGTTTTTTGATAAAGCTTAACCCTTTCAACCAATTGCCAACTAAAGAATCCCTAAAAGCCATCTTTGCCTTGTAAGTTCCTGTTTTGAGATGTCCCACTTTTTAGGGCCAAACCAATATATAACTCTCATGTATTGATTTATTATTTTACCTGCAATTCCTGTCTCCCAGAAATGTACAAAACCACATTATAACCTGACTTCCTCCATCACACTTTGTGTTTCCCCAAGCCATGGTCACTCATATTGGCTCAAAATAAACCACTTTTTAAAAATTTATTATTATTTTTTATTTATTATTATTATACTTTAAGTTTTAGGGTACATGTGCACAATGTGCAGGTTAGTTACATATGTATACATGTGCCATGCTGGTGCGCTGCACCCACTAACTCGTCATCTAGCATTAGGTATATCTCCTGATGCTATCCCTCCCCCCTCCCCCCACCCCACAACAGTCCCCAGAGTGTGATATTTCCCTTCCTGTGTCCATGTGTTCTCATTGTTCAATTCCCACCTATGAGTGAGAATATGCGGTGTTTGGTTTTTTGTTCTTGTGATAGTTTACTGAGAAGGATGATTTCCAATTTCATCCATGTCCCTACAAAGGACATGAACTCATCATTTTTTATGGCTGCATAGTATTCCATGGTGTATATGTGCCACATTTTCTTAATCCAGTCTATCATTGTTGGACATTTGGGTTGGTTCCAAGTCTTTACTATTGTGAATAATGCCGCAATAAACATACATGTGCATGTGTCTTTATAGCAGCATGATTTATAGTCCTTTGGGTATATACCCAGTAATGGGATGGCTGGGTCAAATGGTATTTGTAGTTCTAGATCCCTGAGGAATCGCCACACTGACTTCCACAATGGTTGAACTAGTTTACAGTCCCACCAACAGTGTAAAAGTATTCCTATTTCTCCACATCCTCTCCAGCACCTGTTGTTTCCTGACTTCTTAATGATTGCCATTCTAACTGGTGTGAGATGATATCTCATTGTGGTTTTGATTTGCATTTCTCTGATGGCCAGTGATGGTGAGCATTTTTCATGTGTTTTTTGGCTGCATAAATGTCTTCTTTTGAGTAGTGTCTGTTCATGTCCTTTGCCCACTTTTTGATGGGGTTGTTTTTTTCTTGTAAATTTGTTTGAGTTCCTTGTAGATTCTGGATATTAGCCCTTTGTCAGATGAGTAGGTTGAAAAATTTTTCTCCCATTTTGTAGGTTGCCTGTTCACTCTGATGGTAGATTCTTTTGCTGTGCAGAAGCTCTTTAGTTTAATTAGATCCCATTTGTCACTTTTGGCTTTTGTTGCCATTGCTTTTGGTGTTTTAGACATGAAGTCCTTGCCCATGCCTATGTCCTGAATGGTAATGCCTAGGTTTTCTTCTAGGGTTTTTATGGTTTTAGGTCTAACATTTAAGTCTTTAACCCATCTTGAATTGATTTTTGTATAAGGTGTAAGGAAGGGATCCAGTTTCAGCTTTCCACATATGGCTAGCCAGTTTTCCCAGCACCATTTATTAAATAGGGAATCCTTTCCCCATTGCTTGTTTTTCTTAGGTTTGTCAAAGATCAGATAGTTGTAGATATGTGGCGTTATTTCTGAGGGCTCTGTTCTGTTCCATTGATCTATATCTCTGTTTTGGTACCAGTACCATGCTGTTTTGGTTACTGTAGCCTTGTAGTATAGTTTGAAGTCAGGTAGCATGATGCCTCCAGCTTTGTTCTTTTGGCTTAGGATTGCCTTGGCAATGCGGGCTCTTTTTTGGTTCCATATGAACTTTAAAGTAGTTTTTTCCAATTCTGTGAAGAAAGTCATTGGTAGCTTGATGGAGATGGCATTGAATCTGTAAATTACCTTGGGCAGTATGGCCATTTTCACGATATTGATTCTTCCTATCCATGAGCATGGAATGTTCTTCCATTTGTTTGTATCCTCTTTTATTTCCTTGAGCAGTGGTTTGTAGTTTTCCTTGAAGAGGTCCTTCACATCCCTTGTAAGTTGGATTCCTAGGTATTTTATTCTCTTTGAAGCAGTTGTGAATGGGAGTTCACTCATGATTTTGCTCTCTGTTTGTCTGTTGTTGGTGCGTAAGAATGCTTGTGATTTTTGTACATTGATTTTGTATCCTGAGACTTTGCTGAAGTTGCTTATCAGCTTAAGGAGATTTTGGGCTGAGACAATTGGGTTTTCTAGATATACAATCATGTCGTCTGCAAACAGGAACAATTTGACTTCCTCTTTTCCTAATTGAATACCGTTTATTTCCTTCTCCTGCCTAATTGCCCTGGCCAGAACTTCCAACACTGTGTTGAATAGGAGTGGTGAGAGAGGGCATCCCTGTCTTGTACCAGTTTTCAAAGGGAATGCTTCCAGTTTTTGCCCATTCAGTATGATATTGGCTGTGGGTTTGTCATAGATAGCTCTTATTATTTTGAGATACGTCCCATCAATACCGAATTTATTGAGAGTTTTTAGCATGAAGCGTTGTTGAATTTTGTCAAAGGCCTTTTCTGCATCTATTGAGATAATCATGTGGTTTTTGTCTTTGGTTCTGTTTATATGCTGGATTACATTTATTGATTTGTTTATATTGAACCAGCCTTGCATCCCAGGGATGAAGCCCACTTGATCATGGTGGATAAGCTTTTTGATGTGCTGCTGGATTCGGTTTGCCAGTATTTTATTGAGGATTTTTGCATCAATGTTCATCAAGGATATTGGTCTAAAATTCTCTTTTATGGTTGTGTGTCTGCCCAGCTTTGGTATCAGGATGATGCTGGCCTCATAAAATGAGTTAGGGAGGATTCCCTCTTTTTCTATTGATGGGAATAGTTTCAGAAGGAATGGTACCAGTTCCTCCTTGTACCTCTGGTAGAATTCGGCTGTGAATCCATCTGGTCCTGGACTCTTTTTGGTTAGTAAGCTATTGATTATTGCCACAATTTCAGCTCCTGTTATTGGTCTCTTCAGAGATTCAACTTCTTCCTGGTTTAGTCTTGGGAGGGTGTATGTGTTGAGGAATTTAACCATTTCTTCTAGATTTTCTAGTTTATTTGTGTAGAGGTGTTTGTAGTATTCTCTGATGCTAGTTTGTATTTCTATGGGATTGGTGGTGATATCCCCTTTATCATTTTTTATTGCATCTATTTGATTCTTCTCTCTTTTTTTCTTTATCAGTCTTGCTAGCGGTCTATCAGTTTTGTTGATCCTTTCAAAAAACCAGCTCCTGGATTCGTTAATTTTTTGAAGGGTTTTTTGTGTCTCTATTTCCTTCAGTTCTGCTCTGATTTTAGTTATTTCTTGCCTTCTGTTAGCTTTTGAATGTGTTTGCTCTTGTTTTCTAGTTCTTTTAATTGTGATGTTAGGGTGTCAATTTTGGATCTTTCCTGCTTTCTCTTGTGGGCATTTAGTGCTATAAATTTCCCTCTACACACTGCTTTGAACGTGTCCCAGAGATTCTGGTATGTTGTGTCTTTGTTCTCATTGGTTTCAAAGAACATCTTTATTTCTGCCTTCATTTCGTTATGTACCCAGTAGTCATTCAGGAGCAGGTTGTTCAGTTTCCATGTAGTTGAGCAGTTTTGAGTGAGATTCTTAATCCTGAGTTCTAGTTTGATAGTACTGTGGTCTGAGAGATAGTTCGTTATAATTTCTGTTCTTTTACATTTGCTGAGGAGAGCTTTACTTCCAACTATGTGGTCAATTTTGGAATAGGTGTGGTGTGGTGCTGAAAATAATGTATATTCTGTTGATTTGGGGTGGAGAGGTCTGTAGATGTCTATTAGGTCTGCTTGCTGCAGAGCTGAGTTCAATTCCTGCGTATCCTTGTTAACTTTCTGTCTCATTGATCTGTCTAAAGTTGACAGTGGGGTGTTAAAGTCTTTCATTATTAATGTGTGGGAGTCTAAGTCTCTTTGTAGGTCACTCAGGACTTGCTTTATGAATCTGGGTGCTCCTGTATTGGATGCATATATATTTAGGATAGTTAGCTCTTCTTGTTGAATTGATCCCTTTACCATTATGTAATGGCCTTCTGTGTCTCTTTTGATCTTTGTTGGTTTAAAGTCTGTTTTATCAGAGACTAGGATTGCAAACCCTGCCTTTTTTTGTTTTCCATTTGCTTGGTAGATCTTCCTCCATCCTTTTATTTTGAGCCTATGTGTGTCTCTGCATGTGAGATGGGTTTCCTGAATACAACACACTGATGGGTCTTGACTCTTTATCCAATTTGCCAGTCTGTGTCTTTTAATTGGAGCATTTAGTCCATTTACATTTAAAGTTAATATTGTATGTGTGAATTTGAACCTGTCATTATGATGTTAGCTGGTTATTTTGCTCGTTAGTTAATGCAGTTTCTTCCTAGTCTCGATGGTCTTTACATTTTGGCACGATTTTGCAGTGTCTGGTACCGGTTGTTCCTTTCCATGTTTAGTGCTTCCTTCAGGAGCTCTTTTAGGGCAGGCCTGGTGGTGACAAAATCTCTCAGCATTTGCTTGTCTGTAAAGTATTTTATTTCTCCTTCACTTATGAAGCTTAGTTTGGCTGGATATGAAATTCTGGGTTGAAAATTATTTTCTTTAAGAATGTTGAATATTGGCCCCCACTCTCTTCTGGCTTGTAGAGTTTCTGCCGAGAGATCTGCTGTTAGTCTGATGGGCTTCCCTTTGAGGGTAACCCGACCTTTCTCTCTGGCTGCCCTTAACATTTTTTCCTTCATTTCAACTTTGGTGAATCTGATAATTATGTGTCTTGGAGTTGCTCTCCTCGAGGAGTATCTTTGTGGCGTTCTCTGTATTTCCTGAATCTGAATGTTGGCCTGCCTTGCTAGATTGGGGAAGTTCTCCTGCATAATATCCTGCAGAGTATTTTCCAACTGGGTTCCATTCTCCCCATCATTTTCAGGTACACCAATCAGACGTAGATTTGGTCTTTTCACATAGTCCCATATTTCTTGGAGGCTTTGCTCATTTCTTTTTATTCTTTTTTCTCTAAACTTCCCTTCTCGCTTCATTTCATTCATTTCATCTTCCATCGCTGATACCCTTTCTTCCAGTTGATCGCATCGGCTCCTGAGGCTTCTGCATTCTTCACGTAGTTCTCGAGCCTTGGTTTTCAGCTCTATCAGCTCCTTTAAGCACTTCTCTGTATTGGTTATTCTAGTTATACATTCTTCTAAATTTTTTTCAAAGTTTTCAACTTCTTTGCCTTTCGTTTGAATTTCCTCCCATAGCTCGGAGTAATTTGATCATCTGAAGCCTTCTTCTCTCAGCTCGTCAAAGTCATTCTCCACCCAGCTTTGTTCCATTGCTGGTGAGGAACTGTGTTCCTTTGGAGGAGGAGAGGTGCTCTGCTTTTTAGAGTTTCCAGTTTTTCTGCTCTGTTTTTTCCCCATCTTTGTGGTTTTATCTACTTTTGGTCTTTGATGATGGTGATGTACAGATGGGTTTTTGGTGTGGATGTCCTTCCTGTTTGTTAGTTTTCCTTCTAACAGACAGGACCCTCAGCTGCAGGTGTGTTGGAGTACCTGGCCGTGTGAGGTGTCAGTCTGCCCCTGCTGGGGGGTGCCTCTCAGTTAGGCTGCTTGGGGGTCAGGGGTCAGGGACCCACTTGAGGAGGCAGTCTGCCCGTTCTCAGATCTCCAGCTGCATGCTGGGAGAACCACTGCTCTCTTCAAAGCTGTCAGACAGGGACATTTAAGTCTGCAGAGGTTACTGCTGTCTTTTTGTTTGTCTGTGCCCTTCTCCCAGAGGTGGAGCCTACAGAGGCAGGCAGGCCTCCTTGAGCCATGGTGGGCTCCACCCAGTTGGAGCTTCCCAGCTGCTTTGTTTACCTAAGCAAGCCTGGGCAATGGTGGGCACCCCTCCCCCAGCCTCGCTGCCACCTTGCAGTTTGATCTCAGACTGCTGTGCTAGCAATCAGCGAGACTCCGTGGGTGTAGGACCCTCCGAGCCATGTGCGGGATATAATCTCCTGGTGCGCCGTTTTTTAAGCCTGTCAGAAAAGTGCAATATTTGGGTGGGAGTGACCCGATTTTCCAGGTGCCATCTGTCACTCCTTTCTTTGTCTAGGAAAGGGAACTCCCTGACCCCTTGTGCTTCCCGGGTGGGGCAATGCCTCACCCTGCTTCAGCTCATGCACGGTGCGCGCACCCACTGACCTGCACCCACTCTCTGGCACTCCCTAGTGAGATGAACTCGGTACATCAGATGGAAATGCAGAAATCACCCGTCTTGTGCATCACTCACGCTGGGAGCTGTAGACCGGAGCTGGTCCTATTCGGCCATCTTGGCTCCTCCCTCAGAAGTACTTCTTAAATAAAAACCCCAAAGCACAAACTATAAGGCAAAACTGTTTTTTGACAACATCAAAATTAAAGACCTCTGTCCAATATACCGCTCTATAGATTACATTAACATATGGGTGGCAGATTAGGAAAACATATTTGCACCTTTAAAAACCAACAAGGGATTAATCTGGAAAGTACAAGGGACTCTTATGAATCAATCAGAAACAAAAATGAATGCAGTACAAAAACAGGCAAAAGTTGTGACTATAGTATTCAAAGAAAGGTGGGCATGAAATGATAACCAGTATATGAAGAGATTCTCAACCTCATTACTCAAGGTATAATTAGATAACATTTAAACAATACAAACATATCAGTTTATACCCATCCGAATGAAAATCAGAGTGCACCCAAAATTAGCAAGGCTTGGGAAATTATATCTCTCTTGCACTACCCATATGAGTGTGGACAATACAACACCCTTCTGGAGAGCAATGTGGCTGAACTGAATGAAATTAAGTGTGCCTAAACCCTCCTGAGTAGACAATGGCCTGACCTGTGAAGATGAGTAGGAACAGTGATGCCATAAGGAGGAATCAACAGAAATGCACCCAGATTACTCAAGTCAGCTATGGCATAAAATTCTCCTTATGGTAATAAGGTGGACCACTGATGGTTGATGTTACTCACACCCACCTTATGCTCCCAACCTGATACGATTTGGATGTTTGTCCCCTCCAAATCTCAAGTTGAAATGTGACTTCCAGTGTTGGAGGTGGGCCTTGTGGGCAGTGTTTTCATCCTGGGGGTGGATCCCTCACTAATGGCTTGGTGCCCTCCCCACAGTAATGAGTGAGTTCTAGGTCTGTTAGTTCATGTGAGAGCTGGTTGCTTAAAAGAGTGTGACACTCACCAACTCCCCACCGTTGCTCCCTCTCTCACCATGTGAGATGCCTGCTCTCCCTTTGCCTTCCACCATGATGGAAAGCTTCCTGAAGCCCTCACCAGAAGCAGATGCCAGGGCCATGCTTCCTGTACAACCTGCAGAATAGTAAGCCAATTAAACCTCTTTTCTTTATCAATTACCCAGCCTTGGGTACCTCTTTATAGCAATGCAAAAGAACTAATTACACACCCCAAACAACAAAATGATAGTCTAAGTAAGGCTCTAGGCCTCTTGGACCATCTTTGAAGCTATGGCAAGAGCTTCATTCTTTCAGGCTAGCTGGGATGTCTAAATGTTGGAGGTCTCCCCTTCCGTTAAAGAGAGACCCCAGGATCTCTAATCATTCACAACATCATGGATCTTAAGTATATTATTTGCACAAAAACAAACTAAAAATGTAAATGTAGCCATATCTGAATCATCATTCACAGCAATCCTTGATTTTCCAGGCTTTGTGACTAATTAGCTACCCAAATCCTTAAATCTGATTTCTAGGTATATATTCCAAACAAAACCCAAAACAGGGTCATGGAAGACCAGTCATGAAAGAAATAAACAAGAATGCTTACAGTTTCATTGTGGGTGAATGGGTAGCGTTGAAGCCCAACTGAGTTTCCAGCAATTGTGGAATGAAAGTAATGTAAACTGATTGAGTTGGGTGTTCAGATGATGAGTGGGAACTATAGAAACAAGTCAGGAGAAATTTGTCCCAAAAGAGAAAGCAGCATCTACAGGGTTGTGATGTGTGAGGAGAAATGTTTGGGGTCCGTGAAACAGTGACAATCATGAGTGAGTGGCATGTTAAATTACTACTAGCTGCGAGGATAGATTGGAGTGAGAGGAAGTCAGGAAGCAAGAAGAATGACAAGCTGGCTGCTGTCACTCAGGAAAAAATGTTCAGGCGTGAAGAGGTCGTGGCTGTGGAGACGGAGGGAAAAGGATAAACTTGACAGGAATTCAGGAGAAAGAACTGACAAAACTTGGTTGTGATGAGAATGAAGAAGAAAGGATAAGCCTGGAATAATCCCCACATTTCTGGCTTGGATTCTGAGTGAATGGTTATGTCATTAATTGAGATCAGAAATACAGGGGGAACATTTTCTGGTGTTAACAAGTACGAGGCTATGAACAACAGTGATTAACTCGCTATTGACTCACTGATCCAGAACTTTCAAGTTTCATGGGTAAGAAAGCCACTTAAATATTTACCATGAGGTATGGTAAGTGATATTACGGTAATATATGCAACGCATGGTTAAAGGCATCAGTAAGGCTGGATTAACTCTGTCTTAGGAAACACACAGGGTAGTGTAGTTCAGAGTGCAGACCCCCGAGCTGACTACCTAGGTTTGAATCCTGATTATTCCTCAGAGAAGTTGTGTTCCTTAACCTTTCCGTGTCTAAGGTTTCTCCACTTCAAAATGGAATAATGGCAGCATGTATAACATGGGGTTGAGGTGAGGCTTAAATTAGAATAGCGTTGGGAACATAGTGCTCAAATAAATTGGCAAGTAAGGTATCAAGGAGAGATTTATAAAGAAAAATCATCTGTAAGCCAAGCCCTGGCAAGTTGGTGCAAAAATAACTGCGATTTTTGCGTCGTTGAAATTTGCTGTTTGATATTGGAATACATTCTTAAATAAATGTTGTTAGTTACACATCATTTTAATGCACGTATCTCACTTTTTTTTTTTTTTTTGCTAATGACTTACTACTTGCTGTTTATTTTATATTTATTTCAGATTATGGAAATGAGGTTAGACAAAAAGTAAATTTGAGTGATTTTTTTTTATTCGAGTTCAAAATGGGTGGTAAAGGAGCAGAGACAACTTGCAACATCGACAATGCATTTGGCCCAGGAATTGCTAACTAACGTACAGTGCAGTGGTGGTACAAGAAGTTTTGCAAAGGGAAAGGAGAGACTTGAAGATGAGGAGTGTAGTGGCTGGCCATGGAAAGTTGACAACAACCAATTGAGAGCAATCATCAAAGCTGATCCTCTTACAACTACCGAGAAGTTGACAAAGAACTCAAGGTCAACCATGCTATGGGCATTCAGCATTTGAAGCAAATTGGAAAGGTGAAAAAGCTCAATAAGTGGGTACCTGATGAGCTGAGGGAAAATGTAAAAAATCATCATTTTGAAGCATTGCCTTCTCTTATTCTACACAACAACAACAAACCATTTCTTGATAGGATTGTGACGTGCAATGAAAAGTGGATTTTATAGACAACCAGTGATGACAAGCTCAGTGGCTGGACTGAGAAGAAGCTCCAAAGCACTTCCCAAAGCCAAACTTGCATTAACAAAAGGTCATGGTCACTGTTGTGTGGTCTGCTGCTGGCCTGATCCACTATAGCTTTCTGATTCCCTGCGAAACCATTATATCTGAGAAGTATGCTCAGCAAATAGATTAGATGCATGGAAAACTGCAAGGCCTGCAGTCAGCACTGGTCAACAGAAAGGACCCAATTCTTCTCCACAACACCCAACTGCATGTCACACAACCAACACTTCAAAAGTTTAACCAACTTGGCCACGAAGTTTTTGCCTCATCCGCCATATTCACCTGACCTCTCACCAACAGACTACCACTTCTTCAAGCACGTCAACAGTTTTTGCAGAGAAAACGCTTCCACAACCAGAAAGATGCAGAAAATGCCTTCCAAGAGTTCATCGAATCCTGAAGCATGGATTTTTATGCTACCGGAATAAACAAATTTTCTTATTGACAAAAATGTGTTGATGGGAATAGTTCGTATTTTGATTAACAAAGATGTGCTTGAGCCTAGTTATAATGATTTAAAATTCACAGTCCAAAACCGCAATTGCTTTTGCACCAATACTTAGGAATTTTTCAAGTGGACCAACCAGGAAAGTGTCAAGCAGAAGGAAAAGTGCATGCAAAGTCATGGAGGCAAGATAGAGCAGAGAATCTGGGAAGGTGTGACCAGCTCAGTGTGGCTGGATGAGGGTGGAGCCCTGATTTTATTAAACCAGAGTTTTTGCTATTCTTTTTCATCCTCCTTTCCACTGCCTACCATTTCCTCTTTCAAGTACTTCCTTTCCTTTTTCTGCTTTTTGTCTTTGTCTTACAGATGGCTACTCACGGATCTCTGTATTTGGTTGTCTGTGCCCTCTGTATCATGCCTGCATCCATAATTAATCCCAAAGCCAAAAGCAAGTTACTCCTTATTGTTTACATGTCTCCTGTCCTGACCTGGGTCCTATAGCAGCAGGTCTCAGTCCCACCATACTGGACCCCATATTCCTTAGAACCTTCATCTTGATCCTTAGACATGACATTCTACATTGTATTCATAGGTATGGCTTTGGTTCCTCTTGATTAGGATTTCGATTTTTACACTATCCATCCAGTCTACCTTGGGTAAATAGTCCTTTTGGACTGACCTGCCCCATGATGCTCATCTTGGTGCTAACCTAGTGGATGATGGGTCTTATTGTTTGCTTCTGGCTCATAAAGCAGGAAGTAGATGCAGTGAGGGTTCAACTGTCCCCTTTACTGGTGTACAGTGGAAAAGCTTTATACCTGTCCATGTTATTTGGGGGATGTTGGCTTTATGCCTATATCCCCCAGTGACAAAATCTCTCTGACAGGTGACTGGAAGGTTGAGATGCTGAGCATGGCACTGGGCCAGAAATAAGATTACGATATCACTTATTTCATGGCCTGTAGTCCATAGTCTTCCTAGAAATGATCAAAAAAGCAATACTGATAGAAGAAGCAAATTCAGGACAAACAGGCCATCCAAAAGAGACATGATATTTCAGGTTGCTACTAGAGAGGAGGAGTCCAAGTAGATCCAAGAGACAGAACCTGGGAAAACTAGGTGAAAGCAAGAGAAGTCAAAGTCAAGGTGAAAGGAAGCAAGCCAAGTTTTAAACAACCTGTCTCTAATGATCTGGTCAGGACATTAGAGAAGGCTAAGGAAGATGGGCACTGGATCATCTAACAGTCACTGGGAGGCTGTGGAAATTGGTTAGGATTTTCTGGGGACCAACAGTACAATTTACTGTCTGTGGACAACACTATTGTAAGGAAATGTGCTCAAGGCACTATGATCTTATAAAAAAGATATTCACTGGGAAGCTATGGAAACTGGTCAGGATTTCCTGGAGACCAACAGTACAATTTACTGTTTTTGGATGACTCTATTTTAAGGAAATGTGCTCAAGGCACTATGATCTTACACAAGGATATTCAGGCTTGAAGATAGAAACATGAGTTGTAGTTCAGGTCATGTGACCTTGGGCAAAGAAAGTCACCTCTCTTAAGCTTTAGCTTCTGACATGTTAAATGTAGGGGAGAAAACAAAACAAGATTCCTGCTCGAGGTATCCCACAGGTCTTTAGAAACAAAACGAAACAAAACAAAACAAAGCATAACAAAATAATAGATATAAAACCACTTAATGAAACTTCAAAGCCAGTAGTAATAGAGCAAATTATAGTCATTAATGCGACTTCGCTGGAGGAAGAAATGTTAACAATAGAACATACTTGCTCTTTCAAGTGTTTGCCAGTTTGTGGGAACAGGGAAATAAGGATGGAGGTCTGACCTAGGAATAAAATTACCAATTCATTCTGTCTTCCTTTCAGGGTTCTTATGACAATTAACTTGCCAAGATTCAACCGCAAGACCATATGTTGCTGAGATCACATGGGGAGATGAGATTTCTTTTGATTATTTGTTTGTATTAACATTATTAGAATAGTGCTTCATTTATTACACTGGCCCAAATTCAATCTGTCAGGAGGGTTCCCAGCACATGAAGGTATAAAAACACTCTCAAACGCAAGTGGTTTTCTCAAATAGGAGAACCCTAAGCTCACCTCCTCCTCAGACCTTGTTAGCAATCGCCTGTGTCCTTAGGCAGGATGATACTCACACTAATGATAGGTGAATGACATTCACACTGATAACAGGCCTGAACCGTTCTAAAGTATTGAACATCCTTTTGAATTGTGAAAGGAATATTAATGTGCAGTAATGACAGCCTTAACATTTAATGTATTTTAATGATTCTAATTATTTGGAAGTTGGTAATCAGTGTCTTCACTCAAGCTAGGTCATTTGATTAACCAGACCACCCATTTTCTGAGCACACAGAACAATTAGATATACATTAAACTACTTCCACCAATGCTTCTCGTTCTCAATTACAAACAATATGCTGCATTCAGACACTAAAGTGTAGAATCATTATAATACCCCCATCACAGTTATTATTTTCTAAGTCATAAGTTAGCCCATCAGACAACACTTCTGCTTCTTCAGTCTCATCTCTCTCTTTTGTTTCCATATAGTCTATGTTTCAGCCACACAGACTTCTTCACAATTCCCTGAATGTACCATTCTGTTGGCTAATTTTGTGCATCTTGTATATGGTGCTCTGTTTGCCTTCAATGTCCTCCCCACAGCCCCAACCCTATTCAACCCTCGTTCATCAGGAAAGTTCCTATTCGTGCTTCAAAACTCATCACAGGCATTATCCCCTGGGAGAGGGCTTCCCAAATTCCCTATGGATAACTCATCACCTCTCCCTCTGTGGCCTCAATATTCCTCCACGGAAGTTACTAGTTGTTTTTACACTTGTGGCCCTAAAAGGCTGCACGTTCTTAGGGGGAGAGGAAAGCAATTTGTTCATCTTCACATCTCCTTTTTCCAGACGAGTGTCTGGCATGAAGTAGAGCTTATAAAATCCTGAGGGTCCGTGAATGCTGGAAGTCTCTTTCAGTCTGATTTAGTTGTCTGAAGGTGCCATTCTGTCGCAGGCTTCTGTTTTGATTGTTTCCTGATCCCTTTGGATGAGGAAAACAGGTTTTTCCTTAGGACAATGGGTGTGGATTATGAAAATGTTATGCAAGATTAGTCAAATGCTACACTGTTTCCTTCAGGAACTTTCAGATGGCTCAGGAGTGGAGCTTTTGTGGCAGGTGGGTAGAGGCTGCTGGAGGGGGCTTTCATGATCATCTGCTTTGAGGGATAAACATTGCTTGTCCCCTCCTCCAACTAAGGAAGGTAAGACTGTTTATCAAAAACTTTTGTATGTGTGTGCTCTAGGAACCTAAATATTCTCCATGATCATTTCAAAAAAGGGACACAAAACGTTTACCTTCTTCTCTCCCTCTAGATTGTAACCTAGCTAATAGGCTTCCTTTAAATGCAGGTGAAATTGATCAGACTGAAGTTGTTAGAATCAAATAAAATAATGTTAAATGCTGTTGGTGATAAAGGAGTTGAAATGTAAGAAGGAATATTGAGTATTGGCCATTTCCTGGATGGGGGCAGAGGAGAAAAAAGCTAATCTGGAGTTGTGGGGGCTAATAATTGACAATTAAATATTGTGGTTTTGAGAGCTAGCCAATTCCAGGGAATGAGGGAGAGAGAGAGTCCAGCAGGTAAGTACAGCTTATAAGCACGGTGTTGCTCCATTTCTAGTTTTCAGCTAGTAATATTTTTGTGTGAGGATATCGCTCCAGTATAATTTGCAAAATGCCACAAGTCAGAATAGTATGTTGGTACTTCAACTTTAACAGATATATGTTGCTAATGAATAAGATGTGTTAAATACTAATGAAATTGAATGTTCCAACCAGACTAGATAGCATATTTGCACATATATATACACAAATAGATATATAAATTGCTTTATATATACTATAAACATGAATTTTATGTAATATATAAAGGTTAATATTTTACATAATATATATAAAATAAAAGCAATTGTGTTTTTAGCAGGTACCTTTATTAAGTCATTCACAGCTCCCTCTCACTTCTCCTGGTTCAGACCTGAGAGCCTGGCCCATTTCAGTAACAATTTTAGGGGAATTGACAGAAGAGAAGAAAGTGGTGATTTAGTAATTATCTATTCTTATTGGATAATATATAGCTAACTCATAACTTTACCAGACCATTTTCCTAACTCCTCTAAGGCAAGAGATCAAGAAGTGGGAGAGTTTGGAGGAAAAGTTTTGCTTTTTAAAAAAATTGTTATAGGAATACCTTTTCATTCCTTTCCACTACTTCTCCACTAGAAAAATACATGAACTTATAAAGGCAATGAGGGAAATGCTCTGCTTTCTACAGCAGTGGTTAAAAAAAAAAAAAGAAAAAACAGAGAGAAACAAGTTGTGGTATGTCCATGCAATGGACTAGTATGTAGCCACTAAAAATAAGTCAAATGGAGACCAGCCTGACCAACATGGAGAAACCCCATCTCTACTAAAAATACAAAATTAGCTGGGTGTGGTGGTGCATGCCTGTAATCACAGCTACTCAGGAGGCTGAGACAGGAGAATCGCTTGAACCTGAGAGGCAGAGTTTGCAGTGAGCTGAGATATCACCATTGCATTCCAGCCTGGACAACAAGAGCAAAACTCCGTCTCAAAAAACAAAACAAAACAAAACAAAAAAGAGTCAAATGTATCTACTTGGACATACCATGATGTCCAGTACGTGAAAAAGCCCAGAGGACAAGGATTGGCAACAACTTGATGTGATTATTACATTGTAAGATTGAAAACGTAGGGATATGAATTTTCACTTAATTTTATACACATTGTATTGTTTAAAATGTTTGCAATGAGCCAAAATGATATATTTCTTATCTACAGAAAGAATGATGGAAGGAGGGAATGTGAAGAGAGAATGAGAACAAGAGAATGAAGGGAGCAGGGAACAAGCAGCTCTCCAAAATGTTGTGAAGTTTTAACGAGGCTGAGCTTCTGTTTCATATAAGATGATAAAAGTACTGTGTTAGGAGAAGAAACAGGCTAGATATTTGTACCTTTCATAATAGTTTTTTTTTGCCAACAAAATATTAGGTTATTAAACATTGACCTTGCAGCAAATTAAATATGGTATTAACCACATTAATGGTTAATAAATAAATATGGTATTAATGCCCAACTTGGACGAATTTCAGTGAATCACAGAGACACATAGGATTGGGTGAGGAAAGGAAAGAGAATAAGGCTAGAAGATTAATAATAAACCCTCTTTGTAAAACACAGTATATAATGTGCATAATCACCTGGATGTCTTATTGCACATTTAGGTTTGTTGAAGGTTTCTGCGTGTGTGTGCATGTGTATGTATGTATGTGTGTACTATTGGTTCTGGGAAATATGGAAAATATTTTCAGAGAAAAGAACTAATATATCAAACCTTAGACTCTATAAAAAGCTGACCCAAATTATACAATCTTGTTTATTATTTCAACTACATGTACAAAATTCAATTATGACTCTTACTGTCTAATTTAAAACACCCTTGATATCCCGCAAATCTCAGAGAAATCCCAGGGAGGGTAGTAGACAATGTGGCTGAGTTAGAGATGCCATAGCTCAGGAAGAGAAACGGCTTGCTCTAACAGACACAGATAATAGTTGGCAGCACCCAGATTTGAATGTAAGTCTGTCTTGCCAAAGCTTATAAACTTAAAAAAAAAATTGTCTGAATACAAATAGTACATGCTTAGATAAACTCAATTAGAGCCTATGTGTCCATTTGCACTTTCTACAACAGAAGTTTTTAACAGAACCTCCAAAGTAGTGACTTCTCTGTGACAAGATGTGACTGGTACCAGAAATGTCTTTCTCAGAAGTTGCTGTGATATTGTGGCCAGAAGTGGTGGGTTCTCGGTCTCGCTGACTTCAAGAATGAAGCCACAGACCCTCGTGTTAAGTGTCACAGTTCTTAAAAATGGTGTGTCCAGAGTTTGTCCCTTCTGACGTTCGGACCTGTCCGGAGTTTCTTCCTGCTGGTGGGTTTGTGGTCTCACTTCGTGGTCTGGCTGACTTTAGGAGTGAAACTACAGACCTCTACCGTGTTACAGCTCTTAAAACTGGTATGAACCCAAGGAATAAGCAGCAACAAGATTTATTGCAAAGAGCGAAAGAAACCACCATTCCCAGAGAACAAAGCAAACCTAGCAGATTTCAGGTTTTGGTTCGGGTGGCCTGCTTTTATTCCCTTATGTGGCCCCACCCACATCCTCCTGATTGGTCCATTTTGCAGAGAGCTGATTGGTCCATTTTACAGAGAGCTGATTGGTCCATTTTACACAGCGCTGATTAGTCCATTTTACAGAGAGCTGATTGGTCTGTTTTGGCAGAGTGCTGATTGGTGCGTTTACAAACCTTTAGCTAGACGGAAAAGTTCTCCAAGTCCCCATCCTCCCAGAAACCCAGCCGGCTTCACCTCTCACCAACAGTGGCTGCGGGACTTTCCAGCACCTAGCCTGGGCATTCCCACAGCCCAGAGGGAGCTCGTCCCAGACAACCAAGAGGAAAAGAAGGGAAACAAGAAAGAGATGGAGACCCATCATTGTGGCCAACGACCCCACGAAGAGGGAATAGCGGTCCACGCACGGGACCCAGCCTCCGATCAAGCCCAGCAGGCGCCGGGTGCGCCTGTGCTGGGAGGCAGAGCCCACGCCCACCCGGAACCGCGCCGGCCAGCGAGGTCCGTGCGCAGCCCCGGCTGCCGCCTGCGCTTCTCCCTCCACACCTCACCGTTAGCAGAGGGAGCCGGCTCCGGCCTCAGCCAGCCCCAGAGACAGGCCCCCACAGCACAGCGGCGGGCTGAAGGGCTCCTCGAGCGTGGCCAGAGCAGACGCCGAGGCTAAGGAGGTGCCGAGAGACAGCGAGGGCTGCTAGCACATTGTCACCTCTCAATACTGGAACTCAGAATAAGAGGTCTCCACTGTTCTGAGTTATGGGAGAAAGATGGGTGTATGGTAGACAGAATAGTGCCTCCCCACAACAAAGATGTCAACATGTTACTGTGTGTGTTAAAAGGGACTTTGTAGGTGTGAGTAAGTTGAAGATCTTGAGAAGAAAAGATTATCCTGGGTTTTTTGGGTGGGGCCAATGTCATAAAAAGGTCCAGATAAGAAAGAGGCAGAAGAGTCAGGGTCAGAGGAGGAGCCATCATGATAGGAGCAGAGAAGCAGAGTCAGGAGAGTTGATGCTACACTGCTAACTTTGAAGATGAAGAAGCCACGAGCTATGGAATGGAGACAGCCTCTGAAAGGCAAGGAGATGGATTTCCTTTAGAGCTTCCAGGAAGGAGTGCAGGCCTGCTAACAGATACGTTTTAGCCCAGTGAGACTAATTTTTAGACTTCTGACTTCCAGGACCGTAAGGTAATAAATGTGTGTTGCCTAAAACTACTGTTTGTGATAATTTGTTATACCAGCACAAGGAAACACATATAAACTATAATAGGCTCTTCTAGGTGAACTCGATGTTTCAAGTGATCAGGGTCCACGGGGAATAGGAATTGGATAGCTGGAGAATGTTGCTGAGTGAGAGATGGCAGAGTCAATGATGTTGGAAGGCCCTTTGAGTTTGACCTTGAAGTGCATAAACCATGAATTATGATTTTCCATCATTCTTCCTTAATCTCAGGTCCAAGGAAAAAGCGGTATAATTAGAATGAAACACATGTAGCAATATACTCACTTTATCGCACGGGTATTTTCTGTGTATTGTAGAAAAATCTAAAAAACAATTCTAACAAGGTCTCAGGAAATAATTATCCTTGTATTTTATTCTTCTGTATTTTAGCCAATCTCATATGTTCAGGCTTTTGTAAATTTGCAAGGACAAATTTAACAGCAAATAAATTATTTAAAACCTACAGAAAAAGTCTTCTAAACCAATTCCCACAGAGCAGACATTTCCTGAATCTTAATCTTCTATCAGATTCCAGAAGATGCAAAAGAAGTTGGGCAAGTCACATAATCTCCCTGAGATTCCTATTTTGTGACGTTTTCCCTAATTCATTGTAACAGGCAAAGAACCTTGAATCTTAGATCTAGAAAAATCCCCAGAGATGACAGTAGCCCAAATTTCTCATTGTACATATGAGAAAACTGTGGCAGTGACTTGTCCGAGATTGTATCCTGCAGCGTGCTCTGCAGGTACCCCAAATGCTCAAGACGCCAGGTCCTACACAACATGGTAGTGATGCAAAATGAGATATTTCTTGTTCTCAAGAAGATCATTATCCAGGAAGGAAGATAGAGAAATAACATACGTGTATAGAATGGTTGGTAAGGTATAATGATTGAAGTTAGCACAGGGTATTGGTTGAGCTTGGAGGAGGGGCACATAGCTCAGACAGGCGTTTCTCATCATGAATACTCATTAAATTTAAACACTAAAATTGTATTAACTTCTTGTTATTTTACAGAAATAACTGTGTCTCCTCTGTCAATTATTCTAAAAATGCAGTCATATAAAATGAAGAAAGTAAAAACTGTTCGAAATCATATCATCCAGAGATGACCACTGTTAGCATTGTGTTATATATCCTTACATAATGATGTTCCATCTATACATAGATATATACGCACATGCATATATGGTTCTATTTCTGGTATCTCTCTCTCTCTCTCTCTCTCTCTCTCTCTCTCTCTCTCTCTATATATATATATATATATATATATAAATCTTATGTTATCCTGCTGGTATTTGTCCCTTTCTTTGCACATTATCATAAATATCTTATTTTAGAATCACTGAATCTCAGAGTTGGAGTAGGTTTACAAAATATCTTTTAATCCAACCACAAAATAAATACATTTTAATTTTTTAATAGTTTTCAATATAGACAAAATTGTAGAGATCTCTCTACCCACTTTCTCTATTATTAACATCTTAAATTAGTATGATACATGTGTTTATAATCAATGAACCAATATGGATACATTATTATTAACTAAGTCCGCCTTTATTTAAACATTTTTAAGTTTTTACCTAACTTTTTTTTTTGTTTCATGATGTCATTCAGGATGCCATATCATATTTAGTTGGTACATCTCCTTAGGCTCCTCTTGACTGTCACAGTTTCTCAAACTTTTCTTGCTTTTGATGATGGTTAAATTTTCAAAGAATACTGATCAAGTATACTGCAGACTTTTTTTTCAAGTGGAATTTGTCTGGTGTTTTTCTTATTATTACACTGGGGTTATGGGTTTGGGGGAGGGAGACCACAAAGGTAAAATAGCATTTTTATCAAATTATGTCAAAAAAACACACTATCAACCTGACTTATCTCCATTGATGTTAACCTGAACACCTGCCTGAGATAGTGTTTGTCAGGTTTCTGCACTGTTAAGTTACGCTTTTCCTCTTTCCATACTTATTTTTTGAAAGAAAGTCACTATGCACATCGCACACCCAAGAAGTGAGAAGTTATACTCTACCTCCTTGAAGGTGGGAGTATCTACATAGATTATTTGGAATTATTCTACCCAGCTTTGGCCAATAAGAGCTCTTTCAGTTGATTCCTGTGTCTCTTTGACATACCACATCATTGTGTGTGTGTGTGTGTGTGTGTGTGTGTGTGTGTGTGTGTGTGTGTGTGAGAGAGAGAGAGAGAGTTTGGCACTTTTCTTACTTTCTGGCACTATAAAGTGATATAAGCTCATCTTTTGTATTTCCTGCCCTAGACCTAGAATCAGAATGGTTTTAGAAACCAAGATCTGGATACCAGCTATGTTCATTACTAGTGGAGTGTTTTGCTTCTAGGCCCTCTCAACAGATAGAGGGATGAAATATATGTGTGTATGCTAATCCATGTATATACATATACCCATGAAACTTCCATATGTAATCATTTATACCTATATTAAGTTAAACATGAGTTAATACTGATGTCTCCATCTCTAATCCATTCCTACATGAATTATTCTAGACTCTTCTGCTTGCTTAGTTGTAGATTTCCACAACTGTAAGAACCCTGGCTTCACATTACAAAGGCTGTCTTCTCTCTTTTCTTCTCATTTCTGGCTAGAAATTTGTCCATTTTATTGTTCTTTTTGAAAAATAAGGTTTGGTTTCATTGATTTTTTTTCATTGTTTTCCATTTAATTGATTCTACTCTTATTTTTATTATTTCTTTTTAGTTTTTCTGCTTGCTGTAGACTTACATTGCTCTTTTTCTCTACTTTCCTAAAGTAGAAACTTAGACTGTAGATCTTTCTTCTTTTCTAAAATATGCATTTAATGCTATAACTTTCCCTCCAAACGTTGCTTTTGCTACATTTTAAATTTGTGATAGGTTGTATTTTCATTTGCATTAAGTTCAAAATATTTTTCTAATTCTCTTGGGATCTCTTCTTAAACACATGTTATTTAGTAGTGCATTAAATTTCTGAGTATCTTGAGATTTTCTAGATATTTTTCAATTATTGGTTTTTAGTTTGATTCTATCATGGCATGAGAACACACTTTGTGTGATTTCTATTCTTGGAAACTTATTAAGGTGTATTGCATAACCTAGAATGCATTCCATCTTGCTAAATGTCTCATGTGAGCCTGCTACTCAAGATTATGATATGTAGATTATCTCTGAGACCTCAGTTCTGGAATGTGTCCGAGGAAAGTTGTTTCAGTTTGTCCAGCTTTTTCTCCTTTCCCTCCTTCCTTCCTTCCTTCCTTCCTTCCTTCCTTCCTTCCTTCCTTCCTTCCTTCCTTCCTTCCTTCCTCCTTTATTCCCTCCCTCCCTCCCTTCCTTCCTTCCTTCTTTCTTTCTTTTGACACAGGGCCTCGTTCTCTCACCCAAGCTATAGTACAGTGGCGGTGATCACAGCTCTCACTGCAGCCTCAAACTTGCCGGCTCAAGTGATCCTCCCATCTCAGCCCCCACCACTTACCCGAGTAGCTAGGACTACAGGCATGGACCTCCACATGGGCTAATTTAATTTTTTTTTTTTTTTTTTTTTTTGGTAGAGACAGGGTCTTACTATGTTACCCAGGAATTTTTCTTTTTATAAGGATAGGAGTGACAACTTCCAAGCTCTTTATGGGAAAAAAAGCAAAAACCAGAAGTTTCAACAAAAGATTTTTATTTTCTTACCCCAAAATTAGTGAGCAAGTCTTTTTCTAACTAAGCACCTCCAGGGACTGCGAACTCATTACTCATCTCATTACTGAGTATTAGGAAGTTGTTTTTCATATTTCTCCGATGCTGCTCCCTATAGATCCAGCCAATGGGTCTGACTCTACCTATGTTTCTTCCACAGACCCACGATTAAAGTATGTGAAAACAACATGTCCTCTCTGACTCCCCTCCCTTAGGCTAGCCACCTTATTACTTTGACTTCTCTATTTGAAATCCTTCACCATCTTGTAGACTAAGATTGCAGTGTGAAGGTCACATTCACTGCCATTGAGCACTCACGGTGAGATACTGTGCTATACAGCCTTCTTGGGGATACATTGATGAACCAAAACATAATAGATGCTCGTCTCATGGAACTTATGAGGAAAGTTGCTCATGAAGGAATAAGCCACACTTTTGTTTCAATGAGGTTTTACTTTTGTCTGCCTTCTGCAGTGTAGAGCAAGTCCATATTACTCAAAGTTGGGACAGATGCATTCTTTCGAGGATCCTTTTTACCCAGTATCAGTCTGTCATGGAAATCTCCTGTTTGCTTATGATCTGATTTGAATGTCTTTCCCTGAATATCCTAGGCATGTTTTCATGATGCTAGGCATTAGACAGAAATTCCAGGGATGGCAAGCTGTGTAGAACACAATCTTAAATTATAAGAAAGTTAAAAACAAAGCAAGCCAAAACTCCCGTATTCTTTATTTGGTAGCTCATAATATGGCAATTGAGTGTTCGTTAACTTAAAGGTATAAATAGAGTTAGTTTGACTGCATATGAGCCACATTTATTACTTTTCCCAAAAATATGAAATAGGGAGAAAATAAGGGGTTTGTAGATATAATGTACGTATTCAAATCCTGCCACCTATATTGTATGGGGAAATGTATTTAACCTTGGATCTTCAGTTTCTTCATCTGTGCAATGTAGATAGTGAGTTTTTGATTCATAGGGCTAATGTAAGTTTTAAATGAGATGATGTTTGTAAAGCACTCAGCACAGTGCCTTGCATTAAGTAGATACCCATGCTTAGTTCCTTTCTAAATTTGTCTTAACACAAATTTATTCTTTAAGACGACAAGAAGGTTGCTGGTGTTGAGGGTATGTTTGCTAAATCGCAGACAAAAGCATTCTAGTCTTACTAATCAAAGAAGAATTCAGCCATTTTGATTCCTGTATACAGGATTGAGATGTATGGATTTAACTAAGGAGTAGATACTAGGAAGAAATGGATATAAATGCTTCTTTGACTCTTAACTAGTTGACTCTTTAAACTGATTGCAAGACAAGGGTGTCACGTGAAGAGCTGCCTTGATGATATCCCTAAAGTAACTCCCAACTAAACTGAGGGTGATTGGGTACTCAGAGATATCCAATAGTAATCCATGAGGGATTGATATAGATTGAATACTTGTTCCTGCCCAAATCTCATGTTGAAATGGGATTCCCAATGTTGGAGGTGGGGCCTGGTGGGAGATGTTTTCGTCATGGGGGTGGATCTCTCCTGGCTTGGTCCTGTCCTCATAATAGTGAGTGAATTCTCAAGCGATCTGGTTGTTTAAATGTGTGGCATCCCCACCTCTTGCTTTTGCTTTTACTACCTGCTCTTTCTTCACCTTCCACCATGATTGTAAGCCAGTTGAACCTCTTTGCTTTATAAATTACCCAGTCTCGGGTATTTATAACAATGTAAGAATAGCCTACTACAGGAGTGTTAAGTGCTCTCAGACTGTTTTATGCTCAGTGTTCCTGGTGTGGAATAGCAAAATATAAACTAGCTCTTGTTAGGATTGAATCAGAAGCCTGGGCTTTTTTCTTACTAAGGTTTGCTGACCTAAATGTTAGTTGTAAAAGTGTTGGTTCTTCTTGAACCATTGAAGAGCTCTTTAGACTAAAATGTCTTGGAATCATTACCCTAGGCAATACTGAGGACATTCTAGGTCAGGAAATCCATGGAAGAAAATACTACAGGGGACAGCGCAGGAAGTATATGTTGGTAATATGACAACTACTTAATGACCCTGATATTGGTGAGTATCCAAGACAAGGTGTAGGTAAGATGAGTCCACTCAGTTTTCTATGACATGTCCCAGGATTCTCCCTTTCAACCAATAATGCAGTGGGGTTGGTAGAGAAAGGGGGAAAATCAATGCTCACTTCCTATATTACTGTGTCAAGTCAATCCAGCACAGATTATCAGATATTTACTGAGCAATCCTTTCCTATGAGCAAAATAAATGAAAATACTTCCCAGCTGCCTGGAGTGTCTTAGAAAACTTTCCCCCAAACATTCATTTGTGTCCTGAAAGCATTTTATATCTCAGTTACAGCAATGAGCAATTCACAGCACATGCAGCCATTTTGAGTCATGATTAGTGGTCCCATTTCGAGATTAAAGATTAGAAAGCTGCCTCCATTTTGTTACTTTTCTATATGGCCAGAATTAACATGTTCATTGTTAAAAGGCAATTTCAGTTTTCTTATTGACTTTCATCTATTCTGTAGAGTGAGCAATCTAAGTCATAAGAATGTACATTTTCCCCCATGGGGATCAGTAAAGCAAGGTAGTAAAGGAAATTTTTTGTTGCTGGTTATAATGCAGCCCATAAGCTTTTTTATATGTTTTGAATTGGCCTGCTTCTAAAAAATTTTATTCACCTATCCTCTGTTATCTTAGTTTATTTTACGTAGTATTGTAACTATTTGTTTATGAGTCTATCTTCATCTTACAAAGAGAGTTCCTTAATTTAGGAAGAATATCTTATTTTTATATCAATGGTACCTAGAAGAGTGCTAGCTCAGAGATTCAGCTCAATATGAAATCTTTATTGAGATGAAATACAAAAGGTAAGATTCAGGTTCAGGTGTGAAATCCAGTCCAGATTTCATTACTGAGCTCTAGATCTATGTATCCAAACTGACTGTGCAATTAGTATTATTATTACATTCACTATTACACATACAATCATAAAACATAAAATGATGACTCAATCAAGTTTACAGGCCATTTATCATGCATTATTGAATTAACCCCTACAATAATTCTGTGAAGGAAGCATCTGTAAAAGAAGCATCTGCACTGTATTGATGAGAATCCTGAAATGGAGACATGCCCAATGGCATAGGTAGCAAGTGCTGGTGCCAGAGCTGCCACTGAGCACTTGTGACTCTAAGTCCTAACCTTTCCATCTTTTCCTTTGTCAAATACAGGGTGTCTCAATGTCATCAATCTTGATGTTTGGGTTAAAAAATTCTTTGTGGTAGGGCTACATCCTTGGCCTCTATCCACCAGATACTAGTAGCATTCTCCACCCCATTGCGACAATCAAAAATGTCTCTAGACATTGCCAAAGGTCCCCTTGGGGAAAAATCAGTGCTAGTTGAGACTCCATGGTATAGTAACAGGCACAATGTGGTAAATGTTCTGGAACAGGCATAAGCAAAATGAGGGGAAAAGATGGGGAACTCCTACACAGTAGAGGCAGCATTTGATTTGGATCTTTACTATAGAAAGATTGAATTGACCTGGGAGGACTTACTGTGATGAGAAAGAATACCAAATATTTGGGGAGCATGCATGATGTGTCAAATTTAACTCTAAGGGGGGAAATACAATAGAAGCATTGTTAAAATGAAACACTATCTTAAAGTCCATCTAGTGGAACATAGAGCAATTTGGGGCCACTCAATCTCATGCTATGCATTTAACAGCTAGATTTATCATATTATCTACTAAAGATTACTTAGGAAAGAATTGCCTCCTGTTTATTCTTGTAGCTTACTAACCTATAAATCAGTCTCAGTCATCATTTAATTGTACTGTACATCGAGATTGTGTTTTCTGGTAACTTTCTGGCTCACTGGGAATGTTAAAAAAAATACTTAGCTTGAGTCTCTGTGCATGAATTGAAAGGAAGAAAAGCTTACCTTCAGCTCTCTTCATCTAGCCAGGGCTCTTGGCCCTACCTGGAAACTCTGTCAATAAACATGACAACTAATTCTCTGGCTTGGTTTGGTGAACATAAAACAACCACACTAAATCTTCTACTTCCCTTTTATTTAGAATTGTTGGAAAACTGAGAGAGATTCTGATATCTCTAAAATAACATGCTGTCCTTCCTCAAAATAACTTTAGAAAGTGTATCGCAGTTGGTATACAGCTGGTCTCTGACATATGATGATTTGACTTAACAATTTTTCAACTTATGATGGGTTTATTGGGGGTTAACCCCATTATAAATCAAGAAGCATTTGTACTTTTTGAGCTCTAGGAGTCAGATAGGCCTACGTTGCGAGTCAGAGAGGCATAGTCAGACTAGTTGTAGGGGAAAAAATGGTTTAACATCTGTGAAGCTCCGTTTCCTCATCTCTAAGATGGGTTAATAATAACTTCCACCTAAACTTTGTGTGAGAATTAAGTAAGAAAATGTTGTAAGACTTTAACTGTGAGGCTTGGCACAAACCAATATAAATGGTGGCTATCGTTATAATCATCTCATTATCTTAATGGTTTTCAAATTATACTTCCTTCTCCAATGCCTGCTCTATAGATGAAATGGTATTGACCACTTGCACAAGTTGGAAAACTGAGATCAATTTTGACCATTGCGTCCCCCGACAGCAATCAGTCCGTAAGACCTGCAGTTTTTTTTCTCCCACATAGTTCTAAAATAACTCACTTATCTACATTTCTACTCTTGGGGCCATGATTACAGTCACCATAATATCTTACCTGGTCCCCAGCCTCCTTTTTTCAGTCTTGTTGCTTCCATTCATTCCATTCTCCATATTGAAGCAAGAAGATCTTTTCAGAATGAAAGTCTGATCATGTCACTTCCCACTGCCCTCAGAACAAAGTTCAAACCTCTTATTGGCATGCAAAGTCCTTCATATTTTGATTACTCCTTCCCTTTCCAGTTACATCACTTGACATTGACTCCTCATTTATTATGTAGTAGGCATGCTGAGGTTCTTGTAATTTTGCAAGTGGAATTTATTCTCTCTCTTGACCTCAGACCTTTGCACCTTTGCACATGCTGTTCTCTCTCCCTGAATCATCCTCCTTCTCCCCACCCCATGCAAAGGACAGAGGCTTACCTTTACTTACTCATACTTTATGAAGGCTATTCCAGTCAAAGTTAATTACATTACTGAGTTAATTGAGAAGATGTTAAAACTGCGCCTCTTCTTTTAGCCTGGTTTCCCATTAATGGTAGAAACATTATGTCAGAGATTTCAGAGACCTTAGCCCTAGTATGCAGTATGTCAAAAACTCACTTTGTGACACTGTCAAATCTCTTAGCTTTTCTGGGTCTCACTTTCCTCACTCCTACTTTCCTATTATAGGATAACTGTGTAGATCCAAATAGGTTATAAGAATGATTTACTTATTAAAAATGTGGAAAATGCATGACATAGGTTTTCAATCTCACCTTTTGTCATCTCCCTCAATGCCCTGCTAACTGGAGCACCTCCTCCTTTTAGCTTCTTTTCCTTTCTCTCAGCCTCCTTGGCTAAATTCTATCCCTGTTTAGAATCGCACATAGACTCTGTAATTTCCAGGATGTTTTTTCCAAACCCTTGAAGCTGGACTGAGCACCTTACCTATTAGATTTCATAGAATCCTCTCCTTTTCCCAAAACAAAAACAACAGCAGCAGCAGCAACAATAAAACAAAAACCCTTAGCAATTATTTTGCTGTCTTAGAACTTATTTGTCTTCTTTCTTAGAGAGTGAATTACTTCAACTTATTTTAACTATCTCTTTATCACTAAGGATGATATCTGTATGTTGGCAGACAGACCTGAAAGGGAAGTGTTCTATTTGGAAGAGTTTTCTTGGAATTACAGTGCTTTGGTTATGAATCACCCATTGTTTCATGGACCACTATATATATAACACAACACATTAATTTTCATGAAGAAAATTTCTTTTTTAAAAAAATCCCATGATGCACACATCATTATTCTGAATTAACTATGCCTCTGAAAAGGAAATTGATTTCCCCAAGGTAATGTGAGTAGGAACTGTGTTTTGATAGGGTCCTATTCTCCTAATTTCTAATGCAAACTTCAGTGCTCTGAGTGCTGCACTCTCCCACAAAAATAAGTTATATGAATACATGTATAACTAATGGATAATCAAAGTATGGGTAATTGAGGTTGTTTATGTGTGTATGTGGATGAAATTCTATGCCCAGTTTTATTTTAAAGATCAAGTCTATTAAAATCTTCTAGAATGAAGCTATTAAAATAAGGTCATCATTTTGCAAGTACAGTTCTGGCCATGGCATTTCGGTTAAAGTATGCTTTGTCATTAGCCTTTTTACAAAGCCACCACATCCTGGTGGATGCTGAGACAAAGTTGTGGTCTTCTCAGGGCTGAGTAGGCAGTACATGCCACAGAGGAAAAGGAGGCTGTTTTGTCATGTCAGCCTTGACACACTCCTGGGCTCCTGAGAGGCAGAATTTCAGCCACTGGTGATGAAGGCAGGGAGAAGTCTTAAGAGACGAGAGATCTCCCAGAATAGGCTGAGGGCTAGTTTATAGGGCTAGAAGGAAAGTATTCATATCTTGCTCATTGATGCTTGGAGCCCAGCAGAGAAACTTCACGAGCTGTCATAGAGGAAGAGGAAAGAGTTGATGAGGCCTCCTCCCCTCTTTCCCCTCCTCTTTAATCTCAGAACTTCCAATTCATCTTTTCTCATATTGGGGTTCCTCTGTGTTTGAAATGAAATATAATTTGAAATGCACAAGATCTTTTACATCATTTTAAACTCTAATAATGCAGCTTATCAAAATGAAGGATATTGTTGAAATGCATGTCTCAAGAAAAACATTATTTTTAGGTAGTGCTTTAGCATTATGTCATATATAAGAATGCATGGCAAATGTAACAGTGGAATTTAATTCAAAAAATGAGGTCAGTAGTGTGCCTACTCATCTTCCTAATGTGAAATCGTCTCATCTCTCAACTAAAATACTTCATAGATAGTGAAATTCTATGGATGATAAGACTGACTGTTAGTTCTTACTCACAATTTGGACTTCTTCTTTATGGGTTCAGGAGTATGTATGTGTATGTTTTGCTCCCTCTGAATTTTCCAATAGAATTTCCAGTGAATTGAATCTCTCCATCCTGAATATCAAGTTCTGCTGTCCTCATTTCCAGTGATGGTTTGCAATGCAAATCATTGGGTTGGTAACACACAGTGTCATAACCATGGTAGCCAAATGAAGACAAGTTTGCTTTACTTCCTCAGTGAAGTGCATTCCAGTCCTGCATTCAGACCTGCCAACAGGTCAAAGAGCATTAAAGGAACAGCAAGAGGTTTCACAGAAATAAAACCACAACGGAAACCATTGTATTCATTCTCCACACACTCTTCCTTTCAATCCAGAAGTTGTTACTAGTAACTCCTGCCATTCCTAATGACATTTTTACCACTTTCTTTCTTGTAGAGAAGTGGGTAGAGAGAATCACTTTGTGTCTTTACCCTCAACTTGACCATGGCTTTAGGCAAACAGACTGTCTTGGCTTTCTATGACCAACTTTTAAATAGGAGCAGACAGAAACTTGGGTCATAGTTCTGCAGTCACAAGGGCTTTGTAGTCAGTCTTAGCTGCTGGAACATTCAAGGAGACAAAAAGGCACAGAAGATCTCCACACATACTTTGATGCCAACTACAGCAAGTTGCAAGACCATTTCTCTGCTGAAACTCCTTTATTCTGGTACAGTAACTCTTATAATTTGTTTTTTTTCTTTTAATCCAGCCTGTTGGGGAGGGGTATTAGCTGTCTGCTCTCATTTTCTCTCAGTTGGAATGAAAGGGCAGCGATGGCGTGTTCTGAAACTTCTTTACCTGCAGCTGTGTGACTGGGTGATTCCTAGGAAGAAAAACTATTAGCAAGAAGATGAAGTGATCTAATTGTCATGGATTTGGGCCTAGATGATTTCATTTACCCCCAGGACTACCTAGGTGGCTGCCATTAACATGGAAAGGTCTAAAACACAGGGGATGAAAATGCTTTGGGCTCAAAATTGCTCGGTTATATAGCCTCTATGTTCTGAATACTAGTTCAAGCAATGTTTCTGAGGAGTGATGCAGAAATTATATTTTCCCTTCTTTTTATTGCTATTCTTTGTACTTAGGACTTTTTTTGTCTTTCTTGCTTACCTGAAGGAGGCTTAATTCATTAAGAAAAAGCTAAAGAAATGAACTTTCTCATTTTTAATTAATCAGTGAATTCACTAAATATAAAGACTGAACGTGATGTACTGGAGCCATGTAGGAATGGAGAAAGCTGACTCAGGGATAGAGTTGCCAGATAAAATTTAGGATGCCCAGTGACATTTGAGTTTTAGATCAATAGCGTATCTGGGGGGTATAAGTATATCCCAAATAACGGGGCACAGTTATAAATAAATAGGTCACAGTTATGCCCATAAATGTATTTTTTGATCTGAAATTCACATGTAATTGCCTTTTATTTCTATTTGCTAAGACAATTCAATTCAAAGATGAAAATTGAAGATTATGAGAAAAATCATCCATTTCTCACTGTAAACTTTCACTGTAATTTTCCATTGAAAACTTGCCTAATTATCATTGTCTTATTATACAGTATTGGGAAGTGACTTAATACTTGGGTTCAAACCTTAAAAAAAGGAAGCAATAGTCCAAATAATTATAACAAGTCCAGAGTTCATTGTTTGTTTCATAATGTTAACACATGAGTTAATCAGTTTCCCAACTAGGTATTGAAACTGATCATGATTACGATAATATATAGGATCTATATCTTCTGGTTCAGACACCAGAGTACTGCCTGATTAGCCTTGCTCAGAACTTCTCTACAAGTACTGTTCAAGTGGCCATCCAATGTTCTGGGAGATATTGATACTTTGTCTTTTGGGGCTGCCTCTGGAGTAGGTCTGGGAAAACTCCAGGGCTGGTCATCTCCCAGAGCAGGCTCCTCCAGGACTTTAGAGGGAGCCCAAATGGAGCTGGGTGCAGAGCTGCTCTGTGCATCAAAAAGCTGGAAAGCACTGACCAGAATATCAGAGCATAGTTTAGGCATGTTGGAAATCCTGCAGAGTTTGCATAGTTACAAGATGATCTCCATATACTACAAAGATAAATAAAGCAAGTTGATAAATTTTAGGAAGAAGGAAATAATATAGAGAAAATAAAGATTCTCCTTGGTAGCACTTGGAATTATCCCACAGAGTACAAAATAAAATATTTTTAAGAGTACCTAATTTTCTGATTATAAGAATAATTCATGAACATGATAGAAGATTAAGAAATTAAGGAGCATATGAGGAAGTGTTATGATTTTCGTTGTTATCGTTTCTTTCTAATTTGGTTTTGAGGTCTCTCTCTTGAGTGGCCATAAGCCAAGATAGCCACTTTTCAGGAGATCGTTCACTGGGGGAGCATTAGGTTTGGCTGTGTCAGTCAGGTGAGACACAATGAAGCTGCGAAAATAAAATGCGTGAAACCAAAGAAATGTATTACTCACAAGTCCCAGACTGGCTAGGGGTGCTGACAGGAGGCCTACAGGAAGCCCGCAGGGAATTCAACTAGTAGAAGGGAGCAAGAAAGAGAGGGAGTCTGTGGGACTTTATTAAGATCCATGGGTGTTTTTCTTTAGGCTTTCCCACAGGGGTTGTGGATTGGATAGTTTAAAGAAAACACACACACAAGGGAAAGCTTATTTACATGACTCTGATGTTGATCATTAGGTTTTATCTTAGCAGCTGTGGGGTGTGTTAGGTTTTTGGGTCAGGGAGATGAGGAACAAGTGGGCTATATTACAATCACATAAGGAGGAGAAGTTTTAACTGAAGCTGAAGGTAATAGCGTACAACTGCATTTTAAACAACTTACGTCAGGCCTAAAAATGGATGTCAGGGCAGTAACTATATTAAACAAATTTATGACAGGAAGAACATAATCATCCTGATCCACCAAGAGAGTTTCCCTATTGGCAATCTGAACTAATTCCTTTCCATTTTGAGATAATATATATACAATTTTATAACATGTTTATTTTATTTTGTTGCATGTATGTTTATTGTATCATAAACATTTTCTAATGACATTAAAGTTTATAGTAACAGTTTTAATATTGGATATTTGAATATTTAAAACTGAATAATTCCACATTGTTTATTAGAAAAAGTGTTCTTTTCTGTTTGTTATGTTGCCCATTAATGACAGTTTTATTTCTTCCTTTCTAATTTTATTTCTTTTCTTGTTTTATTGAGCTAACTAGGACATTCTGAAAAAGGTTGAATAGAAATGATGAGAGCAGACATCCTTGTGTCATTTGCAATTTGAGGAGGAAGTGCTCAGTCTTTCATTGTTAGGTATGACATTAGCTGTAGGATTTTTCCAGATATACCTGTGGTTTGAAGAAGTATTTCTATTTCTAGTTTGTTAAGAGTTTTTGATCATGAATGGGTGTGAATGTTGTCAAATTCCTTTTCTGCATCTGCTAAGTGGTCACATGGTTTTTCTCCTTTATTCTGTTTTTATGATGAATTTTGTTCATTGATTTGTTGAAGTGTTTAATGCTTTATGAGAAATGCGCTTGCAAGGTAGAAAGGGTGAGGGAAAAGAAAACAGAAGAATGCAAAGCAGATACCAGATGATGTTTTAGCAAGCTGGCCAAGCAAGTTGGCCACTTCACAGAAATGTACTAGTTGTTCAGCCATTCACAACATCTCTGGGCTGATATTTTAATAATAAACCAATTTCACATTCCTTTAACAAACCCTGCTTGGGTTATCCATTTTACATATGGCTGGATTTATTTGCTAATATTTTGTTAAAGCTTTTTGTATCTATGTTTATTAAGAATACTGGTCTATAATTTGTTTTCTTGAAATGCCTTTATCAGGTTTGGGTATCAGTGTTATACAAGGAATTGAAAATATTTTTTTTCTTTTTTTATGTTCAGAAAAAAATTGTGTCACATTGGTGTTATTTCTTCTCTAAATGGTTGGTAAAATTCTTCAGTAAAGACATCTGTACCCAGGGTTTCCCCGTGAGAAGGATTTTAATTACAAATTCAATTTCTTCAATGCATATGAAGCTCTTAAAAAATCTTTTTTTCCCTCAGTTTCTTAGTTTTAGTCAGTTGAGTTTTCCAAAAAAAATTGTCAGTTTATCTCTTTGTCAAATGTATTGTCATGAAGTTTCTTGATAACATATGTTTACATTGTTAACACCCACAGAATCTGCTGTGGTATCTTCCTGCTCTTTTTATCAATTGATAAAAAATCAATTTTTATCAATTGTTTGAAACTTTTAAAGAAACAACAGTTGACTTTTAAAATTATCTTTGTTATCTGTTTTGTATTTTATTGATCTTTACACTTTTTAAATTATTTCCTTTTTCCACTTACTTTGAATTTAATTTTTCTTCTTTCCCTGTCTTCCTAAAGTAGATTCATGAGTCATTTATTTTCTAAATTTCTTATGTTCCAATATATGCATTTTAAACTGCACTTTCCTCTAATTACTTCCTCTGCATCCTACACATTTTGATATGTTATATTTCCTTTATCTTTTAGTTCAAATATTTTATGATTTTTATTGTGATTTCTTCTTTGACCCATTGGTCATTTAAAGCATTATGGTTTAATTTCCAAATATTTGAGCATTTTTTAGGTACATTAAGTGTTCCTAATTTAATGTATCTGAATACATGATCTGTATAATTTTCATCTTTTTAAATTTATTAATATGTGTCTTATGGCCCAGTAGATGGTCTAGGTCAGGGGTCCCCAACCCCAGGCTGTGGACTAGTATTAGTCCCTGGCCTGCTACAAACCAGGCGACCCAGCAGAAGGTGAGTGGCAGGTGAGCAAGCATTATTGCCTGGGCTCTGCCTCCTGTCAGATCAGCCATGGTATTAGATCCTCACAGAAGTGTGAACCCTATTGCAAACTGCACATGCGAGGGATCTAGGTTGTGTGCTCCCTGTGAAACTCTAATGCCTGATAATCTGAGGTGGAACAATTTCATTCTTAAACCATTCCCTGCCACCTCCACAACCCTCCTTCCAGTGGAAAAACTGTTTTCCACCAAACCAGTCCCTGGTGCCAAAAAGGTTGAGGACTGCTGGTCTAGGTGAATGTCCCATGTGCATTTGGGAAGAATTTGTATTTTGCTGGGTGGAGTGTTTGGTTAAAATGCCCATTAGGACAAATCTTTCATATTCTTTCTGAATATCTATCTACTTTTCATGTTTATCAGGAGAGATGTTAAATCTCCAGCTCTGAATTAGATTTGTCTATTTCTTTAGTCTTGCCAGTATTTGCTTCATGTCATTGGGAGCTGTTTTATTGTATTTTCATTTAAGATTGAGTCTTCTTGATTTGACCTTTTGTTATGATAACATTGCTTTTTTTACTCTGCTAATAGTTTTTGTCTTGAAACCTACTTTATCTTGTATTATTGTAGCTATATCAGCTTTCTCATGCTTGGTGTTTGGATGTTAAATGTTTTTCTGTCCTTTTACTTTCAACGTCTCTCTGTGTCTGTCTATTTACAGTTCATTGCTATAAGCAACATATAATTTGATTTTTTTTCTATCCAGTTGACCATTTCTGTCTTGTAGTTAGGTGTTTTTTCCATGTACATTTAATGTAATTATTGATGTGTTTTGTTAAAATACTACCCTATTGATATTTGTTTTCTATTTGTCCATCTATTGTTTATTTGTGTTCCTCCTTTTCTGTTTTATTAGGGAGAGGTAGTTGAATTACATAATTTTAAATTACATTTTATCTTCGCTTTTTAAGATTTTTATTATGATTCTTTTAAATTTATTTTTATCTTATTTTTTAGTGTTTTCCTAGAATTACAGGGTCTAATAAAGTTTTCTACAATGATGGAAACATTCCAGTCTGCACTGTGCGATAGAGTAGCTCACTAGCCATATGTGCCTTAAGAGCACTTGAAATATGGCTAATGCAACCAAGGAACTGAATATTTAATTTTATTTAATATGAATTAATTTAAATGTAAATAGCCATATATGGGTAGTGGTTACCTTGTCACCAGCACAGTTCTAGAGACTATAATATTTGCCTAACTTATCAGAATCTATCATTAAAGTATATTGTACTATTTCACAATGTAAAAACTTTCTAATGGTATACTTCGAAATATCACTGTCTTAACTTTTGTGCTCTTGTTTTCATATATTTTGATTCTACGGATATATAAATCTCATAGTACCTTGCAAATATTAACCAATCCTTAGTCTTTGAGAGAAATATATATGTATTTTTATCTATCAATTAGATTACATGCAGATAGACTCAGTAGATATGTAATTAATAATTATATATGTATGTATACATATAGATGTATATATATTTGTATATATGTGTGTGTGGGTATATTCCTAAACATAACAGAAATAACTTTGAAGGTTTTTTAAATCAAATTTTTACTTCCTGTTAAGTCAGTTTTCTAACTCATATAATTTGTCTTCAACCCAAAGGTCTTTTAAAAGCACTTTCTTTTGTAATACGGTCTGCTGAAGATGGATTCTTTTAGCATTTTTTTAACATCTGAAATGCTTTGTTTATACTTTATTTTTGAAGAATATTTTAACTGGCTATAAAGCTATAGATTCACATTGATTTTCAGTTGTTTGTTTTGATTTTAGAAGGGTAAATGTGTTTGTCTTTCAATTATCTCTGGCCTTTTTTTGCTCCTGATAAGAGATCAAGGATCATTCTTATTTGTTGTTCCTCTCTGTGTAGTGTGTCTTTGTCTTCTAGATACTTTTAAGATTTTTCTATTTATCTTCCATTTTCAGAAGTTTGACTATGGTGTGACTCAGTGTAGTGTTCTTGCTTGGGATTTACTGAGCATCCTGGATCTGTAGTTTAATATATTTCTTCAGTTTAGGAAAATATCAGGCTATTATGATTTGAAATATTTATTCACTATTCTGTCTCTATTCTCCTTCTGGGGCTTCAAAAATACGGACGATCACTTGGTATTTTCCTATAGATCTTGGATGTTAGGTTCCATTTTGAAAATTTTTTTTCTTTATAGTTCTGTTTTGATGATATCTACTGACTTATCTTCAAGCTCAGTTATTTTATCCTCTGCTGTGTCCAGTCTGCTGCTATACTCATCACAATAATTCTTCATTTCTAGTACCACATTATTTTTCATGTCTTGCATTCTTTTTGTGTTTTTTCCAACATTTTTCAATTTCCTGTTGGAAGTCTCCTCTATTCACATATTTTCCATGTTTTCAGCTAGATTCATTAGCTTATTTATTATACTTATTTTAAAGTCCCTGTCTGATAATTTCACCACCTGGTCTATCTCTGGGTCTGGTTGTATTTACCATTTCCTGTCTTAATGATGGGTCTCATTTTCATCTCTCTTTCTGTTTCCTATAATTTCTTATTAAATGCTAAATGTTATATATAAACCAAAAAAGATAAAAAACTGAAGTAAATATTTTTATGATCTTCAACAGGAACATCCTTTTTTTCTATCAAGCCACTTGTATAGAGCACTGAATCAATCTAGTCTGTAGTCTTGCTGGGTCTTGGATTTGCTGTCACTTTAGTTAGTTTTAGTTCATCACTGGGTTGAACTAACAGAAAGATAGAATCAGAACCTTCCCTTTATCAGGGGCTGGGATTTTTGAGTTTATATAAGGCTTGTCTCAGTTCTGCCTTCAGTCTTAAGCAGGCCTCATTCACCTGCACCTTACAAGTCATTTCTCTTAGCTCTTCTCCTCCTCACTTAGCCATAAGTAGCTGCTGCCTCTTATTCAGAGTAAGTCTTGGAAAGCTTAGAGGAGTTTCTTTTAGTTATTCTGCTCCATTATGAGACTTTCAGCAGATTTTGCATGCCTGAGCTTAAGTGAAAATTTCACTTAGCTATCCTGCTCCCCTCTAGCCATAGCCTGCTGTTGCTTCCTATTTATTGTATGCCTAGAAGGTGTGTGTGTTGTGTGTGTGTGTGTGTGTGTGTGTGTGTGTGTGTGTGTTTCCCCTTCCAAAGACACTGCCTGTTGAAGAGGAACTGGTCTCTTTACTGTCCTACTTTGCTCCCAATCTTCCTGGTGAATACTCACATAAAGGTCATAGAAGAGAGATTGTGAGTGGCCCACAGTTTCACCTGAGACCCATAGGGGTTCTAAAGTATTAGACACCCCACAATTGGTGTTTAAAAATCTGTTGAAAATTATATCATTTTATCTTACCCATGGAGTTTTTCTCCTCCTTTTACTGCTTCACAAATATGAAAACAGACATGGGTCTTTTCTCTGCTACAAGAGACTTGCCATTTTCTAGGTATTAATTTGTTAGTTTTTTCCCCCCAATTTTAACAAAAATCTATGATTTTTTTAAAAGTTAGCTGGATTTTCTGTTGTTAGGTTGGAAGTAACATTCTTTTGTGACTTCCCACATTCTAAATAAAATTATACATTTGACATTTTATTTTATGACACATTATATTTAGAGACTGTTACCTGCTTTTTATGCTATATTTTAATGTTTTTCACTGTTCTTATTCCATTGATTTTTAAAATAAAAATGACATTATTTATTTCTTCATAATAAAAATAATTCATGGCTGTTAAAAAACATTCAGACAAATCTGAATTCACAAAATAAGAATGCAAGTCACCTGACCTACCATTCAGAAATAACCATATTTAGCATTTTGGATTAGTATCTTCCTAATATAAATATTGATTGATTTCTTCTCCCCCCAAAATAAGATCATAGTATACATATTTTTCTGTGACATTTTTTCTGTAACAAAATATTCCAGACATCTGGGACAAATCAAGAACCATACATTGTCACTATTATTTTCAATGGATGCACAGTATTCCATCAGGTAAAAATCTATAACTTATGTAATAGCAATTCATTATTGATGGCCATGTAGGTCTTTTTCTAAACTTTTGCTCTAACAGCGAAGACTGGACTGATCTTCAGAAATATTTATGACTATTTCCTTTGAAAAAATATTTGAAGTAAAATTATTGGACATAAGGCTATACAATAAAAAGGACTCTCATGTACTCTTCCCATTCTTTAATTGTACATTTTACTTCCCCTGCTTTATTATTGTCTGTCTCTACACACACACACACGTGCGCATGCACACACACACACACTATGTATGTAGTGTCTTTCGAGAGTAAATTGCAGATATAATGCTCTTTTTCCCCTAAATACTTCAGTGTTTATTTTCTCAAACCACAGGCCAGTTTTTTACATAATGATAGTATAATTATCAAAATAATAAAATGTGCATTGACACAATACTATTATCTGATCTACAGACCATATTCATAATTGGCCTTTGTCCCAATAAAGTCCTTAAAGCAAACATAAAATTATGGCCCAGGGTCTAATCTAGTTGTCATATCATTTCAGGGTTTTAAAATTCTTCAATCTTTCTTTGTCTTTCATGACATTAACAAATTTAAAATACAACAGGCTAGTTATTTTATAAAATGTCCCTCAATTTGGATTTATTAGATATTTTTCATAATTACATTTCATTTATTAAAACATGGAAATAGCACAGAAATAACCACTGTCTTTCTGAGTGTGTCATATCAGGAGGAATATGATGTTGTTATATCCCATTACCTGAGATGTGAATATTGATCACTTGGTTAAGGAAGCATCGGCTAAATTTCTCCACTGCAAAGTTATTGTTTTTCCTTTTGTATTTCTTGAAGAAACATTTTGAGGCTATCTTGATATCCTATTCCTCATTGGACTTTCACCCCGTAAGTTTTGCACCCAATTACGGTGGTTCCTGAAATTATTTACTACTATGATGCAGTTAAGTTGATAATTCTGTAACTCCGTCATTCTTTTTACCATTATTTGTGTCATGACAGCTCATTTCTTTGTCACATTGAGTAATATCCCATTATTTGGATGTACCAGTTTATGTATCCATTCACCTACTGAAGGACATCTTGGTTGCTTCCAAGTTTTGACAGTTATTAACAAAACTGCTATAAACATCAATGTGCAATTGTATGTGTGAACATAAGTTTTTTTGTTTTTGTTTTTGTTTATTTTGATACGGGGTCTTGCTCTGTTGCCCAGGCTGGAGTGCAGTGGTGCCATCTTGGCTCACTGCAGCCTCAACCTTCCAGGCTCAAGTGATCCTCCCACCACAGCCCCCCAAGTAGCTGGGACTACAGGCATGCACCACCACACCTGGCTAATTTTTGTATTTTTTGTAGAGATGAGGTTTCACCATGTTGCCCATGCTTGTCTTGAACTCCTAAGCTCAGGCAATCTATTGATCCTCCCACAGTGCTGGCATTACAGATGTGAGGCACTGCACTTGACAGGGCATAAATTTTCAACTCCTCTGGGTAAATACCAAAGAGCACAACTGATAGATCATACGTTAAAGGTGTGCTTAGTTTCATAAGAAACCACCAAACTGTCTTCCAAAGTGCCTGTACTGTAAGAGTTAAAGAAAGTGGAGAGAAGCATGAAAAACAGTTCAACAGTCAAAGACAGGTTTGTTTTTTTTGGAGATAAACCTGAGAGGGGCTTCTGGCTGATTTTGGTCAGGTGCACTTTCTCTTACAGACTAAGGTTATTTAAGGGTTCAGGATGAGACAGCTTAATCACAGGCTCAGAATGTTTCTGTGTGGGGGAGAAGTTTATTGAAGCACTGGAATGTCTCTGGTTGAAGGGGAGGTTATCTTGGGGCTGATATCTCTCTGGCTGGTGGGCAAGTTATCTCGGGGTGGCATGTATCTGATCGGGGAGGGGTTTGGAATGTTTCTGGTCGGAGATGTTATTTATGGTTTATGGTCATGCTGACCTTAGCCATTAGGCTGATGCCCTTTGGATTTAGGCAGTTTTTTATCGAGGTGAACTTAAAATGGCAGTGCTTGTTCAAATGGTGATGCTCCTGCTCTGTCAATCCAGACCCCGTAGTTATAAAAAGGACGAGCAGTGGTGTGTTCTTTCTAGCTACTTCCTGCTGATGAGGGGATGGAGAGTTTTCTGGTCTCAGATTGACTGTAGGAGTAACACCGTCTGTAGATGTTGTTGGGTAGTTGTCTGTGAAATGGCCATGATCCCTGGGTTCCATGGACTCACTAGACGTGGGGGTGAAGGGTTCCAGGCACCCTCAGTTATTAGTTGTCAGTGCCAGCAGTGAAGAGATTTCCTCCTGTAATACTGGTGGGGCTTAGAGGCAGCGCCTGCTGAAACATCTAGTTTTCAGTTCATAGGGCTTCAGGACACAGCTTATTTTGGAAACTTGTAGCCAGAAAAATTAGAATTTAATTTAAGCTGTAAAAAATAATAAAAATTAAAAACATGAGTCAAGACTAGAATTTAACAACAGGTGTGCTATAGTTTTTGAAACACAATTTTCTCTCTCCAGTTTCCCATTTTTATTAAAAGACAAATCATGGTAGGACTGGTTTGCTTTATTATACTTGGCTTAATTATTTGCATGCAGTGCAGCAAGAATAATTATTTGTTACATAGTCCTTTTAAACTGGCTTTGATGGAACTTTGTTCCAGAGAAGGAATCTGAGATAAGACCTTTTTAAAGCCAAGCCCAGCCATGGATTTGTACCATCAAATACCTATAAGTTGGGTGAATTCCTCTCCTCTTGAGGTTCCAAGATAACTTTGGGTTCCCGGCCTGTCAGAAAGTGACATTATTTACTTACCACTGATCAGAAACCCTCTACAGGGACTGTGTACACAAAATATAAGGCCGGTTTTCCAAGGGCTTTATTGCCTTCATAAGTGAAGTTTGATTCCTTAAAGGAAAGCACACCATTCCAGTCAAAGCCTTGGTAAAAATAACCAGTTTTTCCAGTTGTGCCCTGTTACGAAAGAAAACAGATTTTTACTGCATTATGCAAATAACTATTGTCATAACTTAAGAATACTCACAGATAGTTTCCAAATTCTGGAGAAAATCAGGTAAAGAGAAACAAGTATGCTCCAAATTTTGTTCATGGGAGTATACTAAATTGCTAAAAGCTGTCAATAACTCAAAAGTTTATTTGACTTTGAAAAGCAAAACAAAGGATTAGTAATATTTTAAGCAAAATGTCAGAAAGATCACTCCAGTCTCCTATTAGTTCAGTTTATGCAGTTGATTCCTGTCCTGCATAATATTAATGAACATTCTAGCTCTTCAATAGTCCTGAATGTTTGTCCTCTATGCTGATGTCACAATCTCCAAAGTTATCAGAAACCTGCATTCAAGAGCACCTATTAGAGCTTTATAGCTGATTTTAAAACCACTTTCTAAAGAGGACCAAAACAAGACAACAATTGTTTATGGATGACAAAAAGTTTTAGGGTAGCCATAGTTAAAATTACGAGGATATCTGGTACCTTTGCGGCACACAACAATTTTAACATAACAATTATAATTATTACTGATAACATACACTAAGATATATCAGAATTATAGGAGTCTCCCATACTTTGGAGCACATACCAATAACATATTTATACAAATATAACCCAAAGAAAGCCAAATACCATTTTATATGTGACAATGCTTCCTGTATGATTATATAACAAGCCAAATTTTACCTTTATATTAGTGTGCTGTTAATGTTAAACTCAATTTTTAATAAAACCTTGTAGACATGTTTACCCAATTTTAATGTTTGACCATATGGTAAGATTTTTATAGACCCTTTTTAACCCTTTATAATTTTTGTTAAAGAGCAGGTTAGTGCTTTAAGAGAAACCCATTGTGCTTCTATTTTAATGCTCAATTTCCAGAAAAATTGGATGATACCCCTTTAGCTTTAGCCAAAATGTTTACACACAGAATTTCCTTTACAATTAACCTTCCAAAACTTGCTTAAACCTTCATTTTTATTTTATTCAACTTAAAACAATTCTTTAGCCTTTTAATGTAGGTAAAAATCCACATTCTCATGCCTCCTTATAATCTTCTTACCAAAAGTATGTGTAAATTGTTTTTTCAATAGTCTTAAATACATGTTACACTATTAACTTTTAGCAACCTTTACTTTTGCTGGTGAGCTTGCGATTTGAATTATGTACTAGTTATAGAGCCTAGGACCTAGACAGAAGTGCAGATAAGGTCTGACTGATTCTAGCATTTCATTCCATGTGTCCTAGGTCTTACCTAGCTGCAAAGCTCGCAAGTTGTGCAGCGAAGAGTCAGCATTTAGGAGGCTAAACCACTTTTAAATTGTACAACATTTCTTGCATAAATTCCCTTTTATACATTTTTTTACGACTTACACAATCTCTGAGATGACTCAAATTTCTTACTTGTAAACACCCCTTTCTTTAAACAACCAATTAATTTACTTTAGGACAAGAATTTGCCATCTAAGATTCTTTTTATATAAATTCTCTTTTCTTTAATATCAAAGAACTGTTATTCTTTCCCAAAACAAACTTCCTTTATGTCTGTGGACTAGACTGCCTAAGGCTACAAGATTAGAAGTTAGGATATTTTACTAAATAGTTCAAGATGTAGCTATCTTCATTAAACCAATATTAACGTTTCATTTATTAAAAAATTACACAAGCAAAGATTATTCTGTTTGGGGCTGAGTTACAGTTTTGTAGCCTCTATGCCAAATTTTGACACCTTATAGTATTTGACAGAGATAAGTATGGAATTGCTTGATTAGTATATGCAAACAAAAATGTATGCTGACAACTCTTAAGACATTTCTAATCTTACTGTACCAGTAAGTTTTAAAGATTAAGGTCATGTGGACTGAAAGGTCCCACAGCTTTTACTTTTTCCTTAAAAATATTTGATTTAAGCACTTATTTTTCTTAGGCCAATTAATTAGAGCTTTTTAAATACAGATTGCACACATAACACATATATAGCCACACAGACAACCAGAAAAATATCCAGTAGTTATGTTTTTGTTGTTGTTTGTTTGTTTGTTTTGCTAATTTCCCAACTGGGTTATTGGCCTTTGGGTGAGGCCTTTTAAGAATGGGGCTAGGAAAACAATTTCCAGGGCCTAGGAAACAAGCATAGCTGGAAGACAAAGACAGATTTTGAGAGGTAATTATTCACCTTTAATTCCAGGGGTTCCATAAGGAAAACAGAGATTTTTCCCAAAACAGGATTTGTGGTGTCTTTTCTGTTTTCCCAAGGAGTCCCAGGCCACCAGAAGTACATGCACTAAAAGTGGCAAGACAGAGTGAAGAAAAGTAATTCAGTCGGCTGGGAAAAAACCTTTTCCAGGAAAACAAGATTTATGAAGAGGAAAACATAAGGCCTTTTGAATATACTCATAGCTTGCTTATGAGTATATTCATAAATCAGTGTTCTGGATTTTTACCATTCTAATAGGTGTTTACTAGTGTCTCATTGTTGTTTAAATTTTCATTTTTCTGATGATAAATTGAGCGTCTTCATATGCGTATTTTCCATTTGTGTATCTTCTTTGGTGAGATATCTCTTATCTTTTTCTGGTTAGACTGTTTCATTACTGTTGAGTTTTAAGAGTTCTGTGGATATTTTAGTTTATAGTTCTCTTTATCAGACAATTTTTTTCCAAATGTTTTCTCCCACTCTTTGGCTTGTCTTTTCATTTTCTCTTGACACTATATTTTACAAAGCAGAAAGTTTTAATTTTCATGGAGATCATCGTATCACTTTTTTACTTCATGGATTGTTCCTTTGGTGTCATATCTAAATATTCATCACCAAATCCAAGGGCATCTAGATTTTCTCCTGTGTTATCTTCTTTCAGTTTTATAGTTTTGCATTGTACATTTAGGTCTATAATCAATTTTGAGGTAGTTTTTGATCTAGATTAGTTTTTTGCATGTGATGTCCAACTTTTCTAGCATCACTTGTTAAAGAGATGATCTTTTCTCCATTGTATTGCCTTTGCTTCTTTGTCAAAGACCAGCTGACTATTTTTATGTCTATTTCTGGGCTCTCTATTGTGTTCTATTGTTCTATTTTATTTTCAGCACAATGTTGAAAAGGAATGGTAAGAGGGAGCATTCCTCCCTTGTTCTTTATCTTAGTGGGACAGCTTCAAGTTTTCACCATTAAGTATGATGTTGGCTACTGATTTTTTGTAGATATTTTTTATCAAGTTGAAGATTCCTAGTTGACCAGTTATTTTTAAAGATAATAGAAAAGGTACATGGAAGGCAGGTGTGATAGAGCCCAGCTACAATTTTCCTTAAAAGAAATAACCATCACAGAAGATGACCTGTTATTTTGTTAAACTAATATTAAAGAACATACGTTTAATTATCACAAAGCCACTGCTTAGCAGCTCTTTGGTGAAATTTATGCTGTAAAGGTTCACATGTATTTCAGTCTTCTTGTCTGAAAAGTTTGCCTATTCATCCATTATCCCATCTTCAAGGACCAGAACCAAGGATTCCTCTTCCAAGAAGCTTTTTTTATACCCCCCTCAAATAAACAACGTTCTCCTTTAATATTTGAGAACAATTCTTTGTACCTTTCTTAAGATGCATATTACATTCTGCCTCATAACATAGTTTGTAAGAACTATTGCTTGTAATTAAATGTAATCTCCTCCAAAGATTGTTTGTACACAGTAGACACTCATATATTTAATTGAATTAGTAGATATCATTGAATCTATTGATTTAATAGCTCATTTATACAATGTACTTTTATAAGCAACTTCTAGAGCATGATACTGTGCCTGACATGATAGAGACTACAAAAAAAAGTAAGTCATAATTCCCAGGTACTGAGAACAGAGTCCAGAGTTAGAAGCAATCATTCATTCATTAAAGAGTTATTGCTAATCATCCACTGTTATCTATATCTTGAACTAAGTACCACAAATACTGAGATGAATAAGTCATGGTCATTGCCTTCCAGGAGTTCATTTAGTTGGTGGGAAAGGCAGAGATGAAAATAAGCCTCTCAACTTGCATGTGAAGAGGCTACAGTAAGGGGCTACACAGGTTGCTGTGAGTGTCAGAAGTAGGTTAGAGTCAGGGGTGAAGAGTGAGAAAGAAGTTTCTATAGAATAAGTTCTATTTGAGTTTAATGAAACAGTGTCTAGTGAAGACAAGGCCACTGCTTATAGAAAGATCTGCATTTAGTGGGGTCAAGATGATGATGCATCTTGGAACAAGTAGTTCTGTGCATCCAGAATATGGTGTCCATGAAAGAACTTGGATTGCAGTGATGTTGGAATAGGAGATGAGAGGTGGATCACAGATGCCCTCTCACCTTTCACTCCCCCTCCTCAAGATGAAGCAAAGCAAATGTTGAGAAGGCAAGAGGAGAAATGTTGGATAAAGAGGGAAATCATGGAGGAAAAAAAAATCTCTTTAAAGTTGGAAAGGGACTGAAACAGGGCTAGCAGTAGATGAATCAGTTTATCCAACTTTATCAGCCTTGAAGTCATTTCAAGTTTCCAGGAAGCAGTATATATAGTCTTTGAATTAATAGTCTTTTCCTTATTTTCACCAGTAAAAGATGAATACTCCAACTCCAGGAAGACTGATTTTGGGTTCCAGCTTGGGCACAACTGCCTTGTCTTTATATCCAGCCTGCTCCTAAATGGCAGGAGTGAGCACCCTTCACATATTTTGTGGTGGGAGGAAGCCACCCACGGAACAAGTCATCACAGACTGCTTGTTCCTCCTAGCAGAGTGTTGACAGAACACTCTATTCCCCAGGATATGCCTCTACTTCACTGAATCATTTGGAAATCTTTACAAGTGTTTGTGGGACTTTAATACTTGGATAGGGAGGGAGAGCAGAAGGACATTCCTGGCTTGATTTTGTTGCTTCAGTTTTTGAGTGATCTTCCAAACCTTTGAGTAATAGGAGTATTTTATTATTATTATTTTTATTATTTTGATGACTACAACTTTAAAATGTCTTATAATGTGAACTCCGTTGGACAAACATTAAACAGTCTATGTGGAGGCTAGAAAAAGAATAATAAACTTATGGAATTATCTCATTTTGTCTAATTCTCTCATATTATGCAAAAAGAAATTACATTCCAAAAGAACTTGAAACTGCATGCCCAATGTCATACAGCCAATTGATAACTATTTACTGATTAATTAAAAATAAATTACTTTTTTGTTTCCTTGGCAATGGATTAAGATTTTTCATCTGTTTGTTAGCTGTTGGGAGGCACATAAGAGAAGGTAAAAGAAGGTATTTACTCCAATAATTTTTGTAAAAATGACAAAATAAGCAGGCATCAAGTGATAACTCAGAAAATTTTGCTTCAAAACAGAGAAATATTGTGTGTGTGTGTGTGTGTGCGTGCGCATATAACTGTGTGTCTATGTCTGTGCATGCATGTGTCTGTGTGTGTATAATCTCCTAATTTTTCTAATTCAGATCTACAATGCTATATTTTCTGATGCTGTGTCCCTAATTCTGGTTAGTGTGCACTTTCTGATGAGTTGTCTAACTGCTAAATATCAAACAGTCCTTAACTATTTCATAACCAGATTGGCTTTGGTATTCCTCAATTCCTTGTTGGTATTCATTTAAATAGTCATTCATTCAACAAATACACATTGAGTACATTTTCCATGCAATTATGATATAAACGCTAAGATCTCTGTCCTGAAGAAAATCTCACGATGGTTAAACATAAGTGGAACACAGTGTAACAGACTTATAAAACAATGTGAAAATACCTTAATAGTGATTTACACTGAACTATGGGATTACAAAGGGGCCTTTAAAGCCACACTCATATAGGGAGGCATGTAGACAGAAAAGATAAAGGGGTTAGGATTGAGGTATAGATCACTCAAAATTTAGAGATTGGAAAGAAGAAAATCAGCAAAAAAGCTTGAGGAAAAAAGCTTTGAGGTAGGAGAAAATCTTAGAGAGGCTTATATTTAAAACCAAGTTAAATGATTATTTTCATTAAGATGATGTGGTGAACGACATCAAATGCTGCCAAAAATTCTGAAATGATAAGAAGTGAAAGTTGACCACCAGCATACTGACTCAAGTGGGTTATAAAGAGAAGGGAAGGTGTGGACAGTACTGCAGATGAAAGCATTTTGCTGTGATATGTGTGAAACTGCGAGTTCTGGCTGATATTAGGTTGATAGCATTGGAGATGGTTGGTCTGAGATATATTTTAATGGCTCCCGTATTAGTGAGTTCTCACACTGCTATGAAGAAATACTCGAGACTGGGTAATTTATAAAGGAAAGAGGTTTAATTGACTCACAGTTCCACAGGGCTGGGGAGGCCTCAGGAAACTTACAGTCATGGTGGAATGGGAAGGAAACACGTCCTTCTTCCCATGGTGGCAGCAAGGAGAAGTGCAGAGCAAAGTGGGGGAAAGCCCCCTAAAAAGCCAACAGATCTCATGAGAACTCACTCACTATCACAAGAACAGCATGGAGGTAACTGCCTCCATGATCCAATAACCTCCTACCGGGTCCTTCCCTCGATATGGGGACTATAGGAACTACAATTGAAGATGAGATTGAGGTGAGGACACAGCCAAACCATAGCAGCTCCTTCTTTTTTTTAGTGCTTTAATGTGGGAATGAAAGGAATAGAGGAATCAGAGAAGACTCATAAGTCCTTGGCATAAGCAACTGCCTGAATAGTGGCCCTGTTTACTGAGATGAAGCACACTAGAATAAAAGCAGGTATATGGGAGGGTAAAGAAGTCCAGGCAAGAATAAAGAATTCAGTGTGGCACAAAATGTGTATAGACATTCAAGTGGAAATGTTAAGTAAGTGGGAATACCCTGGTGTGAAGTAAACTCACAGGCTGGACCAGATTTGGAAATGAGAATTTGGGAATCATCATTGGTTTCATAAAAAACTAAGGTAGGAGTTGGAGAGGGATTCAAGGTGGTCACATGAAAGACAAATTTAAGATGGGTCACATTAGAGTGTATTGTAAACTAAAGGGAATAATCCAGTAAGGAGGACAAAAATGGTGCCCAAGCAAAATCTATGAGTAGAATAGAGGTGATGGGGGATGTTTGAAATTAGGATTTTGGAGAGTGTTCTCTTACAGTGAAGTACAACCATAGGAATCAAGCAGAGGGAAAGATTATGGAAAGTGAACAGGTCATTGAACTGAGTGGCCTGGTGTTGGCAAGCCATCTACATTGATAATGAAATCTTCCAGAAAGATGACAGAAATACCATACTAAAATTTTCAGTAAATGAAGGTGAATGCCCTGGATGTTGATGACTACATAGTCTGATGGCATATGCTTCAAAGGACAGAGGAAACAAGGTCTGGAAGCAGCAACAAAGATCATAGAGGAAATTTACACTATCTTGAAGACTATAGTACAGATTTTTAAGGAAGAAATGAAAGAGCCATAGCTTGAGGAACCATATCCCAGTTTCAGTTAGAGAAAGAAGATGAAGGGACATTCAGTGAAGAGGTTAGAATGAAGGGGTATTGGTAGGTGATAGGGCATGAGTTCTAGAGGGCACAAGTGTTGGGAGAGTCTCCAGGAAGGGTGGAAGATTGGGCCAGATGAAGTGATGTTCACTGCCACAAGAGCATGGCCCAACAGCATGATGTGATTGCTCCTGTGGTCATCCAGGGGAAGAAGGATGAGTTAGTTCTCTGAGAGTGCCAGCCTCTCAGGACTGGTCTCTTAGTTTGTGTAGGTAATATGAGTGGTACTGAGGTTTGTGGTAATCATTTTTTTGAGAATAGGAGGGGTTCTGGAGGCTTCCTTTATAAACTTCCATGAATGGCATCATGGTTGGGAAAGGGGCAGGTCTTAATGGAACACATGGATCTATGTAGACTTCTCTTCAATGCTGCTCTTGGGGAAGTCACCATATGAAGTAGGGAGGGGAACAAGGCAAGCCTGGACACTATTTGAGATCTTAGGAAGGCCCGAACTGAGGCTATGACAATGAGGATCCATGGATGAGATGTAGACAGGGTGTTAGAGATCCATTTGGATGCAGAATGCCTCGGGCTGTTCTCCCATTATGCAGTTCTCTTCTTGGCCACCGAGTTTAATCAGAAATGGTGGCCAAGGCTGGAGCTACAGGCTCTAATTATAACCTTAAAATTTAGTCTATAATTGAAGGAATCTCAAGACTCTGATAAGCACCTCTAACTCATCTCAGGGAAATCCATATTCTCATGGTCACAGAAATACTCTATTCTCACTCTCCCAAAAACATCTACTTCTCAATCATCCAAACTAAGTAATTTCAAGACAACACAGGCTACCCACAAACTAACAGGGTCAAGTTTATTTTCTGTGAGACAAATGATTGCATTGATTGGTGATTCTTCTTTACTTGACAGTTCCTGACAGGATAAGGACAAGAAGCAACACACAGAAGAGAAGGAAAAAGAAAGAAAACTGACCAATATGAGTGGTGATTGTTTTGGATATATTTTTCATTAAATTTTCCCAAAAACTCCATAAAGTGTTTATTTCATACTCATTATAGATATGAGGAAATAGATTATCAGAAAAGTTTGAAAATTTCCCCAAGATGTCAGAAAGCAGCAGAGCTGATATTAAAATCCAGAGTTATCTGACCTGAAAGCACTTGCTCTTTTAACCAGACAAGAACTAAGAAAGCTGACAAAGCCAACTGAATGCTCCTTTCCCAAGTAACCAAGCAATTACTAATAAAGATTAGTTACCTTGGGTCAAAGGTGCTGGGATCTATGGGGAACAGAGATTAAATAAAACACAGTCTGTATTCTCCTAGTATGAACAACCTGTTTGGCAAGAAAACCTGTTTGCATAAAGATACAAAAAGTGAAATAACTCAGAGGACAAGAATGTAATCATTGTCACTGCTTTAAGTGTCAAAGCACCAAGTTTTATGATTTCACTGTGGCTCTAAAGCTTCACAGTGAAAAGGAGCATGTATGGATGAATTTGCTCAAGTTAAGAAAATGTGAAGTAGAATTAATGTAACAGAGCCATTTTTTCTGATTTTGATTATTTTTAACATTTTTAAACCTTGATAACATTTTGGTACCTTTTTTTTTCCTTTTTCAAGGCATTTGTTTATTTAGTTTTTACAAAATTGAGTTCTTAGTGCATATACAGTTTTGCATCCTCTTTTTTTTTTTTTTTGGTTAAACGTGATACTATATGCAATTTCCCACATGAGTAGAAGTTTTGTATACACATGAGGATAAATGACAGCATAGTAATCAGAGTAGAAGGGATTTGAAGAGACAGAAGTTACTGGATTCCCCAGGCATGGAATGACATGATCCAGAATGAGGATTCCTCTTGGGGACAAGTCAAAGAATTAGCAAGAACTAGGTTCGAAATGGTCCTTGGGGCGGACAGACTAACTAGAGAAGTCTGCAGGCAGTCACATGCCATAACTTGTGCCCTGTCTATCCACTGAGCAATTCCAGGATACCACCTGATCTGTGTCCCTTTCCGAAGGGCTGCTCTGGGGGTCAAGTAAGTGAATGCCAAAGGAAGGCCATTCAAGCTTTAGAAAATCCATTTCCAGAAGCAGATTTGTTTACCAACTGGGAAGGCATCCACTAAAACAGGGGGAACAAAAGAGGTTTTCTTTATGAACTGGTCCCTGACCCTTGCTTTTAGCAAGGGTTCCCATTTTCTTTGGCAAGCCTTTTTCCTGCTCTGTGGCCAAGTACAACAGAGCTGGCAGACAGAATATCCTCACTGGTTGTGTAAGGCTGGAGGCTGAGGTCAAGTATGCCATTCATTATAAGATGGAAGTTTGGGGACGTACAAATAAAGCAGCACTTTTACCTAAAATTTTAACAATTTTCTCCAGGGTTACATTTGAAAAAGCAGTCACTAACTTAAAATTTGGCATTATGATACAGAAGCAGCAATTTGAATACTATCAGCTACCTGATAGCTTCTTGTTTCCTCCACAGTGCAAACTCTCCCATTCTAAATGAAACTCACTTTCAGCCAAAATCAGTGAAGGAGTGAGATTATTTTGGGGATCTTATTTTTCTGTGATATGTTATTCTTTTCTTCAAACCTTTTGATCCTTTATTGAATCTGGTATTTCATGAATGTTGTTGAGCATGGTTTTGGAGTTTTTCCTCCTTGTGAAATTTTGCACTGTCAGTGTCGATGCTGTTATTAGCATTCATGCTCACAAGATAAAGGCACTGCTGAAGAGTTATGTGTTTCCTTGAAAGACCCAAAACCTATGTGAAGCTAAATAACTAAAATTTCAGTGAGTTTTTAAAGGTTATTTTGTTTAATGTTATGAATTCTAGTATACCAAACAATTCTCCAAAGGTTAGGAACATAATTCAGTCTGCATTATTCTGTCTTGTGTTATTACTGAAATTTTTATAATTTGCTACCAGCAGATATTCCTAAAGTTAACTGGCTAAAATATTGACTGTTAATATAGATATAACTATTTTTTCCCTTAATTTTTAACTAATTGAAATGTCTTCATTTTTGTTTTTTAACATAAAATTGACAGCCATCATAATTATTGATTTTTGTAGTAATTTAAAATTGCAACAATAAATGTATATATTTATACCTGACAGAATTTGAATATATAAAGCACGTAAGAAAATTGTGCTGCCAGTTGCATCTAGAACGCTCACCTATTCTTGAAAGAAAATATTTACATTTGTAATAAATCTGAATGGTTTGCCTTTTGCAAACAGATTAGAAATGATTTACATGTCATGTGATCAGTGATTATGCATTAAGTTTAGGGATCCTAGAAATGCTACTGAAGTAAGTGTTTGGCTACTTGGCCATTTCTGTAAACTTGAAGGATAAACGAATGCAAATTAAAGCATATGTCATGGAAGTAATTGCATCAGAAAGTGTGGCTTGAAACCTCACTTTGCTATTTTAGTTTGGTATTTGTTGATTCACCACCTACTATGTGCCAAAAATCCAGTTAAATTCTAGAGATACATAAATGAGTAAGAGAATGGCCCTTGTTCTCATGGTGCTTATAGTCTGCGGAGACCGAACAATTTCTTTTGCTGCGCTAAGCTGCTGTGTCCTGCTCTTACTCTGCTAGTTTTACAGGTTGTTCATGAAGGTCAAGTTAAATAATGGGGGCAGCTGATACTTTTTGTGCAAGGTGTGTAATATATTCATAAATATTTTAATTGTCCCAGCCATCCTATAGGATATATAGCATAGTCATGGGAACATGCTTGAGGTCCAGTGCCTGGTTTTGAGTCCTGGCTGGCTGTTTGGCTTTGGACATGCAACTTAATCTCTCTGGTCTTCAATTTACCATAAAATTGTGACAATTATATTACTTCCTTCATTGACAATTAAGTTAAATAATGAATGTATAGAATTCAGCATAGAATCTAGCACATAATAAGTATTCCACTGAGGTTAACAGTTATTAAAATTCGGTAGAGTGTATCGCCAGTTTAGAAATAAGGGAATGCAGAAAGGTTCTACAGTTTATGTGAGGGCACACAACAAGTTGCAGAAATGAGACTGAGCCAAGCCAATCTGTTGCCAAAGCCCTCATTTTTCTCCAACATTTGGGCCTCAAAAATAATTTTATAGATATAACTGTTAGGTAAATTTGAAGGCTATTTACTGGGTGTGTCCTCAAGTCTAATTTCTTTGCTCTCCGTCCACATCCCAGACCACCAAAGTGAAAGTGCAGAGTGCGCATGTGGTCTGATGACTGGCATGGCCACTTGAGTCCCAGGCTGCTTTGCCTTGGAGAGGGAAGGAAGCATTTCACCAAACTGAGACAGGGAGCTTGGCTCAGGTGGGTGAGCCAGGTTCATGTATGACTGTGAAGCTGGATCATTCATCTGACTGTAGGCATTCTGGCCTTCTTTCTCCCTTTCACTGAGCCAAGCCCAGAAGCTGAACTCATCGTGTCTGATTTGTTTGTGTGTGTGTGTTTTAAGTTAGTTTGCAGAATTACTCTCCTATGATGGCACAGAAATCACAAGGATCTGACAACCTTCAGGAAGGCCAGGAAAAGAGCAAGAGAGAGATCCTGAAGTGCACCAAAAGCGCGTGGGCTCCGCTGGATGAGTGGCTGCCCCCTGACCCTGAGGAGGAAAGCCAGAGTCTCACCATCCCCATGCTGGGTGAGAAGGACTCTCAGGCCTATTTGAAAACATTCCTCTGTGAGTGGTGAGGGATGTGGGAGCTTTTGGCCAGGGGCAGGTGATTTTGGAACAAAAGTATTTGGCTTTGAATATACCAGTGTTCCTGGCATGATGCCGGAAACATTTATGAAATGGGCACTTCTGACTTCTGCTATAGACATCAGGACACAGACCTCCTTGAAAGAAGTAGACCAATTAATGAATGAACTCTGCTTCCTTTCCACTCCAAACATCCCTCATCCTAAGTTCCCAGGACTTTGAAGCTGTGTGGGGTCTGGGCATGAGGCTTCTTTCAGGTCATCAAACATTTTATTGAAAAACTCTGATTTGTTGGATCCTGCAGGAGGCATTGACAAAAATTTTAATCATTTAAAGAGTAATAAGTAAGAAAATACTTCCAGCACTCCCTGCCCCCATTATGTAACTGTTGAATGGTTTTTCTTCTTTGCCCATTGCCCAATTCCTTCTAACTTCACAGCAGTTCAACTGAAGAACAATACAGACCTCCTGTGTCCACCTGGCTTTTATGGTTCACCTGACACCTTGTGAGGGAGATAATTCAGGCACTTCACTATTTGATAGGATAAAGTCAAACAAAATTAGCCTAGAGTACACAGTTGCTAAGCAGAATGGAAACAAATATTTAACAGGAAATGCTGCTTTACATCCTCTCCTTTTTACCTGTTGACTATTTGTTGAGCCAATGATAAAGATCCACCTTAAAAGACTGGTGCCTTTTTAACACAGGGTGCCTTTGGCAATCCAGGGACTCTAGTGCAATTTGTCCCTGGAATGAATGCAAATTTGGTTTCTAACCTGGCAGAGAACTCCTTGCAAATAACCATCACTGGCTGGCTGCCTTAGGTAAATGTGATTCAATAAGGAGAGGCTTTGTGGTGATTTATATCCAACAAGAGAAAGACAAAAGTCTCTTATGCTTTCTCACCCTTTGTATTCACACCAGGTAATTTAAAAATTATTCTAACATCTCTCGTTCTTCAGTGGTTTATTTTTCTTCTCTCTCACATTTTCTTTCTTTTTTTTTAAGTTACAGTCTTTTGACAAGTTTACACTTCATTCTCAGGAAAGGCTGATCATGGAAAACAGGAGATTTTGCCTTCAGGAAAAAAAATGAATATGCTTATGGAAGGAAACATGTGACTAAATATGTGGGAAATAGTGACTGAGTGGCGGCTGAGTAAACAGGGTAGCATCCTTTTAGCTGGTTGTGCTTTGACTAACTGATCTGTTCTTTCTTACTTGTAGAAGATTCCAAGCAAGAAAGTATTCAGCAGTGGCTGGACTCTGGATTCTTGTAAGTGTTTTTGTGTGTGTGTGCCTTACATGTTTCTCTTGCAAAGATCCATGAAAACAATGTGTGTAACTCTGCCTGGGCAAGGTCGGGGAAGTGTAGGGATTTTCATTTTAATTGTACGTGAAGTATTATTCTATTATTGTAAAAACTATGTATCAGTTTAAAACTACAAAATAAAATACTACTCTAGTCCCTGACTGTTTATTGGTTTCTAAAAGTCCTCTCTTACTAAAACCTAACTCTGCATTTGCTCTCACCTGTTTAATTAAAAAGTAATTTAGTATAATTTATTTACACACATTGTTTGACTCACAATACTTTTGTTTCTTTACAGTGTCTCTGCAAATGAAAACTTTCAACAAGTCATTGACCGCACTGGTAAGACAAGAGAAGCAGTTATGCTTTGGGAAGCTGAGTAGGAGATATATTCAAATATCTACGTGAATAAATCTTCTTAAAATGAGCATTATCAGAGGCTTCTAGAAATGATCAGCCCTCAAAAACTATCCAGCTCAATCTCTTCATTTGACATATGACTGCGACAAAAATGATAGGTGCTTCCCCAGCAGCAGGTTAAGGGCCGAACCCAGGGCTCTTGCCATATCATCAATGGCTCAGAGTATAGCATAAACTCACTGGGTTCTATGAAGACATTTGCAAGGATGTAGTTATGAAAATGAAATTGTTTAATTTTCCCCATCCTGTATTATACTTTTATTTCTGAATCTAGATTTTTTCTATTCTTTGGTCTCAAAATTGCACTTACATTCTCTCTTTCTAATAATGCACTTGTTCTCAAGAAGAATAAATGTCTGAATTCTAAAGCAAACAGTACAAGTATTTCTGAAGGAGAAAATGTATCACACTTGTTTCACTGAGATTTGATAAAAGCAGTATAAAAAGAAAAAGAAATTTAATTACAGGACTCACAGTTTCCATCTTCATTAAATGCAATATCATATTTTATAGAATCTAAGACCCTTCAATTATAAAATGCATTCATATTTTAAGTACCATTTAGAAAAAAAAAACAAAACCTGGCAATTACAAACAGAAGGCAATATTGACTGTAATACGTATCTTGATTTCACAGGTGTTAAAATGTGAAAAAGTATGTTTCAAAATGGATGAAATATTGTGAAGAATTTGTGTGAAAAAATGACATAAATTAGGAACTTAATGGTTAGATGAAAAAATTATTAGTCTAATAGTCACTTACTTTGCTGGTTTTAATTATTTCACTTCCTCTACTGCCATCTTACATTAAGACTGACCGTTGGCTACAAATCAGTTTAAATTTTGAATTTTTTTACTACTTTTAAAAGAAAACCTATATGTATCATTGAAATTTCCCTTTTCACCAACCTTCTTTATTTTTTCTAATATAAAAGTTCCATGATGCCAAATACTGTAAAGATTTTTGCCAATAAATCAAATGTAAGTACCTCTCTGCTCATAATAATTCAGACTCAAGGAAAAGCAAAAACTTCAGAAAAATAGCCAGCATTTCATATCCCCCTAATGTTTTCTCTTGCCCCGGTTGTGGTGAGAGGCCTGGCACTGGTTCTGGAGTCATCAGTAACCATACTAAAAGCTTCACTTCCCAGAAATTAAAGACAAATCACAGCTCTTCCTCTTCTGAACCAAGTCAATGAACTGGAAAGGCACAGACATGAAGTAAAGACCTGGAGGAAAATTGGGATAGTGATATGGCTCCGAGATCAGAAACACAGTCTTGATTTGCCAGGTCCTTTATCTTCAGCAAGATTTTTAATAAAAATGGAATAGCTTCTTACACGTTTAACTGAGCCTTCGCTTGTACAAGGCCCTTTCTCATCGATCATATTTTAAACTCCATGGCCTGTGTGGTAGCATGGTTTGTTTCGTCTGTTTGTTGCAGATGAGGAATCTGGGGCACAGAGTGGTCAAGTGCCATGATTGTTGGTCACAGCTGGTTAGAGGCAGGTGGAGGAATGGAGGCCTGGCCTTCTATTAATATCAGCCCCACTGCATGCTGGCTTCAGCCATGATGAGAGAGCTGCACTGAGCTTGGGGGAGCTGAGAGACACATTGAGAATGGTGGATGCTAGAACAGTACCAGAAACTGGGGACCTGGAGGTCATGGCAAGGGTGACAGGGAGAAAAACTGTGGAGATGAAAAGGACCCAAAGAGGAGGAAGAAAAGAAGTCACTTTTGGAGGGAAAATCCTGTCAAAACTCATAAAATACTGATAAAATGTAGAGTGACGCATGAATTTCCTAGGGCAGCAGTAACAAATTATCACAAACTTGGTGGTTTTAAGCACCAAGTTCTGTTGTTTTAACAACAGAAATGTATTCTCTCACAGTTATGGAGTCTGGAAGCCCAAAATCAAGGTGTCACCAAGACTGATCTCCCTCTGAAGGTTCTAGGGAAGAATCCCTCCTGGTTTCTTTCTAGTTTCTGGTGGCTTTGGCAATCCTCAGTGTTCGTTGGCTTGCAGCTACATAACTCCTTTCTATGACTTCATCTCTACATGGCTTCTTCTCCTTGTGAGTCTTTTCCTCTTATAAAGACACCAGTCATTGGATTAAGGATCCTATGTAATCCAGTATGATCTCATCTTAACTAATTAACAATCCACAAAGACCCTATTTCCAAATAACAGCACATTCTGAGATTCCAGGTGGACATGAAATTCCAGGGGACTCTAGTCAACTAACTAGAATTCATTCTAAGGCTGGTTTCCTTATTAATCACTTCTGAGGCTTTGTACACTAAGGTAGCAGCAAGATCTAAGTGTCTTCATCTTACAGGTGACCCAGTGCTTCCCACAGAAAGCATTCTAGTGAGTCTTCAGCCTTTGGACTGGGCCCAAATAACATAGATAGTTGGGATAAGGCTTCAGTGGTCCTGTTCCTGGTTTCCTGTTGGGTTCTATGATGGCCAACATGAGGCTTGGCCTTTTATGATGACTCTCTGGCTGTCATGGTCATCTGCAGCTACCTAAAATCTCAAATCTCATTTTTATTAAGCGGGAATCTGGTTGGCCCATTTTGTACCTTGTTTACCACAATTAAGCCAGGTAAAGCCCTTGGCACTTCAGCCTCTTCATCAGTAGAACTTGGAGGGGAAGAAAATTAATGCATACTGAGGATGCACATGCTAGATACTATACATACATTATCTTGCTTACCAGACCACCTTTGAGGTAAATATTACGTGGAGGAAAATGAGGCTCAGAAAGGTAAAGTAACTTGACAAAAGCCACCCAGTTAGTAGGTATTGGAGTTGAGATTTTCAGCTTAGATCTGTCTGTCTGTATAGCCATGCTCTCCCTCTGGAAGACTAATAACATTTACTACACGTGTTATGCGTGGAAACCCCTGGAAGGAAAGCTCTGTGCTGTGGTTTCAATGTTCCCTCCAAAACTCATGTTGAAACTTAATCACCATAGTGACAGCATTGAAAAGTGGGACTTTTGATAGGTAATTAGGTCTTGAGGACTCTGCCTTTATGAATGGTTTAATGCCCTTATCCTGGAGTGAGTTATTTATCATGGGATTGGGTTAATTATCACGGGAGTGGGCTCCTGATAAAAGGATGGGTTTGGTCCCCATTTTCTCTCTCTCTTGTGTGCTTGCTTATCCTCTGCCTTCCACCATGGAATGACACAGCAAGAAGGCCCTCACCAGATGCAGCCACTTGATCTTGGACTTCCCAGCCTCCACAGTTGTGAGCCAAATAAACTTCTTTTCTTTATAAATTACTCAGTCTGCGGTATTGTGTTATAGCAGCAGAAAATAGGCTAAGATACCCCATCCACATCCCTGTTAGACAAGTCAAAGCATGGGCAATGTGGGTAAGTCACTGGCACTTCTCCCTCCAGGCCTTCTGACTCTTATGCATCAGCCCTTTGGGACCACAACACAGTCCTCTGGAGTTCAATTCTTTTGATGTGGTGCAATACTAACTTTTTTTTTATGTCAGTAAAGTGTCTATATTCATAGCTTTAAAAAGATACATAAAGTTGGTCAAAGGGTATAAACTTGCAGTTATAAGATGACTAGGTTCTAGAGACCTTAAGTACAGCATGGTGACTATATTAGTAATAATGTAGTTTGTACTTAAAATTGTCTGAAAGAGTAGATCTTGAGTATATTCTCACCTCAGAAAGAGGTATTTTTCACCCTCAATAAGAGATAGAGATGATTTGAATTCAAGTCTGTCTGATTTCAAAGTTCCTGCTCTTTTAACCAGAAACTAGCATACCGCCAATGACAGCACACTGGTGTAAATCAATTGTCATTAAGTTTATCTCTAACTTTTCTTTACTTCTGTGAGCCAATTTTGGGTGGCAGAAAAGAATGCTCTCTAAATTTAAGGTTTTAATGCCACTAAAATATAGAGGCACATAGAGTAGATTTTAATTCAAAGCAAAATTACTACTTAGAAACAGTTCTAATAGTAAGAAAGAAGTATAAAGCTATGCTGAAATTCACCTATAAATAACTCCTATAACTAAAATTTGCCTCAATTTTCACCAGTCTATAGGTACAAATTAGGTTACAATAACATTGGTACCTAAATTTTGCTGGATTATTGCCCTCTTCTTGGTGACACAAGAAATATCTCCCCCTAAGTATTTCTGGGAGTTATTAGCTATCTCAAATATTTTCATAAATGAGCTCCCTTCCACTGCCCCTGCTACTACTCCAATAGAATCCTCTTGGTATCACCACATAGACAAGTCATTTCAATACTTTCTGAGCATCATGTTCTTCTTCTGCTCCTCTGGGAACCACCATCATTGCCTTTGAGCTTTTATGGTGCTCTACTTATTGCAGAATTTGTATAGAAACACTCATATTCCATGGCCAGACACAGTTGCCCACACCTGTAATCCCAGCACTTTGGGAAGTCAAGGTGGGCAGATCACTTGAGGCCAGGAGTTCAAGATCAGCCTGGCCAACATGGCAAAATCCTGTCTCTACTAAAAATACAAAAAAAAATTAGCCTGATATGGTGGTGCACACCCGTAGTCCCAGCTACTCAGGAGGCTGAGGCAGGAGAATTGCTTGAACCCTGGAGGTGGAGGTTGCAGTGAGCAGAGATCATGCCACTGCACTCCAGCCTGGGTGACAGAGTGAGACTCTGTCTCAGAAAAAAAAGAAACACTGATGTCCATTATACTACATGACTATCATCTGGAGATTTAGGCAGCATTACTAGTATTTTATGTCACATAAAACCCATGATGAAAGTAATTTTTCAGCTTCTTCCTGCAGCCCATATCTCCCCTTGAGCCTTAGACTTAGGCTGGAGACTGAAGACTGAAGAACAAACATGACATCAGCTCTATTTCCTTGCCCACAGGAACACGAAGTTTCTGACAGATTCCCTTTTATTCCTGTCTTCAGTATTTAGCAAATATGTGTTGATTGCCTCCTAAAACCAGGCTTTCCATTAGTACTGAGAATGCTGAAGAAAATAGATGCAATAGTGATAGAGACAATAAACAAATAAATACATATGTAATATGCTAGGAGGATGGATGATCAGGAAAGGCATCTCAAATAAGGTTACATTTCAGCAGCTACCTGAAAGAAGTGAAGGAGGGGAACATTTGTTATCTGGGGATGAGCTGTTTCAGGAAAATAAGATGGCATATGCAAAGCCAGGGGCAGGAGTATGTCCTCTGTGTTCCAGGAATAGCAAGGATGCCTGAATGGTTGCAGTTAAGTGAGCAAAGATGAGAGTAGAGGGCTAGGGGTTAAAGAATTATCCAGAAGCCAAATCATTTAGGGCTATGTATATCCCTGTAAGTATTTTGGCTCTTACTCAGTGTCACAAGGGAACCCTTCAAAGTGTTACAAAGAAGTGGTATTATCTTGGTTCTTTTTAAAAGAACAACTTTAGCTGCTGTTCACAGAGTTGGCTTTGGGAGGAGGAGGTTGGAAAGGGTTGAAGCGGGATCCCAGTTCAGAGGCTAATACAGTAATCCAGAGGAGAGAGGATAGGGCTATACAAGGCTAGTAGCAATTGTAGAAATGTTGGATGCTGGTTATGTTTAAAATGTAGACAGGGCAGCATATGCTGGTGAATGTATGTGGGATATCAAAGAAAGAAGGAAATCAAAGATGACTGCAAAAATGTTGCCCAAGCATCTGGAAGAATGAGTGGCAATTTATTGGGATGGGAAAAACAATAGAAGGATAGGGCTTTGCTTCAGAGATAGGAAGTTCAATTTTAGGCATGTCGTGATTCAAATTTTAATAAATATCCAAGAAGGTACTATTGAGTAGGTAGTTGGAAATACAAATCTGGAGTTCAGAGGAAAGGTCCGGGAATAGATATATACATTTGGGAGTAGCTGATGGGTAGATGTGTTAAAGACGGAAGACCACACAAGTAAATGCAGACAAAGAAGAGGCCAGGAAGATGTGAAGGACCAGCAAAGGAGAAGAGGTAGGTAATGAGGTAAAAAGGGAACCAAAAGAGAAGAGTCTGAAGGCAAGTGAAATCAGTGTGTCACGGTGGGAATGATCAACCCCATCAGCTGTTGTTAATTGACTATGTATGAGCAGGAACGACACCGTAACCTTGAGAAGAGCTATTTCAGAGGAAAGATGGGAGAAGATTGTACAGTTTTCAAGTGGGAATGATAGTAGAAGAATTGGAGACAGAAAACAGAAAACTGCTTTGAGGAGTTGAGAGGTGAAAGGGAGCAGTTAATTGAAATAACAACTGCAAGAAAAGTGAAGGCAAAGAGGATTTTCTCTTCAGGAGATGAAAGCTGTTGCAGCCAGGTGTGATGGGAATGATTGGTGGCTGAGATGTACTGAGGCATATGGTGCCTTCCCCCAGCCTTCCTGAAGCTGTGGGCAGAGTCTGGACCTGTTGTTCTGAGACTTCTCCACTTGGGGTATTGAAATCTCTTCCAATAAAACATTGCTTACCCAAGCTCATTTGCTGATAGAAATGATTTGGGTTTCTCCCTTTAGCTATGACAGATGCCTTCCTGTGCCCCTTCTTTCTATATGAATTTCAATAACTGCAAAAGGTTGGACAGCTGCCGTTGCTGCTTACGTTGTGAGTCTCACTGAAGCACTTCCCAAAGGATGGACTCTCATCTTCTGCTCTGTCTTCTGGCAAATGTTAGGGCATCTTAGCTGCGTGGCCTGACAGTCTCATCTCCAGGGCGTTGTCTGTTCAGGGCACCTGGATGACTTACAGAAAAGAGCCTCATGGGCATCCTTCAACTTCTTTCTCTTTTCCCTTTCTAAGAACTACCACCTCTGTGGGCAGATTAACTCTTCTTCATGGTCACCAACTACACAAGCAAACATGTCTGAGTCTCAGTTTGGGATGAATATGGATCCATAGACCTTCCTGTAACCACAAACACAAGATAGAACATTCAGAGTCTTTTTGAGGTCAATAGTGGTGTTAAAGAGCCCATGGTCATGGATGTTAAGGTCCCTCTTCCCAGGCTGCAAATTCATTCTTAATCTCAGATTCCATATGAAAGCTATGTATTTAAAAAAAAAAAAAAAAAAAAAAAAAAGCCTGGAGAGAGTATCTGGTTCATAGCAAACTCTTTCCCCCACCAGAAAACAAATTAAACATCAGTGCTATCTGGCTGAGATATGCATTGTCATTACAATGCCAGGATTATAATGCGAGTGAGAGTGCATTGTCATTATAATGCAAGGATAAGACACATACAATGAGTGCACATTTTAACATGTAGGTTTATATAATTAGCACTTGTTTAACAACACATCCAAGCATAACTGTGAGTGAAAAGACTAGAAGTAACTCCTACAGCAAAAAGACAGTTTCTGTCAAAGATATGCTTGGTGCCAGTTACTACTTGATAGGTTAATTCATGTGTCTTTTATATATTTAGTTATTTCTTCTCCCATCCCCAGAGAGGTCTCAGAAGAATAAACTCATTTCTTTTCAAAAGGAATTTGTTTCAGAATAGGAACTTATAAAATAAAAAATATAAATTTTCTGGTCTATTTTATAAGAAAAAGTCAAAGTAAATCCAAGTAAACATAACAGATGTTCCCTTACTGCTTGTCAGGTGACAATATTCACAACAATGATCTGTTTTAGGTGAAGGGAACAATGATGTAAAATATATGACTCTTGTTCTCCAGAATGTCACTCTAACTGTCCAGGATCATTATAATTCAAATGTAACCTACATCAACTTTTCTACAAGACCCTCTAGTCTTATTCCTTCTCATTATATTCCTAGTTCTTTATCTTTCTTCATCCTGTTCCTCCTGTCTTAAAGTCTTTCTTTCTGTTCTGTTCTCCTCTCCTTCTTTTGAGACCTGACCCAGGTCCCATATTCTCCATAAGACCTTCCTGACTTCTGCACTGATACTGAATCTTTCTTCTGAACACCACTAACATGCATTTTGGGTTCTACCCATGTGGCTCTTGGCCAGTGCTGCCTCAAATTGTTAGGGATATCATCCATTTCACTGACAAAATTATAAACCCCACTGAGACGGAATCATCTGTAAATTATCTGATTTCCCCAAAGTTAGTCGACAAAAGGAGCTCAGTAAAACATAATGAAGATATTGTCAGACTGGGAAGTCTCCTCAAAAGAGGTGAGACTGAAACTAGTAAATGAAGGAGGAATATGGTTTTTAAAAAACAAAGAGGCAAAGCAAGAAAAATTAATTTGCTGGAAGCAATAGGGGTTTGAACAAAGGCACAGAAATGAGAAGAAAGCTAAATATGTGCAGAAAAGCACATGGAAGGTGATCAGATGAAAGAAATGGTTTCATGCTAGGGAGCAATGGTAGAAATGTTTCTGTTAGATAGGATGAGGTCATATTATAACTTTTAAAATCCAGAAAGAGGGAATAACACTTGATGTCTTAGGGCTGAGATGACACTGGAGTGTCATCTCAGGTTCCAGTTCAAATGGAGAGGTAGTTGTACTTGTGGTCTGGGCTGAGCAGGATTTTGACACCCTATCTTTGTTCACCTGAAAAGGTCGTGAATAATTTGTGATAATAATTAGTGATAACTGTCGCAGGTGTGGTGTTGTGGGAGTTGAAGCAAGCATGTTACACATTTGCCAGCTCTATTATAGTGAGTCCTGAACTCACTGTAGTGAGAAGAGGAATGACAGATGCAGTGTTTATCCTGGCAGTGGGGAGGGGGAACACGTTGGGAAGAAGTTATAATGAACTCAGGCTTGAGGTGACGAGGGTTTACAATAGGGGGCGGCAGTGGAATGGGGAGGAAGGGTCAAAGATATCTGGAAATAAACAGACAAGTGGGTGAAAAAGAGCAAAGCATTCCAATGGGCTTTAAGGTTTTGAGCATGAATGTCAGCAGAGTGTAAGAGACTTTCTTTTAAATAAGAACATAGATTAATAATTTGCCAACTGAGACAAATGTTGCTGACTGCCTCTACTAAGTGTCCCAGTCATGCAGGAGTTAAATCTACAGAAAGCTGTAGAATGCTATTATTTTAGAGCCCTGCGAAAATGTAATTTGATTAGTCTATTGGACGATATTCCAAAGAACCAAATGTCTTCCATGAATCAGTCAGAAATGCTTAGGAAAACCAAAATAAAAAATGCTTTCTAAGCCAATAAAGGTGCTAATTAGTGCCTTCTGCATATCTAACTACATCTTCTCCAGTAATACATTTTGCAGGGTTAAGTGCGGTGTCTGCTGCTTCAGATGGCAGAAGTCCACCTAACAGTGGGGAGGGTGGCTGGAGACTCAAGTATCTAAAAGGGAGTTAAAACTGACATTTTAACCCATGGAAGGAGATGTATCAAATAGAGTGGGAAAAATTTTTTTCTCACTTTAATTTTTCTCCAAACCCTTAGGAAACTTGGGGATAGTAGGACTTAGTGTTTGTTTTTTTCTTTCTCCCTCCCCAAACACTCTTAGAGAGTAAAATCTGGTTTAAAAAAACCTAACCAGGGTATCCTGGAGGGGAAAAAATAGAGAAAATATCAAAACCAAGCAACTAGAGAAGCAAGTATAGAATTGAGGAAGACCCTAGCGAGCGGTCTTGTGTTGGCGGTACAGGTACACATGTATACTACCTGGGGCAGTCTCAAGCCTGGTGCCTGCAGAAACCTGGGAAAATCCAGGTAGCAGGAGTAGTTTGTCTGTCCTGTGATGGCATTCCCTAGGCGTGAGCTTCCTGCTCTGATCTGAGGTAGCAGACTCAGATGCTTCCTGGAGCCAGACAGGTAATTGCTAATGATAGAAGCAAGTGGGATAGCGACGGCAGAAAATTGGAGAGCAGGTTGCCTTCAACAGATTGCTGCCCTGAAGACACCTGGGCCGGGGCTGCTGGCTCTTCCAAGTTTTAAGGAAAGTCTAGCAACCCCAATCCCTGTGAGAACTGGCACATTGTGAGCCACCAGCTTGCACTTCTCCATTCAAGTTCATTATTAAGAACAGGCAAAGGGAAGCAGGACCTGGCCCTGACAAACACATCCTCAGGTCCCGGGAAATTTACCTTACAAATTAACAAAATGGGGAAAACCAAAACAAAACAACCACCCAACATACAATGAATAATAGTTTCTTATTTCCCTGTGCAAGGCTCCCAACTGCCTGAGTCTAAATGTTGGAAAAAGCTATCACTGCTTCTGCAATGATCAGGAAGTAAACTCACAGTAACGCTGTGAAAATACCCCTTGGTCTCCCGGGACCCTGGGAGCCCAGAACATAAAATGGAAATCAAAAAATAAAACTATCTTTAATAATTTTATAACAACTTTTAAAATGAGGTTCATCTTGTGAGTTTAAAAAATCATATTCAGTTTTCCTTGCCTTGGTTTTCTCCAAAATCTAAGCTCAGCAGCAGAGAAGGCTGTATGTCTGAATGTACTGTCTTTAGACAGACACTTGTATCATTTGAAACAAGATCAAGAAGAGAAAGTAATAGGCCAGCTGTGGTGGATCACACCTGTAAACCCAGCACTTTGGGAAGCCACAGTGGGCAGAGAGCTTGAGGTCAGGAGTTCAAGACCAGCCTGGCCAACATGGTGAAAACCTGTCTCTACTAAAAATACAAAAAAATTAGCCAGGCGTTGTGGCACATGCTTGTAATCTCAGCTACTAGTGAGGCTGATGCAGGAGAATCACTTGAACCTGAGAAGCGGAGGTTGCAGTGAGCTGAGATCACACCACTGCACTCCAGCCTGGGTGACAGAGCAAGACTCCATCTCAAAAAAATAAAAAATAAAAAAGTACAGGAGTCTGATAGCTGCATTTGTACATCTAGGAGGGTGAGATTCCAGTGAGGGGAGTCAGACACCCGACCTGACATCCTCTAATTATTGGTGACTGCTGGGCCCCACAGGATGCTAGTTGTACTGTGAAAGGCAAGAAAGCCCTTTCCCCAGCTGGTTCTAAAACTGTGTAAGGCTTTCATATGTGTCATCAGACCATGACCCAAATGGTCCACTTTGCACATTCCCTAGCAAACATGTTACCATTAGGGACTTTTTCTCTTGGAGAGTGCCCTTGGCTCCCTAGCAATCAGATTGCTCCTGATCAAGTGACAGGACACAGGGCGTGGTCCATGGAGTGTATCCTCTAGATCTGGTGGGCACTAGAATCCCTTCAAGAAGCCCTGGGTGAAGGGCTCCAGATTCTGGATGACTGGGTTTTCTGGATGACTCGATTTTCTGCAGGGCTAGGGTTTTTGAAAACTCAGCAAGGCTGAGCTAACTCTTCTCATCAATATCTGAAAACGGATCATTTCCTCTCTGACAGTTCGTGCAATGCACTGTGGCTACAAGGCCAGATCCCTGGCCTGATGTACACGTTTATTCACACATTCTAGGAAACCCAGAGCAATAGCAGGCAAACAAAAAAGACCAAAGCAGTGGCAAGAATGTCAGTGCTGGCAGAATATGCAGCCAAATGTCCTAGAACCATGCAATGTTTTAGGTGAAAATGGGTGTTCAAAAACTCTCCAGAATCATCTCGAAGAGCTAAACCAGGCACAAATGGAGGCCTTACTTTGTGAGTTACATGCAAAGTAGTAGATAGAACTGCTGCTGGTAGGAAGGAGGCAGGAATAAATATTTTAAAAATTGCTTGAAACAATATTTTATCTTCCATTTAGGCAACTTATTATTTAATTCATTGTGGCATCAAGTTATTACAATATGATCACCTAAAAATTACACGGTGCTTGCATCTATGACATGATTAATAAGGTGGCAAATGGGCTTTCTCTCATCTGACAACTTCAATCAATTGGCAGTGGTTTTATGCGTTTCAGAAGCTCTGAGATGGAGTTGGGTGCAGTGAGCAAGAATGCCGCAATGGATTAGCCATGCCTGCCTAGCTGAATTGGGTATTGACTTGGTAGTTTTCAAACTCTGGCTCCTGAAGGTGCCTCACGGGTGAGGGAAGAGCTAAGTGGAAGAGCACTACATTCAGAACAGCTCTTTTTAAATTTATTTAAATTATTAGAATTTTGCAAAGGATTTTATATTATTGTGGAATTCCTATGATAAAACCTAGTGTTTTAAAACTACGAAGATAAAGGGGAAAAAAAGACTGGTGTTCTGATTCTAAGTTCATTTCTGACCTGGTGCATAAGTTTGAGTCAAATATTCTATTGTAATTTACATAAATATTTGTCACCAAATGTCACATGGAAAATTTTTGAAACATCACAGTTATTTCCTAATAATGGTCATTTACTCTGATATTCCATCCTTGATCATGGCTCCCTAGAATGTTTTATTATGAGCATTTATATATTCTCTTTATGTTTTCAACTTCTAAAGTTTATATGTACCCCATCTTACCCTGTTTCTTTTTTAATTCCACTTATGAAATTTATTCTAAACAAAGGATAGTAAATAACTCAATCTTATGTGATAATTCCAATCAGTTGGTAGTGGTTTTCCTGAAGAAGGGATAAGAAAAGTGACAAAATTGGTAATGATGTCTGCCATGGGAGTAGCATTGGGAGTGATAGCACAGAGGCCGTATATATTCCCACTCACTATTTAAACCTTTAAAATCGATTCTATTTCTCACCCCGCCTGACTCTTTTTTTTTTTTTTTTGAAACGGAGTCTTGCTCTGTCACCCAGGCTTGAGCGCAGTGGCGCAGTCTCCGCTCACTGCAAGCTCTGCCTCCCGGGTTCACACCATTCTCCTGCCTCAGCCTCCTGAGTAGCTGTCACCCTGCCTGACTCTTATGATGATAGTTACATTTGTTTTGTAGAGCAGAGACATTACTGTACCTATTTTCTCACTACTTCTTTAAATTGTAGTCCTGTATTCTGAGCTTAGTTAAGAATCCACTATTGCCAGGCGTGGTGGCTCATGCCTGTAGTCCCAGGACTTTGGGAGATGGAGGCAGGTGGATCGCTTGAGGCCAGGAGTTCCAGACCAGCCTGGCTAACATGGTGAAACCCTGTCTCTACTAAGATTCAAAAAACTAGACGGACATGGTGGTACACACCTGTAATCCCAGCTACTTGGGAGGCTGAGGCACGAGAATCACTTGAACTCGGGAGGCAGAGTTTGCAGTGAGCTGAAATCACGACACTGCACTCCAGGCTGGGTGACAGAGCGAACTGTCTGAAAAAAAAAAAAAATCACTATTTACTTGCAAGTCAGTAATACATCTCCAGTCTTTATCCTTCTAGACCAGTCTTCTTTTTCCATTTAACAGGGTCACTAAGCCTTTTGAAAATCTTCTGAAAATGATGGGTATTCTTATCTCCACTCCCAAAATTTGGCATTTAGAGACAAATTCACAGGTACCTGTCGTCTATTCATAGACCCTCTACTCAGACAAGAACCCTAGCCCTTTATTCTCTTCAGTATTCTTTCATATGTTTAAATCATTCAGGATTGCTTTTCCAAAATTTCTCCTAACCTCTATTATCTTTCTTATGGTAAAAATCTTTATGTTCTCATAGAAATACAGCTTGGCAACACTTCCCAGTTTCACACACGTCACACATTTGCACCCAGGAGAGCAACAAGTAAGCGGAAATAAGAACACTGGTGAACCTTCTGAGGAATTTGCCCATATTCTAAGCATTTTCTTCTGCACGTGTCAGCCACATTTTATATCATGATACAGGGTCTGAATCTTGCAATGGCCCCTGAATAAGCCTCTCTGATAACCAATATTTATTTCCTCTATTCTGTCTTCAGCACCGCTATCAGGCAAATGAACATTCAGCATCATCTTTCTCACATTTACTTGTTTGCTCAAAAACCTTTCGTGGTTTTCATGTCCTAACACATACATATACACTCCTCTTTCTGTCTTTCAAATAAGCTATAAGATGCTCTGTTGGCAGTGTGGTGTTACAGAAACAACAACAACAAGCTAAAATAAGTTGCAGCATCCTACTAGCCATGAGAAATTTATTTAATCTCTCTCAGCCTCAGTTTTCCTCTGTGTTAAGTGGAGATCAATAATATCTATTTCAGGGATTTGTTGTGAGAATTACAAGAGAATGTGTGTGTAATATGCTTAGCACATTGCCTCGCACTAAGTTAGTGCTAAATAGTCAATGTTATTGCTGCAATCAATAATAAAGGTAAGAATAAATTCCTAGATGCACTACTTTTGACTGTATGACTATGGGCTCATTACTAAAGTTCTGTGAATCTCAGTTTCTAATCTGAAAAATGAGGATAGGTTCTAATTTTAAGGCTGTTGGAAGGATTAGATGATACAAATGAAGGGAATATGCTTCATACATGCTGGGCCCTTCATGTATTATTTTTTGCCTGTCCCCACACTACTTCACAACTTCCTGTACCATGAGAGAGCATCCCTAAATGCCCTATGAGCTAATCAGACTACCCCTAGCACTCTGCTTTGCACTTTCTGTAGACATCTTTTTTCTCTTTAAGGGCAATGTGTCTTTTAAGGGCAATGCCTCTTTTCCAGCCATCAAATTCTCCCATTCTTAAAAATCCAAGACAAGTACCACTTCCTCCATGAAACCTTTGCTGAATACTCCATTTAGCACTGACTTCCCTCTCCATTGAGCCAGTACATTTCTTCACGTGTTTGTCATACCATGTAGCCATTAATTTCATTCTGTCTATTCACTGCAGTGATGCCTTGTATTTCATGCCTATATAACCTTGGATATGGAAATTCAATTCTACCTTGGTTTCATTTGGGGTTGAGAAAATCTTCCGCAAGATAAAACGAAATAAAGTTCCCCTCTACTTTTTTTGTTGTTGCAGTTTCTTTGTATGAACAAGGGATGGTTCAAATGACTGTGAAAGACTACATGAGGTAGGTAGCAGAATCAGTGTTACTTCATGCCAATATTTTGCAGCCACACCTTTGCTGAATAAAATAGAAGTAGGGAAGTTTTCTTAATATTGCCATAGCTCTTGGGATCTCGTGAAAGGTAACTGGTTTAGTCACAGTGCCTAGAATGTTTACATCAGCTTTGAGAGAAATAGAGGTTCCTTAAAAATCATAAAATTGTGAGCAAATTAAATCAACAAATGTTGATGTGGGGGAAAATTTAATTACAACATATGCATAAATGACATTCTACTGTACTGCAACTGTTCATAAGGACCTGTTTATAAAACAGTTGCATTCAATATTTTCATTTTGGCTAATGTAATTGATTATTATTCTATTTACTGGACAACAATATATACAATTTCCAATGCTAGGTAGAAAGCAGTGAGAGTCTCTTCATTGGAGGAAATACTAGGTCTCAAGTGTGGTGCCCAGAACACCAGCATTAGCATTGTGGGGGACCTTCATAGAAATGCAAATTCCCAATCCCCACCCTAGACCTACTGAACCAGATCATTTGGAGGTAGGGTCCAGAAATCTGTATTTGTGCATGTCCTTCAGATGACTTTTTCAGCCACACTCTTTTAAAAACCACTGGAATAGACTATGAGCTCTTTCAGGTTAGGAACTCCCCTTCCTGCGCTTTTGTCACCTTCGCATTTTCAGGATAATTCCAACTAGTCGTAAACCAAATCTGCAGTACTGCATCCCCCTGCTGCTACCAATTCACCCCTAAAATGCTATTTGTCATAGATTTTTCTCCTGCAGGATTGGTTGTTTTTGCTACTTATAGAATCATAGAGCTATAAAAGACCACAGAAATCTCTCAGGCAACTCTCGCTTTGTTGAAGAGGAAAATGAGAGCCAGGTTCTGTGACCAACTCGTGCTTCCAGGCTTTATTACAACAGTGACTCTGTATTGGTTCTCCTTGGATCCAAGGGCAGGCTGCTTCTGGGTTGCTCTGCTGCACCTTCCAAAATAAGGTGTGGCCCTCAAACAAAGAAGGAAAAATAAATTATGGCAGGCCTAATGAAAACTGAGGTGGGGCAATAAGTGAAAGGGTATCTTCTGCCTCTCCTTGAGGCTCAAGGAGCTCAACTGTCTGTTAACAGCAGAGTTTTTACTATCCAGAAAAACACACTTTCTCAACCTTACAGAACAGAAGCAATTAAAGGACAGGGCCCAGCTATTGTTTTTTTTTGTTTGTTTGTTTGTTTTTGAGACAGAGTCTCTGTCACCCAGGCTAGAGTGCAGTTGCGCCATCTCAGCTCACTGCAATCTCCACCTCCTGGGTTCAAGCAATTCGCTGCCTCAGCCTCCCGAGTAGCTGGGATTACAGGCACCTGCCACCACACCTGGCTAATTTTTGTATTTTTAGTGGAGAGGGGGTTTCACCATCTTGGCCAGGCTGCTCTTGAACTCCTGACCTCATGATCCACCCACCTCGGCCTCCCAAAGTACTGGGATTACAGGCGTGGCCACCATGCCTGGCCCAGCTATTCTTACCAAATGTAGCTAGAACAAAGTTAGCAACCCAAGTAGGATACCTTGTTCTCCTTGGGAACATTGATATCTGCATTGTATTTTTAATAAATTCTAAATATATGCCAACTGGCTATTATATTTGATGGGGCTAGATGTGATCCATGGTATAGCTGAGCTATATGTATAAAACTGAACTATATTATGACAGGGTTCCACTCTCTTTGGAAGCACTTTCAAATGATCTGCAAAGCAGGCCTATTGGATAGTGATGTTCATTTTTTCCATAGTAAAGGAGTTTGTTAGAAATGCATATGGATGGCTACAGGAGCCCTGGAGACAGCACTTAGAGAGTGTTAGCCATGTGATATGAAATCCTTCACTAGTATGAGAATTAATGTAGAGTCACTTCAGTGACGGCTGGCTGTACTTCTTTCAGCATATAATTTTAACTTCTTCCTGAAAGTTGGTGCCTAGCAAAGCTGTGTTCCTGAAAGGTTCCCCAATGATATGCCATCTGTCAAAAGTGAGACATTCTGTCACCTTCATAATGAGCACTAGCGGGCACCTAATGCTTAAATTCTTACACCTTCTATAATACAACGCTCTTGAAAACAGGAGCAGCTCCTCCACTGCAAGCTGTCTTCTGCAAAGGTGTGGTCATTATGGGATTATTAGAGACTAAGAGGAAATGCAAATGTTTGCTCTGGAAGGAAAAGATTCACAATGACCTCCCAGGAGACTATCTAAATCAACACATCTCATTGTTGATATTTTCCCAACTGTAGATCTTTGCATCAGTTTTCAGAAACTCCCATCCTATCCAGAGGGACCAGTTTCAACTCTTGCTATTCTACTGCAAGTGTACCACAAAGGTATGTAATTTCCAGGTGCTTTTCATCCTGAGAAATCATTCTGTGCAACAATGGATTTCATGAAATTATAAATAGGCACTTGTTGAATGAATGGATGAGAGAATGAATAAAAGATTTTCAAACCCCATCTTGCAATAACAATATAAAAGAGTTAAAGGAGTTAATAAAATTGGAAACAGACTAAATATCTGTCAATGGGGAAATGGCCAAATGAGTGATTGGCCAGTTCATTTTACAGAATTCCATATAGTGATAAAAAGCATAGTCAGACATACACATATTGGCTTAGAAAGCTCTATATGCCATATTTTTTAAGATTAAAAAAAGCAAGATGCAGGAAGGTATATAGAGTATGTTACTATACATAAAGCAAACAAATGAAAACCATAAAACATGTATGTAACTGCATAGGAAAATGTCTGGAAGGATACACATAGGTTTAACTGGAAGAGGGTCAGGATTGGTGGGGGTAATAATTGAGGGGAGTGAAAGCATTTTGTGTACTATTAAAAATTTTTTAACAAAGTCAGTATATCTAATTTCTTCCACCATTAAGTATTACTTAAAAAGTTAATGATATTTTCATGATGATATGAAAATATGTTTAATGACCAATCAATACTTATATTCTTGGTCAAGAGACTGAAGCCTTTGGAAAGCAGGAACTGTGTTCATTTTTGAGCCATGTGTACCTAGCATAGAACCTAGAACATGACAGATATTCAATAAATATATGTATAAATGGGTAGGATAAACATTTGTACAGTGAAGTCACTATGATAACAGATTAAATCTTTCATGCAACTTTAGATTTCTCACCAGAATTTTTTTCTTCCTTGAACCTCTTTATATTCAGGTGTCTGTGTCAGTGTAATCAAGTGATTGGCATTCCTGATTCCCCTGGTAATCCCATGATTAAGATATCCAAATGGAGCCATCTCCAGTTCACGTTATAAGTTTCAATAATCAATTGCACTGCATGGTGACCACAGTTAATATTAACTTATTGTGATTTCAAAAATGCTAAGAGAATATTATTTCAGATGTTCTCACCACAAGTGATGTAGTGGGTGTTTTAATTGGCTCGATTGAATATTTCTACAACATATACATAGAACAAAACTTCACACTGTACTCCATAGATACACACAATTATTATTTGTCAATTAAAAATTTTAGTTTTTTTTTTTTAAAAAAGAGACACAAAATAATTAAAGAAAAAAAAGAAAGTGTGAACATGATGCTGGTTGTATCTGGTAAGTGGGCGTCCCCAGTGAGATAGCTACCTGTTGTTGAATGTGTAAATGGCTAAGTAAATGAATTGTAGTTAATCCAATTTCAATTAGGAAGTCACTGAAGTAAAATTATCTAAACTATCTCAAATAGGCTCATTATTGTTGCATGTAAAGAAAAGGCAAACAAAAACTTCAACAAAAGAGCTGAGCAAACCTGGTAAAATCTCGTCAAAAGGTCTGCTTCCCATGGAATCCATGAAAGACTCCCATAGTCTCCTGGGTTAGCTCAGTAACTTAGGCAAAGTTCAGACATGAATTGGCATACATAATATAACTATTTATATTTATAAATATAACAATTAAATATAGAATTGTAATATGTCTATAATTATAACAAAATTAAATAATTTAGATATTTATATATACAAATCAAATTAAAAATATATATAAAATTTTAATAAAAATTATAAATATAATTTCCAGCTAATTGATGTTTATCATTTAAAGTGCCAAAGTGGACTAGAATGAGTTGGTAAAAGCATTTTTTGTTTCTTAGCCAAGTACAAAAATAATACAGAACACATTTTAATTCTACCTAGGGACTTACAGTCATTATTTGTAAACATCAGTCCTGGTAGTCTGCATTTAATGATGTCCTGGACAGATCTGTGTTGCTGAGGATGCTGCAGACTGGTGCTCTATTAAAATAGCCTTCTTTTAGTCTACTGTTTACAGTTTTGTGGGATTTTTTTTTTTTTCTGTTTCATTTCTTGCCTTTAGTGACCACTTGTTTTTGGTTGTCAGTGCACTGCCTCTGGCTGGTATCTGTCCTGCAGTCTCCCTGCCCTGTATAATTTACCATGTGCCTGTTGTGGAATGGGAAGCCAGTTAAGTAAACTCATAGTTTTGGATGTAAAGTACAGGCAAGCAGTCCCTGAGTGGGGGTGCCAGATAGTCCTTTAAGTAAGTATATAGGAACGCTAGTGCACGCACCGTTTGTCTATTTAGGATCCTCTTTCACTCAGTATCTGGGAGATTGGGTGGATGAGGTGACCAGAAAAAAATGGTGTTGGGTTAACTGTTTCTGGATAAAGATATTCATATTTTTTACCACAGCATTCCTGAATGGCTGGAATTTTGGGAGATAGATCCAGTGGAGATTCTCTTGGATCTGGGGTTTGGTGCTGATGAGCCAGACATCTGCATGCAAATCCCAGCCAGATTCCTTGGTTGTGGCTCAGCAGCCAGAGGAATCAACATCCGTGTTTTTCTTGAAGCTCAAAAGCAGCGAATGGACATTGAGAACCCCAACTTGTACGGTAAGCGAGGTGCCTGTGGCATTCGCATCTCAGCATTGGGAATGAGTGGGCAGGTGGGCCACAGTGTAGGCGAGGAGATTGTGTGAAGTAGCATGCAAACCCTCTATTACAGTGACTTCACACACAAAAGATGGATTTCTTGGTCATCCTATATGTCCAGTGGGAGTTGGTGTGTATGTTTTGGAGAAAGGAGTATCTATTTGCTCCATGTTGTCCTCACTCAGGAACACGGCCTCTAATCTGGAACCTCACTAGTTGCAATGATAGCGAAAGATAGAAATGGAGAATGATACTCAGCTCTTACATCCTCTGCTCCTAACTTACACACAGCGGGTCTTGTTCACATTTCATTGGCCAAAATAAGTCACATGGCCACACCTAACTCCAAGTGGGTGGGAATGTACAACCCTACCAATTGCCCAGAAGGAGGAAAGCTGGCAGTAATGGTGAGCAGCACTAATATGTACCGTAGCCACACACCCAGGAGGCAGAGAAACCAGAATCTGACAAGGATTATCATGAATCATTAGGTGAAACCCTAATTTCCTCATTTATGAGATTTAGAACACTATCGTTTATACCTTGAGCTGTAAGTGATAGTTATTAATCTGCCATCCCTCCTGATTTAACTATGTCTAAACCTTATAGCTAATCAGGCATGTTGCTGTACTTCTTCAGCTGGTGGTCAATGTAATCCTTTTCTCTAGGACATTACTAAGCATGTTCTTGAGGGTGCCTGTACTGTGCTCAAAACAGTTTGGGGGAAAGATGCTTTGCAGCGTAATAGGTTTATTTACTGCAGGATTGATTTAATATGCCAAGGTGCACTTTCAGCCTCCTAGAGGGGATGCAGTGCAGCATTTCAAAACCACTTAAATACAAAAGGCCTCTTGGAGAAGCATTGAGGAAGACCTTCTCTATAGTACAGAGTTTGAGGAATTCTGGAGGGGGGAAATGACAAAATTCTGATTCTCAAATAAATTCTTTTAAATAAACAAATTCACTAAAAGGAAAGTCATGTGAGACAAAGTGTTTTTCTCAAGCAATTATCTGGAACAGGGACTTCACTTGGAGTTCTCATTTTAGCTCCCGTTTCTCCGTTTTCAAGTAGGTAAAATGGGTCTCAAAACTTCAGGAATGATATTTTTTTTTTAAAAAGAGTATGTAAAGCTGAAGGTTTTGCAATGTAGTATTTCTTTACTTTTTAGACTCAATTCATGTTGTTCCTTGTTATCTCCTCTTGCAAGCAGCACAGAGATGCAAATTCTTTGATCAATTCTTTATTTCGGGAGAATAATGTCATTTACCAATATTTGAATAGCATTTGAGCTGCTATGAAGTAAATATTTCACAAATGAAATTGACATATGGATTACAGAGAAACTAGGAGTTGGCCCCTGATTTTGTGATCCCTGGTGCACTCTAATTTCTACAACATAACACTTGATTCAAGGAAGCAGAGAAGGTCAAATATAAAACAACCAATAATAAAGCTAGTTGGCAGATAGAATGGAAAATTATATCTCATTCAAAGTCGATACAAATGTTTAAACTTGGGACATGAGAATCAATTAGTCCATTGTTCAATCTACCCAAAGGCAAAAATAAAAGAAAACACTTATCCAATGCTTCAGACTATTGTGTTCTCTGAATTGACTTAACCAATTAAATTGGTAGGTTTTGTCTTAGTCTAAATTTAAAAACCTGCTTTGGATGGATGTAAAGCAATCATAAAAGTTGAATTATCATTCAATTGTACCCTCTGATCGCAAAAGAGATTCAGTTTCAACTACAGCTTAATTTAGGGGGGAAATGTAATCAGAATTATTCTGAAACATCCAGAACCCCACAGTTCCTATAGGTCTTGGAAAAATATCACAGTCCTCTGTGAGAAATCTGTCACTTTTTTTGGAGTAGAAGGATGATTAGTCAATACTACTTCTTGTAGGTAAAAGAAAAAGGTAGGCACTGGCTCATGAGAGTCAGGGACGTTGCTGTGATGATGCAAACACAACAAAAGACAGCATCCTTGCCCACTTATGTGGTCCTTGACCTTCGCTGAGTTATGCAACCCCACATGCTATCACTGTGATTAAGAGGAGGCTGGGTAATAAAAACAAAATATTCCATTTTTGTTACAATGATTTTATTATCTTGAGATACCAAAAATATTTTCCACTTTTTTTTTTTTTCAAACTGGCAATATGTTCTCACTTTAGCCCTTGCTGCATTAGGTCTCTTCCACATGCTAATTAAGTCAATACTGTACTTGCATATGGCCCAAATGATAGAGGCCAGATCATCCAGAAAGACTTAACAGGTTGATGAGCTGGTTTGTTTTGAAGGGCAAATAGGTTTTTACATTAATGACTATCTTCTCTGGAAAGACTGAGGAGAATATATCCCCTTCCTAAGTCTTGCTCGTTTATAATCATTATTTTAACAACTGATACTTACATGGCATCGTGTCTTCACAATTTTGCTTTAGTGCTCATGACAGATGTGAAAAATACATGAGACATGAAAATACTGGCCATTTACTATGTGCCTGGCATGGCTCTAGCACTGTGTAGCTCTTAGTTATTTTATTCTGAGCTCAAACATCCAGTGAATGGTTGACCTGGAATTTGGATCCAGGACTTCTGACTCTATATGCCATGATCTTTCCACACTATCAGGTGACAGTATGGATAGGGATGATGTAAGTGATGGTAGGAATACACATCACATAGAGTTATGGAGGAATATTCAGGTAGCCTCATGTTGATAGCACTGGATTCACTGCTTAATATATGTTAGTACACAGATTCACCGATGCCTACCGTTTTTAATACCTAACACATAAAAACTATAGGCATATATGAATCTAAATAGTTATGCGTATTCAACTAAATACAAAAGCTGTTCACTTTCCCCATAACACAGCAAAATCTCATTACGTAGGGAAATCATCTCCATAATAGTAATGGCATATACTGAGAAAAACTTGAGTTTCAAGAGCCTAATGTCCTTCCTATCTTGAAAATTTCATGTTAACGGACCCTTCAGTTTTGACTACGTTAATATGGTTTCAGCAAAAAAGACCCAATCTGAAACTTTCGTGTTTCTTGTGTTGTGCAGGTCGTTTCCGACAGCTGGAAATCCTGGACCATGTGACCAATGCCTTCTCATCTCTGCTGAGTGATGTCAGCATCCTGCCAAACAGAGCTGAAGAGAAAGCTGGAGGAGAGAGTGTGCAAAGAACCTCAGTGAGTGCCGCCAAAGAGCATCGAAGAAGAATGGGTAAACTCTTAAGGAGAGCTTCCAAACAGAACATCAGGCGGGATTGTAACCCAGAGGTATCAGAGTCCTTCAAGGTGAAGGATGAAGTTTTTGTTCCCTTTACAAAACCATGGGATTGTGGAGCAGAGCTAGCAGCAACCTCAATCAACCACAAGCAAAATCATTTGTCTCTGTCAGTAGAACATCAGTCTCTCCAAGCCTGTGATGATTTGCTACCTTATCCTCCTCATGGTCTTCTGAGCAAGCAGTGGCCTTGCTCATCTATGCCGGCCAAGCAGGCTCCTCCTTCCTGTGTGTCTGAGGGGTCAGTCAAGGGCAGAACTCAGAAGGAGAACTTATTTCAGACTAACAAGCTCAAGAGCTTGTCTCATCTTGCAGGCAAAGGACCAGACTCATTTGAAATGGAAGAGGTCAGTGCTGCACCAACGTACCAGCCTCCTAAGGGAAATAACCTTCACTATGACACCCTTGTTTTCCAGCCCTCATTTCACCACTTCATCTTTTAATCCCTCAGCATTACTTCTTAGTGTTCTGAGTCAGTTTAGTGATTTAAAGTCATTCTAGTTGCTTTTGTTGGAAATAAGCTAGTAGGAAACCAGCCTCTGCTTGCTCCAGTATCTTTCCTTTCTTCTTGCTCGCAGTTGAATCCGTGGGTCATTTCTGACTTTGCTTTGGCTCAATTGTTTTATGTACCTGTATGTATGCTTTTTATCTATTCTCTAACTTTTCATGTTTTATCTTCTTCGAGGATCAGTTCAACTACTTCCCACTCAGTGAAACTTGCCTTAACCACTTCTCCTCTGTGTTCTCATTGCTTTAGCAGCGTGAGCTCGTTATGTTAGAGATTGAGTGTGTGTCAATGCTGTCTCCCCAAAAAGACTCTCAGCTCCTTTAGGGCCGGGGGTGTGTGTGGGAAATGTTTCCCCCACAATGCCTAACACAGGGCCTCAGACAAAGCTGTAGGGACTTGGGTATGGTTTTGATTTTAGGATGTTAGTGTGATTTTTATTTGTTTGCTTTGGGATGTATTGATTTTCACATAGCTTGACCTTCATTTCACACATGTTCTTTGCTCCTCCATCCCCACCTTCATTCATTTACACTAGTTTTTATCTTCACTTAAGTGACATTCTCACTTGTACTTCTCAGAGTTGGGTTTTTTTTTCTTTTCAAAAAATACGTATACATGTCCACTCATCAGTCTATTCATAATGGCAGCTAGGATTGGGAGTTAACTTGTTGTTAACTGTGTTATTTAGTATAATTACAGATAAGTAATTACAAAGGAAGAACAAGGCTTTTCTCTCCTTTCATCTAAATTATCTAAAAGTAGGGCAGGATATTTACATGCAAATTCCAAAGTGGGCTTACTTCTCCGTTGAGCCCTCTATGTGGCAGGCACAGAAATGGTAACAGAATCTGCCTTGAAAAGGGAACTACAGAGAAGTGGCAGGGATGGGCACTGAAACCATAAGATGGTAGGCACAGAGCCAGCCCTACAGATACACTTTACATCACTATACAGACATATTTTCGGGTATTCCAGGAGCAAGTAAAGGCATTCTTAGCCAGCCTGGGGCCGAGAGGATAAAGAAATTCATAGAAAGTAGGCTTAACCATAATTTCAAAAGAATAGGATTGAGCCAGGTGAATATGCCTATTGGCATAGCTGCATCCCACAAAGATATAAAAATTACTTTAAAATATGTAGATGTTAAGGTTCCTAATATCTATGTATATGTATATATGGTTGTGTACATATATGCCTTGTATAAAAATTAAAGAACCTTAAAATGTTAAACTGAATTTAAGTAGTAGCATTAAAATGAATAATAATAATAAAAGGAAGAAAAAAGCATACCTTTGGTCAAATGCCCTGATTTGAGGATAAACTGAGAAGGCGCTAAAAAAAGGATTTTTAAAAAACTTAATCTTGCAAAGATTATTTAATTACCAAGCCAATAGTTAAATTACTATAAAGAATGTCAAGCCTGCTGGGTGCAGTGGCTCACACCTGTAATCCCAACACTTTGGGATGCTGAGGCAGCGGATCACCTGAGGTCAGGAATTTGAGACCAGCCTGGCCAACATGGTGAAACCCTGTCTCTACCAAAAATACAAAAACTAGCTCGGTGTGGTGGAGGGTGCCTGTAATCCCAGCTACTCGGGAGGCTGAGGCAGGAAAATCACTTGAACCCGGGAGGTGGAGGTTGCAGTGAGCCGAGATCGCACCACTGCTCTCCAGCCTAGACAACAAGAGCAAAACTCTGTCTCAAAAAAAAAAAAAAAAAGAATGTTAAATCAATCTGCTATTAGCTAGGATCCGAACAAAAAGTTTCACCAAACTCCAACCCATTGTCAAGCCTCGTCAGACTCTATTGTCCCTGAAGGTTCTTCTGCTTCAAACTAGACTGATTTAGAGAAAAATAAAGTTCCTAGTAAGCCATCGAAATGTCAGAGTATAGGGATAGACAAACATCAAATTTATCAAATTTGATAAATTTTATATAACTAAATAAGAAAAGAATGTTAGTCCTTGATTGGTATACTTTCAAGAATTTTTAAATTACAATTATTCAAGAAAATACTACCTATTAGTATGTATTTGGGGAGAGAGTAGAAACACACTCAGACACCAAAATAAAGCAAACAAAATCACATGTTTCTTCGGCACATAGTAGGTACTTAGCAAATATTTGTTAATTGAGTGAACATCCAAAGAATTTGACAATATTAATTTAATCTAAGGATGACTTTCACAGAAAAACAGAACACTCTGTCAAACTTCATAGTCGTCTTTGTTTATGGTGTTATTATGTTCTAGGATTTGTGTGTGTGAGAGACTGTATGTGTATGTAAGGCAGAGATAGTCCTAAAATAATAAAAAAGAAACACACTACTCGAATTTCATTTTAATAAAAAGTGCATATAAAATATTACATTCTCACTGGGGAAAAAATATTTGTTTCACTCAATACCAGTGGATGAGTAAATGAAGCTTGGGTAGATTGCATCTTAAACAGAAGCCAATGCCAGATTTAATATTTATTTTTCAATGTCAAATTTTAAAATCCAATTATAAGAAATGAAAAATATGTGTGAAATTGGCAGATTTTCATGGCATTTAAAACAAGAGCCAATGTACTTAAATATCTAGTTATCAGAATTTCAAGTATGATTGGCCAAATTTTGCCTCCAGATCAACCAATGATGCTTTCCCTAAAGTCGTACTAAAAGCTGCATTTGGCAATGTTTGTCTCACTTCTCAAAAGTATAATTTCAACAAAATTGTGCATAGATTTTTTAATGGAAAAATCAACATATTTTTGCTTAATTTTACTCAGTAAAATTGAGTCAGCCCCTCTCTTTTTAAATTCCCAAATACATTAAGTGAATTTGATACTTGTAAAATTTGTGCAATTGTAAACTCAAGGTAGGATGCTTCTTCATATCCATAATAAATGATTTTTAGCTTTCCCTCCTGTTTGCATATAAGCATCATATTCTCTAGAAGTCACATGTGAGAACATTAACCATATTATTAAACAACCCCAGTCAACATCTTGATTAGGTGGGGGAATGTTTCAAAAGCTGTAACTATTTGTTTATTTTATTTTTTATTAATTAATAAGTGTGGCTCAGGTGGAATAGCCCAGGAATACACCTGGCTTTCATTTTAAATTAATGGGGCTTTTCCTTTTTTTTCAAAAGACAAACATGTGCTTCACATTGCCCTAAGTGGATTTTTCTCCATGATAATGGTCATAGCAAAAACTTTTTATTACACTTGAAAATGCATGTGATGTGCACTGACTTCAGTTACCAACACCAGTGAAAATAATGCTAAGAAGTATGTCTAATAGATTACAAGTGTAAAGTAACTGATTTGAAAAAAAAAGATGTGAAGGATTAAAAAGAGAAATTAAATATTTCTTCTTGTTATGGTTGAGCTATATTCTCATGGTCCCTAGTCTATTCCTGGGTTAGAGGTCATTTTTGGCCATGTGTACCACAATGTTTAAAATGTTTATGTCCTTTGATTCAGCTTTCTGTACTCAAATATCAATTCCAAATAAGTAATATGACATGTAGAACAGATTTATGAACAAGAATATTCACCTCAGCATTATTTCTAATTGCAAAATTTAGAAAACATTCCAACAGTGGGAGAATTGTTAAGTAAACTAATGTACTTCCTGAGAACAGCCTACTGTCCTGTCATTAAAGATGATGTTTTCAAAGAAATCTTATTATGTGGAATAAAAATTCCACCTTCAAATTTTTGAGAGAAAAAATTTGACTATGTGACAATATCCAGAAAAAATGTATATAAAAGAAAACTTGCAAAGAAATACTCCAAAATGTTTTTGGAGTAACAGTAACTGTTTTCTTATCTTCTTTTTATTTGTAGAGATGGGGTCTCACTATGTTGCCCAGGCTGATTTTAACCACCTGGCTTCAAGTGATCCTCCCACCTTTGCCTCCCAAAGTGTTGAGATTATAGGCATGAGTTATCAAGCCCAACCCTGTTTTTTTACCTTCTTCTTCTATGTATCAGTTTCTATAATTAGCTGTGTTGCTATTTTAGAAGTAATATGCATTATTTTGTTTAATGATAACTTTATTTTCATCAATACAGAAGTATTTATTAATTTCTTTAAAAATTTCAAAAATAAATTTTGTTCTAGCAATTTGGAAACTAAAATTTTGAAAAATGTCTAAGCACTATATAGCAATTAAATTTTCTGAATTACTCTCCATAAATTTATCAAGCCTTAATTAACTTTCTCCAAATATACTTAAAGTTCTTTGGAAGCAAAAAAAAATCTAGAATAGAAATATTATTATGTAAATTTCTTTCAAATGCACATCTTCCAGAAGAAGCACTGATCCTCCCATCCAGTTGTGATCTTCCCCTTTCCTCAACTTCTTTAATTCTTTGAATCTTCATCATCCCCGGTACCTCCTCCCAGCAGATTGCAAGTTATTTGAGTTCAGGAACTCATGTTTATCCCTCTTATCAGTTGCCAGTCTTATTATATGTTGATTAAAATAAGTGAATTTATTTGACAAAATTTCTAATGACATTGATGCATTTTGATATCTTAGGTCCAAAGCTTTGAAGAAGAGACTGGTAATCCTCTTGACATGACTTCAGGAACTGTAGGTAAGAATTCATCAAGGTGTGTGATCTCATCAATGGTCTTTCAGAATGTAAATAACTGGTATTTAAATTTCTTAATATGTACAGAGCTTAAATTATCTCTAGAAGGTACTCTAAATTCATGCATCTTCTGAGATATTAAAAGCCTACTGGCAGGCCGGGTGCGGTGGCTCATGCCTGTAATCTCAGCACTGTGGGAGGCTGAGACGTGGGGATCGCCTGAGGTCAGGAGTTCAAGACCAGCCTGGCCAACCTGGCAAAACCTCATTTCTACTAAAAATACAAAAAAAATTAGCTGGCGCAGTGGTGCGCACCTGTAATCCCAGCTATTTGGGAGGCTGAGGCAGGAGAATTGCTTGAACCCAGGAGGTGGAGGTTGCAGTGAGCTGAAATCATGCCACTGCACTCCAGCCCGGGCAACAAGAGAAAAACTCCATCTGAAAAAAACAAAACAAAACAAAAGAACCTACTGGCAATGCAAATGTACATGTAAATTTTAAAAGACCACAGAAACGTTCAATATTCCTGGGGCTAATGGTGTGTGTGGCTTGTCTGACACTAACTATATGATCTGACTACCATAGTGGAATGAATTTCATGGGACTGAGCCTGACTGTGGGGAGGGGGTACTTTTTCACTCCTTCTACCAACTGCTTCATAGTGCACATGCTGTTTTCATTTAACTGGGTCTCAGTTTTTCCATCTGAAATGAAGAAATAAGTGCAGATAATTTTAAGTTCTCTGCTAGCCCTTGCATTCTAAATTTTGTGTAATCTTAATGTTAAACTCTCAGTGGACAGAGGTTCCCTAGATGTAGCTTTGCAAGTCTTCTCTCAGAATGATGCTTTATCATCCTAAATAACAGAGAAGGAAACACTTCTCTATTCCTGGTTTTCATTCCCCCATTCAGTTGTCACTGTGATTCAGCATTTCCATGGTCTTATAAGGGAGTTAGAAGTAGGCAGAACTAGCCCAGCAAAATACAGCAGATGAAGCTCATGCATTTCCTGAAAGAAAATATGCAAATTTTTAATTTAATTTAGTGCTGTGTCAAACACATCTTTTTCATTACAAAGTGTATGTATGGGCCTCATTTTGCTAAATGCTGTTTAGAAATTATGCATTAGTAATTATAGGGTCCTGCTGATTACATAAATTCTTATCCTGCTCTTCGAAGTAATTACCACATAACCTGCATTGAGGCTTATAAGACAAAAATAAGCATCTGTTTCCCATCTAATTGAATGCTTTTCAATGAAGCTGGAGGTCCCCTTGCCAATAGGAATTGCCTTCCTTGACATTCTATTAAGAGGTCAATTAATACCATGTAAGTCGCCCCAATCATTCCAAAAAATTATTTGGGAAGTTAGACAAAAATTACTAATCTACATTTCATCTCGAATTGAGAGAGCAAAGTAAGGTAGGTGAAGGAGAGCCTAATGGATAAAATCTGACTTATGGTACAGCAAATGTGATTTTGTTACTTTCAAAAATAGTGTTGTTAACTGAAACAAACACAAGACTGAGAATAAATATGTAAAACTAGTTCAATTAATGGGAAAAGGAAATTTTCATATGTATATGATAACTGTGTGTGTAATCACTTTGAGATATGTATACATGCATTTTTTTCTCAAAGTACAAAACAATTACTTCATTTTAAAGATGAAAGCACATGGACTATTTTGACCAAAATATTATAGCAGCAGTGATGTTGTGCTAGTTTCAGTGCCACTCACTCAGCTGCTTCCTGACTCTTGAGATATTTCCTCTTGGAACATTCCCTCTGGGAACCCAGCCCCTATGTTGTGCAAAGCCCAAGTGACATGAGGATGCCACATGTGGACTTTCTGGTGGACAGTGCTGCATGAGCTCCAGGTGAATAAGCCATCTTTGATGTCTGGCCCAAACGTTCAGATGACTCTAGCCCAGGTGCCATCTGATGCAACTACATGAGAGAATCCAAGAGAAACCACACCGAGCTGGCCAGCCCACAGAGTCAGGAGGTAGTAAATTGTTGTTTTAAACACATAAATGGAGGTATACGATGAACTCTTCAAATACCTTTAAAATTCGTTAAAAACCAGTAGTAAGACTGTATTGCCTCTGCTCATGGGCAATACTCTGCATACTAGCAGAAAAATTATGTTTAAGCATTTCCTAATTGAATTTGAACAAATTGACTTCATATAGAAAATTGGGACCCAAGGCCACAAATATACTATCCTCCCTGAGCCCCCCAAAAGTAAAATGCCACTTAAATGGCAAGGGAATATAAGGAAAAAAAGGAAATATATAATAGTGCTATTTAAAAGGAAGAAGAGGAGGAGAAGTCTATCATTCATATTCTCTAAGACTAGGACTTTGTGTGGGATACATTGTGGGCGAAGTTGCAGACAATTCTAGGTAAAGGCCCATCTAGGGGTTAAAAAGATGAGTCTACTGCAGAACTATACTAACATGATAAGGTAAAAATTTCCAAGAGAATCTCACTTAGCTATCAACTTGGACAAGATATGCCTTCCCTATCACCTTATAAAATCATCAAACCAAGCAAAATTGTAAGATTTAGCAGTTCAAAAATCAGAAGTTATTCAGAATAAATGTCCACTAAAAAAGAATGATTACAAAGAAGCATGACAAATCTTTTTTTTTTATTATTATTATACTTTTAAGTTTTAGGGTACATGTGCACATTGTGCAGGTTAGTTACATATGTATACATGTGCCATGCTGGTGCGCTGCACCCACTAACTCGTCATCTAGCATTAGGTATATCTCCCGATGCTATCCCTCCCCCCTCCCCCCATCCCACAACAGTCCCCAGAGTGTGATATTCCCCTTCCTGTGTTCATGTGATCTCATTGTTCAGTTCCCACCTATGAGTGAGAATATGCGGTGTTTGGTTTTTTGTTCTTGCGATAGTTTACTGAGAATGATGATTTCCAATTTCATCCATGTCCCTACAAAGGACATGAACTCATCATTTTTTATGGCTGCATAGTATTCCATGGTGTATATGTGCCACATTTTCTTAATCCAGTCTATCATTGTTGGACATTTGGGTTGGTTCCAAGTCTTTGCTATTGTGAATAATGCCGCAATAAACATACGTGTGCATGTGTCTTTATAGCAGCATGATTTATAGTCCTTTGGGTATATACCCAGTAATGGGATGGCTGGGTCAAATGGTATTTGTAGTTCTAGATCCCTGAGGAGTCGCCACACTGACTTCCACAATGGTTGAACTAGTTTACAGTCCCACCAACAGTGTAAAAGTATTCCTATTTCTCCACATCCTCTCCAGCACCTGTTGTTTCCTGACTTTTTAATGATCGCCATTCTAACTGGTGTGAGATGGTATCTCATTGTGGTTTTGATTTGCATTTCTCTGATGGCCAGTGATGATGAGCATTTTTTCATGTGTTTTTTGGCTGTATAAATGTCTTCTTTTGAGAAGTGTCTGTTCATGTCCTTCACCCACTTTTTGATGGGGTTGTCTGTTTTTTTCTTGTAAATTTGTTTGAGTTCATTGTAGATTCTGGATATTAGCCCTTTGTCAGATGAGTAGGTTGCGAAAATTTTCTCCCATTTTGTAGGTTGCCTGTTCACTCTGACGGTAGTTTCTTTTGCTGTGCAGAAGCTCTTTAGTTTAATTAGATCCCATTTGTCAATTTTGTCTTTTGTTGCCATTGCTTTTGGTGTTTTAGACATGAAGTCCTTGCCCATGCCTATGTCCTGAATGGTAATGCCTAGGTTTTCTTCTAGGGTTTTTATGGTTTTAGGTCTAACGTTTAAGTCTTTAATCCATCTTAAATTGATTTTTGTATAAGGTGTAATATCATACTGAATGGGCAAAAACTGGAAGCATTCCTTTTGAAAACTGGCACAAGACAGGGATGCCCTCTCTCACCACTCCTTTTCAACATAGTGTTGGAAGTTCTGGCCAGGGCAATTAGGCAGGAGAAGGAAATAAAGGGTATTCAATTAGGAAAAGAGGAAGTCACATTGTCCCTGTTTGCAGATGATATGATTGTATATCTAGAAAACCCCATTGTCTCAGCCCAAAATCTCCTTAAGCTGATAAGCAACTTCAGCAAAGTCTCAGGATACAAAATCAGTGTACAAAAATCACAAGCATTCTTATACACCAATAACAGACAAACAGAGAGCCAAATCATGAGTGAACTCCCATTCACAATTGCTTCAAAGAGAATACAATACCTAGGAATCCAACTTACAAGGGATGTGAAGGACCTCTTCAAGGAGAACTACAAACCACTGCTCAAGGAAATAAAAGAGGATACAAACAAATGGAAGAACATTCCATGCTCATGGGTAGGAAGAATCAATATCGTGAAAATGGCCATACTGCCCAAGGTAATTTACAGATTCAATGCCATCCCCATCAAGCTACCAATGCCTTTCTTCACAGAATTGGAAAAAACTACTTTAAAGTTCATATGGAACCAAAAAAGAGCCCGCGTCACCAAGGCAATCCTAAGCCAAAAGAACAAAGCTGGAGGCATCACACTACCTGACTTCAAACTATACTACAAGGCTACAGTAACCAAAACAGCATGGTACTGGTACCAAAACAGAGATATAGATCAATGGAACAGAACAGAGCCCTCAGAAATAACGCCGCATATCTACAACTATCTGATCTTTGACAAACCTGAGAAAAAGAAGCAATGGGGAAAGGATTCCCTATTTAATAAATGGTGCTGGGAAAACTGGCTAGCCATATGTAGAAAGCTGAAACTGGATCCCTTCCTTACACCTTAGACAAATCTTTAGGAATTAATATTCTCAGTGAGTTGTATGAGGACATGGCGTCTATGTAAGAGAACCATCTCCAATGAGTAGATTCCTTCCAGATAAAATACACAATGCTTGATTCTGTTTCTGATGCTAAGTAACTCCTAATGAGCCAACCCTCCCACAGAGAATAATCATAAACTCTGGACAAAATATTTTTAAAACTCCTACATAAAGGTACTGAAGAGTGACCAAAAGTGAACAAAGAGTGGAGGGAGTTTCAACACATAGAAGGAAGGAATGGCACTGGGTGAGTGTCCTGTTTTTTAAAAGCTTTTTATTTTGAGGGTTGGCTCCAGTTGACACCATCCTAAAACTCTAACAGAAAGTAGCAGTCTTGGCCAGGTGCAGTGGCTCATGCCTGTAATCCCAACACTTTGGGAGGCTGAGGTGAGTGGGTCACTTGAGGTCAGGATTTTGATACCAGCCTGGCCAATACGGTGAAACTCTGTCTCTACTAAAAATACAAAAATTAGCTGGGCATGGTGGTGGGTGCCTGTAATTCCAGCTACTCAGGAGGCTGAGGCAGGAGAATTGATTGAACCTGGGAGACAGAGGTTGTGGTGAGCCTGGATTGTGTCAACTGCACTCCAGCCTGGGCAACAGAGTGATACTCTGTCTCAAAAAAAAAAATTAGAAGTCTTATGAGTTAAAAAAAATCAGAATATAAAATTTGAGGAAATGATAATAGCTGAAAAGAGAAGGAGGAAAATCACAGAAAGGAGAGAACCAAGGAGGAAAATCTCCAAATTCTAGGAATTAAATCTGTTCAAATCTCTAACTAACTGTTGAACCAAACACACATGGAAAGGACTTAAAGAATCTGTTAAGACTAAAATAAGTGAACTGAGATTTTCATTTGGGGTTTGATTCCAGCCAAGTTCCCTGCCTCCTTAAACAATATACCATTCACAATATTCAGGAACAATAAAAATATACTAGACACATGAAGAAATAAGAAAATATAACTCATATTCAAGAAAAATGGCAATTAATGAAGACAAACCATGAGAAAACCCAGATGTTCTAATCAGCAGATAGGGAGATTATTATAATTATGCTGAAGGATGTAGAGGAAAATATGCTCACAATGAATGAAAAGATAGAAAATCTAAAAAAAAGAATTATAATAAATAATAAAATGGAAATTCTGTAAATAAAAACTATAATTCCTGAAATTCAATATTCATTTAACATTACATCAGAAACAATGAAAGAAAGACTTGGTGGATTTTAATATATCTATAGACGTTATCCAACAATCGGAAGATCAGGAAAAAGATTTGAAAATTATAGAAAATACTTATCTGAGTTTCAGAAGCCTGTGAGGCAGTATCAAAGGTCAAATATATATGTAGTTGCAGTCTGAGAGGGAAAGGACAGAGAAAACTGTGCGAGAAAAAAATATTTGGAGAAATAATGGTGGGAAATCTTCTAATTTTGCTCAAAGATTTACATTTACAGATTCAAGAAGCCAGCAAACTCTAAGTGGGATAATTACAAAGAAATTACAAAGAAAACCACCTAAATAATACCAGGATCAAACTGATAGAAATCAAAGATAAAAGAAAATATTTAAAGCAGGCACACAAAAATGACATATTGAATACAGGGGAATAAAGATTTGAATGACAGAAGACTTCTCATTAAAAACAACAGAGACGAGAAGACAGTAACTATGAGCCAGAAATATACATGCAGCAAAAATATCCTTCAAAAATAAAGATAAAATTTCAGACAAACAAAAATAACTCATCACCAGCACCCATGTACTGTAAACATTGCTAAAGGAAGTTCTTTAGACCAAAGATGGGCAGGGTATTGTGGTGTTGTATACCATATGTTGATGTTATACTTGACAATTTATAGCATACAGGGTGGGGGAGTTGGTAAATGAACAAAGATACCTACAAGATTTCTACATTTTACATGAAGTGGTACAATATAACTTTAAGTAGACTGAAAAAATAAGGATGTAAAGCAGACAAAAAATGAGAGGTATAGCAAAATGCTAACAAAAATTTATATACATATATATGTGTGTATATATATACACACATATATAGTTTGTTTTTTGAGGTGGGGATCTCACTCTGTAGCCCAGGTTGAAGTGCAGTGGTGCAATCCTAAATCACTGCAACCTTGAACTCCTAGTGTCAAGAGATCCTCCTGCCTCTGCCTACCAAGTATCTGGGATCACAGGCACATGCCACCATGCCCAGCTACATTTTTAAAATTAAAATATAATTCTTAAAATTCAATAGAATTAGTAAGAGACAGACTGGTACATGCATAAAAATGACTGAAAACTAGGAGATGTGTGAGAAATTACTTAAGAACTAAGTGGGAAAAGAAAAAGAAATGAATATAATAAACAAAATGTCAAGGAAGACAGATCCAAGAAATACTACATAGATGTAAGAGGTGGTTGCAGTTGGACTCTTAATGTCTTAAGTTTTGTCTGGGGTTCTAAAAAAGATATATATCTGATACAAAGTCAATATGTGGCAAGCATATATATGCAGTTTTCTAAGGAATTTGTAGGAACCAGTTCCACAACATTGAACCTTTCAGCCATCATGAATATAAAGAGCGGACAAGTTGCAGAGAGAAGAAAAAAAATGGATGAAGAGATTTCATTGGAGAACACTGTTTCCCTGCTGGGTATCCCCATTCCTTCTTGGGAGGAAGATTGAGGACACTAAATTTCACTCCTAAGCAGTAAGAAGCCTGCAAGGAGATCACTCACAGAGTAGTGTCATTATATTTAACAAATACAGACACACTGTGACAGGTACTGTTCTAAGTGTTTCACATGCTTTACTTCATTTAATCCTTAAAATAAACCTTTAAGGTAGGCACTGTTACTATTTCTGTGTATTAGATGAAGAAACAAGCATGGAGAGGTTAAATAAGTTGCCTCAGTTTCTCATACAGTTCAAAGTGGTGCCAGGTTTCAAATTCAGCCTGTCTAGCTCCAGAGTGTACACTCTTGAATGCTGTGCTATGCATCTGGAAAAGGAGTCCCTTGCATCTGGGAGATGCATGGCTCATGCATGAGAACATCAACACTGACTGTGGAATGGGCTGTGCCTCCAGGTCAAGAACTCTAGTGAGCAAGACAGGAGTTGACCCCAGTATTTCATCAATTATAAGATGAATGATTTTTCCCAATTTGTCATCCTTGCAATCAAGATACATGTTATAATTGATGACAGGTCTTAGTTTAATTGGTAGAGAGTTTTTTCTTATTATAAAATAATGAGAGTCTTAAACCTGATGGTATCTAATATTTGATGACAGTGGACATATGGAAAAGGTAATGCCATCTGATGAAACTACTGGCCCGGCTGTGAGACACACATATGCAGCCATAACAACGTAAACACTCCTGATTGGCTTTCTGCTTTGAGAATCAACAATGAGACAAATAGGGAGACAATTCTGGTCACATAGCAAATTAGAAATATTAGCAAACCGAGTATTTTGAAGATAAAAATGTAGCTGTTGAGAAGTGGTTGATGGGAAGTGTGAAGAAAAACTGGTGAAAAGTGTAGGGACTTTCTTCCAAAGAGAAAAATAGATGGCATGCTCAAACTGGGTAACCAGGAGTGGTGTTCTTGAAAGTATGAGCAAGTTTTAGTAAAACCAACAATGAATAGTGCCAAATCCTAGGCTTGGAAACATCAGGGTGACATTGCCACTCTTAGGATCCCATATGGAAAGGGTTAAAAGCAGTTGTCTTTGGGGAATTTTCTTTCCATGACACAGTATTTTGCCACTATTTGATTTTTTAATGTATATATTATACTTTGATTTAATAAATAAATAACTGTTGTAACAAAAATGGTAGTTACTAAATTCAGGCACCTCAGTGGAATGAAAACACCTAAATATGACAATAAAATGTATAAAGTAGAAGGATATGGTGGGGTGAGATTTAACTCACACATTTCTGGACCAAAAAAATTCAGATAACTTACAAAGAGAAAAAAATTTCAAATATCTCATTAGCAACATAAAATGGCAGATGGGAATAAATACACATATAATTTAGAAGGGTAAGAAAATGTGAACCAACAATTTTATACCCAGCCCTACTCTTTTTATGCGTAAGGGCAGTATAATGTCACTCTCAAAGATAACAGGACTCCCCAGGTATATCATCCACTACCTTTCCAGGACAATGTCCTCAAGTAAGTGAGACCATGGATGGAGCATGAATTTTGGAGCCAGCTTGCCTGGATTCCAATCCCACAATCTAGCAACTGCCAACTATGTAACTTTAACAAATTACTCAATCTCTATGCTTCTGTGTCCTCATCTAAAGAAAATAAAAATAAGCATAATAACAGCATCTATCTCATGGGATTGTTAAAAAGATTAGCCTAATACATGTAAATCCCTTATGTATCAGCTCTTTTTACTACCATTCAAGTTGATTAAGATGTTACTCAAAATAAAGTACTCTGGAACAGCCTTCCCCAACCTTTTTGGCACCAGGGACCAGTTTCATTAAAAGTAGTTTTTCCATGGACTAAGGCAGGTGGGTGGTTTCATGATGAAACTAATCCACCTCAGATCATCATAAGGAGCACACAACCTAGATTCTTTGCATGTACAGTTCACAATAGAATTTGTACTCTTGTGAGAATCTAATGCAACCACTGATCTGACAGGAGGCAGAGCTTAGGTGGTAATCCCCATTTGCCCATTCACCGCTCACCTCCTAGTGTATGGCCCACTGCCTAATAGGCCATGGACTGAAGCCGGGGGTTGGGGAACACTGCTCTATACTAATAAAAATAGTGTATGGAAAAATTGAACTCAAGTAATAAAACCAAGGAAGGTTAATTGTGAAAGGGTGGACCTAGAATAAGCAAGGAATAAAGACAAAAACTAATCGGAGTTATAATACTAAAATCTAATAATGCTTACTTTAAAATGAAAGAAAATATTTTTAATTAAGCCCTTTAAAAATTTATCAAAATTTCATTTAAGAATTAACAATCGCGCTGGGCACAGCGTCTCATGCCTGTAATCCTGACACTTTGGGAGGCCAAGGTGGGTCGATCACTTGAGGTCAGGAGTTCGAGACCAGCCTGGCCAACATGGTGAAAGCCCATCGCTACTAAAAATACAAAAAGTAGCTGGGCATAGTGGTGCATGCTTGTAATCCCAGCTACTCGGGAGGCTGAGGCAGGAGAATTGCTTGAACCTGGGAAGTGGGGTTGCAGTGAGCCAAAATCATACCACTGCACTCCAGCCTGAGAGACAGAGCCAGACTCTGACTCAACAAAACAAAGACAAAAACAAAAACAAAACAATCATGCATCATTACATACCAAGTAGTTAGCGTCTAATATATAAAGGCTGACTTTATCAATTTGTAAAAAAGCCCCTACAAATCAATGAGAAAAACAATATCTTATTAGATATGGTGAATGGAAATACATAGGCAGTTCAAAGAAGAAATATAAAAGCTCCACAAAAATGGTAAACAAGATTGACTTCACCTTTTCACTTATTACATTAGCAAATAATTAAAAGTTAAATAATACAGAGTGACAGTAAGAATGTGAAACTGACACTCACCCACTGTTGGTTGGAATTTAAATTTTCCTAATTACTTTAAAATGTGACCTGACGATACCTCAAAATTTTAAATGGATGCAGCTTTTGATGTATTTATTCCATTTCTGTAACTTGACCTGCCAATAGATTCAAATGTACACAAAATTTTACTGTAATATAGATAATGTTCATAATAACAACTAGAGACAGCCTAAATGCCCACAATAATAATCTACTTTTAAAATTATAGTACATCCTTACATCAAAGCTATTCAGTCATTATTTTTTAAAATGAGGAATAATTTAATATGTGTTCATATGGAAAGGTCTCTGAGACATAGAGTTGTTAAGTGAGAAAAAAGTTACATGCAAAAGAGTCTTATCTATACACTCCTTTGTATTAAAAAGAGTATATCCATGGTTATGTACCAAATAACGATGCTTTGGTTAATGACAGACCACATATACAGCAGTGGTCCTATAAAATTATGACACCATATTTTAACTGTACCTTTTCTATGTTGCGATACCCAAATACTTATCATTGTGTTACAGTTGCCTACAGTATTCAGTACAATAGCATACTGTACAGGTTTGCAGCCTGGGAGGAATAGGCTATACCATCTAACCTAGGTGTGCAGTGGACCATACTTTCTGAGTTTGTGTAAGTCCACTCTATGATATTCAAACAATGAGAAAATCAACTAAGCGTGCATTTCTCAGAATGTGTCCCTGTTGTTAGATGTTAAGTAACAGATGGTTGTATAATATTTCTACTGGGGGAAAGGCATGCACAGATTGCTTCCAGAGAAATGTATAAGGAACCGTTAATGGTGGTAGCTTAATAAAAGGAAAACTGATACGTTTTAAATTAATTGGCATATTTTAATTTTCTTTTGTTACCATGTGCATATGTTATTTTCAAAACACTAAATAAGAAATAATTCTGGCAATACCATAGGAAATGGATACAATAAAAATGGGAGCTTTTGGCTGGGTGTGGTGGCTCATGCCTGTAATCCTAGCAGTTTGGGAGGTCGAGGCTGGTGGATCACCTGAGGTCAGAAGTTTGAGGCCAGCCTGGCCAACATGGTGAAACCCCATCTCTACTAAAAATACAAAAATTAGCTGTGTGTGGTGGTGCACGCCTGTTGTCCCAGCTACTTGGAAGGCTGAGGCAGAAGAATCGCTCGAACTTGGGAGGCAGAGGTTGCAATGAGTTGAGATCGTGCCACTGCACTCCAGCCTGTGCAACAGAGCAAGACTCCGTTTCAAAAAAAAAGAAAAAAAAAGGGGGAGCTTTTAATATTCCTTTCAGTCTTTTACAGACCAAGCATAAAATAATACAAGAGGATAAAAATATATTAATTAATTAATAACATGTACTCAATAGAAAAATATTAAAATGAGTACTATTTGCTAGTGTTGTTGGAATATTTATTAAAATATCTAACAACATGTAAATGCAAAGATTCTTTTATAATTTCTTTTTTTTTTTTTTTTTTTGAGACAGAGTCTTGCTCTGTCACCCAGGCTGGAGTGCAACCGCCTCCCAGGTTTAAGTGGTTCTCCTGCCTCAGCCTCCCGAGTAGCTGGGATTACAGGCATGAGCCACCACACCCAGCTAATTTTTGTATTTTTAGTAGAGACAGGGTTTCACCATATTGGCCAGGCTGGTCTTGAACTCCTGACCTCAGGTGATCCACCCGCCTTGGTCCCCCAAAGTACTGGGATTACAGGTGTGAGCCACCATGCCCGGCCTACACACACACACACACACACACACACACTGTATGAGCCACATTTTTATAGATATAAATGCAGTACAGTAACACTTGAATTCAATAATAGAAGTAAAAGTGACATCTTCCAACCCCAAACAAACAAAACAAAATGACAAACCCAGTACTTGGGGGCTGGGTCCTCCATCCTAAACAAAAGTATAGAAAAGTATAAGTTAAAATTACTAATTCAGATCACTTGAATAATAATGAAGACATTTTATGTAAAATTGGAGAGTTCTACCACAAGCAGTAATCTGAGGCAAATTCATAGCACTGATTGTTTTTATTATCAAAGCAGAAAAAATTAACATAAATTAGGTATTTGCCTAAAGAGGTCATCATTAATAAAATAAACATAATTAGAAGTTAGACATTAATAAAGATAAGTAGAAATTGGTAATGTGGAAAGAAGAAACAAATGATTTGATATGTAAAATCCAAGCACTAAATTTTTATAGGAAAAAAGCCACAAAGTTTTCAAAAAACTGAAAATGCATACAAATAAAATTAAAATATCAAAATAAAGAAAAGAAATGTAGTCACTGATATAGAAAACAAATAACCTAATATGCAAAACCCATTTTAAAATTATAAAGGAATACTAGTACAACTAATGTAATTAAAACCAGAGATAATTACTATTGATGCCACTTAAGGAAATTTAGATAGATAAATATATTTTGCATATGTCATTTATTTATGATATCTAAAATTTGTGTTATCAAATTTTATATTGATACTATATTACCAATATTTTTATCATTATATATACAACAAAAATTAATAAAGTAACATAATAGAAAAGATAAATAAGCTAATACCATAGGGGAAAAATAAATAAACATAAACTAAGTTTATCAGAAATTACTTCTGAGAAAAGCAATGAGAAAAAATTGCTATATGACTGGTTCTTTCAGTTTTTCAAGAAATAGATAATTTCTTGTTTATGTAAGTATTTCAGATAATGCAAACATTTGTAAATCTTCCAAGCATCTTTTAGATTTTAGAGAAACCTCATAGGAAATTCTGACTAAAAATCTCAGAAAATTGATACATTTCACTTATGAAAATAGAGGCAAAAATTTTTAAGTAAACTAATGGTGATTTAAGTACAGTAAAATATTTTAAAATACTAATACTTGAACAAATAGCTTTTAGTATAAGTTATCAAAAATGTTTTAACAATTGAAAAACTAATATAATTTAAATAGTCATAGGATAAAGGAAATACTTGACATCATCAACTTGACAGATTTTAAAAAAATGTGTGCATAAAAAATATTTCCCTATCATCCTTTACCAACAGAAATTGAAGATAGATGACATTTCAGATAAATTATTAAATGTAAAAACACCCTCAAAATATAAAAGGAACAGAAATAAGTGTAGATGAATATTTATATTGGAATATAGAGAATGGTTTTTAAAGCTCAGCATAAAATAGCAATTAAGCTGATTAGTTTTTACTATCTAAAATTGAAAACATATATTTAAAAAACTTAAAATTTTAACAGTTAATGATAAAATACAGTAGAAGTACATAAAGATTTCTTAAAATTACCATCTAACAAGAACCATGTTTTTTCATAAATTTGAGGATGGATCAACATCAGTAAAATTATTTAATAAAGCATATTACATTAACAGTTCTGAAAAGAAAACATAATATTAAAAGATGCAGAAAAGAAATATAACAAAATGTAATTGATTCATAATTTAAAAACAAAACAAAAGAACAAACAAAAACTCTCTGCAAGTAGGAATAAAAGAAAGATATCTTAACCTAATTAGAGGCATCTATCAAATCTTGATAGCAATTTCAATCTCAACAGTAAAATCTCAGAAAAAATTCCATTAAACCAGGAATACAACCTGCCCACATTACTTTTATTCAACATTGAACTAAAGATAAAAGCAGAAAAACAACTCAATAAGGTAAGAATTTATAAACCAGATAAATGTTCACTTTTGCAGACAAGATAACTGTCTACATACAAAACTTGAGAAGTGACAGGTGTATTAGTAGAATAATAAGGTTTAACAAGTTTGTTGGATATGAGAGCAAAATGCAGAAATCAGTCTCCATGCATCAGCAATAACCAACTGGAAGCACATTAAAGCAGAAAAAAAAAAACCCCACAACAACAGATTCTTTTCACAACTTCAACAAGAACCATAAACCTATTAAGAGCACCTTATATTTATATGAATACTTTTAGAATATTTGTTGGGAAGATTATAAATATTACTATGTCTTATAAAGGATAACTAAATAAAAGCAGAGGTATGCTATGTTCATAAATGGGAAAACTCCATATCAAAAAGAAATAAATCTTCACCAAATTAATCTGAAATGCAACATAATTTCTATAACAATGCTAATAAGTTTATTTTTTGTAGGACTTGCAAGCTTGTCCTAAAATTCATGTGTACAAGTAAAGGGCCAAGGAAAGCTAAGACTATTATAAAGATCATGGAGAAGGAATTTTCCCTGCTAGAAATCAACACTTATTATATAGAAATTGTAATTAAGACAGGTGCCATAGTTTAAAAAATGGATAATAAACCAATGAAATAAACAGCTCAGAAGTAGACTCCCTGATATAAAGCAATAAGTTAGACAGAACATTTCAAAATCAGTGGAGAAAGGATAAACATAACTGAGACAGTAAGGTGGTTATCCATATAGAAAAAAATAGCAAATTAAACCCTTGGTTTGGCCCATACCCAGAGATAAATTCCAAGTATAGCAACAGTGTAAGTGTAAAAAGTAAGGCATTGGTACTTACAAAAGAGAATACAGAAGGATACATTTATGACCTCAGGGTTACAAACAATTTCTTAAACAGGACACAAAAAAGTACACACTCTAAAAAGAAACTGATAATATGACTTCATCATAATTGTCAACATTGGTTCATCAAAGACAGAATAAAGTTCAAAGACAAGTCACAAAATAGGAAAAGGTAATTTGCAATTTATATACAATAAAATATTAGTGGCTAAAATAGCGAATTTCTTTTTTTTTTTCTTTTTTTTTTTTTTTTTTTTTTTGAGACGGAGTCTCGCTCTGTCACCCAGGCTGGAGTGCAGTGGCGCTATCTCGGCTCACTGCAAGCTCCGCCTCCCGGGTTCAGGCCATTCTCCTGCCTCAGCCTCCCGAGTAGCTGGGACTACAGGCGCCCGCTACCACGCCCGGCTACTTTTTTGTATTTTTAGTAGGGACGGGGTTTCACCGTGTTAGCCAGGATGGTCTCTATCTCCTGACCTCGTGATCCGCCCGCCTTGGCCTCCCAAAGTGCTGGGATTACAGGCGTGAGCCACCGCGCTCGGTCTAAAATAGCAAATTTCTAAAAGTCAATAAGAAAAAGGTAAATGACCATATAAAACTGGGCAAATAATATGAATATACAATTTATAGAAAAACTGACGAATAAACAAGAAAAAAAAGCTTTACCCTGTTATAATCAGGAGCAGATAAGTTTAAATGATAAGACGCTATTTTAGACCCAAATGATTGGCAAAATTTTTAGTATTTGATACTATCAAGTGTTGGTGAGGCTATGGAAAATGGCAATCTCTGACTCTGTTGGTTGGATTATAAATTGGTACAACCATTGTGCAAAGCAGTCTGGCAAAATCTAGGAAAGTTTAAGATGCATAGATCCCTTAACCCAGCCATTCAGCTTTTAGTATATATCCTAAAGAAATCTTCACATATATGCAGAAGAATGAAAGTATAAGAATCATTTTGAAACACTGAAATAGTGAAAAACTTTTGTCAACAACATAAGGGCAATCAAATCAATAAGAAAATGGTTAAACATTATGTATCGTACTCATAAATAGAATAATATACAGCAATGCTAGTAAAGAAGTTAGTCTATCCACATAGATAAATATTACAAATATAAGTTGGGGGTAAATTAATCGTAGTTGGGTACATACAATATATAAAGTATATATTAACCTTAGCAACATCTGCTGTATATTAATAATGTGCAAAGTAAAAGCACAAAAATATGAAAGGGAATATATAACCACCATAATCAGGATCCTGGTTAACTCTGGACATGAATGAAAGGAGGAAAGAATAAACTCAGGACTTCTACTGTATCTATGTTTCCCCTTTTAAAAAATCTGAAGTAATTATGGCAAAATGTTAAGTTTTAATAGAGCTGATCGGTGGCTATGAAGAATATGTATTTGTTGTGTTATTTTCTTTCTTTCTTTCTTTCTTTCTTTCTTTCTTTCTTTCTTTCTTTCTTTCTTTCTTTCTTTTTCTTTCTTTCCTTTCTCTCTCTCTCTCTCTCTCTCTCTCTCTCTTTCTTTCTTTCTTTCTTTCTCTTTTTTTGATGGAGTCTCTCTCTGTCGCCCAGGCTGGAGTGCAGTGGCGCGATCTCAGCTCACTGAACCCTCCCGGATTCAGGCCATTCTCCTGCCTCAGCCTCCCGAGTAGCTGGGACTACAGGCGCCTGCCACCACGCCCGGCTAAGTTTTTTTTGTATTTTTAGTGGAGACGGGGTTTCACTATGTTAGCCAGGATGGTCTGGATCTCCTGACCTCGTGATCCGCCGGCCTCTGCCTCCCAAAGTGCTGGGATTACAGGCGTGAGCCACCGCACCCAGCCAGTTATTTTCTATATTTTCTATGTGTTTGAAATATTTCCAAATATTTCACAAAGTATTTTTAACAAAAGATTTAACAAAAAAAGTCAGTAGAAATTTTACTACATAAGAAATATGTAAATGAAGCAATTTTCAACCTCAGTTATAATCTAAGAAATACAACTTAAAATTATAGCCAAATAGACAAATGAGTTATTAAATTGGTGGAGGTTTAAGAGTTCATATAAGCTAATGTTGGCAAGGAAGCACATTGCTTTCTGGAAGGAATATAACAATATGTATCAGAAAGCTTTAACTTTATTTACCTTTTCACCTGTGTATAACCTCTAGAAAGTTGCTCTAAGGCAATTATAAGAGAGGTGTAAAAAATTAGAACTGCCCTAAACATTTCAATAAAGGGGATTGTTTAAAAAATGACGCATAAAGTGGACAATTATGCAGTCATTTAAAAATGAGAACACAACTGGTATTTCATCACATAGTGGTTTAAAGGCCTACAGTTAAGGGACAAAACCAAGTCATAAAGTAAAATGTATGCTCCTACAGAAAAAGGTTAAAGAGAGAAAGAAAGCCAAGTGCGTTGCATAACCGGGATCCTAGGACTTTATAAGCCCAACTCTTTCCCATGATTCTTCCCTTGGGGTGAGCTGCCTGCATGCGCAGAGCCTTCCTTACCCTTGAGAAGTGACCACAGGTGGTCTGTTTAGGGAGTTATTCCTCGATGGGAATCATCGAGGCTTTCTTCCCTTTTCTGGTGGAGTGTACCCGGAAGATCATACTTCACCATTTTTGTCTCTCAACATGCATGCCCAGGAAGTTGCTTCTTCCTGGGGCTTGAATTCAACTACTAGTTTGATGTTAACAGGTGTGGATCATCAGGAAATGGCCTCTCCCTGGGGTTGCCAAGTTATCGTTTTTAAAGAGGTAATGCAATAATTGCCAAAACATCACCCAAGATTCCTAGTGGGTTGGGGGAGAGCCGTCTTCTGCCCTGCTCATGCCTAGCCACCTGTAAGACTTTAACTGTCTTTTGATTCTGGTTGCCTCCTGAGTCGACCTTAAGAGAATGCTGAAGATACAAATAGAAGGAAAACAGACCCTAGTCTCATAGAATTTGTAAGTATCAGAAGAAATCAATTACTTATTGAATTACAATTGTGATAAGTGTCAGGAAGAAATAAAACAATAGATAAATAGAAAGCTGCTAACATCCAGGGAGAGACAGATACAGATCTAGGTGCCTTATAAAGCATCCTTTTAAATTCTTGGCAATGTTTATTGAATGAGTACTTACTGAGGCTTCAGTCACTTTACACATATTAATTCATGGAAACTTTCTTTGGAGGTGAATTCTGGTTTTACCACTGCCACTGCACGGATAAGGAAACTGAGGTAGAACGATTGTGTAACTGCCCACAGCCACACACTTAGACACCTTGACTATCTTTTGGTTCTGGTTGCCCTCTGAATTGACCTTGAGAGAATGCCCCTGGTCAAGTGCTCTGACTTGCCTTGAATCCTAGTGAGGAAAAGTGATTAAATAACAAAATTGCTCAAAGATGAAAGAAACTGAGATCCTGAGACTCAGAAGATACTGATTTCTGTAGTAACATCCTACACATGAATCTACTTTGCTGTCTCTAGTTTCATACCTGGTTTATTACCACTGGCCTCCGTGATGATGCAGGTTGCTAATGTGGAGGTAAAAAGGGACTCTACCGTCACTGAGAAGAGGGACGAGAGTGCCCATCTCTTTTGTTATTGTTTTGTTTTGGGTAGTGCTGTTCATTTTCAGGGAATTAGTGCATATGGAAGAGGGATAACCAACACGAAGGGAACTGCTCACGGGCGACCAGAACACTGGTGGAGAACAAGTCTCAGTGGCCCTGTCCCTTGGCTTAGTCACCTGGCCTCAATTTGAGTCCAATTGCTTAATTTTCTACACACCCATGAAAGTCAATTTCCATGCTGCTCTGTGTCTTCTTTATATTTCTCCATAATGTAGTCTCTGGCTGTTTAACTGCAGCAGGCTTTATGATAAGGGGTTTTTTTTTTCTTCCTTGGCAGTAGGCATAGACTTAATTTTAAAAGACACACTCAAATTCAAACAGCCCCGAACGACTTACACAGAAAGCAGGGTGTTCTCTAGCCTTGTTTTTAAAATATTACAATTTTTTTATTAGGCAATTTTATCATTGTTATAAATAAGTAATTGTACTGGGGAGAAGGGATAATCCTTATTTAATTAAATTCATCTATACTCCCAGGTTGGCAGCAACAAGACATATGTGAGACTAATACCCACAGCCTGCCTCTTTGCATGTGCAATTAAAAATTCACTCTACAGTAGCACTGGCAGTTTAGTGTTGCTTTTGGCATTTACAAATTCTTTTATTTTGTGACTTTTTTTTACCATACACATATGCTGGAGCAGATGTTGCTTATTTGTTGTTTATTCAAATCTGTAGGCTCTGGCAGCTAACTCCATTGTTCTGTAATGAAGCTTTATTCACTGTCCTGTATTAGGACCCAGCGCCTGCACGAGAGGCTGCATTAGTTCCCAGTAGGACACCACAGTTATTGCCCTTGTAGTTGGCTGTTTGTCGTTGGAAGCTTGCACTGGGGGAAAAAAGCAGCAGCAACAAAGGGCTGGGTAGTCGCCATCGGGGTGAGTGGAAGGGAATGGACAGGAGAGTCGTCTTGCTGTCCCCTGCTCTATATTCCTGCCCGGTGGCCTCAGCCTGGCATCTAGACTCATCTGCTTTGGGGATTTGGTGTCTGAGGCTGGGAAGTATTTTCTATCCTGCTCTTTCTCTTTTTTGCCTTTATTTTTCTCTCTCTGGTTATTTATTTTGTTCACAAGCAGGGTACCCCCTGCATCTCCCCACCCCCTCCCCTTTATTTCCAGTACATTCATAGATTCGTTAATAGTCATGCTTAGCCATAGGAGCTCTGTCAAGCACAAACCTGTTTCTTCCATATATCACCCCCTCATCGCATCTTTCCTCATCCAGATACTGTTTCTGGCTGCCCATGTCTTGGGGGTAGCCACACTTCATAAAGTCGAGAATGTCAGGTCCATGTTGACCATGATAAAGACCTGCTGATCCCTAGAGCTTGAATGCCAATTTGGAGACGTTTGCCTTCTGGAAAACTCCTGTCTTGGCCAGGAGGCAATCAATCAGAGATGTAACCACCTCCATCTGGCACATTATGACATGGAACCTCACTATTAACACATTTGTGATTCATCTTGTCCCAACGAGTGGTGCCAGGGATCAAACCACATCCTCCCTCCCCGTGGCAGCTGGGAGCATTCTAGCTTCCCAGCATGCCGAGTTAACACATTGGCTCCTGTGACATTGCAAGTAACAATTCTTTTAATTATCACACCTTCCCTCCCCCTCCCCACCCACTCCACAGACACTTTGGCACCATGGGGATATTTTGCAGCCGGCAATCAGTACTTTTCTTAATTGACTGAGTATGTTCCAATAGTGTGAAGCCTGGTATTATTCACTCTCGAATGAAAGGGGCAGTTGCTTGATGCTAAGTTCTATAGATATAACACACTACACTTGTTTGGGGCATTTTACTTCCATAAGGACACTGTAGTGTTCATTCACAATTTTTAAATATTGATTTCTCTTGTTTAAATAATAAATGTGAATCCCCGTAGAATTGAATTCAAGGTCTTTCTTATTCTGGCCTCAGCCCATTCTTACCACCTTACTTCCTCTCCCACAGCCCAGACTCTGTGTATGTTGGATTGCTTAGTGTCCCCCACAATCGCCCAATTTTGCATCTCTGTAGCTACATTGCTCCTTTTTTCAGACTTCACTTCCAATCTCCTTTTTCATATGTCAAAAGTCATCCATCTTTCAAGGTCTTAGTGCGATGATTACCTCTTCTGTCATCTCCTCCAGGAACGCTGCTCCCTAGACATACTCCTCCTTTAGTGCTCCTGTAAATGTTGTTGATGCCTGCCTTTACCATAGGCCTTAATACATTTTGCCTTGTATTATAATTAGCTGTATACAAAACATATGTACCTAACTAAATTGTTACTCCTTTTAAGGACCCTTTGCATGCATCTTTGTAGCCATCTGTCAGCTAAGGGCTGCTGTGGCATCTACACGGGGGTTAGTATGTGGGGCTGTAAGGAATGGAAGTAGCCCTTTTTTGAGCATTCTGTGCGACAGGCACTACATAAAGCACTTTACATTCTTAATTCATCCTTAAAACCACCATGGGAGCAAGTGGATTTTACTCCCATTTTACAGATGAGGGAACCACAGCTCAGAGAGGATAAGTCATTGGATCAAAATAATTCAGCAAGGGTGTAACTGAGCTAGTATTCACAGATCTATGTGATTTCAAAGCTTTGATTCTTACTAAGGCATCCCTTTATTTCTCTAGCAAAAAATTTAATGTTGCTATGTTTGTATAGTTAAGATACCATCCTAATGTAAAAATGTTGGTAGAACTAGATTTACAGTTCAACAGAGAAAACCCTTCTGTTCTAAGGGAGTATTAAAATCAAGGTATGGTTGAAATGGTCCACACCAAACGGGGAACAAACCAAATTTATGATTTAACTAGGGGTTGTGTTGATTTAAGTTCAAACTTAGTAATAAGCAGTCTAAACCACTACCACCCACCCCTAGAACTATGCTAGATATGAAGATAGAAAAGAGCATGCTTTTCTATGCTTCCTATAAAAATTACGTTTAACAAGTTTAACAAGAGATGTGTTTCTCAGTTTTTTCAAGGGATAGCTTATGTCAGATAGGAAATCGAGAACCCTTTTATTTTAGCCTGGTGGTGTTTTGGAAGGAGGTTAGAAAATAAATCTCTCAGCCAGGCAGGGTGCCTCATGCCAGTAATCCCAGCACTTTGGGAGGTTGAGGCAGGAGGATCACCTGAGGTCAGGAGTTCAAGACCAGCCTAGCCAATATGGTGAAACCTCATTTCAACTAAAAATACAAAAAAATTAGCCGGGGGTGGTGGCAGGCACCTGTAATCCCAGCTACTCTGGAGGCTGAGGCAGGAGAATCCCATGAACCTGGGAGGTGGAGGTTGCAGTAAACCGAAATCGTGCCACTGCACTCCAGCCTGGGTGACAGAGGGAGACCCCATCTCAAAAAAAAAAAGAGAAAATAAATCTTTCACAGGCCTTTTTGAATCTGGAGAGGTGATTATGGTAGGAAGGGAGGGTGTAGCCAAGGTAGTTGATAGAAGCCTTCAAGGCAGAAGGAAGGGGAGGCAAAGCTGATGTATTTCAGGTGCTCTTTGTCTTACTTTTATTCCCTATTCTTTCCCCAGCTCACCTCCACAATTCCCCTGCTTCTTTCTAGGTCCCTTTAATTACTGCCCAAGTGCTAGTATAAAACAATTCAAGGTGAATATTGCATCAAGAAACCTAGGCCATTCACTAAGGAGTTTGTGTTGTGCTAAAATTCTCAGGTAGTATGAAATTAAAGATCAATGGTTTGGGAGCAAGCAATGGAAACATCATAGCTTCGCTCCTCCTTTTCAGGGACATGTTGGAAGGAAGATCCTAGTTCTTGTCTCCTGTAGCAAACATCATCCCTTATGATAAGCATGAGACTTTAGAAAAGGTTGAGCAAATGAGGCATACCAGTAAAAAGGAAACTGGTGATAGAAGAGGCTTTGGGTATTAGGGTTCTTTCTCTCATAACTGATCTTATTCTGGCCGTTCTTGCTTTGGAAAAAAGAGTTGGCATTTTCCCCTTCTACTCTTCCTGGGAAAGTTGAAGCCAGAGGTGAGGCTGATTCTTCTCCCTGGGAAGAGAGGTTGGAAAGTGGCTCAGTGCCAGAGCAGCTGAGATTTTGATTGGTTTCTTCTGCTGCCAACTCTAGCCGGCTTCTGGTGCCCATACAGACCTCAATGATGATATCTGACATGGTCTATTTCCTTTAGCATGTGCAATTTGCCCACCTGCATGGCAGTCTCACAGGTGGAACCTTGGTCATGGACTGATGCATTAGCCAATAGGTTTTGAAATTTATTTTATAAAACATAATATGAATGTGTAGATATTCTATGTTCATTAAATTTCATTAAAATGTATAGAGTTGGTCTAAGGGAGTTTCAAAGTTCTGTGTTTATCATAATGATTCTTACTCTATTAATAGATAATAGTGTAAATTCTTGCCTTCTGATAAATAGGACTATTTAAAAAACCAGTATTTGCTCTCTGTTAACTATGATGTGAAGAAATTATGATTCCCTAGGGGTCCAAAAATCCTGACATGCATACCCTGTTAATCCCGTGTGTAGGACCTGACACCACCTAGAAGCTCAATAAATGTTTGTTCAATGGGAGAATAGGATCAGCAAAGATTTCTCAGGGGCTGTATTTATATCTATGATAAAAAGTCAACAAAGCCAAATCCTTTGCTAAATATCTTCATAGTGAAGTGACACAGAAAAGAAAACGAGAGAGAGAGAGAGGAAAAAAAAGGAAAGATAACTCATGATGGTTAAACCCTAGATGTTTAAATAAAACAAATGCCACTTAGGTAAAACTGCAAAGATATGTAGTCCAGTACCATAGATTGCTTTTGATCAGACTTGATATGGAGAAAGAATTTCGTGCTTAGAGAAATTTTAAAAAATTCTTATGTCCATTAGACTATTTCTTTCAAATATCAATATCAAATATTATATCAACTGGAGTTTTCATCAGGAAAATTGAAGGGGAAACCGAAAATTTACATGGAGATGTTGAAAAAAATATATGAACCAAGGTATTTCCAGCAAAGGAAATTGTTTTCTTTCTGGTTATTTTCTTTTGTGCATATTGGCAACTCTTTCTATGCCTTTCAATATCTTCTCAATATACTTTTTTCAAGAGGTAAATTTTTATTTCAGGTAATCTAGTAAATCTAATAATTTTACCTTACTCTTGGTATCTACTCTTTTGGTCATTTTTATTATTTTTCTCCCTGGATAAGATGTTTTCCAAGACTGCAATGAAGCTGTCATCCTTGGGTTTCTCTTTGCCTTTTTCTTGAGTTTGATTCTCTCTTTCCTAGAGCTCATGTCTTTCTTTCTTTGGATAGTCCTTTTTTTCTATTTTTGAAACATGCTCCAACAATTTTATTAGATTCAAAGAATGTATAATCAGAAAACAAAACTCTGTCCTCAGTGTGCTTTCCCACCTGCAAGACGGTTGTTCTTAATGCCTGATGTACAGTTGTCATTCTAGGATATCTTAGCAAAATTAATTTGGAGATTCTCTTGTTTGGATCCTTGCTGGATCTCCCATTTTTGGGCCACTTCCTTCTCTTGACTGATGCTTTCGCTTTGATGCCAGACTGTCTGAGTAGCTTCCTAAGAAATAAGGAAAGGAGGCAAACTTTTTGAGACCTCGTGTTTAAACATTCTGAAAATGTTTAATCCACCTGATAAGTATGTTGGCTCAGCATCAATTTCTTGGTCCGAAATTATTTCCTTCAGAATTCTGAAGGCCTTGCTCCATTGTCTTCTTGTGTTGTGCTGTTGAAAAGTCTAAAGCTACAGTGAACTCTGTTCTGTTACTCTCTCCAGAAGCTTATAGATTTTCATTTTGACTCTACTGCTCTGAAATTTTATAATAATATGTGTTGGTCTGTTTTCATCCATTAGGTTGGGTTCTCAGGGTCCATTTCAATCACAACCCCATGCCCTTCAGTTTTAAATTATCTGTCAATAATTTTAAGCACAAATTTTCTTTTTCAAAAAAATCTACAATGTGAATACTGACACTCATGAATTAGTCCTCTTTCTCAAATTTTCTCCCCTGTTTCTTCATTTCTTTATTTTTTAGCCTAATTTTTGGAAGACTTTCTCAGTTTATCTTCCAGCACTTTAATTAAATTTATTTCTGTTTTTATGTATTTAACCTCGTGAAGTTTATGTTCTCAGAATGTTTTCTCCCATAGCATCCTATTTTTTTTTGTCATGGTTGCAATGCTTATGCTTCCTCTTATCTCTTTGAAAAGATCAATGATAGTTTCTGTGTATACATGCACATATTTATGTATGTATCTGTAAAGTTTTCATCTCACTGCATAGTTTCTGTTTTATCATGATATTTAGTTATCCCAACATCATTTGTTCCTCCATTGAATTACCTTAGTACCTTGGTTGAAAATCAGTTGGCTTTAAATGTACAATCTTATTTCTAATCTCTCTAAGTTCTATTCTATTAATTTATATGTCTGTCTGTATACTACTAACACACTGTCTTCATTATTGTACCTTTGTAGTAAGTTTTAAATAAGGAAATACATCTTTCACCTTTGTTCTTCTTTTTCATGATTATTTTGACTACTTTATGTCCTTTGCATTTCCATAAGAATTTTAGGGTCAGCTTGTCAATTTCCATATAAAAAGGTAGCTGAGATTTTGATAGAAATTGTATTCTATCTTCAAATCAACTTGGAGACTATTGCCATCTTAACAACATTAAGTCTTCTGATTCACAACATGGGATATCTTTCCATTTATTTGGTCTTCTTTAATTTCTTTCAGCAGCATTTTGTAGTTTTACATGTATAAGTCTTGTAGTTCTTTGGTTCAGTTTATTCTAAATATTTTATTCTTTTTAATGTTATTGTGAATGAAATTGTTCTTGTAAATTTAATTTTGGGCTGCTTATTGCTAGTATGTAGAAATAAAATTATTTTTTGTATATTGATCTTATATCCTGTGACTTTGCTGAATTCATTTATTAGTTCTAATAATTCTATAGCGGATTTTTATATACAAGACCATATTATCTGCAAGTAGAGATAGTTTTACTTCTTCCTTTGATTCTGAATTTTTTTTCTTTTTTCTTTTTGCCTTATTATCCTGGAAATAGAAGAGGAGAGAGTGGACATCCTTATTTTCTTCTTAATTTTATGGGGAAAAATTTTAGTATTTTACCATTATGTATGATGTTAGCGATGGCCTTTTTGTAGATGTCTTTTATAGGTAGAGGATATTCAGTTCTCTTCCTAGTTTGTTGGGTGTTCATATCATAACATTGTGTTAAATTTTGTCAAATGCTTTTTTGGCATCAATTGAGGCGGCCATGTGGTTTTTTTCTTTTATTCTTTTAACATTGTGTATTAAATTCACTGATTTTCAGATGTTAAAATAGCCTTGCATTCCTGAGATGGGTTCCACATAATCATGGCATATAATCCATTTTTTATATTTCCAGATTCAGTTTTGCTAGTATTTTGTTTAGGATTTTTACATCTATATTCACAAGGATTTTTCTGGTAATGTCTTTGTCTAGATTTGGTATCAAAGTAATACTGGCCCCAGAGAATAAGTTGGGATGTGTCCTCTCTCTTATATCTTTTGGAAGAGTTTGTGAAATATTATTAATGTTTCTTTAAACATTTGGTAGAATATATCAGCAAAGCCATCTGGGCCTGAAATTTTCTTTGTGGACTGTTTTAAAATTTCTAATTAAATAACTTTACTTGTTACAGGTCTATTAAAATTTTCTGTTTCTGCTAGAATAAGTTTCAATACCTTATACCTTTCTAGAAATGTATCCATCTCACCAGAGTCATCTAATTTGTCATTCACAGTATTTGTATAATTGTCTTTTATTTCTAGAAAATTAGTAATTACATCCTCTCTTTCATTCATAATTTATTAACTGAATCTTCTGACTTTTTTCTTTATCATTCTAGCTAAAGATTTGTCAGTTTTGGTGATCTTTTCAAAGAAAAACTTCTTTTTTAAAATTCTTTGTATTGTTTTCCCATTGTCTATTTTACTTATCTCTGCTCCAATCTTTATTATTTTTTTTCATTCTGCTTGCTTTGCATTTAGTTTGCTGTTTGTGTAGTTTAAGGTAAGAGGTTAGGTAATTTTTGAGATTCTATTTCTTTTTAAATATAGACATTTATAGCTAAAAATTCCCCTCAAAGCCTGCTTTTGCTGCATTCATACATTTTGATATGTTTTGTTTTGGTTTTCACTCATCTTGAAGTATATTCTATTTCCCTGTGATATCTTATTTGACCCATTACTTAGGAGTGTTTTAAAAAATTGCTACATATTTGTGAATTGCCTAAATTTTCTTCTTCTATGGATTTCTAATCTCATTCTGCTGCAGTCAGAAATGTTATTTTGTATGATTTCAACTCTTTAAAATTATTGAGGCTTATTTTGTGGACTATCATATGGTCTATCCTGCTTGGAGAATGTTCCATGTACAGTTGAGAAATGTAAGTATTCTTCTCATAGATATTATTTTTTTAGGTGGTGTCTTTTACAGATGTCTATTAGGACTACTTGATTTATTTAAAATGACATACTAGAAAATACCTATTTAATTCAAAAAAATGCAGTAATGCAGGAGTAAAGGCATAAAAAGATATGACATGTAACACATAGTATAATGGCAAACAGAAATCCTATCTTATCAATAATTACATTCAGTCTAAATAGATTAAACATTTCAATTTATTATTATTGTTCAAATCTTCTGTTTTGTTGTTGGTCTTCTAATTGTTTCATCCATTATTGAAAGTGGAGTTTTAAAGTATTCAACCATTGTTGAATTATCTGTTTTTCTCTGCATTTCTGTCAGTTTGTTTAATTGGGACTCTGTTTTCAGGTCTACATGTGTTTTTAATTGTTATGTCTTCCTAATAGATTGACTCTTTTATCATTATAAAATGTTTTTGTCTTTATTAACAATTTTTATCTTATTGTCTATATAATAGGTAATATGATATGATATAGTATATAAAAATATAGCCATTCCAGCTACGTTTTGGTTACTATTTGGATAATATATCTTTTTCATTATTTTACTTGGAACCTATGTGTTTTTTGAATTTAAAATGTTTCTCTTGTGGACCGCATGTAGTTAGATTATGTTTTATTTTTATCCATGCTGCCAATCTCTTTTGATTAGAATGTTTAATCTATTTAGATTTAATGTAATTATTGATAAGGTAGGATTTATGTCTGTCATTTCATTATATGTTTTATATGTCTTATGTCTTTTTATTCTTCTATTCCACCATTACTGCATTTTTGAGTTAAACGGGTATTGTCTAGTATGCCATTTAAAATATCTTGTTATTACTTTTATTATATTTTTTAAGTTACTTTTCTAGGTGTTGCCCTGGGAATTCCAATATCTTAACTTAAAAAATCTAGATAGGATTAGTACCAACAATTTCAATAGCATGTTAAAAATTTTCTCCAGTATAGTTTTATTTCCTCCTCCCTCCTTTGCGGTATTATTGTCATACACATTACATTTTTATACATTATGATTATATCAATTCCATTTTATAATTATTGCTTTATTGTCTTTTAAAACAGATGAGAATAAAAGAATTACAAGCAAAAATACATTTTTATCATCTTCATATTTACCTATGTAGTTATTTTAATGAGTGCTGTTTATTTCTTCATTTGAATCTGAGTTGTTGTCTAGTGTTTTTTCACTCCCACCTGAAGGACTTTCATTAGTTTTTCTTATATTGCAGTTCTTCAAGTGATGAATTCTGTTTTTGTTTATCTGAGAATGTCTTAAATTGTCTCTTTATATCCTGTATTCTATAGAATTCTATATTCTATATTCTATATTCAGTTTTGCTGAATATAGAATTCTTGATATTGACATTCCTTTATCCTTTCAATGCTTTGAATGTCATCCTACAGCCTTCAGGTTGCATGGTTTCTGCTAAGAAGTCAGTTGTTAATCTTTTAAAATATCCCTTGTATGTGATGAGTCATTTTTATCTTGCTGCTTACAAGATACTTTGTCTTTTGAGTTTTATTATCATGTGTCTGAGTGTGTATTTCTCTGAGTTTTTCCTCTCCGGAGTTTGTTGAGCTTTTTGGTTCTGTACATTGTTTCTCATCAAAATTGGGGAGTTTGGGGCCATTATTTATTGAAATATTCTTTATGCCTTTTTCTTTTCTCTTCTCTTTCTGGGACTCCCATTATGTGTGATGGTATATTTGATGGTGTTTCACAGGTCTCTGAGGGTCTGTTCATTTTTATTCATTTTTTTTCTGTTTTTCCAGCTGGATAATTTTAATTGGCTTATTTTCAAGGTTGCTGATTCTTTTTCTTCTGCCATCTCAGATCTGATGTTGAGGTCCTGTACTGAATGTTTTATTTAAATTACCATATTTTGCAACTCTAAACTCTTATTTGGTCCTTTTATGATATTTACCTCTTTATGATACTCTGTATTTGATGAGACATTCTTTCTCATACACTCCTTCAGTTATTTTGAACAATATATAATAACTAATTTTTTGTTTTTGTCTAGTGAGAACAACATTTGCATTTCCTCAAGGACAGTTTTTATTGATTGGCTTTTGTTTTGTTTTGTTTTTGTGTGTGTGGGTCATTCTTTCTCATTTCTTTGTGTGTCTTGTGATGGTTTGTTGTAAACTGGACATTTAAAATGATATGATAATATGAAAACTCTTGAACTTAGATATACTCCTAGGTTTTGTTGTTGTTTCTGGTTTGTTTGTTTTAAAGAGACTTTCCTGGACTAACTTTATAAAACCTATATATTTTGTCAAGTACAACACTGAAGTTCCTACTTGAATAGCCTAGTTAATGACTGGACAGAGATTTTTTTAAGTGACTTGAACAAATATGTCTACCACCCTTTTCTGAAGGTCTCTGTGTTTTTGTTGGAGCATGCCTTCAATGCTCCACCTATTTACAACTCAGTGTTAGTCTTCCCTTCTTGTTTGTGCAGCCTCGAGGTCTTTCAGATGTGAGAAATTAGGGTCTTCTCAGATCTTTCTTGGGCATGAACACAGCCCTGCACATGTGCATAGCCAGCCTTTTGTAGATCCACACGAATATGTCAGAGTTTTTCAAAGTCCACTATTAGCCAAGTTTATTATTTTGCCCCAGTTGGTATCACTGTCTCAGGCAGCTATAATATTAAACAATTACCATTGTTTTAAACATACACCCTGCTGGTATGGATTTCCTGACTTAGGAATCTCTGAACTAGGTCAAATAAAGACAGGCCTACTGAATGGGCTTTGCCAGAGAGCTTCCAGATAGGCCTAATAGTGATAATTCTCCAGAAATGGGACTTTTTGTTTGAGAGTCCACACCCTTTCTGCTTCCTTTAACCGATAGGATGCTGTTTTTCACAGCTACCACTATTCCAAGGCTGATTGTTTTAAGGCTAATGAAGAGCTGGGGAGAGGGTAATGGAAATAGGGTAAGTTAAAGTGCCACGAAGTTCACTGTTCTTATTGATAGTCAACTCTTTTTTTCTCGTATAAATGCTCCTCAGATTATTGAAAGCCTTTGGTTAATTTCTAGGGTTTTGAAAAAGTTAATTTTGACAGGTTTTGCCAGCGTTCTTGTTGTTTTTATGGAGGAATGGGGTTTCGGAGGTTCTATTTCCACTACCTCAGAAGTACTTCCCTCTCTTTGTCTTTTTAATAAAACCAATTTGCTTACTGTAGTTTCTATGGGATTTTTGCAAAGAAAAATATTTATTTTCATTCTACCATTTTAGAGTCTATATTTGCTCTGTTTGTTAGTCAGTAACAATGAATTTCAATTTTTCTGCTAGTAGAATATCAGGTAGGAAGACAAATCAGAAAGAAAGACATTCTTGTTTAAGGCCATTTTTCTTTTAAATTCACACATGATCAGCAGTTTGTTTTGTTTCTATCTAAAGCCAAATCCAGTGGCTACGTCTATATTTATGTTAAATAACCAACAGCACTCTGGGCCTTTCTGAATTTGCAAGGTGGCTTCTCAGCAATGCAGATCTCCCTTTGAATTCTTTTTGCCCTCTGCACAGCATAATGACATTGTTACATTTGTGTTATTCTTGCTTGAATACTATGTTATGAGAGCTTGAATATTTGCTAATGCATATGTAGGGGGAGGGAAGTTCCTTATGGAAATATTCCATATTCCCTGTGAAGTACCTTAAGCAGTTAGGATTGTTCACATTTTTCAGATGCTGAACTTTGGCTCAGAGGAGTAAAGTGACTTGCCATGAACAACCAGCTGGTAGGCACCAGGGTTGGGAGTTGAATGCAGGTCAGGTATATCAAAGTTTAAGAACTCCTTCCCTCTACCACACAATGTTCTTTACCCCAGATATTACGGAGTCTTAGATTGTCATTTAGTCTAAACCATCCAATGCTTAAAATACCTATACAGTATCCAATACCTTCTTGTGCATCTTCTTGTGTATCTAGGGCAGGTGAAGAAGTAACTTCATAAATGCTTTCCAATAAAATTATGCTTTACAGGGGAAGGCTAGATCTAGTTCCTTTTACTTTGGTGAGATTATGGGAGTAAAAGTGAGGGCGAGGCTCAACTTTAGCTCAATAACTTGTTAAAAAAACTCTCCATGCAGAGTTTCAGATTTACACTTATTCTAGTAATTAAACAAATATTTATTGAGCACCCATTATGTGTCCAGGGCTTGAAGTAAGACAGAAAAAGCCTCTACAAAAGGCAGATATGAGAGACACTTAATAGGTATATATACTCCATGAATGCAGTAATTTTCTCCTGTTGTATTTAATACCATATACCAGATCCTTAGAACAGTTCCTGGTACGTATGGATGCTCAGTAAACATTATGGAATTAATTGATTAACTGAGATAATTTCACGTTTTTAAAGGTTATAAAAAACAAAATGGGTTAGTAGAGTGTAGAGCGTTGTGGCACAGTGAGCTGCATTATAGTGGGTGGCCAGGAAAGGTTCTCTGAGGAGAGAGCATTGAACATCATTGTCATCTGGTTTGAGAACAGTCATGGATCATTTTTTTGAAATTACTTCAGAAACAGCCACTGAGGAAAACTCCTGATTCGGGGGCCCCATTTATATTTTTTATCACAAGGAACCCTAGAGTGTCCTTTGGAGTATGGCGGGAATGAACACCACACCTCACTGAGGGTCCATTGCTAGTGTTTTCCATCACCATTAGCCAAGGGATTAATTTATTTTTAAGCTATAGGCTGAAGCCTTGAGAATGTAATTTAGTTTCAGTTTAATTTTATAGTAATTTTCTTAAAGAGAATAAAGGCGACTTCTAGAAAGTGTATAGAAATTAGCAAAATTCTAAAAGTTATATAATCCAGAACTTAGTCCTTAGAAACAAGGGTGATCTAGGTTTGCTGAACACATACTGTAGATATTTTCCCATTTAGTCTTTGGACATGGATATAGGGCTGACTAGTGAAAAATCAAAGATTTGACATGCATGCTTTAATGGAAAAAACATGAAGATAGGATCAGGTCATAAGTATTACTTGTGTAATCTACGGTAAGTTATTGGAGGCCCTCATACCTCAATGTTCCCATCTTCATGATGGGCGTAATAAAATCTACCCAGCTTGGCAGTTGTAAGGATTATAGACAATGTGTTCAGAATACCATGAACAATAATGGCAAGCAGTAAATGGCAGTTAGTTATTAGTACTATGGACGCATCTTGAAGTCATTTTTAAATTCTCTTATGCTATTTCTGTGGACAAAGATGTGAAGATGTGAGTGATTATCAATGTATAGTCCTTGGTACTCTCTTAAGCAAAATAAGACATTAAGTAATTTTTTAAAATGGAGATTCTTTGAGTCTTATGAACAATGGTTGTGTAATTACATAGGCTTTCATTCTTAGACATGACCAAGATCATTACTAATAACATACTAAGTGACCAATTGAAGGCTAATACCAGTAGCGTGTTAGAGTTTACTGAGAATTCTTTTTTTTTTTTTTTTTCTGAGACAGAGTCTCGCTCTGTTGCCCAGGCTGGAGTGCAGTGGTGCAATCTTGGCTCACTGCAAGCTCTGCCTCCTGGGTTCACGCCAATCTCCTGCCTCAGCCTCCCGAGTACCTGGGACTACAGGGGCCTGCCACCACGCCTGGCTAATTTTTTTTGTATTTTTGGTAGAGACGGGGTTTCACTGTGGTCTCGCTCTCCTGACCTCCTGATCTGCCCGCCTCAGCCTCCCAAAGTGCTGGGATTACAGGTGTGAGCCACCGCACCCAGCCGAGTTTACTGAGAATTCTAATTCCGTTTTCTGTTAAAAGGTCTAGCTGCTATGCAATGCTATGACAATGTTGCAAGGTTCCTACTGTACATGCAAAAATATAAATTATTGGAATTCTTACAGTTTTCAAGAATTATGATTTGTTAATATATTAATAACATCTTAAATTGACCATGGTTTTTAATCGTGCCTCTTTTTGATTAATTTAAATGTAAGTTATTGCTAATTTCTCTCTCTAAAAAATTATTGTATTTATGGTTATCCCTTCAGGGTCTAGTAGTGAATATATGCATATTGGGTCCTATTGATTTCAATAATCAGATTTTTAAATGTGCAGGTCTTAGAGTTTTGTTCTGAATCATCCCTACCACCTGTCTTAGGTTGGATTCCCAGAAATGGACCTCAGGGAGAGTTTGTGTTAAAGTGATGTATTAAGATGTATTCTGAGGAAGTACAGTATGGGGGTGGGACCCTGAGGAGAAGGAGGTCATCTGCCCATCAACACATCCCTCCACCCACTGACAAAGTCCATTTTTTTCATCATCTCATTGATTCCACAGGCACAATGTTATTTCAGCTTTAGAAATAAATAGTATCTTAGATCATAAGGTAAATTCCCCAGATAGCTTAAAGAGTAGTTTTCAATGGCCTTTTCCTGATTTCCTCTGTGGCCAAAGTAGGAAGCAGCATAAGGATTATGTACAGGTGAATGAGACAAGAAAAGACAAAACCAAAAAGGTTTCTAAATTTCATTTTTTGGTAGCATAAAAACATTAGATTGTGATTCAAACAATTATCAGATATCCAAACCTCTCTTAACAGATACCAGATACCCAAACCTCTCTTGCTTACTTTTTGCCTTCTTGGTGGTTTGTGGGAATGGTATGGTTGTCCTGGTCATATTCCAATCTAGATAATTATATCTTCTCTTCTGCAAATTGCCTGTTGCTTATATTCCAAGTGCATTCTTCTTTTCTTTATGACAGACTGCTCCTAGGCACCACAGCATGGTGGTAAACAGCTGTAGGGAGCTACCCCAAAGATGGTTGCACTTCAGTGGTGGGTGAGCTCGTCCCGGTATAATTTATCAACTTGTTCAGTTTTTGAAGCATTTGCCATCTTTCAGGAAGAAAAGCCTGGAGAAGGGAAGATCCTATTATTTCTTCTATAAACTCAATAGGTTTGAGACACTGTTCTAATTAGAATGGAGATAACAACAATTTAACTTTGCAAAGGGGATGATTAATATAAATGGGTTTCTCAACAAGTATTTCATTGATAAGCTATTAAAGAATAAGTGTTAAATTTTAGATTGCCAAAGGTATCATACCTCTATGTAGTATTAAGCATTTCTGAGGTAGGCAAGAGAGTCATTGAAATAATAACCAAATCTCCCCAACAGTTTAATTAAAAGAAAATGTGAATTAGTATAAAAATCAAAACTATTCTGCTTTTTGTAAAAAACAGAAAACAACTTCATTGTGAGTGGAGATAAGAGTTCAGACAAAATTATTTAAGAGAAAATACATCCTGATTAGTCTCTTCCATTAACAGCAGCTCTTTAGAGACAACTTTTACCTTCTAAATGATTTAATGCTCCATCTTTTAAAGGAAAAAAAAACCCACGATACTCTTGTCATTTTCTGATTTATATTAGTGCTCCCTCCGACCCCCACAGTACTTTAAGGATAATACTCTACCTAAAATGAGTTCAATGAGTTTGGTTGAAATTGAAGATAATAAAGATAAAATGAAAATGAAGATAAAATATTTGGAGACTATTTAAGTTTCAGAAGAAAACATTTGACCTATTAAGAAGAGAGTTACTTTTATTTACTTCTAACGCTACAAATCACTGCAGGAAAAGAAGATAAAGTCCCTTTTCTATTTGTAGTAAAGAAAATGGTAGGAAATGCATTTTAGAAGCACACATATTGATTGTCATTAGATAAACTGTTTATGCTGTCAGAGCGTTTCCAGTAGTTGTGGCATCCATGGGATCCTAAAGAAGCCAAGAGATGACAGAAGCCTATCAGGTTCACAGACTTTTAGGGAACCTTAAAGCCCTCTTGGTGCCCATCATTGTGATAGGAGCAAGGACTATGACTAAGTCACCCAGATCAAAGGTGTGACCATTTCCCCAAACTTAAGATCAGCCTTTTCACTTCATGTATGTCTGTCTTCCCCAGCCACCACCCAATTTCTGCCCCCTCACTTCTCCCTAAACAATACAACCAATACCCCATAAAAAGTAATTAGGACTGTTCATGAGAAAATCCAAAGGGGGCAAATTCACATTGTTCTTTGGGAGGTTCCTCCCCTGTCCTTTCCTGCTAACACACACCACTACTAATTAGGCTATTGAAGAAGAGGCATCTGGCTGTTGCCAACTCTTGGCACCCAAGTTTCATGAATCTTTTGGTCAAGAAGGGAAATATTTCTTTCCTGATCCAAAGCCTAATCCCAAGAAAAAATGCCTCCAGGGGCCCCTTCTTCTCAGAAAAGGTAGAGATGATGTTAGGAAAGGCTTTGAAACCAAAAGGGAGTCCAGAAAGGCCAAAAAGCAAATTTCATAAACTCCCCTCCATTAATGGGGTCACAATGTAGAAACCCATAATTATAGTTGAGTATTAGGGCTTACCAATAATTATTTTTAGCTTATGAGTGAGGAAACCAAGGCTCTTAAAAGCTAAGCAACTTGCTCAAGTTCACCCAGCTGGCAAGTGTTGGCATCAGGATGAAACCCAGGTTCCTCTGACTCCAAATGGCATGCCATGCCCAAATTATATGCCGCAAATATAAGTTGTGATTATCACTTTATTATAAAATATGCTTTGTTGTGCACATTGCATGTTATAAGAAGCCAAAGTGGATAAAATGGTTTATCATATGTGTCGAGAGAGTAGGTGACTCAAAGCATTCTAGGATTCACTGTGGAAGACCTGATTCTTCATCCCCTTACATTGTGTCTGAGAGAGGAAATCCCTCTCTGCTCTCTTCCCTGATTCCATACTGACCTTTGTCTTCTTTCAATTTGTAAAGCATGGTGACATTACCTTTAATCTGTGTATATTAGTCACAACATTTCATTAGTCTTTCAAAAGCAGTTTTAGCTGCTCTTGCTTTTCTTTGTAAGTACAGGCAAGGTGTCCTTTCTATGTCTATTTTCAGGTGATCACATTTTTGTCATAGTAAAATGGAAGGCATAATGACTAGATTTCTGGGTAAACTCTCATAATTTACATATGAGAAAAGAAAGGTCCATAAAGTTAGTGATTTATTCTAGGTGCCAACAATGATTGGTGACAAATCCAGACTCCAAACTCTCAGTGTTGAATTTTCAATTCTTATTATTTTACCATTAATTAGTTTTCTATGTAACATGTTCCTAACTTATTGTTTCAACTGTATGTGTAGAGCTAAGTTTAAAGCAGGTAAAGTTACTGTATCATAGCATTTTGATAAGAATAACATCTGATTTATTTTCAATCTCCAAAATTTACCTCATTCATCTATGCTGAGGAAATCAATGGTCAAGTAAGTTTGTAAAGAGTGTTCTTTTAACAGTTAAAGAAGGGGGAGGAGCCAAGATGGCCGAATAGGAACAGCTCCAGTCTACAGCCCCCAGCGTGAGCCACGCAGAAGACGGGTGATTTCTGCATTTCCATCTGAGGTACCAGTTCCATCTCACTAGGGAGTGCCAGACAGTGGGCGCAGGTCAGTGGGTGCAGCGCACCATGCACAAGCTGAAGCAGCGCGAGGCATTGCCTCCCTCGGGAAGCGCAAGGGGTCAGGGAGTTCCCTTTCCTAGTCAAAGAAAGGGGTGACAGATGGCACCTGGAAAATCGGGTCACTCCCACCCAAATACTGCGCTTTTCCGACGGGCTTAAAAAACGGCGCACCAGGAGACTATATCCCGCACCTGGCTTGGCGGGTCCTACGCCCACGGAGTCTCGCTGATTGCTAGCACAGCAGTCTGAGATCAAACTGCAAGGTGGCAGCGAGGCTGGGGGAGGGGTGCCCGCCATTACCCAGGCTTGATTAGGTAAACAAAGCAGCCGGGAAGCTCCAACTGGGTGGAGCCCACCACAGCTCAAGGAGGCCTGCCTGCCTCTGCAGGCTCCACCTCTGGGGGCAGGGCACAGACAAACAAAAAGACAGCAGTAACCTCTTCAGACTTAAATGTCCCTGTCTGACAGCTTTGAAGAGAGCAGTGGTTCTCCCAGCATGCAGCTGGAGATCTGAGAACGGGCAGACTGCCTCCTCAAGTGGGTCCCTGACCCCTGACCCCTGAGCAGCCTAACTGGGAGGCACCCCCCAGTAGGGGCAGATTGACACCTCACACGGCCGGGTACTCCTCTGAGACAAAACTTCCAGAGGAACGATCAGACAGCAGCATTCGAGATTCACGAAAAATACCTGTTCTGCAGACACCACTGCTGATACCCAGGCAAACAGGGTCTGGAGTGGACCTCTAGCAAACTCCAACAGACCTGCAGCTGAGGGTCCTGTCTGTTAGAAGGAAAACTAACAAACAGAAAGGACATCCACACCAAAAACCCATCTGTACATCACCATCATCAAAGACCAAAAGTAGATAAAACCACAAAGATGGGGAAAAAACAGAACAGAAAAACTGGAAACTCTAAAAAGCAGAGCACCTCTCCTCCTCCAAAGGAACGCAGTTCCTCACCAGCAATGGAACAAAGCTGGATGGAGAATGACTTTGAGGAGGCGAGAGAAGAAGACATCAGACGATCAAACTACAAGCTACAGGAGGAAATTCAAACCAAAGGCAAAGAAGTTAAAAACTTTGAAAAAAATTTAGACGAATGTATAACTAGAATAACCAATACAGAGAAGTGCTTAAAGGAGCTGATGGAGCTGAAAGCCAAGGCTCAAGAACTATGTGAAGAATGCAGAAGCCTCAGGAGCCAATGCGATCAACTGGAAGAAAGGGTATCAGTGATGGAAGATGAAATGAATGAAATGAAGCAAGAAGGGAAGTTTAGAGAAAAAAGAATAAAAAGAAATGAGCAAAGCCTCCAAGAAATATGGGACTATGTGAAAAGACCAAATCTACGTCTGATTGGTGTACCTGAAAGTGATGGGGAGAATGGAACCAAACTGGAAAACAATCTGCAGGATATTATCCAGGAGAACTTCCCCAATCTAGCAAGGCAGGCCAACGTTCAGATTCAGGAAATGCAGAGAATGCCACAAAGATACTCCTCGAGAAGAGCAACTCCAAGACACATAATTGTCAGATTCACCAAAGTTGAAATGAAGGAAAAAATGTTAAGGGCAGCCAGAGAGAAAGGTCGGGTTACCTCAAAGGGAAGCCCATCAGACTAACAGCGGATCTCTCGGCAGAAACCCTACAAGCCAGAAGAGAGTGGGGGCCAATATTCAACATTCTTAAAGAAAAGAATTTTCAACCCAGAATTTCATATCCAGCCAAACTAAGCTTCATAAGTGAAGGAGAAATAAAATACTTTGCAGACAAGCAAATGCTGAGAGATTTTGTCACCACCAGGCCTGCCCTAAAAGAGCTCCTGAAGGAAGCACTAAACATGGAAAGGAACAACTGGTACCAGACACTGCAAAATCATGCCAAAATGTAAAGACCATCGAGACTAGCAATAAACTGCATCAACTAACGAGCAAAATAACCAGCTAACATCATAATGACAGGATCAAATTCACACATAACAATATTAACTTTAAATGTAAATGGACTAAATGCTCCAATTAAAAGACACAGACTGGCAAATTGGATAAAGAGTCAAGACCCATCAGTGTGTTGTATTCAGGAAACCCATCTCACATGCAGAGACACATAGGCTCAAAATAAAAGGATGGAGGAAGATCTACCAAGCCAATGGAAAACAAAAAAAGGCAGGGGTTGCAATCCTAGTCTCTGATAAAACAGACTTTAAACCAACAAAGATCAAAAGAGACAAAGAAGGCCATTACATAATGGTAAAGGGATCAATTCAACAAGAAGAGCTAACTATCCTAAATATATATGCACCCAATACAGGAGCACCCAGATTCATAAAGCAAGTCCTGAGTGACCTACAAAGAGACTTAGACTCCCACACATTAATAATGGGAGACTTTAACACCCCACTGTCAACATTAGACAGATCAACGAGAGAGAAAGTCAACAAGGATACCCAGGAATTGACCTCAGCTCTGCACCAAGCGGACCTAATAGGCATCTACAGAACTCTCCACCCCAAATCAACAGAATATACATTTTTTTTTCAGCACCACACCACACCTATTCAAAAATTGACCAGATAGTTGGAAGTAAAGCTCTCCTCAGCAAATGTAAAAGAACAGAAATCATAACAAACTATCTCTCAGACCACAGTGCAATCAAACTAGAACTCAGGATTAAGAAACTCACTCAAAACTGCTCAACTACATGGAAACTGAACAACCTACTCCTGAATGACTACTGGGTACATAACGAAATGAAGGCAGAAATAAAGATGTTCTTTGAAACCAACGAGAATAAAGACACAACATACCAGAATCTCTGGGACACATTCAAAGCACTGTGTAGAGGGAAATTTATAGCACTAAATGCCCACAAGAGAAAGCAGGAAAGATCCAAAATTGACACCCTAACATCACAATTAAAAGAACTAGAAAATCAAGAGCAAACACATTCAAAAGCTAACAGAAGGCAAGAAATAACTAAAATCAGAGCAGAACTGAAGGAAATAGAGACACAAAAAACCCTTCAAAAAATTAATGAATCCAGGAGCTGGTTTTTTGAAATGATCAACAAAATTGATAGACCGCTAGCAAGACTAATAAAGAAGAAAAGAGAAGACTCAAATAGACACAATAAAAAATGATAAAGGGGATATCACCACCAATCCCACAGAAATACAAACTAGCATCAGAGAATACTACAAACATCTACGCCAATAAACTAGAAAGTCTAGAAGAAATGGATAAATTCCTCAACACATACACCCTCCCAAGACTAAACCAGGAAGAAGTTGAATCTCTGAATAGGCCAATAACAGGATCTGAAATTGTGGCAATAATCAGTAGCTTACCAACCAAAAAGAGTCCAGGACCAGATGGATTCACAGCCGAATTCTACCAGAGGTACAAGGAGGAACTGGTACCATTCCTTCTGAAACTATTCCAATCAATAGAAAAAGAGGGAATCCTCCCTAACTCATTTTCTGAGGCCAGCATCATCCTGATACCAAAGCCGGGCAGAGACACAACCAAAAAAGAGAATTTTAGACCAATATCCTTGATGAACATTGATGCAAAAATCCTCAATAAAACACTGGCAAACCGAATCCAGCAGCACATCAAAAAGCTTATCCACCATGATCAAGTGGGCTTCATCCCTGGGATGCAAGGCTGGTTCAATATACGCAAATCAATAAATGTAATCAAGCACATAAACAGAACCAAAGACAAAAATGACACGATTATCTCAATAGATGCAGAAAAGGCCTTTGACAAAATTCAACAACCCTTCATACTAAAAACTCTCAATAAATTAGGTATTGATGGGACGTATCTCAAAATAATAAGAGCTATCTATGACAAACCCACAGCCAATATCATACTGAATGGGGAAAAACTGGAAGCATTCCCTTTGAAAACTGGCACAAGACAGTTTTCAAAGGAAAACTTTGAAACCTCTATCACCACGCCTATTCAACATAGTGTTGGAAGTTCTGGCCAGGGCAATTAGGCAGGAGAAGGAAATAAAGGGTATTCAATTAGGAAAAGAGCAAGTCAAATTGTCCCTGTTTGCAGATGATATGATTTTATATGTAGAAAACCCCATTGTCTCAGCCCAAAATCTCCTTAAGCTGATAAGCAACTTCAGCAAAGTCTCAGGATACAAAATCAATGTACAAAAATCACAAGCATTCTTATACACCAATAACAGACAAACAGAGAGCCAAATCATGAGTGAACTCCCATTCACAATTGCTTCAAAGAGAATAAAATACCTAGGAATCCACCTTACAAGGGATGTGAAGGACCTCTTCAAGGAGAACTACAAACCACTGCTCAATGAAATAAAAGAGGATACAAACAAATGGAAGAACATTCCATGCTCATGGGTAGGAAGAGTCAATATCGTGAAAATGGCCATACTGCCCAAGGTAATTTATAGATTCAATGCCATCCCCATCAAGCTACCAATGACTTTCTTCACAGAATTGGAAAAAACTACTTTAAAGTTCATATGGAACCAAAAAAGAGCCCGCATCACCAAGGCAATCCTAAGCCAAAAGAACACAGCTGGAGGCATCACGCTACCTGACTTCAAACTATACTACAAGGCTACAGTAACCAAAACAGCATGGTACTGGTACCAAAACAGAGATATAGATCAATGGAACAGAACAGAGCCCTCAGAAATAACGCCACATATCTACAACTATCTGATCTTTGACAAACCTGAGAAAAACAAGCAATGGGGAAGGGATTCCCTATTTAATAAATGGTGCTGGGAAAACTGGCTAGCCATATGTAGAAAGCTGAAACTGGATCCCTTCCTTACACCTTATACAAAGATCAATTCAAGATGGATTAAAGACTTAAACGTTAGACCTAAAACCATAAAAACCCTAGAAGAAAACCTAGGCATTACCATTCAGGACATAGGCATGGGCAAGGACTTCATGTCTAAAACACCAAAAGCAATGGCAACAAAAGCCAAAAGTGACAAATGGGATCTAATTAAACTAAAGAGCTTCTGCACAGCAAAAGAAACTACCATCAGAGTGAACAGGCAACCCACAAAATGGGAAAAAATTTTCGCAACCTATTCATCTGACAAAGGGCTAATATCCAGAATCTACAATGAACTCAAACAAATTTACAAGAAAAAAACAAACAACCCCATCAAAAAGTGGGCAAAGGACATGAATAGACACTTCTCAAAAGAAGACATTTATGCAGTCAAAAAACACATGAAAAAATGCTCATCATCACTGGCCATCAGAGAAATGCAAATCAAAACCACAATGAGATATCATCTCACACCAGTTAGAATGGCAATCATTAAGAAGTCGGGAAACAACAGGTGCTGGAGAGGATGTGGAGAAATAGGAACACTTTTACATTGTTGGTGGGACTGTAAACTAGTTCAACCATTGTGGAAGTCAGTGTGGCGATTCCTCAGGGATCTAGAATTACAAATACCATTTGACCCAGCCATCCCATTACTGGGTATATACCCAAAGGATATAAATCATGCTGCTATAAAGACACATGCACTCATATGTTTATTGCGGCACTATTCACAATAGCAAAGACTTGGAACCAACCCAAATGTCCAACAATGATAGACTGGATTAAGAAAATGTGGCACATATACACCATGGAATACTATGCAGCCATAAAAAATGATGAGTTCATGTCCTTTGTAGGGACATGGATGAAATTGGAAATCATCATTCTCAATAAACTATTGCAAGAACAAAAAACCAGACACCACATATTCTCACTCATAGGTGGGAATTGAACAATGGGAACACATGGACACAGGAGAGGGAACATCACACTCTGGGGACTGTTGTGGGGTGGGAGGAGGGGGGAGGGATAGCACTGGGAGATATACCTAATGCTAGATGACGAGTTAGTGGGTGCAGCGCACCAACATGTCACATGTATACATATGTACCTAACCTGCACATTGTGCACATGTACCCTAAACTTAAAGTATAATTAAAAAAAAAACAGTTAAAGAATTAGAATAAGCTTTCCTTAGAATGTCTTTTTTTTTAAATTTTTTCTTTATAAAGCTATTTTATAAATGCTTAAAATAAAGTGATCTCATCTAAAATTGAAACATTGTATTTCAGATACAGGTACACCTAATGTTAGTAAGAAGGGTTTTTATTTACAGATAATTTGGTGATAATAAATATCTTCAGTAAACTTTGCTATGACTTTTAAAAAAACTTTATGACTAACTCTATGATTTTTCCAGTGTTAAAAGGATTCCAAGTTGATTCTAAAATCAAAGAACAGACAGAAGTTCAAGTGGGTTGTAAACTTGGCAAAAACATGTTTTACCAAGAAAAAAGGAAAACGAATCCCATCTAAAAATCTGTGACTATGTGTATGCATCTTTGGGCTTTCTTTTTGTAAAAGCAAAGTTCTTTAAAAAAGAATCATAACATCACATAAAGTAATGAAATATACTTTGTGTGACTAAAGATATTAAAATTGCTTTTTAAAATTAGGCCAACTGCATAACTCCTTTTGAAGAGTTCATTGGTAAAAAGTCACCTAGTGACCATAATCATGCTTTAACTTTGGGTGTGTAACCTTATGTTCTAAGAAGTGTCACTGATAACTTTTAAAATTATCATAATTAATCTGGTACTATTTAGATAGAAGTAAGTTTTCCCACTATATTTCTGTTTGCATTTTACTATTTCCTTTCTGTAGTATGCTTCCCTTTGCTGTCATGAATATCACAAAGATGGATACAACTGTTTAATTTTATATTTTTCCTGCAGTAGTTATTCAGAATTTCTCTTCTGAATAGTTTTTAGCATTTGAATCAAAACAGTTTTTGACATGTCGGTGACACCATGCTGTAAAGGAGGAGTCAGTGCTTCTGGATCCCTAAAGGGACTTAGTTTTAAATGTGCCCCAAAACTCTTGTTGTGGCAGTTTTCATCTTTATAAGGGCTACTACTACACATGCTCAGAGTTCATTCTCAGAACATTAGCCTATAAACTTTGAAAGAGCAGAGGCACAGTCTTAGTCTCCATTGTATCCCCTTATCTAGCACATTGCCTAACACACAGTAAGCACCCAACAGAAAAATGTTTGTTTGTGGGATAAACAAATAAATATAGCAAGCTTTCTTCTAGAAAGTGGATGGTCACCCAGCTTGAAGATTATTTATTTTATTTCAATGCTTAGGCAGTATGCCTTATGAATTATGTATGTCTAAAACACATATGTTGAGGAAGGTGTTCTGGAGTATTTCTTATTACTATGAAATACAATTCAAAAGTACTCCTAGTGTTTTCCATTACCATCTATTTTATCCTTATTTGGATTTTGTCCACTGGAGAAGCTCCTCAATGGCTGGGCTGTGTCTTTCAGTATTCCCCGTTGTCCATGCAGTGCCTGGCACAGAGCAGCCAATCAATCAGTAAATGATTGTTACATGAATAAGTGAGACTACATCAAATAATTTTATCAAAATTTAAAATGGGTTGGAATCAGTAAAAAGTAATATTGGGGATGCAAACAAAAAAGAGTGACATCATGGAAGATATTCTTTAGAGAATCATCAAAATGTAAGTGAAGACCAGACATGGTGGCTCATGCCTATAATCCCAGCTCTTTGGGAGGTCAAGGCAGGAGGATCACTGACGCCCAGGAGTTCAAGACCAGCCTGGGCAACATGGCAATACCCCATCTCTACAAAAAAATAAAAAATTAGTCCAATGGGATGGTGCACACCTGTAGTCCCAGCTTCTCAGGAGGCTGAGGCAGGAGGATTGCTTGAGCCCAGGAGGTCATGGCTACGCAGTAAGCTGCGATCATGCCACTGCAATCCAGCCTGAGCAACAGAGCAAGACACTGTCTCAAAAAAAAAAAAAAAAAAAAAAAATTCAGTAAACAGGTCAGAAATGAAAGTGACTAAACTTGACAGAATGGAAAGCAGTGTCTCAGTCCTCTGCACATCTTTCTTTTAAGCTTGGGTGGTTTATGTCCCTAAAAACAAAAACTTCCTTTTTATTAAAAAGGAGATTAATTGGAATTAAAATGAAAAGATACAATTTTAAGTGAATACTAAGTTGTCTGGTTATTGTACTATGAGTATCATTCAGGCAAGAAAGAGCATATCCAAAAGGGTTTAACTGAAGAGAGTTTTAGAAAGGGGCTATTTACTGAAGTGGGTGGGATTCAAGGAACCAACAAGAAATGTGGAAGCACCTCAAGGTTAATAAGAGCAGAAAGTCTTTGTCACCCCAGGCCTAAAAAAGCAGAGGGAGCCGACTACTGGAGCCTGTGAAAGTTGGAGCCTGAGAAGAGAGACCTCTCAAAAAGAGCTCTCACAATAAAGGACGGCAGCCATTTTCAAAAAGTGCCCTGAAGGAGGGAGTGGTCAATAAATAATCCATGTTCTTTCTTCTGCCCTTCAATCTCCTACTCCTACCGGTGCCTCCCATTGATGGAACACAAGAGAAAGCCTGGAGCACAGGCAGGGCAGAGAATGATCAGAATAGAAGGTAACAGGGGCAAGGAAGGACAAATAGAGAATAGCCAACAAACGACTGGTCTCCCTGAGAATGCCTTCTGACTCTGATGGAGCCAGGAATCCCACATCTGTCCCCCAGAATGCAGCTAGGAAGAGAAACACAAGCGTGATTCCTTTTTTTTTTTTCTTTTTTTTTCTTTTTTTGAGGAGTCTCGCTCTGTCACTCGGGATGGAGTACAGTGGCGCGACCTCAGCTCACTGCAAGCTCTGCTTCCCGGGTTCACGCCATTCTCCTGCCTCAGCCTCCCCAGCAGCTGGGACTACAGGCGCCCGCCACCACGCCCCGCTAATTTTTGTATTTTTAGTAGAGACAGGGTTTCACCGTGTTAGCCAGGATGGTCTCAATCTCCTGACCTTGTGATCCGCCCGCCTCGGCCTCCGAAAGTGCTGGGATTACAGGCTTGAGCCACCGCGCCCGGCCTGAGCGTGATTCTTGATGGAAACTTTAGTTCTTCAGCTTGGTAACTACGAAATGTGAGGAAATGGGCTGCCTTGTAAAAGCACTATTTCTTCTTACTGTCTGAACATTTGATGTAATCCCTGCCAATCAACCAGTGGACTCAACAAGGACAATGTTTCCTCCCAGCTAGCTTCACAAGAGGAAAAAACAAAAACAAAAAAACATTTGGACTGGTTATCACTAGAACTGTGGTACTTGAATCAGTAGAAAAATTAAAGTCTCCAAAAAAATTGGCGTTACAAAATTTGAAACCTATCTATTGTCTCAGGTGGTCATGGGACATTGTTCACTTAGCCCTGGAAACTTCTATCCTTCTATTTCTGTAAAATATGAGTAAGCACTGGATCTAAATTAAAATTTGTCATTGCACTCTTCCAGGACATTGCATGCACATTTGCTATTCAAAATCGGATCTGCCCTCCTTTTTGTCTCAGGAATATCTACTAAGTATCTATGTAGACAAAGAAGATATGTGTGTTTAAACAACACAATCTTTATATAGATTCATATAAATGTTCTGTTTCAGAAATATTTAATTGGATTAAGATTCTAACTTGCTTCATTCCAAGTCCCTGCATTACCAAACCCCTGATTACTCCATGCCACGAAGCTCCAGGCACAATGGCCTGTTTTCCTTCCCCTGGACAGAAACACAGCTTGTAGGGAGGGGGAATAGAAACAGTTATCATTAGGTTGTGCCCTCTGAACATATTACTCTAAAGGATATTTTTCAACAATTTTTAAGGTAGTATTTTGATATGACAGTTTTTAAGAAAATGATATGAAAAGATGCTAGAGGAAGCAGTGCGAATTTTATCTTTCAAAATACAATGGTCAGACCATGGGTCCATAGAGAATGTTTTCCTTGCTCACTCACCTCTCAAAAAGCATCCTCATATTAGATGCCAGAAGATAGTGGAGGTGCATAGTTGTATTTTAAAGTAGAAATTTTGCAACTCACGAATTGTGTGCCTTTCAAGTTGTCATATGAAGCAACACTTCAGATAAGAAAGGCCTCAGGAAATAGAGCATCCATATATTCTTCCTGAAAAAGAAATGTCAAAGATGTACACCAGCGTACTGAATTAGGAAGTCTTGCTTAAAAGGACAGGTAAGGCAAAGTCTAAAGAATTGTAAAATATACAAACATGATATAAATATAATAAATATCATGAATATTTTTAAAAGAGAAGAAACACACACACACAAAATTGCTAGATCTAAAATCCTAGATTATATCATAGAAAGCTGAATGACAGAAGAAAATGAAATTGTCAACAAATACTGATTAATTGGGGAGTTAATAGGTACTTGTTTAATTCTTGGTGTTTGAAATATGTTTGAATTTTTGATGTTACTACTAATTAAATTTAAAAACATAGTATTTGTTATATGAGTTCTAAATTACCAGAGGAAAAGAGGCAATCAAAGAAAATAGAGTCTACTTGGCAAAAAAAAAAAAAAAAAACATTGAAAATTAATCATATTAGTAATACTACCAAATATTGAGTGCCAGGAACTATGCTAAGTGTTTTACATTATCTCCTTTAATCCTCACTTAAGTCTCTGAGATAACAATTTATGATGCAGTTCAAAATCAGGCCTACTTAAATGTGAAGTTATACTCTGTCTTTATTAATACATCAGTAGGATGACAAATAGATTAAAACTTGTGTCCCAATTCTCATTGATTAGTATTAGCTATTAGTAATGTTGAACTAATAAAGATTCTGAGGCTGAATTTCAGCTCAGCAGAAAAGACTGGATTATGGATTATTAGTGATGCCTACTTTCAGAACAACAGGGAAGATCTGCATCGAGTATGTCACATATTTACCAATCAGTTATAAAAATAGATATAAAATTACAAACAATAAGACTAAATATATAGCTTATGAAAATAGTTATAGATGGAATAAATGAACCTACAAAGAAAAAGACTCAAAAGGTCATTAAGAAATTTTATCTACATTTAAAATAAAGAATCAAAGAGATGTTAAAAGCAAAATGAATGGGCAAAATATACCAAAAAGTATGTCAATGAAAACAAAAAGAAAACAGGAATTACAACATTATTAGATAGTGCTGAATTCAAGAAAAAAATACATACAAAAATGTATGAAATAAGACCAAAGCTAGGATGAGAGGTAGAAACAGTCTTTTTAGAGAATATGGAAGGAACATAAATTGTTCAGTTGGTGACATTAGAAAAACAAGTTATTAACTCAAGAAGTAGGTATCCAGAAATATCAATAACTATTGAAGAAATTAAAAGTTTTTAAAAAGTTTCATCTTTTAAGGTATACCATTGTCAGCAGTTTTATGGCTAAGCTCTTTTAACATTATAAGAAAATAATACTACCTAAGCCTTCCAAACTGCGGAAGAGCAGATAAAAAAAAAGAGAAACCTATCAATTGTTTTTTACAGAAGTGGCACAATTATGCTACCAAAATCTGGGGGCAAAAGGCATGTGCTCACAAACACATATGCGTGCGTGCACACACAGACACACAAATCATAATTTTTGATAAGAAAAATTCACATTATATGAAAAACAAGATATAAAATGTGTATTAGGATTATTATTTTACAAAACACAGACATATAAATGTGCACAAACAAAATGCCCTAAATACATAGAAAGATTTTAGTCATTTTCTTACGTGGTTAGGTTATAATGATCTTTATTTTTTATTTATGATTTTTTATTTTTCCAAATTTTCTTTACCACCTTGTATTACTTCTATCATACTGAAAAGCAAGAGTATTGAGCCAAAGATAAGTTAATTTTACAGAAGCGGATTTTTCTTTAATGATGAAGGAAGGTTATTTTGACTGAAGAACAAAGGGACTGCTAGACCTGGAGCAACGGAAGGAAGGAAAGAAGGGAGGAAGAAAGGAAGGGAAGAATTCCTAGGCTGTAAGACCTTGAAACCAAAACCTCAGGAGAGTGCTAATGGAAGTAATTCAAATGTTACGTAGAAATCTTCATAGGATAGAGACTCTTCTGCCTGAGACTTTTGGCATAGAAAAATAATTAGCTTGTCTCAGGATTATTTTCAATAACTACTACTATTTTCAGTCTTTCTTCGGTTTTAGGATGAGAGTCAAGATATATACAAGCTCCGTGATGGCAGGTACCTTTGATGACGCCGGCCGACCAGTGTCCAGCACAGCAGAGGGCCCTGCAGGTCCCAGTGACCACCTGTTAGGAATGAAGGCTTCCAGTAGAAGGTTCCACCATGCTCTTTCCCTGTGGCTTATTCTCTTCAGAATATTAACAGTGACTTGTCCTACAGCAAGAATGTTTTTCAATGCCATAGACAACACAGATCAATTTCAGAATGAAGATTAAAATTATCCTTGACAGAGGCAGGGCGTGGTGGCTCACACCTGTAATCCCAGCACTTTGGGTGGCTGAGGCAGGTGGATCATGAGGTCAGGCGATCAAGACCATCCTGGCTAACACGGTGAAACTCCATCTCTACTAAAAAAACAATAAATTAGCCAGGCGTGGTGGCACGTGCCTGTAGTCCCAGCTACTTGAGAGGCTGAAACAGGAGAATCGCTTGAACCCGGGAGGCAGAGTTGCAATGAGCCGAGATTGTGCCACTGCACTCCAGCCTGGGTGACAGAGCGAGACTCCTTCTCAAAAAATAAATAAATAAAAATAAAAATTATCCATGACAGGATGGAACCATGGTCCCAAACAAGCTAGATCAAATTTCACAAGGATATAAACTAAACCATTCACTTAGGTTTCTAAACATTTATTTATTGATTTCAAAATAGAGACTGATATCAGTGTAACCCAACACTGGGAACACAACTTCTGACTAAACTAACACAACCTTAGGCTGTGTGTATGGAAGTGAAATCTAGCAGCAGGAAAAGAGCAGTCCTCCTCGTTTCCATGTTGGTCAGACCGTCATCCCTACTACTGAAGCCCAGCTGGGTGACAGGTTTTACAGCAAGCATTAAGTAAGAGCCTATTCAAAAGTACAAGACACAAACAGCCTGAAAAGCCTGCCCTGTGAGAGCTGATTTAAAGGGTCTGGGGAGATTTTTATTTTTATTTATTTATTTATTCATTCATTTATTTATTTATTTGAGACAGAGTCTCACTCTGTCGCCAGGCTGGAGTGCTGTGGCGCGATCTTGGCTCACTGCAACCTCCGACTCCCTGGTTCAAGTGATTCTCCTGCCTCAGCCTCCCGAGTAACTGGGATTACAGGTGGGCACCATCATGCCCAGCTAATTTTTGTATTTTTAGTAAAGACAGGGTTTCACCATGTTGGCCAGGCTGGTCTCTATCTCCTGACCTCGTGATCTGCCTGCCTCAGCCTCCCAAAGTGCTGGGATTACAGGCGTGAGCTACCGCGACCGGCCAGGTCTGGGGAGATTTACGCTGAGGAGAAAGGCCTGGAGAGTCCAAGCGAGCTGTCTTTGGGAAAGGAGTTCGACACATTCTGCACTACTCCAAGGAGCAGAGCTATGACCGACAAATGTAAAATGCTAAGGTAGAGGTGGCCAATACAAAGACGAATTTCCTAAAACGTATGATGCTCTCTGACCAGATAGGAGTCATTGCTTGTCACCAAAAGTGAGTAAGCACTAGCTAAATGACCATCTATAAGGAGTGTTCTGGAAGGGAGGTGGCACCATCCTGTCTTCCAACCTGGGGAACATAGAGAGGTTTTGTTTGTTCTACAAAACATTGAAAATTAATTTTGTAAAATGCCTTAGAAGGAACAACTGCTCTCTGGTCTGAACAATTCACACTACCGCCCATTGTCCTGAAGTCTAGCTGTTTCACATATTTATGCCACCTGCCCAGCTCTTAAAGGCATTGGCATTTGCCTAATCTCTAATGTCCATTCCAACTCTAGGCTAACTTGCTTGGTGACTCAGCTTCACCACAGAGCTGTCACAGAATTTTGTACCATTGGAGGACAGAAGAGATAGGAACTTGACCATAAAATAGTTAAAGTAGAATTGATTGATGAAGACAGTTAACTTCAAACAGTCTGAGGTTGAAACATTTCTCTTGCTCTACACAACTTTATCACACTTGACACCCCATCACCTCTGCTTTTTCTCCCTCTTCCCATGTAACTTTCAATTTTATAGCTTCTGTGAACTCAGACTATTTTAAACAGGAACTTTCCACCTAGAATTCAGAAGCTTTTATTACCAGACCAGCCCAGCCCAGAAAAGCAGGTTGACTTTTCTTACTAATTTTAGCCATTCCAAAGGTCCTTTGGCAGGGACCAGGTTCTTCCACTCTGTGGTTGGTGTAATGCTGCCATCTGGTGATTATTCCCACAAAGTGCCTGAGGCGTCTGTCTCCTCCTAGGCAGAAATGTTTCCCAACTTACAAGTCAGTAGAGTAGTCCTGCCCCAAGCAGGGTCCCCCTAATTGGGAGGGTAAAATTCATCTCCATGAAGACACTTGTGTGCTGAAAATGGTAATTTCTAATTAATATTAGTATTAACCATGATTATTATTAATGATACGAAGATTGAGTTATAACAGATAATATTAATAATGATGTCCTGCAGCAAAAATTTACATATAACATTATGTAGCCTATATATTATTAGAAATATATTACTGGATATTATCCTTATTGCAACCCCACAAGTAACATAGTATTACCATATTCATTACTTTCCCTATGAGGGGACAGACTCAGAGAGAGTAAGAGGCAAGCTCCAGATCACACAGCCTCTAAGTAGGAGAGTCAGAATCAGACTCCAGTAGAGCAGGCTTCAAATTTTCTAGATGGTTCAGCATGGAGCCTAACTAGATTTCAATAGCATCCAGTGTACAGAAGTGGACCCCCTTAAGCTATGGGATAGGCAGGATGGGGGAACCAGCAGTCTAAGGAGGCATGAAAAAAATTGTGCAGGGCTTGGTGGTGGTGAAGGATTCCATTTACACAACTGGTTTGGAACAGGATTCAGCTGGCAATAGAATGCTTAGGTGATAAGATCTAGCTGGAGGAAAAGGACTGGTAGGTGCCAGGTGGGAAGTCAAGGCCCCACTGGAGCAGAGTAAGGAAGAACTGTGGCTCCTTCGGCATATTGAGTGCCTAGGGAAAATGCCACTGAGGGCAATGAGACGTCTCAAGTTCCCCTAGTCTTGGCTTAGCTAGCTGAAGGAACTGGGTGGGGTGGGATTGGCCAGGCGTGCTGGTACCACTGCCATTACTCTTGCCAGATGCCATATTGCCTTCCCTAAAGGCAATGTATTACATATTAGGTGTGATATGTTATATTACATATTAGGTGTGAGGGTGTGGGAGTGATAAATGATGTACATTTGTATTTGTCTGTTTGTTTAATAATCCATCATGGCCATTCTGAGCTAGGTGATTTCTCATCCTTTGTCTCATTTAATTTCTATGACTCTAAGGGAATATTTAGAATTTGGAAATCCTACATCTAGATGTGCATAGTCTGGTTGTTGAGAAGGTACTCTATAAAGAGAAAGGATTTTTAGCCTCTTGAAGAAACTAAACCATCAGTAACCTGGCCCACATTTTGCTTGGTGAATCTCTCAAAACGATTGACATGCAGGCATTTCACTTCTAAAACAAACACAAGATAAATAAGCCTCTACACCTGAGAGAACTATGCCCAATTCCACCATTTGATCTCATCATTCAAGTGAGGTTCCCAATGTCTGATTTTTTATTGCTTGAGTTTCAAACATTGGTTTGTTTTTTGTGCTTTACACAAGTACAGTTAATGAAAGGCAACAGTTATATCACAAGTATACCTCTTTTGGAGGAAATTACTCTTTCTACCTTTTAGGGACCCTTTGTAGTTGTTTATTTTCATTTGGACCAGTGTATTAGGCCGTTCTCATGCTGCTATGAAGAAATACCCAAGACTGGGTAATTTATGAAGAAAAGAGGTTTAAATGAGAACACATGGACACAGGGAGGGGAACACCACACATTGGGGCTTGTAAGGGGAGGGCGGGGGTCAGAGGAGAGGAACAGGAAAAATAGCTAATGCATGCCAGGCTTAATACCTAGGTGATTGGCCGATAGGTGCAGCAAACCACCATGGCACAAGTTTACCTATGTAATAAACCTGCACATCCTGCACACATACCCTGGAACTTAAAATAATTTTTTTTAAAAAAAGAAAAGAGGTTTAATTGACCCACAGTTCTGTGTGGCTGGGGAGGCCTCAGGAAACTTACAATCACGGCAGAAGGCACTTTTTCACAGGGCAGCAGGAGAGAGAATGAGAGCTAGCAGGGGAAATGCCAGATGCTTATAAAACCATCAGATCTCATGAGAACTCACTCACTGTCACAAGAATAGCATGGGGGTGGCAAACCGCCCCCATAATTCAATTACCTCCCACCAGGTCCCTCCCATGACATGTGGGGATTATGGGAACTACAATTCAAGATGAAATTTGGGTGGGGACACAGCTATGCCATATCAACCAGACTGGTATAAACTAGCCAGCACATGGACAAATGGGCTCTAACATATCACTCTGTGCTAGTGTTCTAACGTATAATTTCATCCATTCATTGTAAGAGGGTTAATAGCAAACATTGCATATGAAGCTTATATTCAAGAATAGTAACTGCTTCGAGATTGTTTGAAAAGTTGAAATAATAATAATGATGTATGGAGAGTCCTTCAGTTTGTTGTACAAGTCTTGCATCAAAACATATAGAAAAAGCAATAGGTTCGAAAGTCTGTCTTGTCCATCTTTTACCAAGGCTCAACCTCTTCTGCTGAATATCTTTGGTTCCCCTAATGCCTATATAGTCTGGGAGTGGGAGTGAGAAGTGGAAGTTAGTCCTGTCTCACGCTCTCCTATCCCATACTTTGTCTACTGCAGAGGGAGAACTAACAGGCTGTGGGCCCAGAAGCACATAAAGGGATCTTTTTTTTTTAAAAATTTTATTATTATTATACTTTAAGTTTTAGGGTACATGTGCGTAATGTGCAGGTTTGTTACATATGTATACATGTGCCATGTTGGTGTGCTGCACCCATTAACTCATCATTCAGCATTAGATATATCTCCTAATGCTATCCCTCCCCCCTCCCCCCTCCCCCCACCCGACAACAGTCCCTGGTGTGTGATGTTCCCCTTCCTGTATCCATGTGTTCTTATTGTTCAGTTCCCACCTATGAGTGAGAACATGCGGTGTTTGGTTTTTCATCCTTGCGATAGTTTGCTGAGAATGATGGTTTCCAGCTTCATCCATGTCCCTACAAAGGACATGAATTCATCATTTTTTTATGGCTGCATAGAATTCCATGGTGTATATGTGCCACATTTTCTTAATCCAGTCTATCGTTGTTGGACATTTGGGTTGGTTCCAAGTCTTTGCTATTGTGAATAGTGCCGCAATAAACATACGTGTGCATGTGTCTTTATAGCAGCATGATTTATAGTCCTTTGGGTGTATACCCAGTAATGGGATGGCTGGGTCAAATGGTATTTCTAGTTGTAGATCCCTGAGGAATCGCCACACTGACTTCCACAATGGTTGAACTAGTTTACAGTCCCACCAACAGTGTAAAAGTGTTCCTATTTCTCCACATCCTCTCCAGCACCTGTTGTTTCCTGACTTTTTAATGATCGCCAGTCTAACTGGTGTGAGATGGTATCTCATTGTGGTTTTGATTTGCATTTCTCTGATGGCCAGTGATGATGAGCATTTTTTCATGTGTCTTTTGGCTGCATTAATGTCTTCTTTTGAGAAGTGTCTGTTCATATCCTTTACCCACTTTTTGATGGGGTTGTTTGTTTTTTCTCGTAAATTTGTTTGAGTTCATTGTAGATTCTGGATATTAGCCCTTTGTCAGATGAGTAGATTGCGAAAATTTTCTCCCATTCTGTAGGTTGCTTGTTCACTCTGATGGTAGTTTCTATTGCTGTGCAGAAGCTCTTTAGTTTGATTAGATCCCATTTGTCAATTTTGGCTTTTGTTGCCATTGCTTTTAGTGTTTTAGACATGAAGTCCTTGCCCATGCCTATGTCCTGAACAGTATTGCCTAGGTTTTCTTCTAGGGTTTTTATGGTTTTAGGTCTAACATGTAAGTCTTTAATCCATCTTGAATTAATTTTTGTATAAGGTGTAAGGAAGGGATCCAGTTTCAGCTTTCTACAGATGGCTAGCCAGTTTTCCCAACACCATTTATTAAATAGGGAATCAGGAAGTTCATGTGGAAAATTCTTCAGGATGGGCTGCCCTCTCAACAGGTTATTAAGCAGAGGGGCTCCCACCAAAGTGTGCAGGGCCATTTGCATAGTACTGAAAAAACATTTAAAGTTCTGCATTGAGCTTTTGAAAGGTTACTGCAAGAATCATCATGAATTTTGTACCCACAGTTGATATAAGGAGGAAAACGGGTGGTATTTTTGCTAACCCTAAAGGAAACTGAAAAGTTTTAATATGGATTGAACTAATTATAACAAAGGCAGTGAAGTCTTAAATATTACACTAGTAAATTTCTTATAATAAATATATAGTGAGTATACACTATTTCCTCTGACAACACTAAACAGCTGTTCTATTACTCAGGTTAAAGGCTCTGTAAAAGTCGCACATCAGAGTTAAAGGAAAATCAGGCAGCACCTTTTCTACAAACTATCCGGTTTTATAATAACAGGTGTTTATGTTTGTAGACTTTTCTAGGTTTTTGTTATAAATCCCACACGACATTGTTAATTTTTTTTGTTTAAATAGTCAATTATCTTTTTTAAAGATGTAGATAATAAATAAATAAAATATTCAGTGCTTACCCACATGATTTTTCCTTTCAATACCCTAAAGATGTTACTCAACTGTCTTCTTACTTGGATTATTTCCAATGAGAAATCTGCCATCCTTATCTTTGTTAACTCGATATGTAATGTTCCTTTTCTCTGGTTGATTTTAAGGGTTTTTATAAAAAGTCATTGGTGTTGGGTAATTTTTCTTTCTTTTGTTTTTCGTTTGTTTGTTTTTTTGAGATGGAGACTTGCTCTGTCGCCCAGGCTGGAGTGGAGTGACCCAATCTCAGCTTACTACAACCTCCACCTCCCAGGTTCGAGCAATTCTTTTGCCTTAGCCTCCCAAGTAGCTGGGATTACAGGCACCTGCCACCACACCCGCTAATTTTTGTATTTTTTGGTAGACACGGGATTTCACCATGTTGGCCAGGCTGGTCTTGAACTCCTGACCTCAGGTGATCTGCCTGCCTCGGCCTCCCAAAGTGCTGGGATTACAGGTGTGAGCCACTGCGCCCAGCCAGTAATTTGATTTTCATGTGCCTTGGTGTAGTTTTCTTCATGTTTCTGGTGCTTGGAGTTTGTTGGACTTTGTGAAACAAACTTTTCTTTGAAACATTTCTTCAAAAGCTTTCCCTCCTCTTTGGGATTTTTCAGTTACCTATACCTGAGGCTACTTGGACTTGTCTCATCACTTGCTGATGCATTTTCGTTTTAAAAAGTATTTTCTTTTTTTAAATCTCTATGTTTCATTTGGGATAGCTTCTTATGACCATGTCTTCATGTCACTAATCTTTTCTTCTGCAGTCTCTAATCTGCTATATATATCCAGTATAAATTTTACTGGAGACGTTGTTTTCATCTCTAGACATTCAATTTGGGTTTTTTTTAAATATCTTGCATATATCCACTTAACATAGTTCATCTTTCCTCTAGCTTCTTGAACATACAGGATATAGTTTTTCTTTTGTTTGTTTGTTTTTGTTTTTTTTTTTTTTTTGAGATGGAGTCTCACTCTGTCTCCCAGGCTGGAGTGCAGTGGCGCAATCTCAGCTCACTGAAAGCTCTGCCTCCCGGGTTCATGCCATTCTCCTGCCTCAGCCTCCCAAGTATCTGGGACTACAGGTGCCTGCCACCATGCCCGGCTAATTTTTAGTATTTTTAGTAGAGACGGGGTTTCACTGTGTTAGCCAGGCTCGTCTTGAACTCCTGACCTCGTGATCTGCCTGCCTCAGCCTCCCAAAGTGCTGGGATTACAGGTGTGAGCCACTGTACCCAGGATATAGTTTTAATAAATGTTTTAATGCTCTTTCTTAATTGATAATTCTAAGATCTGCATTAGTCTTAGGGTGGTTTCAATTGATTGATTTTTCTCCTCATAATGGATCATATGTTCCTGCTTCTTTGCACACCTATTATTTTTTAATATATGCCACACATTTGGATTTTACCATATAGGTGGTAGATAGTACTATATTCCCATAAATATTCTTTTGCTTATGTCTTGGACACAAGTTACTTGGAAACAGTTTAAGTCTTTCAGGTCTTGCTTTTAAGGCTCATTAGGTGGGACCAGAGCAGCGGTCATTCTAAGGCTAATTATTTCTTACTCCTGAAGCAAGACACTTCTGAGTATTCTACCCCTCAATGTCCTGTGAAATAGGAGGTTTTGCATCTGGCTGGTGGGCACATTCCCTATTCCAGGCTCTGGATGAGTACTGGGCAGTGTTTCCCCTGATCCTTTCTGATGGTTCTCTTCCCAGCTTTTGGTGGTTTCTCACATGCATGAGCTCATCAGTACTCAGCTGAATACTCAAGAGAGACCCTCTAGAGTTCTCTCTGTGTGCAGCTCCTTCCTCTCCTCTGTGTGCCCTTTGAACTCTAGCTGGCTCAGTCTTTTTGGACTCCTAGCTCTGTTTCCTCAGCTTCAAGTGTCTGCAAGGCTCAGCCTGGGTTCCCCCTTCTCATGCCAAGACCTGTAAACTCTCTCAAAGCGCTAAGCTGGGTAACTATAGGGTTCAGATCACTTGTTCCTGTTTCTCAAGGACTGCTGTCTGTAACTGTCTGAGGTCCATTGTCTCGAAAAACTTTTTTTTTTTTTTCCACATATCTTGTCTAGTTTTTCAGTTGGTTCGGGTAGGAGGAAAAATCTAGTCCCTATTACTACAGCTTTCCAGAAGCAGAAGTCTCATTTAGATCTATGACTTGCAAATATTTTCTATTTTTTTACCCTTAACTGTGTAACAAGAGGCAATGGCTAGGTCAAAAATATGCATTCTCAAAATTTTGCTCAAAGTTTCTCAATCTCTCTAGGATTGAGCTATTTTAAAATGTATGCCCTCTGATTTTTAGCTTTTAGTTTTGTTTGAGGCTGAATTAAAGAGTGTGGAGTTTATAATGTTTAATTATACAAAATTGAGCCATTACTTTCTCTTGACTTTGGCCTCAGGCTGAGGTAGCTGGGGTTTGGGCTGGGTTGGCCAGCTCTGAGACTGTCTCCACTTGCTGTCTTTGCTCAGACACATGGACCGTTAAGGCTCTCAGGCATTGTTGTCTACAGGGAGAAGAATGATGCTGCTCTTGTGAGTGGAACTGTCCTTCAAGGTGAGGTCCAGCAGAGATCTAAGCAGAGGCTGGGATCATTTCCCTCCCTTGAACTCTTCGTCAGCAGTTGTTCAAGCAAAGGCAAATCCCCTATTTATCACTTAGGTACCAAATACTCAAGCATTGTATCTATGGACAATCAACTGTTTCCCCTTAATTCACTTCCCACACACATACCTAATCTCCCAGGACAGACAAGGCTCCTCCCTCTGCTCCTTGTATTCTAAGGAGGCCACCTTGCAACCCCCTTCCTCCTGAGAGACTTCCTATTAGAGCCTATACTGTGGTATAACTGAAAGCATTTCTCATTAAAGAAGAGAAAAAAAAATCCATAATTTAATCTTTAGCATGGTGACACTCTGGTAGCCAACTATTTCCCCCACAATATATAACTTAATATTTACGTAAGAATCTACAGATAGATTTAACATTTCATGGATGCTCCTGTTTACAAAGTCATAACCTGCCCACACGTGACTTTGCCCTTTCTCTGCATGTCCCAGCCTCTTCTGGTGGCAAGAGCAGTGATCTAAAACATGAGCACAAACTTGTAGTCATAGAAATAGTCCAGCTGAAGCTAGCAAAGGGTACTTATCCAAACTTTAGTAAAAAGAACAAGAATATGTATATATACACACACACAAATATATAAAATGTGGTCTTTCATTATTTTATTAGTGTGGCATTTAAGGCATATGTGTTTCCTTCTGGATTTTCTTTCCCTTAGTAAAGATTCATCTCACAACCATATTGTTATTTGGTTTTGAGAGACATTAGTTTCTCTTCCTTCGTTTCAGGTTTTATTCTTTGTATCAGGAAACCAGTGATGCAATTTTAACTGAACTCTCTGACAATCGAGAAAAAAATGTCCTTGGAATTCCCTCATTTGTTTTTTCTTCCACACAGTGGGCATTTCTGCAGGATCCATGGTGTGTCAGGCACCTAGAGGGGTTGATCCAAGTCCTGCTGGCTGCGTGTTTTCCCTTTAATAACCTCAAGACCTCTTTCATTCTGCAGGTGCCAGGGTGGACAGAGCAAATAGCTGCCAGTCTGACAGCAGCGGGTTCCTGGAGGAGCCGCTGGAACCGCTGCCCCTCCAGGTAGGAGGGTTTGGAACAGGGCCCTGTTGCTCATCCCTAACATCCCACTTCAGCCCTATCAACCAGGCTGCCACCCAAACCTCACTCACAGCTAACTCAGAAAGAGGGGTGTTTTAAATCAAGCCACAATTGGAAAGGTTGAGAAGGCACAAGCCACCTGCACCCAAGGGGCAGAGGATGATGGAGTCATATTAGACAAGGTGCCGGAAAGTGTGGCCTTCCTTTCCTTTTGACTTTTCTAAGCAAGGAGGCTGAGCCTCCTAGAGAGGAGGACCTTGGTAAAGAGGTAAACAGATGCAAAACCTGATGTTGCAACCCTTATCTCCTGACTCCTAAGGCAATGACAAGAAGAAAATCTCACCTTAAACCTATTGCCTCCTCCACTTCCTGACCTGTTTCCCTTTGTCCTGGTTTCCCCTACAGATGCCTTCCTTGCCAAACAGCCAGAGTCCTGCTGAGAATGGAGGTAGAAAGCCAAGAGATCAGAGCCACAGCTTAGTATCATCCCAGGACTGTCAGCTAGAGTCGGATGGGCCAGATTCCAAAAGTAGGGCGAGCATGTCTTTTTCAAGCCAAGAAGCGAATGCCTTGGAACAAAGGGCCTCAGTATCTGTGATGGAGGAAGAGTTTCTGCTTGAGGCCATGGAGGGGCCACCAGAGCTGTATATCCCAGACATGGCCTGTGCCAAGACCACCACGAGGGGAGAATGCCCAAGGAAAGACAGCCATCTGTGGCAGCTTCTGCCAATGCCCCATGCTGAGTATGAGGTCACCAGACCCACAGCCACTTCCAAATATGATCATCCTCTGGGGTTTATGGTAACCCACGTCACAGAAATGCAGGACAGTTTTGTGAGGCCTGAGGGAGCTGGCAAAGTGCAAAGCCACCACAATGAGTCTCAAAGGTCACCTGGAAATGATCATACTCAAGACAAGTTCCTTCATGTTGACTCTGAGGCCCCACGAGAAGAGGAAAGCAGTGGATTCTGTCCTCACACCAACCACAGCTTACTCGTACCAGAAAGCTCATCACAGTGTATCCCCAAGCACAGTGAAATCACACCTTATGCAACTGACCTTGCTCAAACATCTGAAAAGCTCATTCCCCACCTCCATAAACTGCCTGGAGATCCTGCCCAGGTGAAGTCAAGGTCTGGTACTTTGGGTCAGATACTACCTGGGACAGAAGCTGAGATGGAAAACCTTCCTCTAAATACTGGCAGCTCCAGGTCTGTAATGACCCAGATGTCCTCCAGCCTGGTGTCGGCTGCTCAGAGGGCTGTGGCCTTGGGGACTGGTCCCAGAGGAACATCTTTAGAATGCACTGTGTGTGATCCTGTTACCGCAACAGAAACAAGACTGGGGACAAAAGCAAGACAGTTAAATGATGCTTCCATTCAGACTTCAGCTCTAAGCAACAAGACCTTGACACATGGGCCCCAGCCCCTCACCAAATCCGTCTCTCTAGACTCAGGCTTCTCTAGTATCTGCCCAATGGGCACCTGCCATGCTATACCTGCCCACTGCTGCATCTGCTGTCATCACCACCCTCACTGCCACGGGGAGAGGCAAAGCCCTGGCCCTGAACCCTCAGTCTGTAGGCACTGCCTGTGTTCACTAACTGGTCACCAGGAAGCCCAGTTCATGACGACTTTGAAAGCCCTTCAGGACACTACAGTGAGGGAGCTATGTTCCGTAAGTGTTCACCCTGGCAAAGATGGAAAGGCAGATGCACCCGTGATAAACACCTCAGGGATAATATTCAGACTTCCTTGCTGAATGCAAGATCTCAGGGCAAACTTTTCTATTTTAAATCATGAATAACATTTGTAGAGTGCTTTATTGTTTATGATATAGTATCACACATTTCTTCTCGATACTTCCAATCAATCACCTTTAGAAATAAGCAAAGCAAATTTTATCATTAATCATCATTTTACAGAAAGGAAAACTAAGGGGTAGAGCCATGCATTCATATGTCTAAGGTTATAAGCATTAATGCATCTGTAACTCATCTCCAGTTCTAGCTGAGAAGTTCTGTGTCTTAAATTCGTTTAGCTATATAATCTTGCACAAGCCATTTAATCTTTTTGTAAAATAGGGAGACTATTCATGCACTGACACAGGATTGTTTTAGGATTAAATAAGAAGAACCCTGTAAAGCACTCAGCCCAGCATGTGGCACATGGAAATCTCTAGGTAATGTTAATTGTGTGGGTGTGTTACTCTTATATGTGTTACTCTTATAATCAATTTTTGTGACTGTTTTACATTGTTCAGGTCTTGAACTTAGAGCTTCCCACGTCAAATAGAGGGGCTTTTGGTCTACCTTTGCTGAGCCTATTTAAAGGTGGACCCTATAGTTACTGAGGACTAAATGGCTCCAGCCTTCTCTAGCCCTTGATTAATCAGTAATTGTTTAATGAGCCCTTCCAGTACCTCCTTTTTAGTAAGTTTTTAAGGTAAGAAATGATCTAGGCTTTCAGGGCCAGCCATTGATTAAAAAATTAAGACTATTGCACATAAAACCACTTGTATAGAGAGTTGAAAAGGTGAAGGGGCTGGCACAGAGAATATAGGTTGCAGCTATTCAGAGCGGGGTGAAGTGGAACCACGATTTACTGAGCACCTTCTGTTTAGTGCCTACTGAGTTACCTTCCCATTCTCTTAATTCCACAAATATTTAGTGAGTGTCTATGCTGACCATTTTCTGTTATGTCATTTAACCTTCATTTTAATCCATTCCATAAATATTTGTTGGGCTCCTAATATATGCCAGGTCCTTCCTCCTTTATAGACAAGGAAACTAGAACTGAGAGAGTTTAAATAATTATCTCAATGCCTCCTAATGACTAAGTGGGAAGTCCAAATTCAGATTCAATTTGGGTAACAGTAAATTGCTTGACATTACAGTATAAGCAAAGAAGTGTCCGACTTTAAAATATCTAAATCTATGTAAGTGTAGAATTAACATTAGAAAGTGATTATTTGAAAGATAAAGCAAATTACTACTTGGCCTTTCAATGTATAGAAATCACATTACATAAATGTGATGTAAAGAGAGTGATTACAGGAAAGTTTAAATAATTTATCAGATCATTTTTTAATTGCAAGACTCCCAGGCATTTGGAATATTTTTATATGAACCTAATATTAGTGAGAGTTGAACAGGTAAGAGAAAGCTTCATTTAGGCATAGTGATCAGTTCTAGGTATATTTTCCAAAAGTTCAGTGGAAGAAAAGAACAAAACCTAATGTATGCTGGGTGGTTCTTGAGTATCAAAAGACTTTGGTTCAAATCCTGGGTAACAGTAGGGTCGTCATCACCATAACCATCATCACCACCACCCACCACCACCATCATCATTATTTACATCATTTGTTGAGGGGATTTTAAATGCCCTAAGTAAATGGTTTTCAACTGGGGATAATTTCCCACCCCTGAACTCCCAGATGACATTTCGTGATGTTTGGAGACATTTTTAGTTGTCACAACGGGAGGGGGGTGGTTGCTACTGGCAACAAGTGGGTAGAGGCCAGGAATGCTGCAAAACATCCTAAAATACAGAGAACAGCCACCACAACAATGAATTCTTTGGCCCAAAATGTCAGTAGTGTCAAGGCTGTAAAACTCAGCTCTAAGAGAATAAACATTTACCCGATCACGTAGTTTGTAAGGGGAAAATGTTAGGGATGAAAGATAGCTGGAGAAGGTGACATTTTGAGAGGCCGTATGGGGGAAAATATTAAATCCTAGAATTAGGTACTCCAGTTTTCACAAAGAAAGGCTGGTTGTTGGTCTAACATAGGAATGCACATCCCGAAAAAAGATTATTTTTCTAATTTACGTTTAAGACAAGCATTACAAAGATTTTAAGTCATATTTAGTTGTCTATTTTGTTAAAAATAACAAAATTGTGTTCAAAACTCCAGGAGAAATGGTTTTTCTAGACCTGTTTAATCCATCAGGCAAACCACAGCACCCAGAGAGCATGACTGGTCAGTAGCACAGCCCAGTAAGACCATTAATGTAAAAGGTTTGAGAGTCTGTGAGGTACTAGGGGTGTCCTGATGAATTTGCAGGAGCATGGTTCTGGGGATTGAAAGTGTGAGTGGGCCTCCAGCACCTGGGAGCAGATTCGCAGGTAGAAGGATTGCAGCTTCTCCGAGGAAGGTAGGCTGGAAAGAGTAAGAGGTGGCCCTGGGGGAAAAGGCACAGGAACCCAGAGCCAGATTCCTCATGGTAAGGACATTATTCAGAATAGGAGCAGAAGATTAAACCTGGGCCAGCTCCAGGGTGACCAAGTGTGGACCCGAGCTCTTCTTATTCCTCCTTCCTAGTGTCAAAAGAGGGCTTTGGGCATGAGTAGCCCCAGCTGTGTGGAGAGATTTGGCAGCTGGAAATAGATGTTCCTCCTGATTTGACACTTTGTCATATCAGCACTCCTGCAGAAAACAGGGAGGTTTTGTGGCCCATTATGCTCAGTAACTGTCCTCAGACGTGGGTAGATTTTAAACAAGTAGGAGTTTGAATGGGTGTGAGGGCCACCATCCGAAAGCTTCTAATGCCTTGTCTCCTATTGCCTTCACCTTCTTTCCTCTTAGAATTTGCAATTATACAAAAAAAGGTACTTTTATATCCAGTTGATTTGACATCATACACCTGCTGAAATGGATGCTATATAAGGTTTTACCAGATGACAATGAATTTCCCTTTATTAACATCCAAAGAAATAGAAAAAAATACACTCAAAGAAAACAATTCAAACATACACACATATACGTGTGCATATTTATACTCCTATGCAGGCATACATATGCACACAGGCGCATGTGCTGGAAAGCAAGTGGAAATAAGAGATTGCATTCCTCCATGACAGGAGACCGCTTAAAGACATTTAAAGCACAAAGAGAACAAGTTAGTGCATGCAGCAACATCTACTAAGAGTGAGCCTGGGTTTGTAAGGCCTGAAAACTGTTCTGAAGAAAATTGGCTTTAAATTAGATGCCAAGTGCTAGACAGGGCTAGAAAAAATATTTACGAAAATATTAACAGGACATAGCTCTTGGACCAAGTGAAGATTATAAGCAGAGATGGACATCTCTTAGAAGATAATGGGAGGCCAGGCATGGTGGCTCACGCCTGTAATCCCAACACTTTGGGAGGCCAAGATGGGTGGATCACCTGAGGTTAGGGCTTCGAGAACAGCCTGGCCAACATGGCAAAACCCCGTCTCCATTAAAACTACAAAAAAAAAAAAAAAAATTAACTGGGTGTGGTGGTGTGTGCCTATAATCCCAGCTACTTGGAAGGCTGAGGCAAGAGAATCACTTGAACCTGGGAGGCGGAGACTGCAGTGAGGTGAGATCATGCCACTGCACTCCAGCCTGAGCAACAGAGAGAGTCTCCGTCTCAAAAAAAAAAAAAAAAAAAAAAGAAGAGGAAGAAGAAGACGATGACGACAACGACGACGACAATGGGAGTTCTGAGCAGATGTTGAAACTAAGAGCAATTTTAGGTAAAGGACTTGAAGACTCAAAAACATCATTATCTTACCCCCCTAATATAGCAATATATAACACTGCAGATAAACATTTGACTAATTGATAAATGCCATTTTTGTGGCCTTTTTGGGTTGTCTAGGGTAATGATTTGTTGATATAATTAAATTTTCACATATAAGTGAGTTATTTGCAATAATTTGTTAATTCAAAAAAATGGTTTGTTGGTATAACTAAATTGTTATATATAGGTAAATTCTTCAGGATAATTTGTTAATTTTAAAAAGTGTTAATTCAAAAAAAATTCCAGAAAAGAAAATGAGATCTATCAGAAATAAGATTTCTGAATATTAGAAGTGCTTCCATATTGTTTATGATTTAGTTTTAGAGAAAAGTAAAAGTACACAAATAAGAAAAAGTAATATGAGCATATTCAAAGTGAAAATTCATTGTCTTTTGGTGATGGTGCTCTTACCATTGAAGTTAAAGTTTGTTTCAATGGGTTTGGGTCAGTAGAGCAGAACTTGCATTTGGTATTTGGGTTATAATCAAGCCTTTATATTGTAAGAAAAAGAAGAAGAAGAAAAAGAAGAAATGTTCAAAACACTCTATTTTTGAGGGTTTTTATTTATTTTTTTTCTCACCTACAGTTTTCTTTATTATGAAATCATTTCTATACTTATTCTAGGGCTAAAATGTGTTTTTCCATGTTTCCAAATAACCAGAAGATGGCAGCATTTCAGAATCTTCCACATCCCTCCACCATTCTCAGAGAGCAAACACTCCATCAGTTATTCCCAAACCAAAACACCCCAGTCTTATACCTTTCAATCACAAAAGGCTACCCCAAAATAACTACATGAGCATAAAATTCAATGTTTATGATGTTCAGCCTATTTGAGCACTACACTTCCATGATCCTGGCGTCACTGTCCCCAGAACTTTGAAGTGAATTTGAACCAGTTGGGAAGTCTTGGTTACCTGATGGGAAGCTACTAGAACCACTCAAACAGCTCGCTGCTAAGGGACAAGCAACTTATCCTTGTGTTCAGCTATACTGTGGTCCCTGCTGTGACTCAGATCTTAGAAGAAAAGAAATGAAACAAGAGATGGGTTCGAAATCTTACTGCCATTTTTTGACCACAGACAAGTTAACTAGCCATTCTATGTCAGAACACGTATCTATAACAGATGCCCTTCATGGTCTACAAGATCTTTTCTGGTCTTAAGAGCCATAATCTAGCATTCCTGCCAACATCAGTATCACTTCAGAGATTCCCTAAGTGTTTCAAATTCACTCACATTGATGCAAGAGTAATTGCAAAATTGCAAAATTGATGCAAGAGCTTTACTATGCAAAATACGTTATTCAGTATAAAAGCGAGAGGATAGAATCAAAACCAAACTCCAAAACCAAAATATGGAGAGTTTTCAATATAAAAACATTACTCTTAGGAAAGTATTTCCATTATGACAATTCTGGTAAAAATAGCCATCCGGCTGCCAGGATGTTGGCCATGTAGTTTAGAGAGGAAGGGTAAGAAATCTCAGACTTCCTAGAAACAGGGCTAGAGGAGTCCACCTAGCTGTAAAGTTGGTCTCCATGGAAGGAGGAAGAAGAGAAGCTTCAAAACAGCCAGCCTGCAAGATCAGTTTCCTTTAAAGCACACCACAGAAGCCCCACAGCATGCTCTCTGTTCCCAGCTCACTGGCCATTGTCTCTACAAGGAATGCTGGGAAATGTAATTTTTTAGCTAGACACATGGATGCCTCTAAAGTATTCTTGTTAACAAGAATAAAGGAGAGAAAGATTGTGAGTAGTCAACTAGCAGCCTCTGCTACACTGATTTTGGGAAGGGGTCCAAGCCTGTGGGTCTGATAGAGATGGCTTTAGGGCCTAACAAGCATTAATATTACTCAAAGTCAAATGGTTAGTGGCCCTGGAGTTCTGGGTCATGGATTTCAAAGCATGATCCAACCCAGGATGCAAAACAAAGGGGATAGCTGGTAAGAACTCAGCAAGTCATCAGAGTGCCGGCAAATGGACTGGGCTTGGAGGTGCCAAAGGTAAATAGCTTTAGTTAAAGCCATGAAAACAGATTGTGTTCAGCAACTACTGACAGCAGGGGAAAGAGCTGAGCTCCACTCCAATTTGTGCAGAGGTGATTTGGGCATTCTAAAGAGAGAATAAGGGAGGGTGAAGAGTAGGGGCTCAGTAGAGTCAGAAAAGTGAAAAATCACAAAGAATTGGTCCATGTCAATGCCATTAGACCAACTGTGTTTGTGAGCCAGCAGTAACTGAAGTTAGGATTCTGCCCTCCTAGAGACCGGGGACAGAGGCCCAAACCTTCTAGATGATTACATTTCAAAGGAGTGGCTCTCAGGTCCTTGAGAGAGACACTTGTGAGTTGTAAGAAATACATATTTACAATTATAATCAACATTTAATAAATACTCTTAGAAAGGGCCTATGTCAGGTGTTGGCGAAAGCAAACAGTAAATTTTCCTGGCAGCCTTTAGATTTCTCAGTCAGGCTTTTTATTGGGGGATGGGGAGGTTAAGGTCATCCCAGGGACACAGCCTTGTGCTGCTGGGAGGCAGACTGGAGGGTGGTCAAGTCTGTTAGTGGAGAGTTCCAAAGTTCTCAGGAGCTGCAGGAATATATTTAAATGAGAAAACCAAGGCAAAGGCACAGCCTGAGAGAGAAAGTAAGAGTTAAACGATGACTACATCAGGAGCAATGGGAAGGATTAAAAGCGTAGACAAAGTTCAATTCTAGATTCCAACTCCTGGAGATGACAGGATGCCTAACCTTTGCCTGCCTTCCTCAGGGTGGGCTTGTTAGGTGGATGAAGCTGATCCTGCAGATTCCAACCTCCAGGACTGTGACTAAGCAGGACTAAGACTAATAAACATTATTCTAAGCAGATTTTCTTTAATCAAACACATACCAGCTGAACAGATGTGTTCAATGTTATTGATACTCAGAGTGAGGCAGTACCCAGCAACAAAGTTAAACAAGATTAAACAGACTCAATTTCTCACAAACCCTTACTCTGGCACTTCCCCTCCTCTCTTCTACCTACATCCTTGCATCCCTATGTCACCTAGGCCTCCAGACTGCCTTCCAGCCTCTGGGACACAATGATTGTCACCCAAAGGCCACCCAACAACAGCTGCCCTTCTGTTGCAGATGAGCACTGTCACTAGTTGTTTTGTGAACCCAAATATTGGGCTCTTCCTATTCCCTCCCCCTTATATTAGCAGTAGGGCCTGTTTGCGAAAAAAGGGATCCCAAATGGGAAGACAGGCTCCACCATGGTGAGCTCTTGCAGAGGATCAGAGAGGACTTTCTTCTCAGTTCTTTCTCATTGTTCTCAGTGCACAGTCCATGAGATGGAAGCCATGAAGACGATATGCCAAAGTTTCCGGGAGTATTTAGAAGAAATTGAACAGCACCTTATGGGACAGCAGGCCCTCTTTTCCAGGGACATGTCAGAGGAGGAAAGGTAATTACCTAAGGGAGCCATAAAAGTAAGTACCAGCCCACACACCTGGAGCAAGGAAGATAATCAGGGCAGAACAGAGGAGCACCCTGGAGCAGAGCTAATGAGAAACCGGCCAGCTTTTCCTTTGCTTTCTTGGTCTTGTTCTTGCTTTCTCAGTGGGAGTCTGTGAGAGCCATTTGCTAGATAGCAATACTTATTCTTGGAGAAGGTCAAAAGACAGGCAGTCAGGGGCATTGACAGCAGGATGTCTTTAATCAATGGGATGGGGCTCGTGCAAATGCAAATGTGGGAGTTATGAGAGTTTTGAAAATCTGCATTGGGGCTGGGGATGGAAATCAGGTTTAACTGTAAAGGGAGAGGCATACGGGTTTTTCTTGGGGAAATAGAAGTGTTTTAAAACTGAATAGTGGTGATGATTACACAATTTGGTAAATTTATTAAAAATTATTAAATTGTGCTCTTAAAATAGGGGAACTATATTATACTGCAATAAAGTTGTTTTTTTTTTTTAAAGAAGACAACCTTAGTAATGTCTCCAGCTGACACAAATAAAGATGACATTCTCTTTTAAGAAATTGCAAAGGAAGAACCTATATTATGAGGTGACAATGGAAGATTGCACCTGGGAAGGATTGTTAAATTTGGTTATTTTCTATTATTTACTTGCAGGGAGGAGGCCGAGCAACTGCAAACGTTACGTGAGGCCCTGAGGCAGCAGGTGGCAGAGTTGGAATTTCAGTTAGGAGACCGGGCTCAGCAAATCAGAGAAGGGATTTTACTGGTATGGGTGATGGGGTGTGGAGTTTGACTATATCCAGCCTACCACAGGAGAGGTGCATTAAATGAGAAACTTGATTGTGCAATCATTTCAGAATCTAGGTTTACATGCCAACACCTTCATTTTAAGTATACAGAGAAGTACTTTGGTTTGCTCAAGGGTACACAGCCAGCTGATGGTGATTCTGTATCAGAATTCAGTTCACCTGTCATACCAATCTTCCCCTTGCCCTGTACATCATAGAGAAGTCCTATTAGCCCATTTTCCAAATAAGAATAAGAATCACAGGCACAGTGAAGCTCATCTTTGTAGCCAATATAAGCTAAGTCACTATCAGAATCTGCTGCTGGCTCAAAGAGCCCATTCTAGAGAATCGACCACCTCATAATGCCTAGCTCACAAGTTTGAGTAAGCTGTTTGGTGCCAATGTGATGTGCTGTTTACTCTTTTTCCTCTTGTTTTCCTTTTAGCAGCTGGAGGTTCTCACAGCAGAGCCACCTGAACACTATTCAAATCTGCATCAATATAACTGGATAGAAGAAAGCAATGGGCAGACTTCATGTTCTAAAATCCACCCAGGCATGGCCCCGAGGACTGTGTTTCCTCCCGATGATGGCCAGGAGGCTCCCTGTTCAGGTGGGACCCAGTTGGCTGCCTTCACTCCACCCACCTTGGAGAACAGCACCAGGATGTCTCCTTCATCATCAGCTTGGGCAAAGTTAGGTCCAACCCCTTTGTCAAATTGTCCTGTTGGAGAAAAGGATGCAGATGTCTTCCTCTAGATCAGAGCAGGTTTGTTAACCTTCATACAAAATATAAAGGCCCAGAACAGATGTAGCAAGGAAATTTCAATTTTCCCCAAGGAGAAGGGTCTGCCAACCCATTGTCAGCTATATCTCTCATATTCTACCCTTTGGTTAAACCCAAGAGGAGTTTAGAATACTCTAATACTCATTCAGTATAGAATAACTGAGCACCTAGTATGTGCCTGGCACAGAGTATGCAACAGTGACTAAATAGTATACGGTCTCTGCCCTGCTAGAACTTACAGTGTAGTGGGGGAGATAGAATTGCAAACAAAAAGTATCTGAGACAGACCTCAGTCAATATAGAAGTTTATTTTGCCAAGGTTAAGGATACACACCCAGAAGACAGGTCTGTGCCTTTCTCCAAAGATGATTTTGAGGCCTTCAACATTTAGTGGGGAAAGGGTGCTAATGGGGAAAGAGGTGTGGGTACATAGGAGGCAAACAGTTGCATTTTTTTGAGTCTGATCAGCTTTTCTCATGAGAGAAGGGGTAGAGGAACTGTCACTTATGCATTCACCTAGCTCAGTGGATCTGCACTTTTACAGAAGGTAAAATAAACATAGGGCAGAGGAAGCAATCAGATATGCATTTGTCTCGGGGGAGCAGAGGGATGGCTTTGAGTTCTGTTCTTTGTCCTGTACCTATTAAGAGAAGCTATCAATATACTTTGTCAGGATAAAATTCAACAGAACTGTTTTAGACTAAAGATTTTAGGGACCACAAGGAATTTCCCAGTGGGCAAATTGTGAGGGAGGTATTTAGCTTTTAAAAAAATCTTTGTAGCTATCTCATTTAGAAATAAAATGGGAGGCAGATTGCCTGATGCAGCTCCTAACTTGACTTTTCCCTTTTACTTCATAATTTTGGGGTCCTGAGGTTTATTTTCCTTTCACAGAATATAAACATGTACGTACATTTATTATTAAAAACTCTGAAGGAAATAACAGGTTTTGTGAAAGAGAACACAGAAGGGAATCCGATTTAGATCAATGTTCAGACAGCCCTGGTTGAGGAAGTAACAACAGAAGAGGGAAGGAGGATCCAGGCCTCAGAGGTACCAGACTGTCCAGTCAGGCAGCCAGTGGGAGTACTGATGAAACACCTACTGTGTGCAGGCTACTATTCTAGTGCTGGAGACAGCCATAAATAAGACAGATGGACTTTCTACTCAGAAAGAGTTGGATGAAGAGTAAGTCCAAAAAAAAAAAAAAAAAAACCAACAAGCAAATAATTACAATCCTGAAAAGAGCCTCAGAAGACAGTGTGATAATGTTGCAAAGGGAGATGTGGAGTAAAACTGTACTGCATTCATCAGGGTGCCTGTGGAAGGCCTTGCTAAAGGGAAGGCTATTTGGGTAAGACTTGAAAGGTGAGGAAGTGGAAGCCAAGTGCAATTTTGCAAAAGAACATTCAAAGCAGAAGGAATGGAAAGTTAACAGGCCCCCAGATGTAGAGATAGCCAGTGCTGCTCAGTGCGGTGGGGCATGGAGATGGAGGGAGGGGAAGGCTGAGAGGGGATCGGTCAGACTATAGGCCATGACCAAGTCTTTGCATCTGAATCCTTTTTCCAAGGGTAATGGAAAGCCACTGTGGGTTTTAAGCAGGGTCGTCATATAATCTGATTTACGTTTTGAAGTCATGCTGGCTGCTTTATGGAGAAAACGCCCCTGGGGGTCTACAGTGAGGCAGAGTGCCCAGCTAGGAGGCTGTTGCTGTCATCCCCAAGGTGAGAAGCAAATGTCGTCAAGTTGCTTCTATTCAGCCTTGGAGGCTTGTGAGGCTCCCACCCCAGTGGAAATGCAGGGAATGGCACACAAAGGCCAGAGGCACTGGGTCTCTAAGGAATGGGGAATAGATGCAGAATGGAATAGGAAAAACTGCTTGGAAAAGTAATGCCATGAGGGAAGTTTATAATTTGTATGAAAAGATGGTCAAAGGAGAGGTCACTTCTTAGCAAGTAACCTCAGAAACTAATTCTATTGAAACCACCCACTACTCAAAACCATCTCACATCTTGCTTGCACTCTTCCCCTTCCTTGCTTTTTGGAAAGCCTTTGACTCAGCGGGGCCTTCCTACCCTTGGGACCACCACACTATTTTTCCCATGGACTTAACATTCTCAGAGCGTGGACATCCCCATTCTGTCCTGAATTCTCTTCTCTTTCTCCATTCCTCTGTCCTCAGTATACACACACACTCTCCAAGCATCTATGACCCTGATTCCCAGCTCTCTCCAGTATCCCAGCCCAGCATTTTTTACTGTCCATAAGACATTTTGACCTGGAAGACTTGGCTGTATGTCTCACTCTTGGCTAAAGCTGACCTGGTCATTGCCCCAACTCAGTTCATCTTCCTGATCCTCTCTGTCAGTGGCACAGCCTTTCTCCTTGCTGCAGGCTCAGTGCCACAGTGTGCATGGTCTCCTGCCCCTCTACCCTGCCCCCTCAGTCAGTCAATGACCACACCAATGCTGAGTCTACTGCCACAAAATACCTCCCAGAAGTTTCCTCAGAACGAATTACCTGGCGACAGTGCAACATAGGTGCTTCCTAACTGCCTCCAGCCACCTTCTCTCCAAACTGCACTGGCCTCTGCCAGGTTGGGCTCTCTCAGCCACCATGTGGGTCATATTTGCTGGATCTACAGTGAATACCCAGAAAGTACTTTTAGAATAAGCCAGAGAATGAGAGAGAAATCACAGGATCATACTTCCCAGAGCAGCCTTCCACCAGAAATAAAAGTCCAGGCCCTGGAGTTATTATGCGCCTCTCGTCGCCTCCCACTGCATCATCCCTTTTTGCCACATCCCCATCTTGGCTCCTATATCATGGCTCAGCTCCCAGCCAAATTGACTCCTGATGCATTGCATTTGTGCCTCCAAATCGTTTCCCTTGCTAAACTCCTAAGCTTTTTACTCTTTACCCAGGTTGGGCTTTTGACCTCCCCTTCTCCATGTAGACTCCGAGCTCTCCTGCAGTTTCTTCCTTGCTCCTTCCCTGTAACGCCTACGGAATGAAGAGGAACACCTGGCTCTAGGATGTCCCTCACCTGGCAGCCATCTGCTTTACCAGTCTCATTTCCTGCTCATCCCTCAGATGAATCTCCAATTCTATTCCCCTAAACCACCTCCTGTGTTCCTGCTTCCTCTCCTTTGCTGAAACAAATGAAGTATCTCACCAGTAAGTCCTAGGGCAGACCCCATCTCCTACACAGGCTTTCCTTGATGATCTGTGGCAGAAGTGATCCTTATTTTTTGAAACTCCTATATCACTTTGCTTTTTTGTTAAAACACTGAAAACCTCCTGTCTTGTGTTACCATTATCTGTGTAGGTCATATCTTCTCTAGTAAACTTAAAGCTATTTGAGGACTGTGTAGTACCTACTACCCTGTGTTTAAGAGAGACTATCTGGAGGAAAGTACAGACTCCTTTCTTTATCATGTGTGACCTCGGGCACTTGCTCTCTTTACCCTAGTTTCTTCCTCTGTAAAATAGGGAGAAGAAAAACAACATAGAGTTGTTGGACAGAATAAATACCATGAATCCTGTGCAGTGTTTAATCCAATGTCCATCACGTAGTAAGTGTTCAATGCATGTTGGCTATTATTACAAGTGCACATACCAAGAACTCAATAAATGCTAACTGTAATTACTGTCTTCCTTCTGTTGAAAAGAACTGTTAGCAAAGTACTTTATGCACACAGAATATTACCTACCGCTTGATGAATGAATGAGATGAGGATAAATTATCAGTCTCAGGAGACAATGAAGAGAATGAACTGACTATGGTAGAAGCACGGTTATAGGTTGTAGAAGGAACTGAGTTTAGATTGTAAAAAGGGACTTATTTGTGGACGGTTTTGACAGTCAGAAAGATGACTTCATGTGTGATGGAGGAGAGAAAAGACCATTTATTATTTTCTGATGAAGAATAGCTAATGGAATCCCCAAAGGTCTCCAAACATTTAATGGTTTACTCTCCTAATTCTCCAAAAAAGAGCATAGAAGGGAAACTAAAATGTAGAGAGGCTGCTCTATCCCACCAGGACCTTTGCTGTCTTCAGTGCATGATGAACAATGTTTGCTGATGCTGCCTCCAAATACCACCCCCGATTCTCAGGCCTTTAGGCTCAGACTGAATTATACCACTGGCTTTCCTGGTTTGTGTAATAAATGTATGTGTATACACACACACACACGCACTATATATATTATGTATCATATATATTTTATATATGATATATATAAAATATATATAAAATCATATATATCAAATATATATAATCATATATAAAATATGATATATAATATCACTCACACATACATACACGCACACTCGTTCAAAAAGACTGTAAGTTGTCTAAGCTCTGGCAACCATTAAGGGATTGAGTTGACTCTGATTTCCTGATTTGTTAAATCAATGGTTTGTCATGGCTCTGCCAAGCTTTGGGGTTTATGTGGTGCCTAACACTAGGCCCAAGTCCACCAGAGGAGTCCTGCTTCTGTCTGCGTTATACATTGAACATTAGCAGAAATTTATTTTTTAAATAAACAAAGATCTCATTGCTATAGAAAAATTTGAAAAACATTGCACTGTGCTAATTGCATCTGACGCTTGTAGTCAGGTATCGGTTCTGAGTCGCTTTCATACAAGGAGATGAGTTCCACCACATAGGAATGCTTTTAAACCACCATCCTAGCAACTCTTAGCTTAATACCACTTGCCCACTGCCAAGAATAATGGCAAGAGCCCTTCTGCAGTTCCTGAATGATTATCTGTGTAATCTTACTATTCCATTATCAAGTCCCAAGATCCTGTATTCCTTTTTTTTTGTTTTATGCATTGACCATATTCAACATGACTATATTCAGGCAAATCCAGATCACATATTTGAAAATAAATGGTATCATTGTACTAAATATTTGCAGAAAGTTAGCACAGCAAAACTTCTCATTATGAGACCAAACTCAAGTTTAGAGTCGTCTCATTTAAATGAAAATGAAAAAAAAGAAAAAGTAAAATCACACTAAGTGATTATTTTCAAATTTAGAAATCAGCCAAGGAAAAACGTGGCCTCTTCTACATTAAAGCACAGGATCCTACCCTGTATTAATTTCATTCCATCCAGATTCCATTTATTCAAAGCCAAAAGCTTTGAATAGGTAAGATCAATTTGAGAAACAATACTTGGAAACTCAAGTCACATCTTTTCCTTGATTTCGTTATGCATGAGGGAAGACCCAAGTTGCATCATGGAGACACAAAGATGAAACCTTGAGGGTTGCTCTGAACCACAGTGTATGCATAGGCCATGTAGATTTGTGTAAGGATATTCGTTTTTTAGCCCACAGAAGAACACTTCCCAGAAAAATGTTGCATTAGGTTTTGTTTATTTAACACATATTCTCTTATAGGTGAATTATTGTCTGCAGAGCTGGATCCCTTTTTTTTTTCTTCAAAAGCAAATAACTCTGCTAAAGATGAAAAAATAAAATCAAAAGACTTTCTGAAGACACAAGACTCTGGTCTGTTGTAATTGTTTTTCTTTGTTGAGAAAATAATCAGTTTCCAGAGTATAACACATGTCGAACAAAATAGAACATTTGTAAAGAGGTTAGAGTATCAAAGTGGTGCCCCTTTGAGAAGAAAAAGTTTTAGAGTGTTTTCATGTGGAATGGTGGGTTGCATACGTAATTTCAAATTGTAATTTAAAACAACAAATTGTTCATGATGTGCGAGAATTGTAGGTTATTAAAAGCCTTGTTAAATTGTTTTTCTTGAAAATTGAGAGAACAGGAACAGAAGCCAAAATATGGACGGCACCTTTCTCTAGCCCAAACTCAGCCTCTAATTGCCTGATCTTAAAACATTGGCAGATCAGAGGTTGGTATGGGATGCTTCCTCTCAGAATCTGTCCCCAATTAAGTAAAGAAAGAACCCTTCACATCAAGAATGATTTCAGATCATAAGAATCAAATTGAAGATTTTTCCTTTTTGAGTACTTTAAGAACTCAATGCCATCCAATGCTGCTAATCCCCTCCAAAACTCAGAGCCAAACCTTATCTTATTCATTCATCAGGAAAATGAAAGAAAACATTTCCTAAATGTACCAATGCTTTCTTCATTCCCATGATCATCTAGTAATTGCTTATTTGCTCAGGGCAATCTACCAGAGTCACAAGGTATCTACATTTTTCTTTTTAAAAACTGAAAGTATTTGGGGATATTTTATAACTGTGTAGTTGATAGAAGAAATAATGTTTCCAGTATTCTCTATCCCTGAAACCAAGTGTTTATATATATATTTTTTAAAGTCACTTGTTTCTACTTTGGATCATTTATATTCTTCTATGGACATGGATAGGCATTTGTCAAATGCATTGCTTTGTTAGCCGCTCCTATGAATAAAATAAATAATTTACTTATATTTTGTGTTACATGCTGTGCTGAAAGCTGTTGAGCCTTGTGAACTTCACATTGTTTTGAGGAGTACATTGACACTGATACATTGGAAGGAGAGGTTTCCTGCCTGGGGCAGCAGCAGCACTCTGATTCCTGCTCAGCCTCACTCTTTCCCTGTCTGTTCCACACAGCCCCAAACTCCACCAACCTCTCTGCTTCTTCTTCTGCCCCCAGTGGAGGCTTCAGGGCCAGATAGCGCAAGGGGTAGACTAGGCTATTTGTTCATCACTTGGTTGCTATATATGTAGACTTTTGTATTTTGTTTCAGAAAACAATTCCTTACTCTCCATTTAATCTGAATAAATGTAGAGCCATACATTTTGCTTTCTCTGAAAACTCCTTATTAAAATAGGGGTGCTCCTTGAAACTTCAGTCTCTTTTCTTGTAGTCTGATGGTCTGCTTCTGAAAAGCACTATATTGCAGGAAAATTTTGTGTGGCCTTCTGCAAAACACTCAAATCATGTAGAGCTATAGCAGAAACTTCCAACTCTATTTTATTCACCTTTTTAGCTTTCATAACATCTGATAATAACAGTACCTAGCTGATATAATTTGGCTGTGTCCCCACCCAAATCTCATCTTGAATTGTAGTTCCCATAATCCCCACATGTCACGGAGGGAACCGGTGGGAGGTAATTTAATCATGGGTGCAGTTGTCCTCATGTTGTTCTCATGATAGTGAGTTCTCATGAAATCTCATGATGGTTTTATAAGGTGCATTTCCCCCTTTTTTTTTGGCACCTCTCCTTGCTGCCGCCATGTGAAGAAGGACATGTTTGCTTCACCTTCCACCATGATTGTAAGTTTCCTGAGACCTCTCTGGTCTTGCTGAACTGTGAGTCAATTAAACTTCTTTCCTTTATAAATTACCCAATCTTGGCTATGTCTTTATTAGCAGCCTGAGAACGGACTAATACACTAGCCCACTGTCACTTTTCTATAAATGCTTATTAAAATAAATTTCTAAAAACTGCTTTTCTGTCTATAAAACAATGTTTGGGGATTTCCTTTATTTATGATCAAAGGGAAATATCTAAACATATATCTATGTAAAGCTATGGTCTACTATATCACATAACATTCCCTTTATAAAGATACATAATAGAAATTTCTTTTAAATCACTACCAAGAAAGGTTAGATTGTTCTGGAGCAAGTGATGTATTTATTCTGAAAATTGATTGTGTTCCTCTCCCATTTTTTTTTTTCTGTTTATTTTTCTGTTTTGGTTTGATTAAGGAAATCCAAGACTGTTTTGCAGCCCACTTCTGGCTACCGTACATAAAAGGAGCACAAAATTTTTTGAAGAATTATTATTTCTGACTTTATCTTATTTGTCAGCCCTTATTTTTCCATTCTTCTGATATCTTCATCTTTTTCCATCATGGTGTTTTTTATGTTCCTTTCTGTAAACCACTTCAAATCTCTTTGACAGGACATTATACAAGCCAATTAATACCACATACCTATTCATTTAAATATGAAAATACGTATCTAGAGAAAACTAACCAGCAGTATTACCATTAGAAAGTCAATCATGCAATATATATTATATATAATATACACATATGTATGTGTATATATGTGTATATACATATATGTACACACACATATATGCCTATATATAGTGTTCCAATTACAAATAAAACACTTAGAAATAATGTTGATGATAAAAAGAAATGTGATGAAGTTCCTGGTTGCAAGGGAATCGGATTTGTTGAACGGGGTAGAGATAAGCTCGAGAAAAGGTAATATCAATAAAAGCCACAAATAGAAATTACAAATTCAGTACCACAGAGAGGTATGATTGTCAAATAAGTCTATATCAGTCAGTTTGCCACATTCAGAATCTTGTTGATGAATATGATAGCCTGATGCCTATTTTGAGCATCCAATAAGCCACTGTAGTTTATATATATAAAACAATGTCAATTAGAAAGTGTGTTTCTACCTAGGATGCATGATATCATTATATCTAGGATATAATAAAGAAAATGTTAAGACATTGCAAAGCTATTGACTGCTACCTTCTGTGCTTGATTCACCTGAGAATCATTCACCCCATAGGGAAAGATAGTCTTTGGAAGAAAACTTACATAATTGGGAATATTGGGCCAGGCGCAGTGGCTCACACCTGTAATCCCAGCACTTTGGGAGCCCCAGGTGGGTGGATCACCTGAGGTCAGGAGTTCGAGACCAGCCTGGGCAACATGGTGAATCCCCATCTCTACTAATAATACAAACATTAGCCAGGCATGGTGGCACGTGCCTATAATCCCAGCTACTTGGGAGGCTGAGGTAGGAGAATCGCTTGAACCCACAACGTGGAGGTTGCAGTGAGCCGAGATCCCACCATTGCACTCTAGCCTGGGGCAACAAGAGTGAAACTCCGTCTCAAAAAATAAATATAATAATATTGGGAATATTGTTGTTTCTGTTCATTCTTCTAAGTAAAAGTCAGTACTCCCATCACACTTCCCATCTTTCTTCATTACTTCATTAATTTATTTCCCTCTGCCTACTCCCTTCAGTTCACATTCCCCGAGTCTCTCTCCTTGAATCTCTTCTTTTTCCATTTTTCCTGAGCAATCGCATTTGCACCTTTGATTCTCCAAGTGCAGATGGCTCACATATACACATATCTAACTCAGACCTCTGCTCTCCATTTCAAATGGTTATGGTTATTGGATTCATCATTTCCTTCTCTAAACCAGCTCTATGTGACCTATGCTACCTGTATCAGGTAATACTGTCATCACTTTTACTTTTGTAGGGTGCCAGTCCTTCCAGAGCTGTAGAGCTGGAAAAGTGATATTGTTCAAGGGCACCCAGACATTGCCTCTGTTTATTCACCCTGGAAGGGAATATGGTCCTGCTGGTACTAATTTTGAGTAAGGACCAGAAGAACCCAATATCCGCTAAAATGTCCTTAAATGGATATACAGAGATTTTAGTAAAGATTATTCTAAAGTGATGAGGTTACTCCTGAATAGAAAAAAGTGAAATGAAGCAAAAATTTGGCGGATTCTCAGATCTGGAAGACTCTACTCTCCACAGACAGAATCATCTCTAACTGTGTGTCCCACCAAGAATCTCAGTGCCTGGAAAAAAATCCCGGTAGGCTGTATTTGTTCCCACCTGAGTGGGCACTGCACTTTCAATAAGATTTTGGAACCTGGGCCAGTTAGGAACTCATAGTGTTTTTGTGTCTAAGTGTGTGTATGTGTCTGTGTTGTATAAGTGTATGTGTCTGTGTTGTATAAGTGTCTGTGTCTGTGTTGTGTAGACGTATGTGACTGTGTTTGACTCTGTGCATGTATGTGTGCTGGATTTTGTCCTGTAAATGTGTAAATAATCTAAAATGCTAGTTACCTTATCCAGAATTCCAAGAATTATCTTTGAATCCTTCCACAGTTGGTAAGAAAATTATATAAAACCCTCAGTTCACTTCCCATTCCTACTTCTACTGCCTTGATTCTGCCCTTTTTATCTCACAGCTAGATGATTTCCAAATTCCTCTAGGTGATTTCTTTTCTCTAATATTTATCCCTCTGATCCATATTTATACCAAAACAACCAAAAATCTGATTGTGCTGTTCTCTAATTTAAAAGTCTTCAAAGAGTTCTTACTGCATGCAGGATGTAGTCTTAACTCTTCCTTGTCCTACAAAGCCCCATGATCCCACCCCTATCTGGCTTTATCCCATCCAAATTCCTTTTCAAACCCTGTATGCCACTTATAACTCCCGGTGCTGGACACTGCTGTGCCTTCTCAGTCCTCTATCCAGCTATTACCCGTCTGTGAATCCTCTTCATACTCTGATTCTCATGGGCTCCTTTTCCTGGCTCTGGCTAGAAAACTGTGGCTTTGGATTCCCTGCATTGTCATGAACTTCCTGCAGTTGGGTCTACCTCAGGGAAAAGTGGGCAAGACAAAAGAGTCTACAGAGCCTCTACTGCTGTAGCTGCTATCCCCAATTCCGCCACCACTGCTGCTGCTCTTGCCACCGCGTTGTAATGCCATTCGTTACCAGTACATGTCAGGAGTAGGACTGTGATAGGCAAAAGATTTCTGCTTTCCAGGGGCTCCTTTCCCAGTCCTCTGGCCCAAGAGAGAGAGTTTATCTTGCAGTTTTTTCTGTTAACAGCTTTTGCACAGTTTCAAGATTCAGACTGCTCTTGATTTTATGCCGGAAAATATCGGAGGATATAAAAAAGCAGGAACTTTTTTCCATAGTTGTTTTTCTTTGAGTTTTTAAATTCTCTCCTCCAGTTGACCTGCTATTATTTACTTTTCAGAGTTCTCAGCTTCATATATTCTGTTCAGGACTTTTAATTGTGCTTAGTGGAAAACATAGCATGTATTTATGCCATCTTAACCAGAAATGAAATTTGCCAACCTAATTGTATTTAATATTCTCTTATTATAGTGAAAACTGCTGACACTTGCTTACCATGTGCTAATACTGTGCTAAGTTCTTTATATGCATAATTTACATACCGTGTTTGGGAAATTTTCAACCATTATTTCTTCAAATACATTTCTGCACGTATTTCATTCTCTTCTTTTTCCAGGATTACAGTAGCTCAAATATAATAACTTCTGATATTGCCCCACAGTTCTTTGAGTCTCTGTTCATTTTCTTATCAAACTTTTTAGAATAACAAATATTTCTGGTAAATAGGATCATCCCCATTTTAAAGATGAGGAAACAGAAGCTTACAGAGATTAAGTGATTTGCTCAGTGTCACACAACTAGAAAACCAGGTATGATCCCAGGTTTGTCTAACTCCAGAACCAAACTCTGAACCACTGTCCAGTATAACCATGGCCAGCTCTGTCATGCAGCCCAAGTTAGGCCAGAGCCACAGACATTCCAATTACAGGTGAGGAGTAGGCAGCAGTCTGCTCTGAAACCCATGTTTTTCTAGCTTTCAGCATTGATTAGGTCAAGTTGAAAGATGTACTTACGCACAGAGCCAGTTGAGATTTAATATTGCTTTGTGTTATTTATTGGGCAGGTGTTTGTTTAAAGGAAGTGGAAACAGGTGTGTGGGCCCTGATTCAATTACATGATGGAGGGGGACACACTGATCCATGGCCATTTTCAAGGAGAGATGATGATTGTGCTAATTAATCATTTGTCTGTCAGAACAAAATAGAACATAATAGAAAATGATGTTCCAGTTGCCATAAGAATGGGACACAGACTCACATGTCTGGCTCTCCCAACAACCAGATGCAACTGTTTATGATGACGACAATTAAGATGCAGTACCTGAATCCTCCTGGATTATCACATCTGAGATGGCTTGAAGGAAATTTGCTTTATAAACTTTTGCCAACGGCACAGAACCTCATCCAACAGGAATAGCCTCTCAAAGCAACCTTTCCCTTCAAAGAGATTAATTGAGTCTTTTCAGATCATGAGGATATCCCTGACAAATGGCTGGAAGGGACATTTTCCATTCTATGTCTTGGGAAACTCAATTTACCTCACCTGATCAAGACATCCATGCTCATAATGTAGTATCATAATAATAGTTAACTCATTCTTTCCTTTATCCACTTGCCACTCAACAGCCAGAGTGGCCTTTTATAAACATAAATCAGGTACATTGGCCACCTACTTAAGAATCTCCAAAGGCTCTTCAGTACATTTAAAATGGAATCTCCACTCCTTACCAAAATCTGCAAAGTGTTACATGACCTGACCTTGCATAGCTCTCTGACCTAATTTCATACCATTTCCTTCCTCCTTCCTCTCTCACTATGTTGCAACATCATGACTTCATGGGTCTTCTTGCTATTTTCTGAATGCATTAAAGCTCATTCTCCTGCCAGGGGCTTTTCCCTCTTTGCATTTGCTTTTCTACTTTTCCCAGATATTCACATTGCTGGTATCTTCTCATTCAGATCTCTGTTCAAATGTCACCTCTTCAAAAAGACTTCATTGACAATTATATCCAAAACGAGGCTCTTCCTACACACATCTCTGCACAGTCTATATCCATTGATCCTATTTTGTTTCTTTCATAGCATGTATTATTTTTATTTCTTTATTAGCTGTCTCTCCTACTGAAATGTCAGCCTTATGGAAGAGAAACTTGTCTCTCTTCTTTCCACATTTTATCCCCAGGCCTAAATCACTTCCTGGTACATAGTAAGTTCACAAAAGATTTCATAAGATACTTAATTAATATTAATCAATCAATATATTAACACTAATAAGCAATCTCTATGCACAAACAAGGCAGTTTAATCCAACAAGGAATTTTTAGTTTGGGGAGGAAAACTATGTCCTCTTCTGCTAGTAGTTCCTGCACTTTACCAAAATTAGTTTGATCTCTCCTGTTGCAAACTGGACTTCTGGGCATCCAGTCATACTTCTTCTACCCTTTTGGCGAATAGCTCAGATAGGGGCAAGTTCTTAGGGGAAGGCCCTCAGGGAAACTTCTAAAAGGAACAAACTCCCACTCAAGAAGCTCTTTCCTTTGATGTATATAGATAATATATACTTTGAATCCCAGGGGGTTGAACATTAGGAAAAGTTGATGTTGATTAGTAGTTTACCTCTGTGCAGGACTCAGGCAAATTGGAGCAGGCCCAGATAAGATTCCTTCCCTGCCACCTGCACTATTGTTTCTGGTGGAAAAACCTAAAGATTAGGGAGAAATCACTTTAGCTGGGTACCCCGTTTTTGTTGTTAGAAACTTCTTTGTCCCAAGACCAGGGAGCTGCTTTATAAATTCACATCAGGGTCATCTGATGCTTCAGTGGAAAGTACACTTGCTTGACTTGCTATTGGTTAGAGCCAAGGGATTTAACAACTCTGTAAAGTTGGATGTTAGCTGTAGAAACCTGATAAAATACAAATGACTTTTTATCTAATCACAAATGCAAATAATATTAATCCAATGAAGAAAACTGAAAAAGTTAAGGTATACTTTATTGGCCTATGAGAAATTAACCGGTCTTTTGTAAAGCAGCAATTTTATCAAACATTTGTCTTTCACTCATCATATAAGCAAACCTTTCTCATACCGTCCTTTAAATTAGATTTATTATCTTGCTAGTTCCCTCATTAATGAGTTTAGTAACATTTGTACAATTATTATGTATTTAAATGAAGTTATTTTCTAAAATCACTTTGAAAATTATACATTTTACACAATTAACTTAATACTGTAATTTGTATGAATAGGTTTGATTATACTAAAAGGAAAATAAATTTGGGATGTAAATCTGCTTGGTTTCTTAGGAAGGAAATCAGTTGCTTTTTAAAGTCAGGTTATTGAGGTATAAGTCACATACAGTAAATTCATCCTTTATGGTGTAGAGTTCTATGAATTTTGACAAATACATTTAGTCATATACCATCACCACAAAGCAAGATATAGAATATTCCTATCACCCCAAATGTCCCCTTATGCCCCTTTTTGTTGTCAATACTCAGTTTTAAATCCAGCCCCCCATTTTTTTTTGTCCTGTATATTTTGAATACAAGTTCTTTACCAGATGTATGTTGTTTACCAAATATTTTCTCCAAGCACATAGACTGTCATTTAACAGTGTCTTTTAAAGAGAAACTGTCATGACAAAAGTCCAGCAGTGGGTTGTAAGGCTCTAGGCATAAGGGCTAGGGTTGCAGTAGGTGCCATTCATTGAAACAACAGAGAAGGAAAGACCCCTGTTCTATTAGGGATAGGAGACATGAAGTCGGGATGTGGGCTAAGCATTAGGGACATGGATACGGGGCAGGGGTCTCAGGTGGAAGCTAGTTACAGGAGTAAGCTGAGGTGACAGAAGATGGGGGCACAAGGGTGGTCATACTAGAAGCAGATGGTGACTGATGTCCGGCTGACCTACCCGCCTATAGCTTTTGGAATACCCCTTTCTTGTGATTGACTAGGTTCAGGCCCAGAATCTGAGGTGACAGTGAATCTTTGGGAAGGAGTCTTTAACCCTAGCTTAAGAAAATTAGGAGGACTCCACCCTGTGGAATTCCACAGACTATCAAAGGTAGAGTCATTATCCTGTGTGACTGTGCATTTCAAGGAACTTCTCCTAAACTTGCTTTGATAATTATATGTTGCTTTGCTAATTTGGATGAAGAACAACATAGTCAGAATATAGTTTAAATACAGTGAAACCATATTTACTGGTTTATTCACTAAATAGCTATTGACGCCCGTGCTATGCTGGGCACCGTCGTAGGGGTAGGGTCACAACAGGCAAAACAAGGGAGATAGGCCTTGCTTTCATATGGTTCACATTCTAGTGATGGAGGGCAGTGTATGAATAGACAAGTAAACAAATATGAAAAAAAAAGAAATTTCAAATAATGGTGAAGTGCTTTTATGTAATCAGTAGACAATAGGATCATGATGGTAGGGGTCATATTGTACTGGCTCATCGAGGTAGGATGGCTCTGTCATTGGGGTTGTAAGTTGAAACATGACTGAGGCAGGTCTCAATCAATAGAGGTTTGTTTAGCTGAGGTGGAGGATGAATCTGGGAAAAAAAAATTCAAGCCACAGGAGGATCTGTGACCAGTGCTTTTTCCAAAGTGGATTTGGGGAACTTCAGTATTCAAAGGGCAAGCAGGAGGGGAAAATAAAAGGAGAGGGAGGATAGGCAATGAGGAAGATGGTTACTTTCTTGTGAGGCTCTGATTAGCCTCAGTAAATCTGCATTTTTACATGTGAAAAGAGGGACTAGGGAAAAACTGGACTATGTATTATCCCTGCTCAGTAAATCTACATTTTACATAAGACAAAGTAAACATGTGAAAAGAGGGAATAGAGGAAATTAGGCTTTTGTGTGACTTTATTATAAGTCCAAAAAGATATTAACAAGTATTGGTGAGGGTGTAGCAAAATTGGAACCCTCTTACATTGCTATTGGGAAAGTAAAGTGGTTGTAGCCACTTTAGAAAATAATTTGTCAGTTGCTCAAGATGCTAAGCATAGAGTTGCCATTTGACCCAGCAATTCCACTTCTGTCTACCCAAGAAAATAAATATGTATGTTCACACAAAGACATGTACATGAATGTTCACAGAAGCAATACTCATAATAATCAAAGAGTAGAAATAACATCACAAATTTTCATCAACTGATGAATGGATAAACAAGATGCAGTCTATCCACGCAAAGGAGTATTCTTCAGCAATAAAAAAAAAAGGAAATACTGATATCTACTACAACAATGTGGATAAACCTCATAAACATACTGAGTAAACGAAACCAGCCACAAAAATTCATGTATCTTATGATCCCATTTATGTAAAATGTTCAGAATAGTCAAATTAATAGAGACAGAAAGTGGCTTAGCGGTTGTCTACGGCTGGAGAATGGGAAGGGAGAATGGGAGTGACTGTGACTGGATAGGAGGTTTCTTTGGGGGATGATGAAAATATTATGAATTAGATTATGGTGATGGTTGCACAATTCTGTAACTATACTAAAAACCAGTACATTGTTCCCTTTAATTGTATTGTTTATAAATTATATCTCAATGAACTACTAAAAAAAAATAAGATCAACATGCAAATACCTGAGGGGCAAGGAGTTTCCAGAGAGGGAACTGCAAGTCTGAGCACCTGAGGTGGGAATGAATTTGCTTTATTTTTGGAACAGAGAGGATGTCAGTAAGGCTGAAGTTAGTTGAGGAAGGAGAAGGAAGTAGGGGCCAGTTCAGCCTGGGTCTGTTAAGGCATGGCCGGGAGTTTGGATTCTATTTTGAATGTAATGAGAAGTCACTGGAGAGTTTGTAAGATAGTGACATGATGTGACGCATTTTAAGAGTAGTCTGGCTACCTTGTTGGTATTGACTCTGGGGGCATGAAAGGATGCAGTAAGACCAGCCAGTAGCCATTGTAGCAATTTGGGTAAGACTCAGAAATGCTGTAGATTTTTTTTCTTCTCTTTTTTCTTTTTCATAAGCAAAAAGCAAGGTCACCTTATATTTAGTAGAACAGTTCTCGTGAGCCATCCCAGGACAAGACACTAGCCAAAATATTTGACCCACTGTTAATCTTTACTACCCTAAACAAGATATACAAAAAATAATCTGTTAATAATGAAAAGTTTAAGCTACTCTTATATAATTTGTATTTATAAAGGAAGTATTATCCCAGTTTAGTATCTAAATTCACTTTTCCCTTCAAAAAGCACTGTCAAGGTAAAATATGGGCCACTTTTTGTGTCTCTGACAACTCTTTCCACACTAATTCCCTAGCTCACAGCAACAAAATGGGTTTTCTTCATCATAAACTACATTCATCAGTTCTAAATTTGGAACAGGAACAATAAGGCAGAAAAATAGAATTTACATCAGACTCTTCTTCTTGCCCAAGGGGTTATTTGCTTTGTGCAAACTAAAGTGGGTGGCAGAGAATAGGTAGGCTTTGTTAGACCATTACTCATGTAATAAGATTTGAGGTCTGCTTTTCAACACAATTTTCAATGGGCACTTTCCCCATGGCTAAATTGCTGCCTACAGACATTTTGATTATCAAATATAATTTAAAAGTAAAAAAGGACAAAATACCCCTTATTTTCTCTAACCCCTACCCTTTGAGTTTGTCAGTTTATCTAACAGAGAGGAGGTTTGCATATCAGGGAAATGTGTTCAACCTTGGAATGTCTGACTCTCATCTAGGACTCCTCCAGCCTTCCTTCCATCCCGTGACAGGTCCCAAGGTATCTCTCCAGATGCCCCAGATATTTCTATGTCAGGAGCCAATCAACCTTGAAAGTATGAAGTGATTTGACACCTTGTCTTTCAGTCAGCCCCAAACATTCATATACAGGCTGAGTATCCCTTATCTGAAATACCTGGGACCAGAAGTATTGCAGATTTTTTGTTTGTTTGGATTTGGGAACATTTGCCAGTTGAGAATCCCTCATGTGAAAATCCGAAACCTGAAGTCCTCCAATGAGCATGTCCTTTGACCACCATTCTGGTGCTGAAAAAGTTTGGGATTTTGGAGCATTTGGGATTTTAGACTTTCAAATTGGAGTTGCTCAAACTGCACCACATGTTCATTTCTCTATAAAATTGAGCCATCCCCCCTGCACTGGTTACAGATCCTGTTAATCAATTATAAATCTGCTCCTGTCTCAGTGCGATTTTCTTCCAGGTTCTACCCTTCATAATCCTTTGCATCTCCTTGTGAAGTTTGTTATGCCCCTAACCCCTTTAAATGTTAATTCTTGTCCCAATTATAGCTTGGATTCTAAAAAGGTTGAAGTATGCATTAAAGTAGATTTGCAGGTAGCTTTAGAACTTTAAGCTCAAGTCCTGTCTCTAAACTGGTATGACACTGTCTTACTGATAGAGACAGGAGGCAGGCAAATTCTGGGCAGAAGAGAGCAGGTTCCTGGCAAGGTCCCCACCCCTCAAGCCTGGAACCGCAGCCCAAAGTGAGAACATAACATTCCTATTTTCCCACTTGAATGTTGCCTTTTCCAAAACCACCCATGGCCCACCTGGTCTCCCATCCTGTGCCCATAAAAACCACAGGATCCACTGGCAGCAGAGAGGAGAAGCAGCTGGAGGTCGGAGACTATGGTTGAATGTCAGAGAGGAGCAGCTTGAGTTCAGAGGGACAGCTTGATGGGATAGCTTTGAAGAGAAGTCTGGCTGGGTACAGCCAGATTCTGGGGAAAGATTACCTTTCCACTCCATCCCCTTTCCAGCTCCCTTTCCCACTGAGATCCACTTTCACTGGCAATAAAATCCCCCACATTTGCCATCTCCAATTTGTTCATGCGACCTAATTCCTCCTGGACAGTGGACAAGAACTTGAGTGCAGCCGCAAAAGGCTGCCACACTGACCCTTCACTGAGCTGTTAACACTTAAGCCATCCATGGACAGCAAAACTGAAGGAGCACTGACTATAACACTCCTTCTGGGACTTCAGGGGTTGCAGGCACCTCCGTAGATTCTGCCACGGGGCCAGCATGGATTCGTTCCTGATGGCACCCAAAAGTGCTCACCCTGGCTCCTGCACCTGCTCATCTATGTGCTCCCTCCTACAAGGGGTTGAGTGCAGCAAGTTTGAGTGCCTTTGCCTGTGTACTCCAGTTCCCACCTGCAAAGGGGTCAGGGAGATTTCCTGCTTCATTACCACCTGTTTCCAAGTAACATTGTATCTCACTGTGATCACTCATTGCTTTATGCCATGGTAGTAGCCTGATAGGTCCACTAGCTCTCAGCTGTCAGTCACCTGCTATGCACGACCCACCCCACCACACCCCTCCAAACTGGGTACACTGGAATGTCTGGCTATCTTCTACACTATGCTCAGGCTAGGGGGAGTCATGGGACCCTGTCTCAGGCCCTCTCCACCTAAGTCCACCATGCTGGCATTCCTGCTGTGCCCACTCCACATAGCCACAAGACACTTTGCTAGATGGTCAACCAGTATCTCATATGGAAAGCAACCTATAAATTCCCTGAGCTCTGGGATTGTCAAATCTCTCAGGGAAATCCCAGAGATCTAATAGAACACCGGAACCAGGGCACAAAGCCCACAATAAAATGAGATTAATTTTTCCTCCTCTCTCACCTAGCTTTTCCTGCCCATAGCCCCACAAGGTCTTTTGTACTTGTGTGATGGAAATGTCCCTTCTGGCATAACTTCTATTCTTTCAGGCTTCGATGATTGATTCCTGATTTGTGAAAACCCCATTTGGGAATTTTCTAGAAAAGTATTATTTTTCTTTCCTAAAGCCCTGTTTTTATGATTTTTGTCTTGATAGGGACTTTAAAATGCTCAAAGCTGAACTGTGACTTTTTTGTTCTCAGCACTGTCCATCTTCCCCTTTCCTGGAGCAAAAAGTCTCAGACTCTCGGCCAAGTCTGAATGTCAGAAAAACTGCTTGGCAAGACGGATGGAAGTACACTTCACCAAAAAGAGAAAATACATCATATGATTTTTCAAAACGTTATTATGGATGTTGTTTCATGGCTGTATTATATTCTTATAAATTGTGTTCCTATCCTGCTAATTCCCCATATTGATATATAGATAACTTCTCCTGTTACTAAAATATCACCTCTCAATATACACATAAAAGAAAACTTCACCAACAACAACCTTACTCCATACCCTCTCCATAGTAAGTCATTATCATTTATTTAAATCTTTGCTAATCTGATCAATTTGTTTTGCATTTATCTGAATGGTAATGAGGTTATACATTTTTGACCTTCTCTGATTTCTTTTTTTTCTTTTTCCTTTTTTATTTTTTAATTGTATATTCAAATTATTTGCCTATTTTTCTATTAAGTACATTTTGGGGAGTGTAGAAATAAATAAAGACCATTCAAATGAAAAGAAGCTGAGACCATCCATTCAGAGCTTGCCATAGCAAGTCCATCAGCCATCATCACTCCTCTTTGTCAGAGACTCAAGGGCAGTAAACGGAATGGGAAAGCTTTATAGTGAGGGTGATATGGTTTGGCTCTGTGTCCCCACCCAAATCTCATCTCAAATTATAATTCCCATGTGTCGATGGAGAGACCTGGTGGGAAGCAACTGGATCATAGGGGAGCATTTTCCCCTTGCTGTTCTTGTGATACTGAGTGAGTTTTTATGATATCTGGTTGTTTGATAAGTGTCTTGTGCCTCCCCCTTCTTCCTTTCTCCTGCTTCCCTGTGAACAAAGTGCCTGCTTTCCCTTTGCCTTGCACCATGAATGTAAGTTTCCTGAGGCCTCCTCTGCCACATGGAACTGTGAGTCAACTAAACCTCTTTCCTTCCTAAATTATCCAGTCTCAGGTATTTCTTTATAGCAGTGTGAAAATGGACTAATACAGTGGGGAAAAAAAGAAGCTTTCAGGTATGCCCTAATTGGAAACTGTTGGCATAGGGAAGCTGGAGGCTGACTAACTACAAGGAGGGGATTTTATATGATTTATAGATGAAGATTCTGTTTGATTTATGAAGTTGAAAGTGTAATTAGAGAAGCTGACAGGACCAAGTCCTTACCATTTGGGCCAAGTTCAATTGTTGCAGAAGTTGAGGGTCAGAATTCTTTTTATATGTGGTCTGGCCATTGTCTGTTTCTATTTTCAGTCTCTTAGAAGGGGAAAGATGTGTGTGTCTCTCTCTCTTTAATATTTAAGATATTAAGTATAGATTAAGGGGATTCTATATTTGTTATGTACATTGCAAACTGATCCTAAGTTTTAAATTTTTCTCATGTGTTTTAAAATTTTATAGAAACTATCATTTTTATGACCTCTATTTCTTTTTTACATTCAAAGATTTAAAATATTCACCTATATTTTCTTGTGGTAATTTTATGGTGCTACTTTTTTCTTTACATTGCCTATTTTAACCTATCTGGAATTTATGCTGGTATAAGGTAGAAACTAGTTTTTTTTTTTTTAATCCAAATTGATATTCAGTTGTCTCAACATCACTGATTGGTAAACATATTCATTCCCTAGCAAGGGATTTTCCAGTAAGAGTTTTGATTTTGATGAAATTATAATATCAGAGCGTGAATTTTAATTAAACTCTAAACTGATAAAATGCCTTTCAGATCCTTAAATGATCGGAGTCCAACTGGGGAAGGGCAGGTAGTAAACATCATCATGGGTAGCGAAAAGAAAATTCAGAAAAACTTGCTGGGGCATGCATTTCATTCACAAAAGCTTACTATGTGTGTATTTTTTTGTCTTAAATGTACAGTAAATTGCACAAATCTTAAATGAACCATTCAGTGACTTTGCACAAATGCATACACCTGTGCAACTTAAACTATCAAGATATGGAACATTACAGTCACCTTAGAAGTTCTTTCATGTTCTTTCCTAATCAGCCCCTGCCCACTCTACAGAGGCAATCACTGTTCTGATTTTTTTCATCATCATACATTAGCTTTGTCTGTTGTCATCTACAAACTGCTTTGAAATGCTTGAAAAATAGTATGCTTTGATGGAAGGATAGAAGAATGAATAGAGAGATAGTTATGCAATAAAGAAAGTACATATAATGCCATGATAAAACCTGAGTAGTAGGTATTTGAGTATTTCCTGTAAAATGCTTTCGACTTTTCTATATGCTTGGAAATTTACATAACGAAATGTTAGAAATGAGAAAAGAAAAGAAAAATTCCAATGAAGAGCTAAAACACTTCTGAAGAAGATCATGATCAGGGAATATATCTTGCTAGATATCAATAAAGATATAAAGATATATAAATCCATGCAATGTGTTGATATAGAGATAGAAAAATTGGACAATGGAACAGAATAGAGAACACAGAAATAGACCCACACGTATGCAGAAACTTTACTTATAACAGAAAGAGCACTGCAGATCAGTGGGGAAAGAATGGACTCTTTAAGAAATGATACTTGTACAATTAGTTGTCTACATGGAAAAATAAAATAAAATAATATTCTTTTCTAACAGTGTAATGCCAAATGACTTAAATACTTAAATGGGAGGGCAAATCTGTGAAAGTTTTAGAAGATGTGCTAGATGTAGTTGACTGATGTTCAGAATCCATTTCCACTTTCTTCTGATATGTGTCACAAAAGATCAAAAATCTCAAAACTCAAACAAACAAACAAAATCCCAACTTCCCAGCAGCTAAGGATGTTGATACAAATTAGATCTCATCTTTTAGGTATACTCACATGGGATTTAGAAGGTGGCAAAAAGGCTTACGCTTGCTACTTTGGGCTGTTTTCTGCATCAAGCAAGACCATAGAGAGCCCCACTGGTTGCCCACCTGCCTGAGTGGTGGAGGGGGCAGGTGCACTGGCAGCAGTAGCTGGGCTCTGTTCCAAGCTTTGGTCACGGGCTTCAGAGCTGTCAAGATGTGGTTGATTTTTTGGCCATGGCCAGTTTGCAATCATGATTTCCTGATCTTGGATCATAGCTATTGAATTCAAGGTACATCCTTGAATTCAATAGTTGCAGTCTTGGCCTTTTGATTACCTTCTTCCAGATTTGTGCAAAGGTCAGTTTCATGATTTCTGGGAGTCACTTCTGGAGGCTCAACCTAGATCCTACTCCTGGAGGCTAATGTAGATTTCATCAGAATTAACTCCCCCTTTGAAACCATCCAAGCATTAGTGTTGGTGGTGGCTTTGTGTTGTTGCTAATAGCTGGCTTGCCCCAACATCCCCCACTGGACTTCTTAGATCTTTCATCCTCCATGCCACCAACATCCTGTATTAAATTTATTTTGTCTCATGCAGAGTGGTTTCTGTTTCTCTGGCTGTACCTTGACTGATACACACAACTGCAAACATCACTGGGAATGAATCTCAGAAACTTGAAAAAGAAAGGCAATGGCAGCAGAATACCAACAATATAATTGCATTCATACAAATTTAATAAATATAATAAATAAATATTATTAAAAATAATATATTGGTTAGGGCTAAAAATGTGTGCTAAATTTATAAAGAAAAGCTGTTGGAAAATTTCAGCAATGAAAATATAATTTTTGACTATCACTAAGTTAGCCACTTGTAAAAGAGAAAGAAAGGAAATAGGCAAAAGGTTACCAAAATCTAAGCCCACAGACAGCATCTACAGCAAAGCAGGTGACAAGGTATCCATCTGAAGATCTGGGTATAATATATCTCAGAATCTACCACCTGAGACATGGAAGAGAGTATCTAACCATTGGCTCCCATCTCCCAGAGTTGCCTTCAAACATGTTAATGCCTTGTTAATACTATGGTGCTTTCAGCTTTGTACATGCTCCAGAGTGACTAAGTAGGCCCCTACAGATGCTCCGCATGACGGTGGCCGAGAAGCCCAGGATAGAAAGCAAGAGATACGCCAGTGCAGCTAAGCCAAGGGCTGTCCACAATGGTCATTACAAAATAGTGGGACTAGATAATGTCAGCCAGAGTGTAAGATGTACCCAGCACAGTCCTAAATCCTGGCAATAGAAACTACATTTTCTTTACAAGGACACATGGAACATTCAGGAAAATTGTCCATATTTTAGACCATAAAGAAAATCTCAATAGATTCCCAAGAATAGTAATAACACTAAGAGCATTCTCTGACCCCAGTGAAATAAAATTAGCAATGAATTAAAAATAATAATAGTTTTTAAAACTACACACACACACACACAATTAGCTCCTAGGCCAAAAGGGAAATACTAAACAAAATTGCAGAATTTCTTAAAAACAAAAAAATGAAAACATTGCATATCAGATGTATAGTTGAAGCACTGAAAGGGGAAAATATATGCTATATAAGGAATACACATATATGTGTGTTTGTGTGGGTGTGGGTGTGTGTGTATAATTAATTTCTAACTCCAAAAACTAGAAGAAAAACAAAGCAAAATTTAAAAAGCCAAAGGAAGGAACTAATAAGACAGAAGTAGAATTTAATGGGTTAGAAAACAGAAAAATACTAGAATTAGTAGATAAACACAAAAATTGTTTCTATGAATAAAATTTAAATAGACAATTCATTAGCCAGCCTAATGAAAGAAAAAAAAAGTCATGGTGGGGAAATGATAAAGGAGAAATAACCTCAATCATGGACTCTCAACAAATCCTAAGAAATGACTTTGGCATTGAGTGACCATTAGTCCCACTCAGTGGCTGCCTATGCTCCCAGCATTCCATCCAGTAACCACACTCTGCAGCAATCAAGAATGTCCTGATTTGGTAAATAATTTCTATGCTCACCTTAATTGTACACAAGTCTATATATAAATTTGAAAACGTAAATTGAAATGAATAATTTATTAAAAAATGTGTAGCAGTAAAATTATCCAAAGCAGAGATGGAAGTCTAAACAGGCCAATCTCCCCAGAAGACAAAGAGGAAATAGTTTTGTGGATTCCCCACAAAATAAGTGCTGGGATCAGATCTTAGTTTTGTGGAGAATTTTACCAAACTTTTAAAGATCAGATAATATTAATGTCACTTACACTATTCCAAAGCACAGAAAAGAAGAAAAATTTCCAAATTTATTTTGTGAAGGGAGACAATTGACACCAAAACTTGAAAAAGAATACACCACAAAGAAAACTATAAACCAGTCTCACTTACGACTATCCATGCAAATACCTTAAACTATCAACCAATAGACTGTAATGGCAAAATTAAAAAATACTGTGTCCTAAGTGATTCCTCTTCCCAGACATATAAAGTGTGTTGAACATTAGAAAGTCTTTGAACATAATTCATCATACTAATCAAGCTAAGGAGAAAGATCATATTTTTTTTCTCCCCAGGTGCAGAAGTATTTGATAAAATTCAAAACTCATTCATGTAAGAAAAAAACTCAATAAACTATAAGAATTATTACATACTTTCCAAATGACTCAGTGCAATAGTGAATGTAGTACCTTATGTATTAGAAAACTTCTAGGCTTTTTCTCTAAAGTCAGGAACAAGATAGAAATGCCAGCTATGGCATTTCCTCAGCAATTAAGCATTGCTATCATATTGTATCAGAAAATGCTATCATAAAAACTTAGAGATACATGAAGTGAAAAGAAGGAGGTAGAATTATCTCTATTTACATGTGAGATAATTTTATATGTGGGAAACACAAAGAATCAATGGAAAAAATGCTAAGAATCTTAGGATCATTTGATAAGATAGCAGATTGTAAAATCAATATGTAAAAAGTAATAGCTTTTATATGTATAAATAAAAACTAGTTTGAAGATACAATAAAAGGCCCCACCTATAATGGCAAAGATAAACTCACAAATATACACATAAACTTAATAAAAAATGTTCTAACGCTCTACGAGTAAGACTAAAAAACAGTCCAGAAGAACAAAAAAGTAGATTTGAAGCTCATAAAGGGGTGACATCAGTTCTTCCCTACATGATTTATAAACTTATGAATTTAATTGAATTCAAATAAAAACACCATTTTTCTGGAGCTAAAGTTCTTTAAAAGAAATAAACAAGCAAGAATAGCAGAAAATCCCTGAAAAATAAGAACAATGAAAGAAGGGGATAACCTTTCCAGATAGTAGATCATATCATAAACCCGGTATAAAATCAATGTACTGTTAGTGCTTGACTAGGTAAAACAGAGCAATGGAACAGAATAGAAAATTCAGAGGTAGACTCAATTGCAAATAGAAATTTAGTATACTATAAAGATGACATCACCAATCAATAGAGTGAGGGAAGGGAGTAAACTTTTAAACTGAAGTTTACCATTCATGGGAATGTAAAAATAAAGGATGAGACAAAGGAAAGGGAAGACAGTGAGAATTTATTAGGTGCCTACTGTGGAGCCAAGCACTGTATCAGATACTTCGATAGTATTATCTCAATACTCATCACAATTCTGTAGGACAGTTATTACTATTCCTATTTCATAGTTGAGATATGAAGTCTAAGAGATTAAATTTTCTGAGGTCACCAAAAGTATAAACAGAAAAGATAGGATTTAAGCCCAGTTCTCTATGACTTCAAATCTTGTGCTTTCTTTTCCAGTATATGTGAAATAAGAGTGTGTACAGAGATCAGGGAGGAAATAGTTCAGGGCGTAGTGGGCAGCCTGGTCGAAGAGGTAAGATGGGATTAGGTCAAGTGAGCCTTGATTCTTGTTACAGATATGCAAAATTGACCTCAAAAGCAAAAGGATACAATTTCTTGGATTGTGATGCGAATGTAAGAAAAGTTTCCCTGAAAGCATTGGCAGAAATAAAGCATGGTTGACTTAGTCTACGGCACCAATCCATATCCAAATGAACCTATAATCTAGTAAAAACTACATGCTTACTTTGTAAATATAGCTTGGAGGCAGATCCTCTAACCTCGTTTTCCGACCAGAATGCACTCCTGGGCTGCTCCTATGTGGGCAATCCAGAGCTGCCACTTCCAGGCCAGGGTATTCTGGACAGATGGGAGAAGAAAGCCAAAACTCTGCACAGAGACCCTTGCCAGAAACTGGGTAGCTGACCTTCTCATTGGCAAAAGGCAAGAGAGTTTCCCACTGGGCTTTATGAGTATAGTAATATGAGGCATGTAATTTTCTTGAAATCAAGTGCAGAAGTTATAGCCGCTATTTTGAATACATGCTGGGTTTAAAATTTGCTTTCGCATATTCCTAAATTGTGTGTCATTTTTCATGCAGTTGAAACAAAAGAGGCAAAGTCCTAAAACTTTAAAAGATTTTTTCCACATCATAAAAACCTTAGTCAACACTTTTCCTTATGTTCATAGAGAGTTAATGAACTTACTTATTAATATTTTTGCAGCTACAATTCAAATGTGATATCCTCTCATATCTAAGCACTTCTCTCTGAGCAACAGAAGCTTTAAACTACATTGCACATACCTTAAAATTCTATGTGCCCTTTGGGAAAATATATGTGCTTGCTCCCTCTGTGTTCAGAAGCCCCCATAAACGGTGCGTTGTGTCTGCCGTTATTACCATCTGGTAGCTGGCATCAATTCCCTCGCCAATTTCCTCCAACAAGGCAGCCTTATATGAACGCTTGAGGTAATGTTTGACAGGCTTTGGCGACACAGTGGGGATTAGGCTTGGTTCCTTTATTGTGCTGCCTCTCTGGTGGAGATTTCTCAGAATCTGGGCAATTCTCAGATTTGAAAAATTCTAATAGCTTAGCTGGAAGAAAGCAAGCGAGGGAAGAGGGCAATGAATTAGTTCTCTGCCGGCCTGTTCATTCCCATGTGCTGCAGGTGGTAACCAGCAACCAGAGAGTGTCCGGATGCACCTTAATAACCAGGAGCTGCATTAGTCAGCATATTTTCAGCATGTGTCTCATCTTTAGTACACTTACTTAATTGAGCATCAGAGAAGCCGTGACCAAATTAATATTCAAGCAAAGCTTTGGATTAGTAACCGAATGAAAGCCACATGGCTCCCTTGCTGTTCGGCTGAGTGGTGATCACTGTTTCATACAATTGCCAGATGTCCAGCTTTGAGAACATGATACTCAAAAAAGAATAAAATCAGCTTGGTTTTCATGAGCAAGTAAATGATGAGTCAGATCTACCCGTTTCATTGATGCAGGAGAATAGAAGGGCTTGAAGACCATCAATGCAGAGCCAACTGGGGAAGGCATCAAGCCTGTTATGGAGTGAAGTGGAAGAAAGAATACTGACTCGGAGAAGAGGGACCTTTATTCTAGTCACTCCCTTGCTCTTACTAGCTATGTGGCATTGGCAAGGGACCTTGGTCTCTGAAAATCAGGTTTTACACCTGTAACATAAAGTGAGAACATATACCTCATGGGGTTGTGATGAGCATTAGCCAGAATATAGTTAGGAGAACACAGTGGGAATTTAACGGAAGGTAGCTGGGTCAGAGTAACTGTGGCCCTTTGGATCAGAATGGTGCTCAAAGTCAGTGTGACTATGGCCCCTTTGGTCACAGTGACACTTAGGGACCTCATGGTCTGAGTCTCCATTCGACAAGACAAACCAGTATAGACCAGGACCCAGAGGCTGGACAAAAAATACACCTGGATAGGGCAAACCCTAGAAGTCAGCCAGCTGCAAAAACTGAGTGAAAGGGCAAAGAGGTGGGACAAAGGATAGGGTAAGTGTGGAAAATGGAGACATATTGCAGATCAGATGCCCAGTCAAGCATCAGAAAGCTCTGATACCTGGTCCTGACAAGTGAGTGGTACATCCTCAGAGATATTCAGGCCAGCCAATTGACCTCAGGAAGTAGGGACCAGCCTAGCCACTTAACGTGATTCACTTACATTCCTGGGGGAAATGCTATCATTGAGGCCAAAACATCAGAAATAATTCAATGGTTTACTTAAAATTTGATAGTTCTTGAAACCATATGACACTGTTCCTACAGACAGATTGGAATTTTTTGTTCTTTTTGAGAGGGGTAGGTAAACGGCTACTGCATTCTTCTAACATTCAGAATGTGGCTGTACTTGGCCATCTTCCCTGCCTCAATCCACACAAAGGACTTTGAAATTATGGTGGTATTGTACTTTATTCACCATTTTATCTCAGTACCTAACATACCACCTTCATGAAATTCCTCACAGTTCAGTTGGATGGATGGATGGATGGATGGACGGATGGATGGATGGATGGATGGATGGATGGATGGATGGATGGATGAATATGCTATTATTTATCTTCCTAGATTATCTTTTTCCTCCCTTTTATTCAAAACCATCTCTCCTTTCTTCAGCCACCCTAACTTATTTCCTCAGAAGCAGATTCTTGTGTCTTGCTCTGGGCTGTCAGAACACTTGGCTCATATCTCTGGTAGAGCACCCAATGCACCTTCTTGTGATTTTTCTGCGTCTGTCTCTCTCATTTCCATCAGATTATGAGCTCTTAAAAGATCCATGCTGTCTGTTTTTCACATTTACTCCCTAACACCAGGAACACCACCAAATCAACGTTCAGTGAATGATAATTGAATAAACTTATTCCCCTCATGCAAGAAGACCTCCCTTTTAGTTCTTGGATGCCAAAAATTGGCTGCTTTATTTGATCCACAGCAGATGTTTTAAGGCCTGGCAGAGAAGTCCACACATTGGTATCTTCTGATGAAATTCACCAAGGAAGTCAGCACCAGTAACCATAACAAGTTGAAATTTTAGCAAAATGTCCTCTTGTGTCTTTTTGAAAGTGAGTCTCCCTTAACTGTATGTATTCTCTCACTCTCAAGCAGCTTTAGATTTGGAGTCTGGTCAGTGGTTTAGAGCATGAATGCTGGAGTCAGACTGTCTGGGATTAAATCTTGTCTCTACCAATTCTTAGCTGTCTACTTGACCTCCCTGGGCCTCACTTTCTTCATCCATAAGAAGGGGATGATAACAATAGTACCTACCTCATAGGATGGTGCTGAGAATTAAACAAATAGGTAGTAAGTGCTTAGAACAGTGTCTGGCATGTAGTAACCACTTAAGCACCAAACATTTTTGTTGACAATTTGCCCTATGTTAAATATAGGAAAGGAAAAGAGAGAACTTCTGGTCTGGACAAAATATTATAGAAAATGGGCAAATGGAATGAAGAGACATTTTGCAGAAGAGGATATACAGATGGCAAATAAGTATATGAAAACATGTTCAAAATCATTAGCCATCAAAAAATGCAAATTAAGAACTTGGTGAGATATTACTTCACACCTATCAAAATGGGTAAAACAAAAAATAGTAACAACATCAGAGCTGGTGAGGATGCAAAGGGGCTGGATCATGCCACATTGCTGGTGGAAATGAAAAATGGCCAGGCCGCTCTGAAAAACAGTTTGGCAGTTTCTTATAAAATTAAACATGCCACTACCATATGGGCCAGCAATTGCACTCTTGATTATTTGCCCTAGAGAAATTAAAACTTATGTGCACACCAAAAGAAGTACACAATTGTTCACAGTAGCTTCCTTTGCAATAGACGAAACTGCAGTCAGCTCAGATGTCTTTCAGCAGATGAATGGGTTAGATAAATTGCGGTACATCCATAACATGGAATATTTTTCAGCAATAAAAAGGAATGAACTATTGATACATGAAACCACCTGAATGAATCTCCACAGAATTATGCTAAGTGAAAAAACAATAACAATGGTTATATGTTATATATACTGTATGATTTAATTTATATAACATTCCCGAAATAATAAAATGATAGAGAGAGAGGACAGATTAGTGGTTGTCAGGGACCACTGTGGAGTCTGGGAGGGTAAAGGGAAGGGGCATGGCTGTAAAAGAGCAACAGGAGAGATCTCTGTGGTGTTGGAAATGTTTAGTATCTTGACTGGTGCTGGATACAAGAACTTACACAAATGATAAAATTGTATAGAACTCAATACACACAGACAGAGTTGGGGAAATCTGAAGATAGGTGGATTGTACCAATATCAATACTGTCTTTGAGATACTGTGATATTGTGCTGTAGTTTTACAAAATGTCACCATCAGGGGAAACTGTGCACAATATACAAGGGATCTATCTCTCTGTATTATTTCTTACAACTACATGTGAACTACAATTATCTCAATTAAAATGCCAATTAAAATAAAATAGGAAAAGACAACCATTCACCTTGCCTCTTATTTTAGTAGGTATTTATTGTTTAATGTGACAATTCATATCTGAAAGATTAAATATTTTCTATTTTTTTTCAGTGAAATGATAATAAATGACATCAGATTTTCTTATAGATTAAAGAGTTCCCTATTATCAGGACCTGACATGTGTTCAAAACTGCCCAGAGCAAAGACACAGTGCTCACTTACCAGGGGATATTGATCTGAGACAGCTCACTCTCCTCTCTAAGAGGCTGATGGAGACAACCAACGAGATCCAGCAAGATCTCTGGGATAAAACAGGCCTATGAATATTCAGTGCTCTCTCTTCCTCTCTCTTTCCCCCTCCCTGAATTGAGAAGGTGGAGCCTCATCACTCATCAGCACAGAAACTACCCCTAGATTGGCTATGAAAGGCAAATCTTTTAAGAGAACATTTTATAGATTATTGACTAAAATAAATTGTCTGGAAATGCTCAATCATTTTATAAATAATTCTTATTCATAAAGATGGGATATTTGTGATTAAAGTGAAATATATTCATTTAAAGCTAGTTACCATCAGGCATCCATCAGGAATGAAGGCACAAGTGAATTCAGCCATACATCAAAGGGCTCTTGGACTACAAATCATGCCATGGACACAACGGCTCCTTGCACTTATGCTGGGAGCGCTGTAGGCTGAGGGTCTATGACTTCAGCACTGCACATATGTGGTTGTTATTTAGAACTCTCCAAGGTATAGATTTACATTACCATCTGCCCTGTCAGTTGCTGTTTACATCTGCCTTAAAAGGGGGAGGGGCATAATCAATTAAAGAGTATGTACGAAGCCCTGGGAAAAATCAGCAACAGCAACAACAGCCCGAACTTGGGAGTAGTAGACATGTCTATTCAAAGGGGAAATCAGGGATTCATACTCTTCTGTCTTTGAAAATATTCCCTTTGAACTGTGGAAATTAAGTGACAAAAGGATTTGTTAAAATCTACAGGCTGGAATATGCTTAACACAATTAAGCTTCTCCAAAGAGCCTCAGAAAAATCTAAATTATATATTTTAAAATTCATTAATGATGAATTGGACTTTATAAAAATTTAAAAGCTATGCTTTGTGAAAGACTCCATGAAAAGATTAAAAATACAAACAGCAAACTGGGAGAAAGTATTTGCAACCCATATTTCTAATAAAGAACTAGTATCTGGAATATCTAGGATCCAGTTCAAAACTCAACAGTAATATAAAAAGTCCCATTAGAAGGTAGACAAGAGACATGAAGTAACATTTCACCAGAGAAACTACGCAGATGACAAATAAGCACATGAAAAAATGTTTAGCATAATTAGTCATGCACAGAATGCAAATTAAAACCATGACGAGATATTACTACTGAACCTACCTCTGAGAATGGCTTTTTAAAAATACTGGCAACACCAAATTCTGGTGAAGATACAGAGAAACTGGACCCTTCGTACATTGCTGGTGGGAATGGGAAATGCTACAGCCGCTTTGGTGTTATTGTAAAAGGAAACATGCAATTGTCAGTAATTACTCTTCTGGGCATTATCCCAGAGAAATTAAAAATTATGTTCACGCAAAAGCCTCTCTACATGAATGTTCATAGCAGCTTTATTTGTAATAGCCAAACATTGGTAACAATCCAGGTGTATATACAAGATGTCACACCAACTGTGGTCCATTCTATGGAATACTATTCAGCAATGACAAAGAACAAATTATTGACACACACAACAACCTGAATGGATCTCTAGGGAATAATGCTGAGTGAAAAAAAAAAAGCCAAACCCAAAAGGCTACCTACTGTATTATTCCATTATTAAAACATTCTTGAATTGACAAAATTATAGAAATGGAGAATAGATTCATGGTTGCCGAGTTTAAAAAGTGATTGGGAGCAGGAGGTTAGGAAGGAACGGAGGGGGGCATGGCTATATAACGGCAAGATAAGGGAGGCTTGTGGTGACAGAAATGTTCTGTATATATTCATGTAAATATCAACATACTGGTTTTGATATTGTAGGATAGTTTCATAAGATGTTACCATTGGATATAACTGCTTACGTATAGGAGATCTCCCTGTATTATCCCTCACAACGACATGTAGATCTATTACCTCAAAACAGTTTAATTCAAAAGAAGAATTCAAGGATTTCAGAAGGAAAGTATATCTTTTCCACTCAAGTGTGGACTGAAGATGCTGCTAACTCATTGGCCAACAAGGCTGTTGTTAAGAAGATAAAGTAAGGCAGGGTTTAATGCCTAGGTGATGGGTTGATAGGTCCAGCAAACCACCATGGCACACGTTTACCTATGTAACAAACCTGCACGTCCTGCACATGTGTCCCAGCACTGAAAATAAAATAAAATTTAAAAAATGAAGAAGATAAAGCAGGCAGTTTTGAACACAGACCTGCTTCTAGGCCCTGTCCCTCAACATCTAGGGCCTTCCCTTCCTAGACAAGAGCATCACCTTTCAGCAACCCTCATCTCTTCCCAGGAGGTCCCAATAAGGATCAACACAAAATGGAACAGGCAAAGAAGTCCATTCTCTGCTTATCTGTTACCATGGCAAAAGTCTAACCCTAGGAGTCAACCTCTTGGTGAGTTTACTATGGTTCTAGCCCTGTTATTTGGGATCCTGGCAAGTGGGAGGGAGGCACCAACAAACACATTGCCAGTGGCAAGCAGGCAGTTGAAACCAAGGGGTTGCCAGGGACCTGCTCTGCAGGGAACCTCAGGTAAGACTGGAAAAAATATGGATGTGTGGATGGTGCTCACGTATCTTCTGTGAGAACATATTTCTTGGGCATCACTGGGTGGTCCATTGGCTGCTATCAGGGGGTCTGGAGCCCTTCTAGTGGGTCCTGATACCTACCTGATCTCCCAGACTGGCCTTCCTGCTTTGGAGTCAAAACTGCTGCTCCTCCAAACCCCAGTGGGCTCTCCTCCAGTGAGCAGACCCAAAACATAGAACCTTCCTCTCCAAAAGACAGCATGTCTCCCGCCTCTCCCACCTTGCTTAAACATCCACTCTTGAGTGCCTACGTATTCCTAATATTGGTACATTTGGCTTTGTTCCTTTGAAGGAGGAAATTTTTTCTGGCCTGCACACTATAACCTATAGAGTTGGGGGCTGCTTTCTTTGCTATGTGCTGTTTGAAATGCTCTCTTTGCTGAGAGGTATTGCAAAGTGGTTACAAGCGTGGACCCTAGCATTTCATTACCCCATTCAAACCCTAGCTTCACCATGTGGGGAGACCTTGGTCAGATGATTTGGTAACTCTTGAGCCCCAGCTTCCTCATCAATAAAATGGGATGATGACTGTAGCTCATCTCACAAGGTTGGCCTGAGGGTTAAGTAAGTAGATATGTGTGAAGTCTCTAGAAGAGTGTCTGGCATTTTGGTAGCCTTACATAAATGTTAGCAGTAGCTACCCTTCTCTTCCTCCTCATGATAGTACTTTGAGAAGCAGCAATAGTGATTGAAAGTACTCTGGATTTAAACTTAAATAGCTTTGAGAGTCGAAATTAGCTGTGGCCTCTCTTGGGCATATCACTTAACTTCTTGTGCCTCAGTTTCCATATTTACAAAATCAGGCCAAAAAAAATCTATCGCATGGGAATTCAATGATGTAGCTGGTTTGTCTGAATTTCTCTGGTGTGCACACCGGAAACTCAAAGCACGACTCTATACTGTACTTTTGTAATGTACAATGATTGCCGTGGAGAGCAGCGATGGAGATGTTAGTCCTCTTTCCTTCTCCATCCCCCTTGCCCTGGTGCCTGTGAAACAGAGCATCCCCATGGCAACAGCAGCAGCTGGTCCCTAGATAAGAGGAGCTGGAGCCGGCCAGCAGCAGCCACTGCCGCAGAGGAGCCAGGCCCAGCCTCGGTGAGCACACACGCCCTCCCTGTCTCTCGCCTTCGCTTCCCTGCATCTGCGCTGATTGGTAAGTGCTTCAGATTTTTACTCCAAGAACTTTTGTGGTGAGAAAAGCAAGTTTCCAGTCAGTTACTGGGACAAAGAAGGCTGTAGCTGGTGGCACGGGGTTGTGCTTTATGGAGCAAGGCTAAGCTGGGGCCGAGTGGACAGCAGAAAAAGTTACCACTTTCAAGTCATTCTTCCAAGGGAGGGAATGGAGTTCTGTAAAAGACTGAACCCTCACAAACTCATTTGCAAAGTTTCAAGATGAAGTTGGTGTATCTGCATATTCACACAGGATAGAGAGGTTTATCTTCCAAGGCTGGGGAAAGTACAGAAAGTATGCTTCTCAAAACACATTCTCCATGCCCTACTTTAAGTCAGTCTCTCCTCCAGGAATACTGCCAATTTAGGTTTTCTAAATGAACAAATCTGATTTTAAAAGACGGTACTTTTTGACCTGAATTCAATCCTCTGGTTAAAAAGAGGTTTGACAATGAATATGTATTTTACATAGCCAGAGGGTGCATTAACGAGATACCACATAGGCTGTGGATACAACCTTCTACCCTTTTATTCCATCCAGTAAATCAAGACCTGATTACTTTGGGGGATATTCTTCAGAATACCGTATGGTAAGCTAAGTGTCAACTCGCTTCTGAGAATCAGTTCTATTATGTTCCCAAGATTTAGAAATGGGTTGGTTTTTGTCTTGAACTATTCTCATCTCATTACCAGCTTCAGAGAAGGCCAGAGATGGGATAAAGAGATAATTCTGATAGATCAATTTAGATAGACATATAATCACAAATGGAGGACTGAAAGATCCAAGAAGGTCCCTCACACTCACGAAAATATCAGTGTGTAGGACCTGGGCTCGGGACTCCATGCACATTCTATGGGTAATACTCTCAACAACCCTGGAGAAGAGCCACTATCTTCCCCCATTTAACAGATTTGAAAACTAAATTTTTGAGAGAACAGATAACTGTCCCAAGTTCACCCAGCTAGAGAGTGGTACAAGCAGCCAAACGTTGGCTTCTACCTTATATTGACTCACAGCATCCAATCTTAAAGTTGAGAGGAATTTTCTTCCCATAATTTAAACCGCATATTCTCACATCCAACTGAGAAAACCGCTCAATGATAAGAGAAAAGACAAAAAATCCAGACCAGCTTCTGACCACACACTGAACCAACTAATGTGTTTCAGCTCCGCTGGTGTGCCTGCCTTTCTGCAATATAGTGGGGTCCCTTTTCTGGCACCCAGTTCCTTCCCCCTTTCAGTTCCTGTTCTCAAAAGAGAAGGTGACCTTTGTCATTAACAATCCCTGTGTATTGTGACATCAATTTACATATTGCTGCTCTTAGTGGTATTTGCATTTACAAGTATCTCTCTGTAAAAAGAAAGGTTTTGTCCCTTGTGAAAAGGAAGGTAAGGATTAGTAAGAGGAAGTTACAAGAGTTTAAAATCTGAAATCCTGAAATCCTTTCTCAAACCCTGAAATCATATCTCTTGGTCTCTTGCATACTACACTGAATACCTACATTCTGTCAAACAACCACAACCAGAAGAGTAATTCGATCAATACTCTTTCATTCTCTAATTAAGAAATCTGAAACATTTTGAAAACCAAAAGGTTTGTTGTTAAGTTCAACACAAACTCATTTGGTAGCAAAGCCTGACCTGAAAGAATGTGAATTTTTTGTGGTTTGTCTTTATGTCACTTAGTGTGAATATTCATAGTTTTGCTGCAGAAATAATGGATGTGACTGCTGGTGCTCCTTGAGACCCCTCTAGAGCTGTTATATAATTTAAACAGTCCTGATTTCCACAGCACGTTTGACTCCAGGCTTGTCACAAGGGTGGGTGGCCAATATTGCAATGACAGTGGCAGTCCACGTCCCTGTGTGAGTGTTAGAATTCAGAGCCCACACTGAACCAATAAGTGGAAAGAGGATGTTAAAAAGGTCACAAGTCTTTGTAGTAGACACAGTTTATGAAAACACCCCCAAATGTGAAGTATTAGACAACAAGCCTCTCTGGAGGCCCTAGCTTTTTGGTTGAATTCTGAAGATGCAGAGGACCAACTATGCAGGCATGAAAGAAAGAGCTGGTGCCTTAGAAAGTTCCCAAGTTACAGGGAGATGATGAAACCTTCCCTGGGCAGCCCAACAAGTGCAGCATCCCTTTATGACACCTGCTTGGGGTAGAGACTGAATTAAAGAGAGGAAGGCGTGGGTAGAGTCAGGAATAGGAAATGGAAATATTCCATTTCCTATGTCAAGAATTAGACCGGCTCATGTCTTAAAACAGCTCACTCATAAAGAGCGCCCCTTCTCACTGAGGATAGAAATGGAGAGTGAGTTGAGAGATGGGGTCATTATACTAACAGGCTATGAAAATTATCAATAAGCCAACACTAAACTCCAAATGTCTTTCCCCTCCACTTGCTTGTTCTTTTCTTTGTGTGAAAATTTTCTCCTAAGAAGTCCGTAATGACATCATTCATGATAAAAGTATCTTCTAACCCCATGAGCAAAACACATCCCTGCACGGCATGGGATATTCTTGTAATGTAAAATCCCAGATCTGGAAATTGTCTCTCAGCCCCTTAGCAAACAGTCTTGCTGGTTCACCACCACCATTCTTTAAATCACACTGATTTGAAATAGTGTTGTTTCTCCCATAGACAAGATGAGCTATGCTGTGGAGGAAGCATGTGTCAGTTTTGTGACGAATCACTGCTTTCCCTCACCTTGTCCAGGGGCCTCTGACATGTTTGATTATTCAATTCATCGGCCAGAGACAGGCTTTCTTTTTCTAGACTGGTGCTGCCATAGCTGCTTTGCTCAGAGGAGGCCTGGACCTCCCGTGGCTAAGCATCTGAAAGAAAAGTTCAATTGCTTTTTAGAATCTTTTCATTATACAACGGGTCTTCCTTAGCCAAAAATCTAGCGTGGTAGATAGACAACATTACATAAAAATAGCTGCCACTTGAATTATGACTACAATGTGCTAAGCATGCAGCTATGCTATTTCATCTTCACAGTTACTCCACCCAGTAGGTATTATTATCTCTATTTTACAGATGAGGAAACTCAGGGTAAGCTCGGGGGACAGAGAGGGACATATGTTTCTGGGTGCCAGACTGTGTGGGCACCACAAAGATGTTAGCCTTTGCAAATTTTATTGTAGCAGACTTAACTTGTGTGGAGAGGGGGCAAAAATGATTCTATTACATTGGGCCCCATTTACTCTCACTACATCTTTAAGATTTAGCAACTTCATCGAAGTCATATGGCTTTTTAGTTTAAGAGCTGAGATTTAAACTAGGTCTATTTGACTCAAGAATCCAGATTCAAACTAAATAACCTGCTATTAGGCACATAAGAACAGCCATAGGATCCAAGTTAAAAACCGCCTTACCTTTCAAGGGTCGGGGAGAAGGATAAAGGTACTAACAGCAGATAGGACCTTCAGTAGATAGTAAGTGCGTGGCTTCAAATGATTACTCTGATTCTAAGTGTTTTACTAATGGTATGTCATTTCAACATTTTTGAGCCTCAGTTTCTTCTTCTGAGGAATGAATATTTTCAACAGATCCTCTATGGGGTAATTTTCAACATAATATGTATGACTGGGCCCATGACTCTGCCTGAAGAGGAGGAAAATTGGTTAAATAGGTGCATAAGACCATATCTGATGCTGCCTTGAGACCTCAGCACTCATCCTGAGTGATGTTCCCATGGCCCATCCAAGCTAACAGCATACTTCCTGATGGTCGCAGGGAGTTGGCAATCTCTATACAAACACTGAAAACAATGGTCTGAATTGATTTCTTCTGAAGTCACTCAGTACAATCAGTCTGCACAGAGTGACTCTAAAAGCTGTGCTCAAGTGATCAGTTAATAGCTCCATCTGCTATCCAGTGATCTCAGCACATAGAGGAAGAGACCCTCCCACCTTTTCAGAGAAAACCGGTTTATTCCTCAAAAGACAACAGAGTTGAACTCATTTTATGAGCTTGAAACATTAGCACAACTGGTCTGTGTGTTCATCTGCATGCTGGTTGTCAAGAAATCTCAAAAGAAAAGAATTGGTTGGGCGATTTTAATCTTATTTATTCCTCCCCCACCACTCTTGCTATAGTAGGACATGAGTAATAAATTATCTAAAAAGAACTCAAGATACAGAATCTAGCCAGGCTCTAATGAAGATTTTCTATAAATCTCAGCTAATGCATTTCTCCTTCAGACCTGACACATATCCATTCTGGAATTCCACTGCTCCTGGGCGACAGCTATAACTAATAGCTCTGGAAAGTTCAATGAACTTTCCAGGAAAGATGGAGGGTGGGGACGGGGACAGATTTGTTCTCATGTCTGGAATCCCTAGGGAGAAAATAAAGATCTATCCAAAACCCAGATTTTCTCCTACCATGTTTCTACCACCATCATAATGTGGATGGGGAGGTAGTCTCTTTACTTTATACAATAGTTGTAGAATGTAATGATTAAAAAAAAAAAAAAAAAAAAAAAAACCAAGCAAAAAACCCACAACAGAAGCCTTATTCAATTCGGGTTCAAAGGATTCATTTTATTTTTAAGAGACTCAGGTGTCTAATGGAAGTCAGCAGGACTGGACCTGTATATAGCCTTGGCTATTTAATAGATGTGTGACTAAATTAATTAAATTTTCTGAGCCTCTGTCTCCTCATCTGTGAAGTAGACATAATCCTACTTTGCAGAACTCAACAGAAAAAACATAGGCAAGGTTTAAGCATGATTTTCTGTGACTCTCAGCTAATTCACTTCTTATTCAGACTTGACAATTGCTTATTCTGAAACTCTCAATGTGTCTCTGAGAGAGGGCAAATATTGGACATTTGATACATGACAATTATGAATAAATCTGTCAGTGTGAGGGTGGGAGGGTTCATTTTATTTTGGCTTAAATCTCAAGTTTAGAGTTTCTAATAGCCAAGTTTAAGAAGCACACATAAAGAAACAGGATTGGATTGGGAACACAATAGCAGGTGCTCAACAAATATATTTACTTAGCAAATGATTGAATGAATGAATAAACAGAGCCATACTTATTAACTGTTTTTTATACTTCCTTAGTGCTGGAGAAGAAATACATCCACCCACCCTCCTTTGATGATGTCCACTGAGCAAATGCAGCCACTGGAACTCTCAGAAGACAGACTGGACAAGCTAGACCCTCGTTGCAGCCACTTAGGTAAACAAATGATCGATTGTGAATGTCAGTGGTGGAAGTCAGAGAAGAGGCGTCTCAGCCATTTGGTTTGCAGGCAAGTCAGAGAGAGGGCACCCCCCGAAACCTGATAGTCTGTGCCTTCTGGTGACAGCCAACACCAGATGGGCAGGCAAATAGCCATGGGTCTGTGGGGTCTGCCATGTAAATATTAGCTGAAGCACCAGTAAGAAGTTCATTAGACAGAGAGAGAGAAAGAGAGAGAGAGGAAGCATCGTCCTCTTTTTCTGGGTCTGACAGAGTCCCAGGCAGAGCATTTTTGAGGCAATAAATGGAATGTGTCAGTACAGCTTGTTTCCAGTATTTCCTGACACACTTATACCCCATGTGCAGTGCCAATAAAATATTTCAAATATCTCTCTTTGCCTATCAAGACAGAATTTTAAATAGCCTTTTTCTGCTTTATTGTCAATCTGTTTCCTTTCCAGAACTGACTTTTTGCATAACCTTTGTAATGAAAATACCAGAAACATTTCTGCCGCTACCCATTTCTAAAAATGAGACATTCAGACTTTTGATGGATGGGCCTTTTGCCTATTCATAGCCTTTGTCTATGCCTCACGTGGTTATGACTCCCCCCTCCTCTCCCCTCTCCCCATTTGCCATCAAGATATTTTATGTTCAAGATTTCTCCAAAAATGGGGAAAAGTGCAATTGAAGTAAAAGTCAAAATTAAAGCAAATGGCTGTGCACTGAGCAGAATCCTGGGGTTGAATTGTAGCCCATGACAGGTTTGTACCTCAAGAGACCCACAGCAGGCAGTACCCATTCAGAGCAGCATTCATTTATTCAACACATGACTATGGCATGTAAAATATTGGGGAAAGATTAACTGTGCTATGTGGCAATAAGCTTTTAAAATTGTGTTTGCAGCCAGGCATTAAGATACATAGTCCCAAGAGGCTGGGTTTAATCCTGATACCATAACCTGCCAGCAGTGTACCCCTCAGCTTTTTACCTGGCTTTCTGAGCCTCAGTTTCCTCATCTTCAACATGGAGAAAAGAGTATAACACCGTTGTAGACTTAGCATGAGAACTCAATGAGATCATATGTTCAGGGATGGTATTCATATTTAACAACTGATAAAGCATAGGCATTGAAAAATCAGAAAAGATGTAATAAATGAATGAATAACAGAGTTTGCATCTAGACCCACCAAGGTTTAAGACATTTAATCCTCAACATTTTAAGGAAATTTACCTGAATAGTTTTTAGTAAGAAAGAGAGAAATTTACCTGAATACTTTTTAAATAAGAAAGAGAGAAGGAAGAGAAGGAAATGAAAGGGAAGGGAAGGAGCTAAAATATCCAATTACTCTTTTAAAATTTCTCCATACTTATTCATATCTGTAGATCTAGCCAAACTATATCCAGGCCATACTTAGAGTGTCCAAAGAAGACAAAAAGTTTCACTGTCTTGTGGCTTCTTTGAATCCTAACGGAATAGTTTCTTATACAAAATATATTCCAGTTTATTCATCAAGCATTCATTCAACAAATATTTATTAATTGCTGCTGAAGAGTTAAAAGATAAGGCACCTGTCAGTAAAGAGGTCAGAGAAGACATATGCAGAAATAATAACTAGATCATCTTTTAAATATGTTACTTAAACAAAAATGCTGTGGATATTAAGAAAATGAGAAAGAACACTCAGGACTGGAGTTAATACAGATACATTTATGAAGATGGGAAGCTTTCCCCTAAGTTTAGTGGAAGGTTAGAGGGTGAGCAATGGCCAGAGTGAATATTTTGGGACATCTGAAGTATATCAACTGTATCAGATGCTTTGCAAACATTAACAATTTTAGCTCTCTCTCTCTCTCTCAAACACACACACACACACACACACACACACAGATTTAATATTAATATTATCTCCACTCTAAAGATTGAGAGAATATTAGTTTCTAGAAATGAAGGTGCAAGTTCTCAGAACTAGAAAATGATAAGAGTCCATGTTTGAACTCAGATCAGCTTGACTCCATTTAACCGTTCAACATCCATTTATTGCAGGGAGAGGCAACTAAGAATAAAATTACAAAAAGACTATAATCCTTAATCTCCAGAAAGGCTGTGTCTGGAGCAGCAGGTAAACCATTATGGAAGAGTGAACCATTGCTGAAACAATGACAGTGAAGTCCAAGGCAGAACACAAAGGATAGAGGAGTAAGAGGGAGCAGAGGAGAGACTTGAATGGGCAGGGCGTGATCAGATTGGATTCATTACCCGTAACGACTTCTGATAGACTCGATGTAAAAGCCAGGCTTCAAAGCTCTGGTGGGGTAATGCAGAGGATTGAGAAAAGTAAATAAATGAGTCAGAAGACAGTAGGATCTTGAGTTAGGATGGGCAAATAGGAGGGTTACAAAGCCAGGAACGGTGAAAAGACAAATACAAAACCCAAGGTCTGGATCACCAGGAGGATGAGACTGGCACAATGATGAAGGCAAGTGAGAAATTCACTGAGGACCGAGGGAACCTTTCTAAGATCGAGGGAGATTTAGGTTCCATACTGGCCCTTGGGGTCTCCAAAGAGAGCAAGTCTTGAGCAAAAAGAATGGAGGCGCGTTTAGCAGAGAGAACCTATTCTCCCATCAGAAAGTTAACTCAAACCCACTCTGTGGCTTGCCGGACCATATTTTTTAAGTTTTTCTTTGCCTCGGTGATCCATCCATTTGAGTTTCCTTAATTTGGAGTTTTACAGCATTCTAGTTTTCGATTTTGTTATATGAATTTATGCAAGGCTAATAAAGTCCTTTGTGGAATAGGCCACAATAAATAAACACTTTTCCTTTTCAGGCCAAATCACCTCTGTCCTGTCATCAAGTGCAATTAGGAACCAAACAGTTTGTGACTGGATCCTTAATCATGTTATATTCTTTATTTCTTTGTATCCTGTCAAAATTAGATGATCTTTCAGACCAGTTCATTAAGGACTGTGATCTCAAAAAGAAGCCTAGAAAGGGAAAAAATGTACAGGCCACCCTGAATGTTGAGTCAGACCAAAAAAAACCAAGGAGGAAAGATACACCGGCGCTGCACATCCCACCTTTCATACCAGGTAATGGACAAAGTCATCTGCACAGCTGTAAAGGAGAGCCACTTGCCACTAGGTTGCATTGTTCGTACACATTTTTCCTTAAATATTCAGGTATTTTAAAGTAATTTGTGCACTCCCCACCTCTGTATCTCTGTATTAGTTACAATATAGCAAGCTGCTATAACAGATACATTCTAAAATATTAGGGGCTTAATACAATAAAAGTTTATTTTTTTTACCTACCAATAGTGAAACCATGGGGTGAGGAGGCAAGCTCTGCTTCAAAGAGTCATTCAGGGACCCGGTCTCATGTGTTTTGACATCATAAACACATGGTGAGCAAAGTCACCACAAGCTTCCACAGTCACGATGAGTACCAAGGTCCAGCAGGCATGGGAGGTAGACAGAGTGGAGGACTGACAGGGAGATTTACGTGAACCAGGCCTTCTTCAGTCACGAGGCCTCACCAGACAATGAGGTAAGCTGGGAAATGAACCCAGCTCAATGCCCAAGAGAAAAGCAAAGCAGTCTGCTGAACAGCTAACATGTCTCTGTAACACCCTTGGATGTGATGCATGACATTCTCTTATTCTTCAAAGTTTTGCCTTGTTTTGCTTTCTTTTCTCCCTCCCTCTTTGTCACTAATTTACTGTCATCTCTGTTCACAACACACCTTGAGGGTTGCAAAACAAATGAAACATAGATCTTTCTGGGAATGATCTTTCAGTTTTCTAAGAAATAACAACAGCACATAATAGCTGAAATATGCAGTAAGAAGTGACATCATAAGGGAGTTCTTAAAAAGGACTGTTGGAGCTCAGTGTGGGTAGTGAATTGTGGAAAATTTTATGCAAGAGGCTGTTTTTAGAGAGTTACTCAATAATGGAGAAAAATTTCACTGTAGCATAGAGGTGAGAAAGCAGGAGGGCGGAGGTATCAGGGTGGAAGTGTGCAGACGCAGCTTGCAATACATCAGATGAAATCCTCTGGCTGAAGAGGATGAGATTTGGAGGCAGAAAAACTTGGGCTCAACTGCTCTGTGACACCTATGAGCTGTAATACCCTGGGCACATTTCTTTGCCTGACTTCCCTCAGCTTTGTGATGGTGGCCATAATACTAAATTCCTCAGGGTTTTAGTGAAGCTAAAATAAAATCAAGCATGCAAAACCTTTTGTATAGACAAGGTTCCTAGTGGAGCCTCAATAAATACTAATGCTTCTTATGAAAAGTCTTGCTTTATTAAAGTAAGTTTGGAAAGCTATATTGACTGTCTTCACCAGATGTCTATAAATATGCACAGTCCTCATATATTAGGATATATGTATTTGATCCTGTTTCTCTCTGTGTTCCCCTAACCATGCAGGTGTGTTTTCAGAACATTTAATTAAAAGATACGATGTTCAAGAGAGACATCCAAAGGGCAAAATGATCCCTGTTCTTCATAACACTGACCTGGAACAGAAAAAGCCAAGGAGAAAAGACACACCTGCCCTGCACATGTCCCCCTTTGCAGCAGGTAAAAAAGCTGGTGCAGGGCATTTGCAGGGGGTGATGGGGACAGGTCAAGAACCTTACCATCTGGAGGTCCCCAGGGCCTGGCCGTTGTCCTGCCCCAGCAAGCTGCGTTGTCCTGAAGTGCTCTGGGGAGAAGCCACACTCAGTGCTACCTTTTAGGTTTATCTCTACTAGTAGCTCCCCAGGGGCTGATGTGGGGATGGGAAAGGGTCAGAGCATTACTCATGCCTCAGCAGAGCTGGTTGAATTCACTGAGCCAACGGAATAGAAATGTCAGTGGGTCCTTGAGAAGAGCTGGAATGCCCTCCTCCCAAGGCTTCCACGGATTTTGCGTCTTATGGCTGGTTCTCCTGAGACACTTGGACTAATTGGCCAAATCCTCAAAATGAGAGACAGAAAAAGAGATGCAGAAATAAGGATAGCTATCTGAATGTGTGTCAAATCAAACAAAAAAAATCATACTGAACTATGAGCACAGCCCCAGTCTGTAAAGGAGCTGCTCTGTGAGATACAGTCCTTGTCTCTGAGAAGTACAAGTTGGGGAATAAGACACGTATATTCATGGCTAGAGTATGACTCTGTGTGTATGTGTGTATTTTATACAGATTGTTGTGTTGGGGAAGTGACGGAGGGGAAAATATGCTAATGTTTTTGAGATCCTACTAAATGTTAGGCACTCAGTTTATCATGTCTCATGGATTTTTATAAATTAACTGACTAATATAATAGAGAGGCTATTATCTCGTTTTGCAGACTAAGAAACAGAGAATTTAATTAACTTACTCATCTACTTTAAAGTCTTATGTGGATACAATTGATAGATAGATGGCTAACTAGCTAATTGGTTGGATCAAAGATGAGATGACTAGATGGACAAATGAACAGATAAAATTATGATCAAGATCAAACACTAAAATGTGGCAGAATTGGGGCTCAAACCTAGGTCTATCTCACCTTTGGGCAGTTTTTCACTAATCTGTGCTGTGGTTTGGAATCTTAGCATTATAGGAACAGAAGAAACACTCTGGGGAGAAGATAAAATTTGGCTGTTGTTATAAAACTATATTTCCCCACTGTTTCATTTAATAAAGAAAAAAATTGAAAAAACAGCTCAGAAGAAGACATCACGACAGAAACAGTCAGGGGCTTAAGATCCCCAGCCACATTAGAGGCTCTGGTTCTATGCTCCATGGGATTTGTGTTCTCTGCACTTCTGTCCTTGTTCCTCCACCTCTTCTTCTCTTCCCACTTCCAATTACCTCTATCTATCCCTTCGTCTTCACCACTTACCTGTATACCAAGATGAATGGTGGGTTTTTGACCCCACCTGGTCATGCCAGGGACAACTCTCCCTCAGTTTCTTTCACACACACACATTTCTACATACCAGCTTTTCTAAGCACTGACTACATGCAAGCTTCTGAGATCATGCACATGTGCTAAAAGTACAAGGAGTTTAGGACATGCAGAAGTCTAATCTTCAAACTGTCTTCATTCTTTTAACAAATATTTACTGAGTACTTGTCACATCCTGGGCTCTGTTCTAGGCAATGGTACAGGAAGAAAGTCAATAACCATATAGATTAATACATAATAGAAAGTCTGCTAGGGATAAATGCTGTGAAGAAAATAAATCTAGTTAGATGAAGAATGGGAGATAGAAATTGCTTCTTTAGATTTCCAAGGTGCACAGGAAATCCTTTCCGAGGAAGAGATATTTAAGCAGAGACCTCAGGAAAATGTGGGTGTGTCATGGGGGTAACTGAGCAGAGTAGTTGAGGCAGAAAAGACAAATCCAAGAGTCCTAAGGCAGTGATATCTTTAGCTTTTGCTCAGTCAATATTTATTGAGTGCCTACTATGTGCCAGGCACAGCTCAAGTGCTGGGCATACACTGGAAAACAAACCCCAAAGAAAAAGTCCTTGCTCTCATGGTGTTTATATTCTAGGTGGGAGAGATAATTAAATATTTGGTGCTAAAGCAGGGAAAAGGAGGTTTCTCTAAAACTGACAGTCAGGCAAATTGGACACCAGAAGATGACTTGCTCAGAAAGAGGAAAGGTTCTGAGGACTGCCTTTATTACTTCCCTGGGCAGGATCTGTTGGCCCTCAGTAACATCCTGCATCAGCCCTTACCTCATTTAACACTGAGTCAACTGTGATGGCCCATCACAGCTCTTTTACCTCACTGGGACATGAAGGGTAATGCTGTTCCTGTTTTCTAACAGAGAGGGGAGCAAGCTAGCACGGTCTCCCGTGAAAGGGCCTTCACAGAGGATTTTTTGGCAGTATTCTGTCTTCTTTCAGAGCAGTTTTAATATTGGTCAAGGGGTCCAGAGATCTTGGAATAACTAATTTAAGAATAATAGACAACAGTCACAATTTGTTAAGTTTGATTGCTTCCCAAGGGAAGAAGGAATTGTTACATGGTGATATTTCCATACTAGAGGTTTGCAGTGTTAATGGAATATAGGCCTACCTCATTCCATTTCTCTTCACTTTTTTGTGCTTTTCAGATATTGGTGGTTTTTTTTTTAACCAAATTGGATGTTTGTGGTAACCCTGCATCTAGCAAGTCTATTTTTCCAGCAGCACCATTTTTTCAATAGCATGTGTTAACTTCATGTCTCTGTGTTGCATTTTAGTAGTTCTTGCACTGTTTAGAATTTTATTATTATTATTATCATTATTATATCTTTTATGGTGATCTGTGATCAGTGATGTTTGATGTTACTATTGTAATTGTTTTGGGGTGCCACAGACCTCGCCCATATAAGACTGTTAACTTAATCTATAAGTGGTGTATGCGTTCTGTCTGTTCCACTGACAAACAATTCCCCTATCTCTCTCCCTCTCCCCTGGCTTCCCTATTCCACGAGACACAAAGATATTGAAATAAGGCCAATCAATAACCCTACAGGGGCCCCTAAGTGTTCAACTGAAAGGAAGAGTTGCACATCTCTCACTTTAAATCAAAAGCTAGAAATGATTAGGCTTAGTGAGAAAGACATGTTGAAAGCCAAGATAGGCTGAAAATTAGGTCTCTTGTACCAACGAGTTAGCCAAGAACCAGGTTGTGAATGCAAAGGAAAAGTTCTTGAAGGAAATTAAAAGTTCTACTCCAGTGAACACAGGAATGATATGGAAGTGAAACATCCTTATTGTTGATACGGGGAAAGTTTCAGTGGTCTGGATAGATTACACCAGCCATAACCCTTCCTTAAGCCAAAGCCTAATCCAGAACAAGGTCCTTACTCTCTTCAGTTATATGAAGGTTGAGAGAGGGGAGGAAGCTAGCAGAGAAGAAAAGTTGGAAGGTAGCAGAATTTGATTCATGATATTTAAGGAAAGAAGCCATCTCCCATAAAAGTGCAAAGTGAAGCAACAAGCGCTGATGTAGAAACTGCAGGAAGTGATCCAGAAAATCTAGCTAAGATAATTGGTGAGAGTGGCTACACTAAACAATAGTTTCTTAATGTAGATGAAACAGCCTTCTATTGGAACAAGATGCCATCTAGGCCATTCATAGCTGGAAAGGAGATGTCAATGCCTGGCTTCAAAACTTCAAAGGACAGGCCAACTCTCTTGTTAGGGGATAATGCCCCGGTGACTTTAAGTTGCAGCCAATGCTCATTTACTATTCTGAAAATCCTAGGGCCCTTATGAATTATGTTAAATTGAAGCTGCCTGTGTTCTGTAAATGGAACTACAAAGCCTGGATAAAGGCATACATGTTTACAGCATAATTTACTGAATAATTTAAGCCTACTGTTTAGACCTACTGCTCCAAAAAAAGACCCTTTTCAAATTATTACTGCTCATTAACAATGTACCTCATCACCCAAGAGCTCTGATGGAGGCACACAAGGAGATTAATGTTGTTTTCATGCCTGCTAATGTAGCATCTATTCTGGAGCCCCTGGATTGAGGAGTTACTTCGACTTGCAAGTCTTGTTACTTAAGAAATACATGTTTTGCAAACCTAGAGCTGCTATAGATAGTGATCCCTCTGATGGATCTGGACAAAGTAAACTGAAAACCTTCTGGAAACAATTTGGTATTCTAGATGCCATTAAGAACATTTGTGACTCAAGGGAGGAGGTCAAAATATCAAAAATAGCAGGAGTTTGGAAGAAGTTGATTCCAACCTTTATGAATGAGTTTGAGAGGTTCAAGACTTCAGTGGAGGACGTAACTGCAAATGTGGTAGAAATAGCAAGAGAATTAGAATTAGAAGTGGGGCCTGAAGATATGACTGAATTGCTGCAATCTAATGATAAAATTTGAATGGATGAAGAGTTGCTTCTGATAGATCAGCAAAGAAAATGGTTTCTTGAGATGAAATCTACTACTGGCGAAGATGCTGTGAACATTGTTGAAATGACAACAAAGGGTTTAGAATATTATGTAAACTTAGTTTATAAAGTAGCAGCAGGGTTTGAAAGGATTGACTTGATTTTGAAAAAAGTTCTGCTGTGAGTAAAATGCTCTCAAGCAGCATCACATACTAGAGCAAACTCTATTGTTAAAGGAAGAGTCCATCAATGCAGAAAACTTCACTGTCATCTTGAGAGATTGCCACAGCCACCTAACCTTCAGCAACCACTACTCTGATCAGTCAGCAGCCGTCAACATTGAGGCAAGCCTCTCTAAGACTCAGTGAAGACTCAGATAATCATTAGCAATTTTTAGCAATAAAGTATTTTTAAATTAAGCTATGCTCATTATTTTTAAAGACATAATGCTATTTCACATTTAGTAGGCTACAGTATAGTGTAAGCCTAACTTTTATGTGCAATGGGAAACCAAAAAATTTGTATGGCTCTGTTTATTGTGATACTTGCTTTATTGCAGTGATCTGGAAGAACCTGCAAGATCTCTGAGTTATGCCTGTAATAAAATTTTTTAGAAGTCCTGCAAAAGGAATCATTTTGCCTTTGTATAACCCAGATCTGATCTATTTTCCATGGATCTTTTTCTGGTACTACCTATTAGTCTTATTAGTTTAGTCATTCTACAGGTTATGCTATGATATGGGAAATTCTGCCTTAGAATTGTGATATGGCTTAAATCAGCTTTTCACCCTTATTTATTTTTTTTTTTGCCTCTACCAATAGATTGTTGTTCCCAAATAAGACAAGAAGAAAATAGAAGCATAGGCAGGGTCACATGTTTTCAGACTTGCTAGGAAGGAGCAGAGCTAGATAGGGTGGTGCAGAGCATGAGGAGTAATGGAGAAATGGTCCAAGGACCGGGGGAGGCTCTGAACTTCCCTCATCTGTGTTTCTCATAGGTTAAGTTAAATCCTACCTAGGTTAATCCTCTACTCCATCACATGCTTTCCCTCAAGCTCTGCCACTGTCCAGGTCCCAATTACCTTTCAGTAGTCAGCCAGCTCGAAGCCTCTGCTATCAGACCCCTTCAGGTCCAAAATGACTCTTTTCTATTCTTAACTAACTCTGTATTAGTCACAGCATGCAAATACCCAAAACTTTGTCATCTCTTTTAGTATTGTCTTTATTCTTCTTGTTGCCTGTATTGTCGCTGCTGCTTAAATTGACTTACATCAACAACTTGCATGATGAATTCATGAGGACTGGCTGTGACTGCCTTATGTTTCTGGTATTGATCTTGATATCTAGTCCAATCATTTCTACATAGCAATACTCACTACATATATGCTGGTTTGATGTTTTATCTGGCAATCACAATTTTGCAATACCTGATGGAGACTGATTATTTTCTGTTCGTGCTTGTATCTGTTTTTATTGAAGACCTTCTAGGAGAAGACTTGGTAGAAAAACAAAAATATTTATGGGCAGGGAGTCATCCCAGTATACGAAATTGAACATGGTCTTTGGATTCACAAAGGTCTAGGTTTCATCCCTGGTTCTGCTCCATACTAGCTTTGTGACCCTGGACAATTAACATAAACTGTAAAAGCTTTCTTCATTTTGCCCATAAATCTAAAAGGGGACCATAAATATGTCTCCCAGGGCTGTTAACACAATTAAATAAAGTACATAAACTACTTGGCAGAGCTCTTGGCTATCAAAAACTCTCAACAAATGTTAGTTCCTTCCATTCTCTGTTCAATCTTATATTCTTTGAGATAAATCAAACCATTTCTGAAGGTGAGGATTGTCTAAGCCACAGCATTTTACTTCTCTGTATAAACCTGCTGATTCAAGGAACAGCCTAACGGGTTGAGCTCTGTTTACCTGGCATGAGTGCTGCCTACATCCCAATATCTACATCCTAAGAGAGTAGCTTCCCTATTGAATCAAAAATGTTTATCAAACAACACAGCGTAAACAAGAGTTGGGGTGGGAAGGGGGAGAGGTTGTATAACCATAGCCTCTGTATGCATTATGGAATTCCTTGAATCAGCAAATCTCTATATCATAAGTAAGTGCAATTACAGATATTGTGTGATTCTAGCTTTCATTACCATATTAGCTGAAGTACTTTATTTTTGAAGCGCCTTTTAGTAGCTAAAGATTTGGCAGTAATCAAAATGGTAGTTAAGCTGATAAGGATAGAGCCTTCGGCAGATGTTCAGAAGGACTCACATTGGTTCTAATAAGGGTGTTGAGAGAAACTCGCAGACAAATACACTCTGGAGACATCTCTCATTAGCCCTTGGCAAGTGAAAACTGGACAAGGATCCAGTCTCTCTTCTAAATTTCTTGCTAACTACCTTCACTCCCCTTAGTTAATGAGCTTACTTGACAGGTTCCAACTGCGAGCACAGCCCTTCAAAGGGGTCATCTCAAGCTTCTCTGACAGACCCAGGCTTGCTCCCAGCTTAGCCTACAGTTGCCAGGGGCCCTCATCGCAGTGACTGCATGGCAGAAAGCATTGGTTCTGACTAGTCAGATCTGGGTAACCAAGGCCTGCTTAAGAGTGAAAAGAAGTCTTATTAGAGGTTTGTCACAAATGGAACCATGAAAAAGGAATAATGAGGCTGGAAGCATCAAAGAGAATCCTCCTGGAAAATTGTCCATGAGCTGTGGACATTTGGGCAGTTTGGGACATCGAAGATCAAAATCCTGCACTTCTACACTAGAAAGGGATCAGGATGTCCATTGAAAGTGACACATATTCTGTCTTGCCAGGAATAGAACTTTCTCTCTAGTGTGATTTATCAGAAGACGTGGTGTCCTAGCCCTGGCTCCCTGAGACCGCAATGTAATGTGCATGAACTATTTTAGATGGGGCTCTGGGTGGGATTGTGCTGTAAAACAGCTTGCTTCAAAGCTGATTGGCCCTTGGAGACTTTGGACTGGCAGTCTTGGTCTTAAAACCCACTAAGCTCTTACAAGCAGCCAAGTTCCCTAAACTCTTCTGTATAGAGAGAGGACGAAGGGAAGGAAATGACATTTGCTAAATCCCTACTGCATTCTAAGTCTTGTGCCAGATGTTAGCATATCCTTAGAGAATCTCACGGTTCAATAGCGGAGAAGGATGTATTGTCCAGTGATTCCTACAATGTGAAATATGCGGTAACAGAGGTTCATGTAGGTTGTGGCTGCAGCCACAATGTAGGCCTAAGTCTATTTGGGGACATCACACACTGTGGAAGATACAAATTACTTTTTCTCCAATTTTACGGGTGAATAAACTGAGGCTCAGGTAGGTTAAGTGAGTGCTCAAGGCTTAATGATCACCATAGGCAAAGCTTTCTGGCTTCAGGGTCTGCATATCCCTTTAATGGTGCACCTCTGCTTCCCCTGAAAGCATGAGGGTCAGAAGGAGGTTAAACCAGACCAGTGCTTCCCAAACCCAGGCCATCTTCATGTCACCAAGGCATCAAGAACAAGAATGCAGTCGTGACATGTAGATACTCCTGACTTAAGGCTCATCCTAAGCAATGATATCCATGAAATCAAGATTTCTATGAGCTACCACATATTTTTTCATTATAAGACATTAAAATTAATTCTTAACTGTATTAATATAAAATGCTGGTTCACCCTCTACTTGAAATTATCTCCTGTGCTCTTGTGGACAGCCCAGCCTACTTTGAGAAGGGCTGGCTGTGATGATTTAACAGGCTTTTCTTATTCCTGAAATCCCAGGAACTTTTGGGGAGTCAGCAAGGAGCAGATTCTCATATGATTAAGTTTCCAGGGTACCAAAAGTAACCAGAAAGTTGATCTGGATTTGGGAACTTAAAGGCTCTTGCCCACTTTGAATCAACTCAATTTTGGCTTAATGTGAAGAGATATCAAGCAAGGATGGATGGAAAATTTTGGGGCTCAGCATAGCTAACTCTATGTTCTCCTGCCATGCTAGCCTTAATTCCAAACAGAAATCCAAATCTCTGTGCAGCTGGTGTACGAGAAATATCTCCCACTGTGTTTCATAAGTGATTTATGCAAAAGCTGTAGTTTCAGCCAGACTCTTGAAATTGTTTTTCTCCTCCAATAAATACCAGCTAATTGGTAAAGAACCCATGTGAACAAACTAGGAACTGAAACAAATGAATAGTCATTAAGATCAACACATAGTTTTCATTAATTTACTGCTGTTGAATGGAGTCCAGTGTGGTAGAAAGGCCTCTTGTGGTGCACAGCTTCTCTTTCTCAAGTGTAGATCTTTATGAAATGCTTCATGGACTGGAAGGCGTCTCATTATGAGAAGGAAGGAGGCAGTGCGAGGCAGTGGTGGGGAAGCTGGCTGGAGTGGGATGACAGGGACCATGGAGGACTGGCCTTCCATCGCAGCTTCCTTTGACCTTACATTAAAATGACCTTACTTTACACTTCACAGGATGAGCAGAACCATGTGGCCCTTCTTGGCTGGTCCTTTCTGGGGTGATCAGTCCAGAAAATTGTGCTCAGACTTCTGAATTTCACAGACCAGTAATTTTTTTTTTTTTTTTTTTTTTTTTTTTTTTTTTTTGAGAAGGAGTCTTGCTCTGTTGCCCAGGCTAGAGTGCAGTGGTGTAATCTCGGCTTGCTGCAATCTCTGCCTCCAGGATTCAAGGGATTCTTCTGTCTCAGCCTCCCGAGTAGTCAGGATTACAGGTGCCCGCCACCATGCCTGGCTAATTTTTGTGTTTTTACTAGAGATGGGGTTTCACCATGTTGGCCAGGCTGCTGTCTAACTCCTGACCTCAGGCAATCCACCCACCTTGGCCTCTCAAGGTGCTGGGATTATAGGCATGAGCCACCACACCCGGCCCAGTAAATTTTTAAAACAAAATAGTGTGGAGCCCAACATAGGAACAGCAACTCTTTATTTTGCTTTATAAGGTTGCATTTCAAAAACCTTCTAACATCTCTAAAATTTCATAAAAGAAAGGATATTTTAATCCCCAAAAGAAGGAAAATAATCTCAAAATAAAGAACAGCTTTTAAAAGTGAAGGCATACAGTTGTATGAAAAGCTCAGTACACTTTCCTTATTTTCTCATTTTGCTCTGAACCATGTGAACGTCATCACCTCCTGGTACAGTACTGACATTGAGAAATGGCATGTCCAGAGCCTGAGCTCAATATTTCCCTGGATGTAGTAAAATGCTTTTAAGTTTGACTTCCTGAGGCTTACCAGTTCTTTTCCAAAGGAAAATAAACGAGCAAATATTGAAAGGACAGGAAAAGCCGACATTTACTTGCTCTGGGTTAAACATTGTGACATATATCTTATTTAATGGTCACAATAACCCTTTATAATAATTGTTACTGTACTCATGTTATATTGAGAAGATTTAGGTGTGAATGTGTTTTCTGGCCCAACACAGATTAAGTGAGTGGCAGAACTGTGAGTGCAAAGCAATTGGTTATTTTCCATCCCGCCATGCTGCAAGCTTAGGAGCAGAACTTAAAGAAGAGGATGAAGGTTGCCTCTGACTTCCAGGTGGTGCATCCCTTTGTAACCAGAATCGTGTCCTCATTGAGCACCTCTGGGAAGCCTAGATAGAGCCACCCAGCTCCTTCTCTGGGTTGGTACTGTTAGCAGGTAACCTTGTAGACACTAAGAGGTTTCTGGGTTGCCATGCTCCTTTGTACTGTGTCTGTCTGCAACGTTGCCTAATGTTTTAATTAGAGGTACTTAATTGCAGGTCTGTGCTTTGTTTTGCAGGTGTGACATTGCTCAGGGACGAGAGACCCAAAGCAATCGTGGAAGATGACGAAAAGGATGGTGACAAGATAGCTATTTAAAGATAGTTCCCCTGAGACCACTTGTAAATAGGTTAGATTGGTTCCCTGTGGTGACCTAGAGAAAAAATAGACTTGTTTCTGCTCTCATTTTTGTCATCGTCTGACTTGAAGATTCAGACACCTTCTCCCCAGGAGATGTATGCCATCAAATTGCCAGTCACCTCTTTGTCTCTCTCTTCTTTCTGAGTATGGTTTCTATTCTGTGTTTTGAATTTTTATTTTCTAATGCAGTGGAAAAGAAACAGATCATCCTAAATGAGGAGGTAACAGGGAAAGCACTGGGGTTCGGTTTCTGCATCTTCTGGATCAATTCACGGAACAGAGATCGTGGATTACATGGGCTCCTTCTTGGTTTTTGCTGCTGGGCAGGACTTGACTTAGCATTATCCAAGCACCAGTCCAAGTGGGGTTCCCTGTTGCCAGTTAGAGAGGTGAGAATGTTTGGACTCTAACTCACCGATTGCTTTGCAGACAAAGGTCTTTTATTTCTCCTGTCCTATCTTAAGAGTCCAAATGTCTCTGGTGATGTTCCTAAGACCCTTGTCCCAGATACTCTAAATGTGAATGTATGAGCTGGGGGAGTCAACCCAGCCCACCATGCCTTGGCTGATGATACCAGAGGCAGAGAGTGCTGGTCTGTCTGGGAAGCTTAGCAATGTATCTTCAAATTTATTTTTGTTTTTAAAAATATTTCTTAAACATGCTGTCCCAACATTTGTGAGTTGTGTCACAAGTGAGTCATTATCAATGGTAGATAAAATATCAATGTTTGTGATGAATTTACTGTAAAAAAATTAAGGTCAATGAAAGCCATTCTGTTATTTTTAGCATTCTCACTTATTTAGACTCTATTACACTTTCTTGGATGAGAGGGGAGAGTGTGGTGTTAGCTAGTGAGCAGAGGTCTGTATATTGTCCTTGCCCCAGCCTGCAATCTGTGGATGCCCAGGGGAAGGCATACAGGCCTCATCCACCAGGCAATAGACAGGAGAGAGGTGAGAACTATTTTTAGAAGGAGGAAAAGTAGATACGCAAATTGTCACAACTAAGAGTGATAATTTGGTAGCTCTGTATGTATGCTGGTTCCAACTGTTTAATCCCTTCTGTCTTTCTGTTCTCACAAAGATGGAAAAGATACAAGAGCTTGCCGGAAATAAAGCTACATCTATCCACATCTCTGTCCTCGTGCGTTTCTCCTAAGAATACCCAGTTTACTCACAATTATAAAGAGCAGAGATTGCAAAAGAGACTCACAAAGTTTTGCTTTGTTTTACTTTTGTTTTTGTTAGGCCTGCAGAGATTTTAAAATGTTTGAATTTGCTATTAATATTTAACAATCCAGTCAGGAGAAGTGATGTAAAATTCCGGATTTCCAGATTCTCTTCGAAAAATATCTCAAGACCTGTCAATTTGGGCCTGATTAGAATCATGGCAGCATCAGCTGGAACTGAGTACTGGATGCCCATTTTGGAAGGAGCAAGCATTCCCGTTTGCCATATGCCCCACCTGGAGTATATCATCCATTGACTCTAGTTTGGAGTCCCCTTAGTGAAGACGCATGTTGTAATCCTAATGATCTCACCTTTTTTATTCCAGCACTCCATGCTCTGCTCCCACTTCTGATGCCCCAGCCACAGCTTTGGGTAGAGGGGAATAAAACTGTGGCCGGGTGCTGGTTGAGGCATAATTGGTGAAGGAGGGCACCATAAAGTCTTTACAAAACCAAAAGCAATTACAGGTCTATGGATAAGAGGATAGTATAACCACCAGCAGCAATGTTTACAAAGGGATCTTTACTCAGAAAACACAGTCTCACTTCATCCTATCAGATTTGCTGTATGAACACAGAGTACACCTGTAGCCATGTCTGCAGAGATGCTCGATAACTTCTGAGGCTACTCTGAAAACCTTCATCGTTACTGACTTCCTGGGTTAAGGAAGAAAGTAGACCAGCTGTTGTGGAAATAAAAGCCTTGGGTCTAGCTTCAACTATGTGATGCCAAGCAAGCCCCTGGAACTCTCTGAGTCTGGTTCTTTATCTTGAAAATGAGGATAATAATTCTTACTTTGCCTTGTTCATAATTTGAGAATTAAGTAAGATAATGGACGGCAAAGAGCTTCGTAAGCTAAAATGCTCAATCCAACTGTAACATAGGATAATTTAAAGACACCTTCAGAGTTTGCACGGTGTTTTTTCTATTGCCAAATCCCCATTGCCTGAGTATTGAATGGGCCGCAATTATGAGACTCAACTCACAGCATCTGAAAGACTTCAAGTAGGGGGATCCCATCAGTTATATGGCCTTAACTGAAAGACCGGACTTTGTAATAGAGTCCCAATCTTAAAAGAGCATATACAGAATGGTGAGAGGCAAAACCAGACAAAACATAACCAACCCTGGATATCACTGGGTGACTTGGGTGGAAGCCAAACCTCCCTCACTTCCTTTGTCCCCTGAGGACTTTTTCTGGCCAGGTAAAGTAGAAATTTCATGATTAGCATTATATTTCAATTAAAATAGTTCTCAGAGCATTGTGAACAACTTCCCTCCAAATGAATAATAGTTATATTAAGAAATTAAGGGACCCAGGTGCAGTGGCTCATGCCTGTAATTCCAACACTTTGGAAAGTCGAGGGGGAGCATCACTTGAACCCAGGAGCTCCAGATCAGCCTGGGCAACACAGAGAGACTCTGTCTCCACAAAAAAATTAAAAATAAGCTGGACATGGTGGTGTGCACTGTGGTATCGGCTACTCAGGAGGCTGAAGTAGGAGGATTTCATGAGCCCAGGAGGTTGAGGCTGCAGTGAGCTGTGATTGTGCCACTGAATTCCAGCCTGGGCTACAGAGTGAGTCTCTATCTCAGGAAAAAAAGAAACTAAAGAAAAGAAATTAAAAGCATTACAGGGTAGCCCATTCAGAAAGAAGGCTCAAACTAAAAGAGGTTTCTTTAATGGAACTGGCAAAGCAGTTGGCCATTTGTTCATTCTGAAGGCATCTACCAGGAACCCAGGCTACCTGAAATGAGGAGGCCCTAGATGTGCAAGACTTGGCGCTCTTTCAAAAGCTTCACACAAAGCCTTTCTTTAAATCCTAACACCCTTTAAAAGCAGTTGGCTGAGATCACACAGCCAATTTCTAATGCCTAATTATCACTTGAAAAGGCAGAGGCTGGTGTGGAAGGATTGGGGAAGAACCATAAAGGACTCAAGCAGTGTTTCCTTTTAAATGCAATTAAGTGAATTTTCCCTGTGCTGTCCAGGTTGTTTTCTTAAAACAAGGATAGACTGAGATCCCATGTGGTTGTGAAAATAAGTTAGCAAAGCAATTATTTTTGCTAGCTGAGAATAAGAGGCTGGTTACATGATGGATTTTGTAGAATCTCTGTCATCCTTTGTAAATGAGGCTCCCTTGCCACTCGTAATTTGTAAGTGTGAAAGTGTTACTCAAAAATCTCCCCAAGGCAGGGAGTGAATGCACAGAAGACGCATGAACTGAGAATATACTCTGCCAGTTTTCCTGGACATGCAATTGCCTTTGAACTTGCTATAATATATTATGTCTGCAGAATTCAGAACATTATAATGGCCTTCATCCTTGACCCAAAAATCAGGGCAGAAGACTCTCCACAAGTAAATGTATTTATGGGGAAAACAATGTGTTATTTGAAATGAGCTCTACCTTGGACACTCCAAGCTATCAGCTTACCTTCCTGAAGAAGAAAAGGATAGGTGTATCCTCACCTTCAGTAGCAGGTCCTTCCAGCAAGATGAGACTCCTCCAAGGAAATTGCAGAAGACTTCCTGAGAAGGAACAACAGAAAATAGAAGACAATTTTGCTTATCCTGGAAAATGTGGCTCTTCCATCTGATGTCAAATATGTATTTTGAGCGTGGAACAAAGAGTATAATACAGATCCTCGTGTTCTTATAATTATGTTAGGGTTTCAGAAAAACAATATATACTTTAATATCCATCAATCAAATCATATGTATTTTATTTAAAAGTACTACTTAAATAATGCCTTTCAGAAAAGGAAGACTGTGCTCTGAGCCCTTGCATTTGCTCAGTCTTTTTCCCATTTCATCTCATTTGATCCTCAAATTCAATCATGAAAAAACTAAGTACCCAGGGAAGCTGAGATGGAGAGGAAGCCAGGAAGAAACTCAGGTCTCTGAACTCTTAGCCTAGTGCTGTTTATATAGTGTGAAACTATTCTGAAAATAGGGTCCAAAAACACAGGAGGTTAAAGAAGGAGATCATTCCATGATCCAGAAAGAGTAAATTATACAAGTGCTTTCTGATGGTTTTCTCCACCCTCTCTCTCTTAATTTTTGAATGAGTAAGTATATTAATAAATATGTTCAACTTTCCAGTACTCAAAATTTAATCATTATTCTCAATCCTACGTTTTAAGGAGGTGATAAGGTTATTTTTGTCTTCCCTCGCCCCACTCCATCCTCCATATTATCCATTCTCTACATTGAAATTAAAGTGACCCTTTTCAAACAAATCTGAGCAAGTGGGAGCCCTCCTGAAGATCTTCTCCTTGCTTAGAATAAAGGTAGAGATCTCAAGCCTGGGCCCTGCTTCCCCCCACCCTGCTTTGGATTCCAGTGACACTGGCCTCTGCCATGGCTGGGGACCCTCCTCTCCCTTCCCTCCTACCCATCTCCTACTCTTTGCCCCTCACCACCCAGTGAAGATCTGCTCGTCCTCTAGAGCTCAGCAAAGTGCCACTTTCTCGAGGAGAAACTCTTCCTTGCCTTCTTAATTAGATCAGGAGAAACCTGATCACAAGCCATGCTAATCTTTTTCTCCATAGTTCCTACCTCTTCTTGTGATCATCCATTTGTATAACTGATTAGTGTTTGTCTCCTCACTGTTGTGTAAGGTCCATAAACACAGGGATATCAACTGGTTTTGTACCACTTGTCCTTTGTACCTGGCATAGGGTTTACCATGCTGTAGATGATCAAAAAATCTACAGTGAGTGAGTGAGTGAATGAATGAATGAATAAAAAGACTTTGTAAGAAGCCAAGCCTAACAGCCTAAGTTTGCCTTACCATTTGCCTAATTGCAGGAACACAAGGTTACTTACTCTGATAATAGACTAGATAGTCGCTATGGAGCCGAACACAAATGTCAGCCACAGGAAGGTGGTCTGCTTCCTAGACCCATTGTCTCCTCTGTGGCACCAGGGAGTCCTCCCAATATGCAGCCCATCTCCCTAAAAACAGTTCCCTGTCCATCAAATCCTCCTACTCTCAGGAGTCAGTAGAGGCAGAGACAGCAGGGGTCAGCTGCTTGCCCACCTGAGGGCTCTGGTGTCATGGCTTCAGAATGCCATGGCCAGCTGTGTTAGTCCCTTTTCATGCTGCTAATGAAGACATACCCAAGACTGGGAAGAAAAAGAGGTTTAATGGACTTACAGTTCCACATGGCTGGGGAGGCCTCACAATCATGGTGGAAAGCAAGGAGGAGCAAGTCACATTTTACATGGGTGGCAGCAGGCAAAGAGAGAGAGTTTGTGCAGGGGAACTCCTCTTTTTAAAACCATCAGATCTCATGAGACTTATTCACTATCACGAGAACAGCAAGGGAAAGACCTGTCCCCAAGATTCAATTACCTCCCACCAGGTCCCTCCCACAACATGTGGGAATTCAAGATGAGATTTGGGGGGGACACAGCCAAACCATATCATTCTGCCCCAACCCCTCCCAAATCTCATGTCCTCACATTTCAAAACCAATCATGTCTTTTCAACAGTCCCCCAAAGTCTTAGCTCATTTCTGCATTAACTCAAAAGTCGACAGTCCAAAGTCTCATCTGGGACAAGGCAAGTCCCTTCTGCCTATGAGCCTGTAAAATCAAAAGCAAGCTAGATACTTCCTGGATACAATGGGGATACAGGTATTGGGTAAATACAGCCATTCCAAATGGGAGAAATTGGCCAAAACAAAGGTGCTCCAGGGCCCATGCAAGTCCCAAAACCAGCAGGGCAGTCAAATCTTGAAGCTCCAAAATAATCTCCTTTGACTCCATGTCTCACATCCAGGTCACGCTGATGCAAGAGGTGGGCTCCCATGGCCTTGGGCAGCTCTGCCCTGTGGCTTTGCAGGGTATAGTCCCCCCTGGCTGCTTTCACAGTCTGGCGTCGAGTGTCTGCAGCTTTTCCAGGTGGATGGTGCAAGCTGTCAGTGGATCTACCATTCTGGGGTCTGGAGGACAGTGGCCCTCTTCCCACAGCTCTACTAGGTGGTACACCAGTAGGGACACTGTGTTGGGGCTCCAACCCCACATTTCCCTTGTGCACCACCCTAGCAGGGGTTCTCCATGAGGACTCTGCCCCTGCACAAACTTCTGCCTGGGCATCCAGGCATTTCCATGTATCCTCTCAAATCTAGGTGGCAGTTCCCAAACCCCAGTTCTTGACTTCTGTGCACTCGCAGGCTCAACACCATGTGGAAGCTGCCAAGGCTTGGGGCTTGCACTCTCTGAAGCCACAGCCTGAGCTGTATCTTGGCCCTTTTTAATCATGGCTGGAGAGGCTGGGATGCAGAGCACCAAGTCCCTAGACTGCACACAGCAGAGGGACCCTGGGTCTTTCCCACAAAACCATTTTTCCTTCCTACGTCTCCAAACCTGTGAGATGACTGGTGCTGCAAAGGTCTCTGACATGCCCTAGAGACATTTTCCCCATTGTTTTGGTGGTTAACATTTGGCTCCTCATTACTTGTGTAAATTTCTGCAGCTGGCTTGAATTTCTTCTAAGAAAATAGGATTTTCTATTGTCAGGCTGCAAATTTTCCAAACTTTTATGCATTTCCCTTTTAAAACTGAATGCTTTTAACAGCACCCAAGTCACCCCTTGAATGCTTTGCTGCTTAGAAATTTCTTCTGCCAGATATTGTAAATAATCTCTCTCAAGTTCAAAGTTCCACAAATCTCTAGGGCAGGGGTAAAATGCTACCAGTCTCTTTGCTAAAACATAACAAGAGTCACCTTTCCTCCAGTTCCCAACTAGTTCCTCATCTCCATCTCAGACCACCTTGGACTGGATTTCATTGTCTATATAATTATCATCATTTTGTTCAAAGTCATTCAAAAGTCTCTAGGAAGTTCCAAACTTTCCCACATTTTCCTGTCTTCTTCTGAGCCCTCCAAACTCTTCCAACCCCTACCTGTTACCCAGTTCCAAAGTCACTTCCACACTTTCGGGTGTCTTTTCGGCAGTGCCCCACTCTACTGGTACCAACTTACTGTATTAGTCTGTTTTCATGCTACTGATAAAGACATACCCAAGACTGGGAAGAAAAAGAAGTTTAATGGACTTGCAGTTTCACATGGCTGAGGAGGCCTGGCAATCATGGCAGAAGGCAAAGAGGAGCAAGCCATGTCTTACATGGATGGCCGCAGGCAAAGAGAATTTCTGCAGGGGAACTCCTCTTTATATAACTGTCAGATCTCATGAGACTTATTCATGATCACAAGAACAGCATGGGAAAGACCTGTCCCCATGATTCAATTACCTCCCACCAGGTCCCTCCCACAACACGTTGGAATTCAAGATGAGATTTCGGTGGGGACACAGCCAAACCATATCACTAGCCAAGATGAGGACCTCACAGATGCTGAAGTTGGGGAGCTTCACTATAAGAGGTATGGGGCAGGGGGTGCTGTCCTTTGGCATCTAAGGCATCTGCTTTATAAGATGCTGGATTATCACCATATGTTCTCACCCAACTGGTTATGTAGCATGAGGGAAAAAAGCCAATCATCGCTGATATTTGAGAACTAACCTAATGACAAAAGAAAAACAAATTTTTGGGTTCCTCATGTAAAAATATTCCAACAATTGTAATCATTTGTGGAACTATTTACTATTAACAATATGTATTATTATTGTTATTATTGTAATAGCAATTAGGTTCCTCATTAATTATATGTAAAGGCCTCTTTTTTTTTTTGAGAAAAAGTCTTGCTCTGTCACCCAGAGCAGAGTGCAGTAGCACAATCTCAGCTCACTGCAACCTCTGCCTCCCAGATTCAAGCGATTCTCCTGCCTCAGCCTCCTGAGTAGCTGGGATTACACATGCCCAGCGCCACGCCCAGCTAACTTTTGTATTTTTAGTAGAGATGGGGTTTCGCCATATTGGCCAGGCTGGTCTCAAACTCTTGACCTCAAGTGATCTGCCTGTCTTGGTCTCCCAAAGTGCTAGGATTACAGGTGTGAGCCACGGCATCCAGCCTGTAAAGGCATTTTTGTCCAATTTCTTTTCTAATCATAGAATAACCCTCTCTGTATTTTGAGTCTGTCTTCTCCATGTGTTGACATTATAGCCCAGATGCTCACAGCTTATGCTGGGCAACCTTGAACTAGTAGATGTAACTTTCATTCTTCTTGACCTTGGGCCTACAGAGTTTTGTTCCATCCCATTGGCTATAACCCATAGTCCTGTGCATCTTAGAGTTCTGAGAATAAATGTCCCCTTGTGCACTAAATACCTTAACAAGCTGAGGTAAACAGGTCTGAGACTCATCAGTACCTAAATCATCCCTACTGTTCCATGAGACTTCTAAGAGAGTCTGCTGGTAGTGTGGCATTAAGGACCCTGTGCCTACTTGTGCATAGCCCTTGCCTACTTGTGCATAGGTCTTAGAAGAATTTGTATTTGCCATGAGTTTTGCTGGGACCTCCTGTTACAAAGATCCCTGATCTTTTGATGGTTTTGCTGGACAGCTAAGGACCAACTGCGTGCCTCATTGTTGTTATCCTGGCAACCATCCTTTGTTCTTTGGTGTCTTTGTGGCTGGATCCAGGGCTGATTAAGGTGAGGCAAGTGAGGTGTCTGTGGTGCAAAGTGGAAGGAGGTGCTCACATTCAGGGGCATATAAGTGCTAGCCTTGTCTGACTCACATTTTCCTTTCTCCTAAAATTTTAGTATCTTCCTACCCATCACCTTCCACAGCCTTATTTTCATTCAGTTGCCCAAGTTATTACCTATGGGGCCAGATCCTGCCCACTATGAGCTCTCCAGGTAGAGAGTACTAAGAGTTCTCAAATTGCACAGTTCTAATATGCACAAATATGCAGAGAGAGGGAGGGTCAGCTATTACCATGATTTAGTTAAATAACACCAGACCCACAATAATATGGTTCACATTTCAGATACTATAGTATCTAATACTGACATACTGATCATATATTAACTGTAATTACATAAAATATGAATTTTACTGATAGCTCTTCAGTCCATAAATTATTGTGCAATAATAGATGTGCACCATGATCATTGACCACATGTAACTGTTTCCAGAGTCTGAGGGTGAGTGGTCACTATGCATCTGTTATTTAGTTCCTGCACAGACAGCAAACCACGTAGTTATATTGCTTTCTTGTCTCCTAGTGTTAAACCCATATGGCATTTTATAAATAATTGAAAGAAGGGATTGGCCACAAAAAGGAAAGCACAGGAAAGAAACAAAAAGTGATAATGCTGAAAGTGAAACTGAAGTAGAAGGTAATGGAACTGAAGTAGAAGACATGGCCACCTGTGGGCATGTTGACACTGCCACCATAGGAGAGACCCTCGCTGCAGAGCCAGAGGAACTTAATGAAGACCAACCTACCAAGATAAATGAGACTGAAAAAAATGAATTTGTCGAGAGGAAGCAACACCAACCAAAATTTCACATAAAAGAGCTCTTGAAGATATTTCATGCAAAGCATAAAATATTGGAAGCTGATCCAAACTTGGAAACCTGACAATTTGCCAAGACACAGGAAAGGCACTTGCTCTGTATTGTAAGTTATATGGCAAGAATAAGGTCAATGATCTTCAAGTTACTCTTGATTAGTTTTTGCAAAGAAATAAAACACTTCAATTCTCAATGCCTCTAAAATTTTAAATTACAAGTTACAATGTACTAAACATAATTTTTACTATTTTGAATTTCTTTATACATTTATTTAAAAAGTTAGTGAATGTTTAATATTTTCATAAAAATTTTCAAGATCACAGAACAACGGTAATTTTTCCAATGGATTATTAAGGTCACTTTGCACAGTTTCAGCTTGAACTGTCCTATTTAACAGTCCCAAAATACCATGCAAAGCAAAGGTTGCCTGCCTTCAGCCTTGGGAGCCAAGCCAGAGTGTGTGAATGTTTGCCCTTGGGTGGGGGGCAGAAGGGAAGGTAGGGGAAGATTGCATCTCATCAGTGGACAGAGAATCCAGAAAGTAAGAAGAAATATTGATTAGAATCCAGAGAATGGGGCCCCAAGTTGGAAGCTAGGAAGCTAACCAATCAGGCTAGAGGACAAGGTAGAAAAACAAAAGAGAAAATAAATAAATATTAGTAACAAAAAGACCAAAAATTAAGCAGGTTCTCAATGCATTAGCTATACCAGTTCTGGAGCTAGATATGCCTAAGGCTTTGCTTTTATTCATAGTAATGAATACTTCTCTGCTACAGAGACAGGCCCTTAAAGGATCTAGGGGTCTTTAGGAGTCTATTTCTACTATTTTAAATCCTCTTAATGCGGAAGGAGAGAAGGTGATCTCCGCCCTGGGCCAGTAGTCTAGGACCTGAAATGGACGTCAGAGTCTTCAAAACTGGCTGGTATCTACCGTGGACAGAGCAAATGGAGAAGCAAAGAGAAGAAATGTCACAACCAAATTGCTTTCAAAAATGATGATTTAATACAAGGATATGAGAGTAGGTGAAATAGCAGGTAGCATGGCCTTCTTACCTATGTGACCCCCTGAGGTTCCAGGACTTGGCTTCTGGAGAATATTAATACAGCCCTGGACTGAAAGTATACTCTCGCTGTATGGGATCTTGGTCCCAGAGCACCAGGTGGACTGCACGGTCATGGGCATGGTGGGACCATAGGAGTCCTTCCCCACAGAACATCCAGCTCCACAGGCTGCATCTTTTTCTGGAACCTCTGGCAACAGGCAGAGGAATAGCCCAGATTGAGACCGGGAGGAAGGCTTGGAAAATGGGCCCACCAAGAGATTGATGGGAGAGACAGAGAACCTCAGGATGCATGGATAGCAGATTGAGAACACTTGGCTCTCCTCTGCTACTCACAGGTCTGAAGACAAGAATGGAAACCACAGTGCATAGAAAACCTGGCCCTCTCTGGACGTAAGAATTTATTTTGTGACTCCCAGTTAAGCGAAAAACTAGGAAGGCTCCCATCACTGTCTTCCTGGAGTTTGCGGGTAATGGCTCAACTACATCTGAAGGGAAAGGAGGTCAGAGTCTCCAGGCTGCTGTTGGTTTCTCTTTGGGGATATGAGGATCAGCACCAGAGTGCTAGGGGCTGGGCACATGGGGCCCCCATTCATATGTCCCTGTTGCAGGCAAACACTGTGAAATGAAGAGGGGGAATCCCTGTGTACCAACCACCTTCCCATAGGAACTGGGATCCAAAAGGTGGGAACTCAGGGCACAGACCTGGCAGCTGGACAAGGGTGAATTATTATCATGCATGACCCTCAGCAGCCCTAGCTGCTGCTAGGCACCCAGAGTTTTTCCTGTGCTCATCATAGGTCCTGGGATCACCTCGGGGGGAAGTGTCTGAAACACCCTACAGAGTAAGTAGAGTCAAGGTTGTCTCCTCCTGCATTCTGGAACCAGGATCTTAATACCAAGCAGACCCTCAGTTACCAGCATGGGACTGCCAAACTTCAGCAGTGATGCAGGCAAAGGCAGGCTGAGAGACAGCCAGGACGTTTGAAAGAAGTATCTGAAGATGGAACAAATAGGAGGTAGGATAGAGGCAGGGGTTGGCTCCAGTGTTACATCCAGGTTGTGCAATCTTGATTGTTGAGATCCCTTCCAATATTTCTTTAACAACCTACCAGAAATGTTTTGACAAGAATGCTTCCTGAAGGTAGCCTGGATTTCTCTCCTCCCTGAACACTCTATGGCTCCCAGCCATCCCTAGTACTCGAGATGGACCTCGCAAGTGAGGACTCCTTAAGTCCTGAGACTTCAGCTTCATTAACTTCCAGGAAAATCTGCCCCTAGCTGGGCTCAAGAGACAGACAGCTGCCTGTCCTGTGAGGGGAAAGGGGCTGCTATAATCCTGAGCAAGTCGACACCTGTTTCCTTTGCTCTTTCAGGAAATTCAAAAAAGGATTTTTTCCACTGTTTTTGCAGCGCAGTCTATGTTGTCCTTCAACACTGAGCAGCTGAGTACAACTCTCTTTACCCTGGTCAATGCTATTATAATTTATTGGTGCAATGTTCTCACAAGTTCCAGGACACAAAGATCTTTCCTTGACATAATCCCTCCATGCTCTCCCCAGCCACACGATTCTCTCCCCATCCCCTCACAATGCATGGCCGTGTGGCTCTACATTTTGTCCGACAGACAGTAGCTGGAATAAAAATAAATTCCACACATTAATTTAAATAAGCCCATTGGGCAGATAAAGTGTTTGGGCATACCAGTCAATATTCGTTGCCTAAAGCTTCTACTCCGAAAGAAACCAGCACCATGGCCAATGCTGCTCTACCCTAGGCTCTTCTATCCCAGAGGAAAGCATCTTGTTTCTATTGTCAAATGTTCGGGGGATTCTTTGTTCAAAGGAAATCATACTTAGAAGTCTAATGTGGGGAGGCCGAGGCGGGTGGATCATGAGGTCAGGAGATCGAGACCATCCTGGCTAACAAGGTGAAACCCCGTCTCTACTAAAAAATACAAAAAATTAGCCGGGCGCGGTGGCGGGCGCCTGTAGTCCCAGCTACTCGGGAGGCTGAGGCAGGAGAATGGCGTGAACCCGGGAAGCGGAGCTTGCAGTGAGCCGAGATTGCGCCACTGCAGTCCGCAGTCCGGCCTGGGCAACAGAGCGAGACTCCGTCTCAAAAAAAAAAAAAAAAAAAAAAAAAAAAAGAAGTCTAATGTGTAGAACACATAAAAGCAGAGGAGCAAAATTGGAGTAGGGGAGGTAGCCCCAAGTCTGCACCCACCTTACCGCCCCCCTCAACCACTGCCTTCATCTAATGGCCTTTAAGGAAAGCCCTAGGGCCCTTGAGAGCAGGGTCAGAAAGCACCGCACTAGGTAAGTAGGCAGCTCCGAGCTTCCCTTCCACTGCCTACATCGTAAGCGTCTCTGCTCACACTCAGCCCCAAGCCTCCTGTGTCGAGTGGGATGAGGGTTTTCATTGTGTGGGTAATGTATGGGTTTTAATATTCAAGTTTGCAGTCTCTGTCTTTGATATAACCTGTGCATTTCTGAATAGGAACAATGTCCCTGGCGACTCCTCACTCTGAGCAGCAGCCAAATCTGCAGCCGGTCTCCCATAGAGCAATGCAAAAAGCCAGCAATAAAAAAACTCAATAGCAAATCAACAGGGTGTCGTTCTTGAACAAATGCACATTCATAATTTGTAACTGTGTAGTTATAAATCCCCTCCTAGAGCTTTGCTCTAACGACCCAAAACAGAGGATGCTTTTGTTTTTTTCTCCATTTGGGTATTTGGTGAAGGAGCAATGTACATTTGCCAAGAGTACAAATATTGATACTTTTTAGTACCTTAACGCCTTGCCTCAGATGCCGTGGAGTTACGAAGAATCAGTGCCTTGTTTTACCAAACACTACCTCTGAAATAAAGTTCTTCTTGGCTGCAGATATAATTTCAGAGAAAAAAAAGAGTATATTTGATTTGCCACAAGAGGTTTAAAAACATAGGCCCCATCACCAAATCCTCAGTGGCATGATTGTATGTGTGTATGACTGTATGTGTGTACATCTCAGCCCAAAATGTTCTCTCTAATCAATGTTAACTACATAATGCTTGGCAAAAGGGAGAACATTCCAGGGTCCATTGTATCTGAAGCTCAGCCCTTATTGAAAGGGGAAAAGGAAGAGGTCAGCAGGAAGAGAATTCTAGAGCAGAGATTATGTTCACCATTCAGAAATGATCGACCCTCAGCAACAGAGCTCCTGTTATCTTGGTGCTTAAGTTAGCAAATGACATTCAATTATTTGGAGCAGCACTGATAATAGAATTCCCTAAAATGACAGAAATGTTCTATGTCTGTGTTGGCCAATACGGTAGACACTAACTACCACACTAACTACTTGAGCACTTGAAATGTGGCTAGTGAGACCAAGGAACTAAAGGTTTAATTTATTTAATTAATTTAACTAGCCACATGTGGGTACTGGCTACTGCATTGGGCACCACAGATTTGGAACATTAAGACACTAATTTGGGAGGTTGTGGATGGACATAGAATCAACCATTCAGGCAGTCAGTCTGAGTATATAGAAACCAGAGATTTGAAGTTGCAAGATACCTTAGCATCCTCATGTATCAGAGACAGTAGGGTTTAGGAACTTCATGTTAAATGCTAATCAACATAATGGAATTTGATAGGAGTAATAGCAATACTTGGACACGCTGTCATCAGGAAGTTCAACCCATGTACAACCACCTGCCGAGATGGTTTTGGCCTTGAAAGAGCCAGGCTAAATGTCCAGCCACTTTTGTGGTTGCACAAAGAAGGCTGAACCTAAAGGGGCTGGAAGGAAAATAATATTCCCTGAATATCTACCCTGTACCAGGTGCTTTCACCAAGGGACTCTCATTTTATCTTCACAACAATCCCACTCCCAGAGAGCAGGAAGGAGATAATGTCTCAGAAAAGTAAATGCTCAAGACTTAAACAGAGATTAAGTATAACTCTTACGGCTCAAACTCTGGTCATATTTGCACCAGAACCCCTCAGAAGGCATCGTGTCTCTCTTCTGATAAGGGCTTTCTCCAGTGGACCAGCTCCATGTTCGACTCCCTTCTCTTACTTTTTCCCTTCCATTTCTCATCTCCTCCCAATGTGCTTCCATCTCACCCCTGGTGAGCTTAGCTACCCACCAGTTCTCTCCACCCCTGCTGCAAGCTCCAGGCCCCCCATCTTTAGTTGCTATTGCAGGCACCTTGCTCCCACTTCATGCTCAAACACATTAGTTCTGAAACTAAGGTCTTGTCAACCTGACTGCTTTTATGGTCTTTAACTGAAAGTTCTATGTTCTCCTGATATAAAATGTAATAGCAACATTTATTCAACAAATACTTATTGAACACTGGGCTAGACACAAAACAGACAAAGTGGTAAAAATGTAGACAAGGACCTTACCTGCAGAGCTCACAGTTTACTTTTGGACAGCTGTCAAGCAGGAAAGCATTCAATTATGTATTCATACACGCTTATACTGGCTACACTGGGGCTATGAGAGCTTATAACAAGGGAGCCTGACCTATCTGAGGGTGGATGGAGCTGTTAGGAAGATGTGCCTCCAAGGAATGATGTTCCACCTGAGATCTGAAGAATGCACGGGAGCTGACCAGGTGAAGAAGCAGGATGGTGGGAGAGCTGTTTCAGGTGGTGGGAAGGGCAGGTGTTAACCGCCTAGGAAGGATCAAGGCTTCTTAGAGGAACTCAGAGTAAGCCAGCATGATTGGAGTGCAGGAAGCAGGGGGATGGTATGAGATGAGGTGGAGGGTCCTTTAAATTAGGAAAGTTCTCAGTCTTTACTGTTTATCCCTCCAGTTCGTTTTCAGTTTTTCTAGTGCTCCTATCACAGAGAATCTGACAGTTTTTCTCTCCTGAGTGTGTCATATGTTTTCTCATATCTTCATCCTTTTCTTGTGTCTTCTGGAAAGGATTTCTGGGAGAATTTCTCCACCTGATCTTTTACTTAACTCATTTATTCTTTGCCTTTACTCATTCTGCCCTTCAACTCATCTGTGGAATTCTTCATATCAGCTATTCTATTTTTCTCACCCAATCCTTGTAATAACTGCTCATTCCTGCTTCATGCCACCAACATCCTCAATTTCCTTTCTATGATGCTTATGATAATAAAAATAAGCATAGGATGATTCTTTTAAAATTGTATTCTGCCAGGTCCATTAGATGTACTTCATCTGTGTTAAGTTTTGCAGCCTGACACCTCTTGGTTGGTTGGTTTGTCCTCCTCAGGTACCTTCCACTTTTCCCATATATGAGCTCGTATTCCCTGGGGTGCAAGAGCTAACACAGCTGAGAATTTGTGCCTAGGAAACAACTTTGGCCTAAGTCAGGATTGGTCCCCTCCTGATGTTTCAGGGAGTTGGTGGAGCCTGCCTGGCACTCTAGTGTCAACTCAGAGGCACTAAGTTCCATGTGCTGGGCCTCCCCAAGTCACTCAGTGCCTGTGAAAGTCCCTTTATTGCCAGCAGTGGTTCTCCCTGTCCTGTTTGTAATAAGCTGCTCTCAGGATGGACAGACACACCTGGGAGAGGAGGCGGAGTCAGGGCAGTCAGGTCCTTCCACACCTGTTGTCCTCTGGGCCCTACTCCAGCCAGCCCTAAGCCTTCACACTTCCCCACCATGCCAGTGGATGCTGCTTCTATTCTGCTACAGAATGGTTATAAAGTAAGAAATTATTCATATCGGATAATAGGGCTGGGAGAAAAAGGAACACAAAAATTAAGACACTTTTCTTTAGTTAATTCTCGTCTACAGCATCCTGGCCTCTCTGGCTGTGTCTCTCCGCTCCTGACCCCCAAATACATACACGCAAATCCACATATGAAGCAAGCTCCTACCACCCTCAGTCTCTCTGAGCATTTCTTACTGCCTTTGCATCATTTTATTAGATTCTTCCACTCCTTCTTACTTCTATATCATCTCAGGGTCAGGGTCAGGAAAAGAAGCTAAAACCCCACGCTAGCTTGCGATCTATTTATTTTTTATGTCTGAACTCAATGGTACAGATAGAAACAACTTTATATCTGCCCTACCTCTGCTGTCAAATATATTCTGCCTCAGTGCTGTTATCCTGGCAACCATCCTTTGTTCTTTGGTGTCTTTGTGGCTGAATGCAGGGCTGATTAAGGTAAGGCAAGTGAGGTGTCTATGGTGCAAAATGGAAGGAGGTGCCCATGCTTAGGGGCATGGAAGTGCCAGCCTTGTCTGACTGCCATTTTCTGCTCTCCTGAAATTTTAGTGTCTTCCTACCCATCACCTTGCACAACCTTTTGCCCTATCTATGTCCCCTCACCTCTTGATGACAACTTGGAAAGATGCTATGGCTCTCCAAGCACTTCTACTTACAAGAAAAGTCTCAATGTGGTCATTAAGACTGACTTTCAGGCATTAAAATATTTATCCAATATCATCCGAAATTCTGATCTGACAGCCAATCCAAAGCATCTCCCACCTGCTGTCAACCTTATGGGGGAAGGGCATTGATCGTTCTTTCCCGATTCTTGCTCATTCTTTCCTTAGCCCAGTGCCCCACAGCCCAGGCTCTGATTCTTCATAGAAATTATAACTAGAAGTTTCTAGTAGGAAAGACTGAGAAACCTGCTAAAGTGTCTTATGACAGGAAATAGCAGCTCTAAATATCTGCCCCATCCAGAGAGCACAATATCCTCTTCAAAACTTTTTTCTTTTCCCAACAGCTTTCTCCAAAATACCTTTCCTCTTGGCCTCTGGACTTTACTCTTTGATAGACATATAAGGTGGGCTGTGCGCTAAGGGTTGCAAAACTGTTTTGGGACCGCCCTTTCTGAAAGTCTTATATCGGTGAATTAGCACTCTGGAATGCAGGGGTATGTGCCAAGTATTGTTTTTGCTTTCTTTGTGGAGCCTCAGCCCATACAGAGACAGGAAAATACCATTTAAAAATCCTATGCCATGGGCTACTATATATAAAACACAGGGCATATGGTAAGCATTTAAGGGTTCCCTTCATTCCTTTGGACCTAGCACAGACTTGTCTGGGAAAAGTGTAAGCCTTGCCACCCTCATCTCCCACTTGTGTTGCACAGCAACACCCGCCACCTTGCCACCCGCATCTCCCACTTGTGTTGCACAGCATCCATCTCTCCAGGACCACAGGGGTCTCTGTGGCCTGCACAAAGATGATCCTGATGGCCATCGGGAGGTACTGGTAGGTATGAAGGGAGCTCTCTCTACATTGCTGCTTTCGTCAGCCACAATACAGGCAAACAACAGTGGCCTTGGCCCTAAAAATGAGTCCTCACAACATGATTTATTGCAATTTCTGGTAAAAGACCATCAAAAGGATGAGACCCAACCAACTTTTTTGGCATGAAAAACTTGTGGCAGCTAAATGGGGCATTTCTTACCAAAAGGAGAGCTACAACTGAGAACTTCCTGAGCTCACCCCAAACATAGACCCTGGGATGGTGATGTTTGTCTACCAAATTATGAAATGCTAGCAGATCACTTTGTCCATTTGGTTCTAAGGACTGTCCATCAGGAGTGAGGGAACACTCATCAACAATCTTTGAATGTTGAAGTAAAAAGGGATTGGATTGTTATCAGTGCCAGGTTCCTAGTGTGATAAGGTACTATAGCTATGCAAGATGTTACCACTGGGGGAAACTGGGTGAAGGGTATATGGGATTTTCTCATATTACTTCTTACAGCTGCTTATGTATCCACAATTATCTCAAAATTAAAGTTTTTTAAAAAGGATGGGAGATAATCAAGTTTAATGCCTTCTATTTTTTGGTTTGTTTGTTCTTACTAGATTTAGAGTTATATCTAACTACCCTTTACAGGTTACTTTTTCTTACAGAAGCAAAGTCTGTTTTAAAAAAGAGAGAGAGAAAAATCCCAAAAAATAGGAAGAAAAACAAAAGTAGAACAAATTATGCTTACTTCTACTTCATGAATTTGATGATGGTATACATTTTGGTGTATTTGTTTTCACGTGACTTTTACAGAGTTAAAAATAATACTCTTTTTGTTTGTCTTTTATAGAAATAGGGTCTCACTCCATTGCCTTGGCTGGCGTCCACTGGAATGATCATAGCTGACTGTAGCCTCAAACTCTTGGACCCAAGCATTTCTCCCGCTTTAATCTCCCAAGAAGTTAGGACTGCAGGTGTGCACCAACATGATCATTTTTTTTTTAATTTTGTAGAGATGGGGTCTTGGTATGTTGCCCAAGCTTGTCTTGAACTCAAGTGATCATCATACACTGGCCTCCCAAAGTGCTGGGATTATAGGTGGGAGCCACTGCACCTAGCAAAATAATACTCTTAATATTGTACTTTTGTATATTTAATTTTGTATTATGGCTTTTAAAATTAACAATTGAGAAAGAAAACAGCAGCCTCTTATATTGGGGGCTGGCCAGGCATTCACAAGCAGGCCTTGGCATTCTCCTGCTGAACAGGAACAATTTCACAGAACACAACCGTCAGACAAGGCCACTCTGTGTCCATGATATGGACCTAAACAGAAATAAGACCATTCGTAGTCATGTCTGATCACAGACAAAACACAAACATTCTCCAAACCACAAAATAACCAAAGAAAGTATCCCTCATCTTGGCCAATATGAGTGACTGTTGTTTCTCTATCAATTACAGCTTTAGCTTCAGTCTAGTCTTCCCTCCTAGGTAAGATTTATTAAGATGTGGCCAGGCACAGTGGCTCATGCCTGTAATCCCTACATTTTGGGAGGCTGAGGCAGGTGGATCACCTGAGGTCAGGAGTTCGAGACCAAACAGGCCAACAGGATGAAGTCTCATCTCTACTAAAAATACAGAAAATTAGCTGGGTGTGATGGCAGGTGCCTGTAATCCCCAGCTATTCGGGAGGCCTGAGGCAGGAGAATCACTTGAACCCGGGAGGTGGAGGTTGCAGTGAGCCAAGATCATGCCATTGCCCTCCAGCCTGGGCAACAAGAGCAAAACTCTGTCTCAAAAAAGAAAAAAAAAATTAACAAAAAAAGATGCTCAGTCTTAGAATTCCCCTTATTTTCTGGCAGCATCCAATTCAGAACAAAGCCATAGTCCTCAAAGCCCTTTCCAAATAATTCATCACAAGCCCAAATTCTGTAAGTCCTTTCTAACACCTTACTGAGACGCCCCACAGTTCTCTGTGGTGCCCATTCTCCCTTGCTGCAATGAGTAATAAGCTTAGCTTGTTCAACTACAAGTGTGTTTCTGGTGGCCTTTTGCTGGAGGGCATTGAAACAAGATTATAAACATTCAACTGAGCTATGGCACATGCATCTTCATTCTCCTTTTTAATAGTTGCATTATGTTCCATTCAATGAATGGCCCATAGTTCATTTGACTCTAATGATAGACCTTCAGTTATCCTTCAGGTTCTCCATTTTGTAAATACCACTGTGACATGCACCTTCTTACATAAATATTTCTGGTGATTTCCTCAGGTAAAATTAATAGAATTCCCAAGACAAATAGTTGGACATTTTTAAGGCCTTTGATGCATATTGTCTCTCTCTTCATTTTATAGAGGAGGAAACTGAGAAACAGATGGAAAATGACTAGTCCAAAATCAATAACTATCTAATATCAGGTTCAAGACAAAGATTTCCTGACTCTAAACACAGCTTTCTTTAATTTTTTTAGACTACAATGGGAGATGTGTGCATATAAATCAATAAATTAAGAGTTTCAGCTGGGCACGGTGGCTCATGCCTATAATCACAGCAGTTTGGGAGGCCCAGGCAGGAGGATCACTTGAGGTCAGGAGTTCAAGACCAGCCTGGATAACATAGTGAAACCTCGTCTTTACTAAAAATACAAAAAAATTAGCCGGGCGTGGTGGCATGCACCTATATTCCTCACTACTTGGGAGGCTGAGGCAGGAGAATCGCTTGAACCTGGGAAGCAGAGGTTGTAGTGAGCTGAGATCTCACCACTCCACTCCAGCTTGGGTGACAGAGCAAGACTCCTTCTCAAAATAAATAAATAAAAGTTTTATGTGATATCCACTTAAGGTTGATTTATAGTCACTGAGATTATAGGGACCCAACATGGGGTAAATCCTGTGAGCAGTTCTCAGCCATGCTGAGGTTCTCTGAAACCATCTTGCACTCAAGTCTCTCAGGCCACTGCGGACAAGGATCCTTCCTAAGTGCTTTGGGTGCGTAGGTCCTGTAGGTACTAATCCTAGAACCTGTGGGCCCAAGGGAGCCTAGAGCTGCCATTTGTCCTCTGGGAAAGAAAACAAGCCAGCATTTCTCTAATGGGTGAAGACAACCAGGCCCATAAGGTGCAACCAATCAGTCCCAGGGAGACATGAACCTGTTTCTTCCATTGGCTAATAAGAGTCATTCCCGGCCAACCAAATACCCAAAGTAAGAGAAACGCAACATTTGTTTTATCCCCCTCTGTTTTTGCCTATGCTGTTTTGGAAGCTATTTCATAGTCTTTATAGCCAGTTTTCTATTCCTAAGTTCTAGAACTTATATTCATTCATGTGTTTATTCCCTCATTCCTCAGGTATTTGTGGATTGTTTTCCGAGTACTGAGGATATAGAGATAAAATAAGACATGATTCCAGCCTTCCCTGAGTTCACACCATCCTGGAGGAGGCTGTCATGCAAATATTGACAGCCTACTCTGCCTAGAGTTAAATATATGTCAGTCCTGGAACCCCAAAAGCAGGAGGTAGAGTTAAGTCCTGCCAGGGAAGTCTTAGAGGAACTCACAGAGGTGACATTTGAGCTTTGTTTTAGTAATTTAGCAAAGAAAGAGAGTATGGAAAGAAGAAAGAGAACATTTTAGAGCTAAGGCTGAGTAAGTACAAAGAGGGGTGGAAGTGAAAGAATATATTCTGCACCCAATGGGGCTAAATCTTTCCAGTCTAGAGCCCAGACTTCTTGCCTTGTAATCAGGTAGAACTGGTTCAATTTCTGGCTGCATAGTGCAGATGATATTGGACCTTAGGCAGGTGTCTTTACCTCTTTGGAGCCTTGCCTCCCCATCAGAAAAATATAAATGATAAATACAGGCTGTGTTAGGTTATTACGAGGACCAAATGTAAAAACAAATGCGTAAGTTTTTAGCACCAGGCCTGACATTTTAAAAAGCACAAAATAAACAATAAAAGATTTTCAGTAAAAGTTTTGTTTCTTTGTTCTTCCACTTGGGCCGTTCTGGGAAATACCCTGCTCAGAGAACCACAGTGATGAGCCTTGTGTGAGGTTAGCTTAGCTTACATGAATTCCATTTGCTCTTTATCGAAGGCTCTGCTCTGGAAGTAGTCACAAATCTTACAAAAACTCAACTGTTAATATAGCACAAGCCTGAAGAGGGGGCACTTACTGAGGACCCAGTGAGAGGAAAAAAGCAAAACGTCTTGCATTGTGTAAAACCTATTTTCCCAGTTGCATTGCATTTTACCTTTTTAAATTTAACAATAGCAGTAAATTTAACTTCAGCATTACCTGCTGACTCTGAATCTAAAGTACCTAGTAGGTGACTCACCTGTTTCTCTCAAGGAAGAGCCACTCACATCAAGTGTATTGGAGAAAGGCAGGGCTACAACCTACCTGATTCACACTGAGAATGTTGACTGCACACCAGGCCCAAATTGTAAGCTTAGTCCAGTAAGGAATCAGGGTCAGGTAATGAAGTGGGTTTGGGGTTAGTGTTGAATCTTGAGAGATCTTCTCCCTTTAACCCAGGATCTGTAACTACTTGGGGCAAGTTTTTCTGATTGAGTCCACTTGGGGAAGCAAAATATTTTAAACTATTCTCAGGAGCCTTCTGTAGACAAAGCATGAAGACACAATTTGAGGGGCCAAATATACTTCCAGGAAGGACACGTGGTATAACAGGGAACTTTGGAATGAGACTCATGGGGTACAAGTATCAGCCCCGTCACTCACTAGCTATGTCTTCTGTGGCAAGTTACTCTACCTCTCTTAGCATCCATGTCTCCATCTATACAATGATTTGATGCACCTTCCTCACCTGGTTGATCTGACGAGTAAGTGAGATCATGCATTTAAAGCATCTGATTCCCCTAGACGTTAATTCAGTCTTGGTTTACCGTCCTTTCCCATCATATTCCTCTTGGTAGCTGCGAACGTGTTTACACTAATTAGGTAGTTCACCAATAGATACTGTGTTGCACAAACCTACACAGCACAGACACACACACTCACATACCCAGATGTCAGCCTTTCAGCTCAAAAGACATATTTCAGGAATGCTGACCTCCATCTCAGCTCTCAGGTTCAGTTTCTGCTCTCTTCCCTCTGCCGTCTCCTCATTCCTGCACCAGACTTCCAGGGTCACCTCAGGGCCACTCGTGCTCTGCAGTGTCATCCCAGCCACCCTTCCACTACATCTCAGCCTCTCTAACCTCCCCACTGGAAACTAACCAGGGTGTTTGTCTCAGTCTGATCTGATTCCATCCATCTGAGAATTGCCCCTGTGCAGTATGGGAAAGAAAAGCAGGCCTCCAGGTTAACTCAGTTAAATAAACATTTACTAAATGCCTTTTTATTTTTCCGGTTGGAAAGTGAATCCTACTCTGTGCCAAGTACTTTATTAGGTACTGCAGATATAGAGGTTGAGTCGTTTCTGTCCTTGATGAGCCAGGGAAGACAGTCATGTCAATAAATAAGCACAAGCCTCTGTAATAAATGCAACCATGGCTATGCATCGGAGACACAGAAGTCACACATGAGATAGTCGGGTTTCTTCTGCTTGGAAGGAAGTGAGTGGATGGAAGAAATGTAAAGATAAGATGACAAGTCTGAAAAAAGGGTTTGAAGGATGAACAAAAGAGGAAAGCACACTGCAGACAAAGGAAGCAACAAAAAATGGACCTAAAATATCCCAATAAGTCAGAAAAATCTAACTACTGGATCAGAAGACACAAGGAGAGAAGGAGAGTCAAACTAGAAAATTTACAGATAGGCAAATCATGGAGAGGGGGGCGGGTTCCCAAGCTACGTGCAGGGGGAAGTGACCTTCCTTGCCCCATCAAGAAGAGACTTTGAATGTTATCATGAGAAGGAATGATGCCGTGTGACTTCTGTTGCAGAAGCTCATAGAAGCTGGAGGTGGGGGTGGTATGTTGGGATCAAGCCCTGAGGGAGGCGGGCAGGGAAAATAGGAAGCACACCTCACCAAGCTCACAGGAACCCGCAGGACCCGTGTAGGTGCCAAAGTGGGGCTGAGGATCAACTGGCCCGTTCATTTAGCTCTTCAGGAGCCCTAGCCAATCACTGGCTAGGAACCACCTCCTAATATCATTAAGTACAACATTGGGGTGAAAGGCAGGGAATTGGCACTTTTTTTGAGAGAGAGAGAGAGTCTCGCTCTGTCACCCAGGCTGGAGTGCAGTGGTGTGATCTCAGCTCACTGCAACCTCCGCCTCCCCGGTTCAAATGATTCTCCTGCCTCAGCCTCCTGAGTAGCTGGGATTACAGGCACGTAATCCTAGCCTGGCTAATTTTTGTATTTTTAGTAGAGATGGAATTTCACCATGTTGGTCAGGCTGGTCTCGAACTCCTGACCTCGTGATCCACCCTCCTCGGCCTCCCAAAGTACTGAGATGACAGGCGTGAGCCACTGCGCCTGGCCAGAATTGGCAGTTTTCAATCAGCAGGCAGAATATTTCCAGAAGTTCCTTTTCACTAGCACCCGGGTCTGGTGCCAACCTTCCCCCAGGCTAATCTCTTGCCGTCAGCCAATGTGGCCCATATTCTGGCAGAGGGAGAGGACAGGGTTGAGGAGAGAAGATATTTCTTTCCCAGAGTCCTTGAGTGACTACTTCTGCATGGTTTACCTTTCCTAGTGCTCCAGCACCTCCTCCAGTTCTGACCCTGATAAAGTGGGATGTTACACAGCAGGACTCGCCCCATTGGAGGAGGAAATACTGATGAGGAGGGTGTATCAACCCAGATGGATTGCTTCCCAGAGGACGCCTGCACGCAGATGCTCCCACACCCACTCAGATATTCCCGCTGGTTGTGCGGCCCCGCACAGCCCAGATGCGAGGTGCGGGAGGAGGGGCTTTAGTACTTCATTTTCCTGAGACATTCCCTGGGAAAGCTCTTCCTTCTTCCAATCTTTTCTGCCATTCATTTGTTCTCTTCTTGTGGTGGTACCAGCTGAATTATGGTAAATAACTCATTTTAGGCTATTTTTGAGGGCTTCAGTCATTATTGGACACCACCTGGACATCAATGTCCAGTCATTGTATGGGTCACTTTGGTTAGAATACAGTGCCCAGTTGTTGGACAAGTCTAGGTGTTGCCGTGAAGATTTTTTTTTAGAAGTAAGTGATATTAAAATCTGTAGACTCTGAGTAAAGCACAATGTGGGTGGGCCTCATCCAATTAGTTGTAGGTCTTAAGAGCGAAGACTGAGGTTTCCTGAAGAAGAAATTTGACCTCAGGACTGCAGTATAGAAACTTTGGCTGCGTTTCCAGCATACCTGGCCTACCCTTTGGATTTCAGACTAGCCAGATTCTACAATCACATAGGCCAATTCCTTTAAATCTTTCTCTCTCTCTCTCTCTCCTCTCTTTCTGTGTGTGTGTGTGTGTGTGTGTGTGTGTGTGTGTGTGTGACTGGTCTGCTTCTCTGAAGAACCCTAATACACCAAGACACTTAGAGCTCTTTATTGCCACAATGTGTGTTTGGTCTGCTTTACATTTAACCGTTAATGTTAGGAAAATCAATAATGGTAAACTGTAACCCAAGGGGGACCTCGGGGATTTCTTGACAGTTGTCCTTGGATCTAATTCTTCAAAAGATAGCACTGACTGACGAATTAGGTGAATGAAAAAAGTGATTCATCTGTACATTAAGGCGGGATTGGAAGGTGGTGCTATCATTTTAGGGGAAAATGTCAGGCTGTGAGCTTAGAATTTCCATTCCTAACGGAAAGCCATTCCATAAGGTTGTTCCAATGAAAGAAAAATAGTAAGCATTCTTTCAATGTCTATTTTCTTTTGTTCCCTGGATCAGGGTTAAAGGTTTTCCCCTAAAGGGCACATACATATTTATGAGCTAAATGGACTTATGGTGCCTAGGTTGTTACCTCTCAAATGGATAGAGACTGAGCACCTCCTTGCCGTCACCTAATACCTCCTTTCCAATCACCTGGGTAACATCTGCGGCCCATGATTGAGGTGGTGGCATTGGGCAGGGATCTCTAATCTTTGATTATGGCTTTGGGAGGCCAATGTCATTGCTGAGCATATTGCACAGTCAACTTGTAGAGGGGATGGTGAGAAGACCAGGGTGGTGAGGTGGTGGTAATTGGGATTCCTAACTCACAAAGCAGTTTCACATTCAGTGTTTTTCTGATGCTCCTATTTATCTCATAGGCAGAGAACAGCCACTATGGCTCCCATTAAGCAGATAAAGAGGCTGACGTGCAGAGAATCAGGTGACTTGCCCAAGTTTTCAGAAGCAGTAAGCAGTTATCCTGTCATCAGAATCCAGGCTTTTGCATCTGAATCCTCATACATTGCCATTTATATTCCTGCTGCCTGGAATGCAGTGACACTACATACCCATACATACATACTACATTACATGCCTTCATCTCTTTTTGAAGTTATTACTAAAACACTGGCCATTAAAAATGCTTCTTTCAGCCGGGCACAGTGGCTTATGCCTGTAATCCCAGCACTCTGGGAGGCTGAGGAGGGTGGGTCAACCTGAGGTCAGGAGTTCAACACCAGCCTGGCCAACAGGGCGAAACCCTGTCTTTACTAAAAAAAACAATACAAAAACATTAGCCAGGCATGGTGGCAGGTGCCTGTAATCCCAGCTACTCGGGAGGCTGAGGCAAGAAGATCGCTTGAACCTGGGAGGCGGAGGTTGCAGTGAGCCGAGATCATGCCACTGCAATCTAGTCTGGGCAACAGAGTGAGACTCTGTTTCAAAGAAAAAAAAAATGTTTTTTTCATGCATAAAAACGTTTTGGATCTTAAAGAAGTAATAAAACTACCCCTCCCCCACCACCAAAACTTGATTCAGATGTTTTCAGAAGGCATTTGTTCCACAGCTCTTTACTGAGCACCTAGTATGAGGAAGGCACCGTATGGTGTGATGCCGAGTAACACACAGCCCCTGCCCTGGAAGAGCTGAATCTCACAGGGGAGCTGAGATGTGTGTATGGAATATTAGAATCACATATTTTATATCTGAATGGTCGTAAAGGTTAAAGCGGCTCTAGGGCCCCCCTCTTTCATCAGAAAAGGGGCCCCAGAGGTTGGCAACCTGCAAAAGCCACACAGAATTCTAGCAAAAGAGTCTCTTGGCTCCTCGTCCGAAGGTCGGTCCACTTCTCTGCACTGCTGTTGGTTAATACAAGTGAGAGTATATGAAAGCCCCTGCACCAAGGAGCCCTGGGACGCCACAGGATATTTTAAATTTCTAAGGGAAATACAGCAGGGATTTCTGAGGGATATTTGTCAGACTCCATGTGAACTAGTATTTCCAATTAGCTTCCCATTTCAACATGCACAAAATTCCTTTTGATGATGTCATATCAAGCTGTGTCTTAAAACTGTTTCGTGCCCAAGAGCAATTATCGAAAAAAATCAAGATGGAACAGGAAATAAGGGCGGTGTTGTCCCATCTCATTTCAAGGCTTGAGAAGCTGTGAGGCCCCGGGGCACATATGTCCCATTAGTAAGTAATTGTGGTAATCTAACAAAAAAAAATTTCTTCTTTATATATGAATAAGTTTTTCATATGGCTGCCAAGTTGTTAGAACATAAAGACTTTAGTTGTTTGGACCTAATAACTTAAAAAGTAGACTAGGAATATCTTTTGGCCTAGAGTTGCCGAGACTATTTTAAAAGTTTAGGGACCTCTGCAAATTGAAGCCTTGCTACTCTAAGTATGGTCCCCCAATCAGCATCTTTTGATGTCACCTGGGAGCTCATTACAAATGCAGAGCCTCCCGCCCCACCCAAATCAGAATTTCATTTTTACAAGATCCATAGGTGATTTGTAAGCACTTGATTAATATTTGAAAAGGATTGCATAGGCAGGGTGCAGTGGCTCACGCCTGAAATCCCAGCACTTTGGGAGGCTGAGATGGGCGGATCACTTGAGGTTGGGAGTTTGAGACCAGCCTGACCAACATGGAGAAACCCTGTCTGTACTAAAGATACAAAATTAGCCAGGCATGGTGGTGCATGCCTGTAATCCCAGCTACTTGGGAGGCTGAGGCAGGAGAATCGCTTGAACCCAGGAGGCGGAGGTTGCAGTGAGCTGAGATCATGCCATTGCACTCCAGCCTGGGCAACAAGAGTGAAACTCTGTCTCAAAAAAAAAAAAAAAAAAAAAAAAAAAAGCACTGCCTTTAAGTGTCATGAGGGCAGTATAAGCAAACGTCCCAGGCCTGCTATTGCCTCATCAAACCATACAGAAGGCATCTATCCGCTGGGGTCAGACTTCAGATCCTGCCCTGGACACTTAGTAGCTGTGGATGTTAGGTGACATTGTGAACTTTGAATTTCAGTTTCCTCATCTGTCAAGTGAGAATAACAGCTGCTTCTGTCACCTTGGGGTAGTCATAAATGTTAAATGAAATAATGCTTACAAAATAGAATGTCTGCTCCTGAGTAGAAGGTGAAAAAACAACCGTTTCTTTTTCCTTTTGGGTCTGTGGCTCTAGGGCATGTTGTTTGTCTTCTTCTGTGCCTTTGATAGATTATAATTGCAGAAGTGGCGAAATTGTATATACGGTCATCCCTCCGTATCTGTGGGAGATCGGTTTCAGGACCTCCTCCTCATACCCAAATCCAAGGATGCTCAAGTCTCTTATATAAAGCGGCATAGTATTTGCATATAACCTATGCACATCCTCCCATATATGTTACATCATCTCTAGAATACTTATAATACCTAATACAATGCCTACACATTCACGTGGATTCAACAGTGCATTGCTGTGTGCAAATTTTTTTGTGGATTTTTTTTCCCCAAATATTCTCAATCCATAGTTGAGTGAACACAAGGCTGTAGTACCCACAAATACAAAGGGCTGATTGATTGTAGAGTCAGTGGGGAGATGAACGCCCATGAGAACAGCCAAGCACATGCAAAGACGCACTCTCGTTCCAGGTCTTGTACCAGCAGGTACTCCCTGGAAATGTGGGCAGGCTTGCCTTAGGGATTTCTTTGTCCCTACAATGAGGCCTGTAGACAGAGAAAAACTGGCTGTGGGCTTGATTTTTAAGTTTTCCAAGGGCAGCCCGAATAATCCTGCCTAATAGACAAGGACACATTCTTCCCTAAGACTGTGAGTTCCCCAAACTGGAGACCCAGGTTCACTCCTACTGGATCCACCCCACACCTAAGGCAGTGCCTGGAGACTGGAAGGGCTCAATATGTGTTTGCTGACTTGAGTGGAACGTACCAAGCCAGCCTCCATTCTTCTCTATCCTGGGAAACCTTGGTCCAACCGTGTGGCTTTTTTCCCTACACACCACCGCCACCTGCAGGAAAAATTGTCACATTGCAGTTGCTTGCTAATGCTAGAGCCTTTAACACTTGGGAAACACTGATTTGGAATCTGCGTGTTCAATGTGTTGTGATCCTTCATGCAAGGTTGAGGTTTATTTCTGCCTGGCAAAATGTTTTTTTCTCACAGATAAAAATGTTATAGAGTTAATGCTATGGGTGCACAAAAAAGGAGACATGATATTCCAAATTATGAGAATCCCTTGTGTGGGGGGAGGCTCAGTGTAAAATTAGGTGGGGAGGCCGAATCAAGTTTCCTTCAGGCATCTGCAAAGTAGCCACTTAACGCAGTTGATGTTCTAATTACAAACTAGTTGTTCATTATAACAACTCTTCTAATTCTTTTTTTCCCCCTTTAAAAAAAACAAAACAAAACAGAGTCTCACTCTGTCACCCAGGCTGGAGTGCAGTGGTGTGATCATGGCTCACTGCAGCCTTGACTCCTGGGCTCAGGTGATTCTCCTGCCTCAGTGTCCCAAATAGCTGGGACTACAGGCATGCACCACCACACCAGGCTAATTTTATTTTATTACTTTTTTATTTTTATTTTTATTTTTTTTTGTAGAGACGGTATCTCACTTTGTTGAGCAAGCTGACCTTGAACTCCTGGCCTCAAACAATCCTCTCACCTCAGCCTCCCAAAGTGCTTGCATTACAGGTGTGAGCCACCATACCCCACCAACTCTTCTAATTCTAACCATAGCTATAGAAAAAAATATATAGATAAATGAATACCACCACCATTAACCTAGTTTGGTCTCTTTGCTTCATATACAATAAAACTGTTTCTTTTGAAACCCAGAATCAAAAATGTAGCTTTTCAGTAGTTCAGACTGACATGCCAACATAAGTCTGAATTCACTCTCAAATATAAAACATTGCCTCTACTCCAAGATATTGTAGTGTAGAAAAGTAAGTCCAGGCTGGGTGCAGTGGCTCATGCCTGTAATGCCAGCACTTGGGGAGGCTGAAGTGGGCGGATCACCTGAGGTCAGGAGTTCGAGACCAGCCTGGCAAACATGGTGAAATCCTGTCTCTACTAAAAATACAAAAATTAGCTAGGTGTGGTGGTGGGTGCCTGTAATCCCAGCTACTCGGGAGGCCAAGGCAGGAGAATTGCTTGACTTAGGAGGCGGAGGTTGCAGTGAGCCAAGATCGCACCATTGCACTCCAGCCTGGGTGAGAGAGCGACACTCCATCTCAAAAAAAAAAAAAAAAAAGTCCATTTCTTCTGCAATAACCATTCAAAAACACTCTAGTTTTGATCATCATAAATAAGGAGAGGTAAGAACCAGAGATTTAAGCCCTGTTTGCCTCAAAGGACTGTTATATAGGTTAAATAACAGCATAGAAAACCTGAAAAACCCTAGTAGATGCCCATAGGGATTTGTCTCCTTCCCCTTTGGGCTGGAGTTCCTTTACCTATCCCTGCCCACCTTTCCGCTGCTGTCACCCAGTCCTCTCCTGTGCCCCAGTGCTGGCATCAGCTTTAGACGATGCTCAGTGTACACCTCCCTCCAGCCACGCAGCCTAGCAGGCCAGTGCGAGACCCAGGAAGAGTCGAGGGTGAGGTGAGAAGGGCTAAAGAGAGGATACATGAGCCCAATCTCAATGGAATCAGGGTGTATCAGTCTGTTCTCACGCTGCTAATAAAGATATACCTGAGACTGGGTAATTACAAAGGAAAGAGGTTTAATGGACTCACAGTTCCGCATGGGTGGGGAGGCCTCACAATCATGGCGGTAGGTGAATGAGGAGCAAGTCACATCTTCACGGTGGCAGGCAAGAGCGCTTGCGCAGGGGAACTACCATTTATAAAACCATTAGATCTCCCGAGACTTATTCACTACCATAAGAACAGTATAAGGGAAACTGCCCCCAGGATTCAGTTATCGCCACCTGGCCCTGCTCTTGACAGGTGGGGATTATTGCAATTCAAGGTGAGATTTGGGTGAAGACACTGCCAAGCCATATCACAGGTGCTGCTTGAAAAGCAACCCAGCTAGGAGAGGCATTTCTGCAAGGCCATCCCAGGGGGCATAATTCCCATAGCACCAAGCCGCCATGGGCCAGGAGGGCAGCAAGCCCAGGGGCTTCTTGGAGATGGTGGCCAGCTGGTGAGGAAAAAATAAGACTTGGGACTCAGGAAGACCTGGGTTGGAACAGAAGCATCCCCAGGTGCCACCTGTGTCACCTGAAGCGGGGCACAGAGCACTCTCAGCCTGCATGTTCTCCCAGGTAGACCAGGATGGTAATGGCTGCCTCAGGATGTGGTGAGTATGTGATGAACTAGCACAGGAAAGCCTGTGCCATGGAGACCTTCTCACAGGAAATGCTCAGGACGGGTTTGTTCTCCTTGGAGAATACCAGTTCCCCTCCTGACTTCATTCCCCTTCCCCCACACCCCTGCCCCCCACATATACATATGCATGTACCTCATCCTACACCCCTATAAATGCCCCCACCTGCCTGTTTCCATCCTCAAATCCTTGACTTCCTTCTGCTCATGCTGTCTGATTACCTATTGAGTTCTTCTTGCAGAACTCTGGAAGATTTCCTGTTCACTAAAACGTCAGTGATTGACGTCAGCAGTAACTTTTAGACACACACACACACACACACACACACACACACACACACCAGCTCTTCTGGAGCAAATTTTAGTGATGATCTCATCTTTATATGAGTGGAATAAAGCCTCACTCAGGCATCAGCCAGTTCAAGGAAAATTTATAGAAAGGGTAGGGTGCAAGAGAGCCTTCATGGGGTCCCTAGAAATCTACGCCATGGGTGAGAGGGAATGCCCTTGTTTTATAAAGGCTCCTGGAAGCATCGTGATCTTGATGGGAATGTAAATAATCATTCATTGAGCACTGACCATGTGTCGGGCACTATGTTATGAGCTTTAGTGCATTTTCTAATGTAATCATTCCGGCTGCTAGGATATGCACTTAATCCAAAGAAAGTGGTTACTTGAAGGATTGGATCATTTGTCCAAGGTCACACAGCTAGCAAGCCATGGAGCTACAGAATAAGTTCAATAATGGAGGTGTGCTCAGAAGCCCAGTGCACGAGTGGAGGTCCTCCTTATGGTCACGTAGAAGCACACTCTCAGTGCAGGAAAGGGAACCAGTTTGGTGAACACTCAGTCAGTGTTGCCCTCTCCCCCAACTAAACAAAAATGTAAAACCCTAGAATTAGTGTCCTCACCCAAGGAGAACCAATTAGGCACCCAAAATGGTGGTCTCAAACAGCAGTCTGCAAATGGGATTTGCCCACCATGTGGATCATGAACTTTCAGAGGGCACATTGACGTAGAACACTTTAAATAATTTAGTTTCCTAATTTTTGACTTTACTTTCTCTCTCTTTCCCAAAACCGATCTGCCTGAGAACTGGCCTACACGTTCATGCAGGCTGTCATTTCCTATCTTACCTTTTCCCACTCTACAAAAGGAAGGCATGCCATGAAATACTGGCTGTGTAAGCCTCTCTAGCACTTGTCTCCCCATGTCTTGCACCTTTTGCTCTGAAGGGCTAGAATGTGGCATTTCCACTCTCTTTGAGCTGCCCTCATGGGATTCCTTTGGATGGCAATGGGCTCTTTGCTGCTATTTAGGGAATTCTGCAAACAAAGTCACCCACTATGCCACCCTCCAACATGACACAAGAAAAATAACAATATTGGCAAAGGTGTGTTATAACTAATGTTTCTTTTTTTCCAAGCAGTGAATGACTAACATACATATGTTATGTATACACATGCAGACAGGCACATATAGATATCTAATTTATAATCATTTGATGAGTCTAAGTAAGACTTTTAGTGCACTTTAAAAAATTGAGAAAGTGCATGATTCAAATGCCTGGGTTATAAATCCTTCTCCAACTCAAGTAGTTTCCAATTCTTCACTTATAACAAAATTGAAATAAGATCTATTTAAGCTGTCAGAATGCTAGATTACCATGTGCTTATTTTTGACACATTACCCAAAGAGAGTTCAAAGATTTAAGGAACATTACTATAATAAAACTTCTTCTATTTCCATATCCTTATTTATGTGAACTAGTTTTCTCAATGCTAAAAATGAAACATCATATCATTCTAGCAATAAATAATATATGGCAATGGATTCATGTACTAATTGAGGAAAAATGCCTCACTATCTCATCAAGGATTGCATTTTCAGGCCAGGCACGGTGGCTTACATCTGTAATCTCAGCACTTTGGGAGGCTGAGGAAGAAGGATCATTTTAAGTCAGGAGTTTGAGACCAGCCTGGGAAACGTAGCAAGACCCTGTCTCTACAAAAAACTGAAAAATTAGCCAGGAGTGATGGTACATGCCTGTAGTCCCAGCTACTCAGGAGGCTGAAGTGGGAGGATCTCTTGAGTCTAGGAGTTTGAGGCTGCAGTGATCATGCCACTGCACTCCAGCCTGGCCAACAGACAAAGACCCTGTCTCAAAAAAAAAAAAAATAGAATTGCATATTGTACATTTTATGTTTACTAATTTGTTTAACGATATTTATAATATAATGTTGTTTTGATCTTTTAGTCTCAGCTTTGTGGTGCTGTGACTTTTCACCTTTTTTATTTCTATTTTTCTTTATATTTTATCTTTCCTGAGTATTATTACTTATGAGAAATTTGGAAAGTCTACATAAGGTGATGGTAACTAGATTAACTGGTTTTAGCTGAATTTTACATCTTTCTAAAGTTTCATAATATATACCTTACCTTATCCAGCTTCAATCCTTTACCATATTTTAACTTCATATTTTTAATCTTTAACTGTTCCTATTCTAAAATAAATTTATCCACTCAATTATGTGCAGTATTATCAATTTTCTCATTCCTTTCCTTAACTAATATAATCTCTCAAATTGTTACATTATTTCACTTTTCTCTAAATTTCATTCTACTATGTTTTAACTGCTTTGTATCTTATTTTTCACTTTAATTTTCACATGTATTTTCAGTTATTTTTACCCATTTTCATCTTCTTTAGACTTCTAACAAGGTTCTGGTGACTGGGTTTTATTCCAGCCTATATTTTACCTGCCTGTAGCAAGAAAGTTTTGTCTTCCTTTTAGGCAGTTACAGACATATTCTCCCAGAATGTGGCTCATCATAGGGATCAGGAAGAAATGAGCTTACCTAGGGATGAAGACAAGCTTTGGTATGACTGGCATGAAAGGCATAAGGGGTGGAAAATGGCTGTGGCTGCAGAAGATACTGGGGAGGGAGGCAGGGACCAGGTCCCATGTGCCCCAATTCTCTTCCTGCAGCCTCCCCAGAGTTAACAACTTCTGTTTTCACAGCTCAGGCATAGCCCTCATCACATTGTTTGCTAGCTATTTGCTCCTAAAACTATCTGCCCACTGGATGAGAGCTCCGGAGACCTAAGACTGTGTTTTAGTCACTGCTGCATTCTTAGCACCTGAAACAGGAAAGGAATTTGACCAATATTATTGAACAAAGGAATGAATCAGTGGTATTCTAGATCAGGAATAAAGGCATGAAGAAAGAGAATGAGACTGGTACACATTTGTGGACAATGAGTACACGCATCCTGCACATTCCAGTAAGAAAACAATAAAGAACAAACGTCCCATCGGACTTCCACTTGCTCATGAAGACCCTGAGTCCTGTGCTCTTCCGGCACTAACCAGTTTGTAACATAAACTCAGAAGCCAACACTTTCCTAAAGCCATTTGCTGATGGCTGCCTAGACTATGCAGTTTCTGTTTCTTTTAATAACTACAAGTTTCTTATGAATTAGAGCCTTGGGACTACATTTTAACCGAATTCAAGCAGCACAAGCCAGCTGTGGTGGTGCACACCTGAAGTCCCAGCAACTTGGGAGGCTGAGGCGGGAGGATCCCTTGAACCCAGGTGTGTTCGAGGCCACCCTGGGCAGCACAAGGAGACCCTATCTCTAAAATTATTTTCTAAAGCAGCACTTGCCAATCTTCCTTCACTGAAACACCACACTGGTGTTACATTCTCCCCTAAGATCTTTGCGTTCCACATTCTCAAAGATTAATTCACGGAACCCACCTAGGCCACCAAAAGTCATGATAAATATAGTTGAGGGGGAGGACAGGTGGACCAGGAACATTTGGAAATTGTGTAGTGTGGTCCTTTTGAAGTTTCTAGTTCTATTTTGAACCTTCTTCTGAGCACCTGGCCAGCCAATCAAACTGCTCACTGTGTGTCTTATAAACTCTGCAAATGCAAAACTGTTTTCTATTCTGTCCCCAGTGTGGTCCCTCTTCACCTTCCCCACCCTACTCCAATGATCTCTCAGTAATCAGTGCCTACATTCGCCCTCACTGGTGCCCAAACTCTCTTCAACTCTCTATCCAAATTCTGTTGATTCTACTTCCCAAGTTCATAACAAATCTACTATCTCTCTATTTCCAATGCCACCCCCTAGTCTGGCCTCAATTCCTCCCTATCTCTATAGTTTTTTTGTTGTTGTTGTTATTGACTTCTTAATTTTTTCTCCTACCCTCTACCAATCCATCTCCATTTGGCAGCCACAGCAATCTTTGTGAAATATGACTTTTATCCTGCTGGGATCCTGCTAAGTCTTTGTAAAAACTATTTTCATTACATTTAATATCAAGTCTAATCCATAACATGATGTAGCCCTTGCTTATCCTGAGAGTCTCATCTTATGCCAGCCTCCTAGTTGTTCACTCTGCAACCATAACACGGGCCTTCTTCGGATCAAAAGTGTATGCTCTTTGCTCCCGCTCTTCCCCCTCCTTGGAATGTGCTTATCTGTCCTTCAGATGCCTGAGGCTGCAGCCCTGCCACAAGTAAGACAGGAGAGTCAATAGGAGTATAAGAAAAAATGACAGTTTCCACTTCAGAGGACGCTAGAACCATGCTGTCAATGACTGAAGTCATAAAACCACATCAGCATTGAGAAGTTCGCTGGAGGATGCAGTGTGTGTGTGTGTGTGCGCACACACACACACACACACCAATTCTGTTCTGCAAAAAAGTAAAATAAAACTAATGTGTAAGCATTTCACTCAAATTTCAGGGAAGCAGGGTTTTCTACTTAATTAGAAACTGGCTTCTGGAGTAACAACAGAAATACTAACTTAACAGCAACTTAAAGAAATAATAGGGGTTTATTTTTCTCATACAGTAGTAACTCCCAAGAAGTCAGCCAGGGCTGGTGTAGCAGTTCAGTAATTTAATTGGAGCCCAGGCAAATTCAGTCTTTCTGCTCTGCCACATAGAGCATGTCAGATTTCATTTCCATGATTGTCATGAACTCATGGGCTGCTATATCTCCAGGCTCAAGTGGGCACTCCAGGCAGGAAAAGGAGAACTGGAAGAGGCTGCCCCCAGATGTAGGACAACTGGGAAGTTGAGTGTTTAGTGTTTACAGCTTCTCTAGAAGAGACAGGCGGGGGAACAGCCTTAGAAATGGAAGTTGGGTCAGCATTAGCATACTAAGATTAATAAATATACATTAATGGTGCTGTAGTCATTATTATTTCCATATGTAAAATATCATGGATATTGTCATTTATTTAGAGTTCTGTCTTTATTATATTTACTATGATTCCTACAGTTCCTCTCACACTATTTCCCTGAGCTCTATTTTCTTCACAGATTAAGGTTTCTTTATGTAGACAAACACACACACACACACACATACACCTAAACAATATGAGTTTTCAAGAAGCTAATCCCTGTGTTTGATGAAGAAACAAACCTATACAGAAATGTAGTGAATGAAAATGGTATACTTCACAACCTGCTTGCACTTTTGAAATCTAAGACTACATTCATCCAGCTAAAAACTACCTTGAAGGATTCCCTGAAACTCATGCCTCTACAGGACACCAGGTGGCAGTGCAGCCTAAGAAGTGACTGTGAGCGTATCAGGTGCGATCTGTTGCTTGAGTACATCAAATTAAATAAACCAGTATAATTTTTTGCGTGCCTATGGAAACCTTTGAGCCACTTAATCATCATGGCTTCAATCTCATTTCTAGAAATGATCAAGGCATGATATGCCCTTTCAGTGACACCATTGTATGTGGCTTATTAACATTCAAATTCTTTTAAGATGGGAGGCAGTTCATAGAAAACACAACTGTGCTATCTAACACAACATCTCCCAAGGCATTTTAGCCTAGTTTAGTAAGTGGTGAGATCACACTCTGATATTTGTTTCCAAAATTCGGGAAACTGCAGTACTTTCAGTGGTAGGATGTTTGAGGAAAAGAAAGGTTCAGACAAATTGCCTACTTTTAAAGGTAAGGCTCTAAGGGCTGGAGCTGTGTTCCTCTCTTCACCAGGGATTTTGAATCTTAAAAATATAGCAGAGATATGTGAAGAGCAAAGTAGCTTTTTTTTTTGAAAGATACGACATTTCAATCTTTAAACATAAATTTATTTATCTGGATGAAGTGAGATTTTGGCACATAAAGAGATGTTTAACCAGCACAACAGAGCATTAAGATAAAGGCAAAACTATGCTCTCTCTTCATCTATGGATGCTAATTGATTTTAACAGAATGAAAACTCCAGTGGGTTGGAACCAATTGCCTGGCGCTCTGTGTCGAGAAGGTTTCTGAGACTATTTCTAAGCCTGGTGAGAAAAGTTAGTGATTGTCTGCTGGAAGTGGGAGATGAAGAGTGGTAATATTTTCCCTGAATTTATACATTTCCCATCCCTATCTTGTTTCCATTTGGTACCACATCCTCTCATTACATTTTCAAGGATCTGTTTTACATAAAGCACTATGTTGATCACTACGGAGGATATAGTATGAAAAAGAAATGGGATGGTCCCTGCTCTCCAGGAAATGATAATATAGTAGGAAAGCACCAGGATCTATGTAATTTGTGGGAGAATGATTTAAGTGTCTCAAATAAGTAAAATGAGCATGATGAGGAGTAATCCCAGCAAAAGGCCACTTTTACTTGGAGAGATCAGGGACCAAGTCCCAGAGAAGTTGAAAGTTTATGTGGGGCCTAGGAGAACAACTAAGATTTCCAAAGGCAAAAGGCAAGTAAAAGACATTTAATGAAAATGAAGCCATGTGAACAAAAATGAGAATAGACCTGGCTCAGTCAACAAGCAGCTCCATGTGAAGGTAGGTGGTGCAAAATAGTAATAAGTAATAGATGTCACTTCATGAGAAACTTTGTCCTTTGAAAGTTAGTATATTCCCCATGTATTTATTTATTGAACAGAATTGTCTGGTGATATTTATGTCTTTTTGGCTTAGAATATTTGAATTCAAATGCTTTGCACTCATTTGATCTCTTTATGCTGAGTATGGTGGGCGAGTAGGGGAAAAGAGAGACCTTTGAGCAAGGTGTCAGGAGTACCCAGATCTCTCTGTAAAATGTTCGCTTCTCGTTGACAGGTACTGAGTCTTCTCAGTGACTGAGAGAAGCCCTCTGGGTAAGACAGGAGTGGACAAACTTCTCCAACAGTGGAGAATGCACATGTTGGCAAACTTGTTCTTCATGTTTCTCTTGATAAAGCCTCTGCCACTGGTCACTGGAGGTGGGTTTTCTGGCTCCAGGGGGAGTCTGACATGAGAGGGGATATCTCTCTTGCAATGGAGGGCTGTAATTCCTAAGGAAGGAACCCAGAGGTAGAAGCAGAATCCCAGAGAAGAATCAGTGACAAATGTGAAGATGGATTTGGAGGAATGTAAAAGATAAAGACTTTGAGAATGAGTCACTAGGAAAATGATAGTAGCAATAACAGAAATATAGACGTCAGGGAGAAGACTGTACAAGAGCTGCAGGAGAATATGGGAGTGACACTTACAGCACTCCAAGACACTCAGATGAAGAAGTCCAGCAAGTCATTAGGAGTGCAGGTACAGGACTGAGAGAGTGACAAGGACAAATGCATAGATTCAGAAAGTTCAAGGGGAATGGGCCTGTGGAAATATCACTGTGCTCTGGCAGTTTGGATATCTATCCAAAATAGTTGGATTCCATTGCTGACTTTCTATAAAAATCAAATATAAGTATATTTCAGCAGTAGAAACCGGATATGGTTCAGTGGGGGAAACCAGTTTTAAACATGAGAACACAGCTTCCTCTGAGACTTCAGGGAAGAATGAGAATGGTGTAGAGTCAGATATCCACAGAAGTAGGAAACACAAAAATTAGGGAATTTTTTTTTCCCACATGGACTATGCTGTCGACATGTCCTAATTGAGAGGACAGGGAAAAAAAGCCACAAGTTGGAGAAAGAGCCAACCATTTGGATTAACTGATGAGAGGTGGGGAAGATGCATTCAATGAGCAATGGTGCATGGAGGCCAGAGGTCCAAATGTGTGGGTGGTAATGTCAGCTCTTCTCCTAGAAAGGTAGGTAGGTCTTCTTCTAGAAATGCTTCATGACATGGGTTCAGTAGAGGACACAATCAATCCTGGCCTAAGAGGGAGAGGGAAACTCACAATCCTGAGTGTTGAGAAGAATCATGCCATTGCTGCTGGTCCTGAATTCTATGTTGGATGACAGGAGCATGGTTGAATATGAAAAACTTGTGATGCCAGGGAGCAGGCTCAACAAAGGGGCACACCAGAAAAGTCTGTGTGAACAACACAATGCATGGAAAAAATATATAGCAGTGCAATCAAAGGACCTCAATTGAACCTCCTTTCTACCTTTCCTCACTAGTTCTGCAAACTTTCTGAAAAATTTAACCCATTGGCTAATCAACAATAAGGACAGTAAGTCTTCCCACACAGGTTCATTATAAGAGTTAAAAAATATATTAGCATATATTAAAGTGCCAGGAACCTGGTGGGTTCTCAAAAATTATTACCTGGATTTTGAAACCGACTATGCTAGAGCAGTGTTCTATCATTTCAAATTTTTGCCCACTATGATTGTAATCACCTGATGAGTTCTTCCTACCTCCTGCACAGAAAAAAAAATCAGTCCACTGAGATCTCAGCATTGCAGTAGAGAAAGAGTTTAACTGACACAAGGCTGGCCTACACTGGAGAACTTACACTTACTTATCACTTACATCAGTCTCCCTGAAGGCTCCAGGGCTCTGAGTTGAGGAGATTTTATGGGCAAGTTGGTGGGCAGGGGTTAGGGAATGGGAGCTGCTGATTGGTTAGGGATGAGATCATAAGGGTGTGGAAAATGGCCCTCATGCACTGAGTCTGCCCCTGGGTGTGGTCACAGGGTCAGTTGAGTCAGGAGTCACAAGTCCAGGTGGAGTCAGTCTGCAAAACATCTCAAAAAAAAAAAAAAATCAGTCTTGGGTTCTACAACCCTCTGGCCATATAACTCCTGAGCAAGAAAGGATTATAAAAACTGTGCTTACATTTTAGCAGAGTTCAGGCTCCTCCCATAATCCTGTTCTTGTGGCCTTTCGTCAGTCTTACAAAGGCAGTTTTTGGTCCCTGAGCAAGGAAGGGATTAGTTTTAGGGAGGGACTATTCTTATCCTCCCTTTCAAGTTAAACTATAAACTAAATTCCTTCTGAAGTTAGCTTAGCCTACACCCAAGAATAACCAAGGGCAGCTTGGAGATCAGAAGCAAGAGGGAATCAACTATGTCAGATTTCTCTTACTGTCATAATTTTGCAAAGGCAGTTTCACAATCACATATATTTTTCTCTCTTGTTATATTTATTTAGTATCCTTTTACCTTTGTGTCTTACAAAAGTTTGGAATCTTTCTTTACCTAGTGAGTCATAAGAGATGCTGCTAAAAGGGCAATGACCATACATGCATTGTCTCCATAATGACTGATATCTAGACGAGATGGTTCTATAAGCTTGGCTCAGCTGAATCTCTTATTCAGGTGTACAAAACAAAGCATGCCAGTGAACATTCACAGAGAACCCAAGTTGAACATTATGAGTTAAAGATGCAGTTAAAATATGAACATGTGAAGTTAAAATATGCAGATGAGGAGAGTATTCCACAGTTATTATCACTTGTTATTCCCCAAAAGCAGCTTTTCATGTTCTGTGAATGTAACAAAAGTATAATGAATACTCATAAGTCTCCTAGATCAGTCTTAAAAATAAAACCACTAGCAAAGGCCTACTGTCACCATCTATGATGCAGGGCCTTCTCTTGCCTCAACTGGCCTTGCTGACGGCACTTGAGGCTACATCAGGGCCACGCTTGGAGGCCAAGTCATGAAGCCTTCACCCACTCCCACCCTCAGTCCCAGGGCATCCCCAGTTCCAACCTAATTTGACAAACTCTCAATAAATCAGCATGTTGTTCCAACAGAGATTTCTTTTAAATTGAAAATGGATCAAAGAGAATATAATTGATCATGTGAAATTGCAGCCAATGGGAAAACAAACTGAAAGCTTGCTGATGTACAAGTGGCCTTTCATCTAAGGAAGAGAGATTTGGATGAAAATCCTAGACTTAAAAAATAGTGGCTATCAACCATCTCTACCTTCTCCTTCTATCCTGCAGGGACAAGAAATCCTAACAGAGGGATGCTGGAGTGTCTGTTCTATTTCAAAAGCTTGGTGGCTGTGCTCATGATAAGGCTTAACTGGCTTGCAGAAGGAAAAGGTAGGAAGACAAGAGAATTTGCATTCTCTAAGCACCTATAAATGAAAGTCACTGCCCTACCTTTGTGAGGTTGATATTATAACTGAATGGAAAAAAAAATAAACAAGCAGAACTCCTGGGCAGGGTCAAGTGGGGTGGGCAGGAGAGGTGGTGGTGGAAGTGGAAAGGATATATTTATTGGGTTCTTTCCTTACGTGGATTGGTCTTGCCCTAAGGATTGGATTTTGTTTAAGGGAAACACTGCCATTTCAAATCTGCTATGGGTTTTTTGTGCTTATAGGAGTGTGACCCAGAGTCAATGCCCATTGTTTGTCAGGGTGAGCTCACATGTCTTGAAAATATGTGGTGCTGAAAAAATGTGGTGAGCTTCTACGCCTTGAAAATGTGTGGTGTAGGGGGTGAGAAGTGGACCATGCTGCACATTCACAGGAATTTGAATGCAACAGGGGAGGAGAAAGGTCTTGGTAGAAGAAGGGCGAGAAGATGCAGACAAATCGGTGCTTCGGGAATCCACAGCCTGTGAGAAATCCTCTGCAAAGGGAGGCTGATATTTTGTGGTCGCTGTTGTCTAATTTTTTTTTTTTTTTTATTTGAGACAGAGTCTCACTCTGTCGCACAGGCTGGAGTGCAGTAGCACCATCTTGGCTCACTGCAACCTCTGCCTCCCAGGTTCAAGTGATTCTCCTGCCTCAGCCTCCCAAGTAGCTGAGACTACAGGCACGTGCCACCACACCCAGCTATTTTTTGTATTTTTTAGTAGAAACAGGTTTCACCATATTGGATAGGCTGGTCTCGAACTCCTGACCTCATGATCCACCCACCTTGGCCTCCCAAAGTGCTGGGATTACAGGCATGAGCCACCCCGTCTGGCCCTAATTTTTAAATTTTTAAATAGTTGATTCTGCTGTGCTATCATCCTAAACCTTTAGGAAAAGTCTGCTCTCTGCAGTTGACTTGTGTTAGTGGAAATTTGGAAGAATAAAGCAATTAATTGTGTGTGGAGAAGGAGATAGGGTAAATAGGAACAGAGTGAAGGGCAGTGGTTGCAGGAAGTAAGTCTCAGGGAGGTTGTGGGAGAGTCCTAGTCAGTCATGAGGGCAAGAGACGGCCACAGTAGATGAAGGCCCAAGGAGGCCAAGGGCGTGGGGATACAGGTGGAGAAATTGTTGGAGGTGGGGATGTCAGAAGCTGGTGCCTGTGGGAATAGCTAAATGGGTAATACATGGTGAAATTAACTCCTTTTTACTGAAGTTGGAGATTATCTACCTGATGTCATGGAATTAGTAAGGGACATTACCCTTGAACTCAGGGCCTAACTTCTTTTTACCATACTCCACTCTCTGTCCAAGAAATAATAGCTAATATTTATTGAGCCCTTGCTGTAAGGCCAGCCCTGTGCTATAATGAGTCAGGAATTCTTATTATTCTCAATTTACAGCTAAAGAAACTAAAGTTTAGAGATATTATGCAATTTAGTAAAGCTCCCAGAGCAAACAAAAGGCAGTGTCAGGATTTAATTGTAAGTTTTTCTAAACTCCAAAGTTCCAATTGTTTTTTTTGTTTTGTTTTGTTTTGTTTTGTTTTTTGAGACGGAGTCTCGCTCTGTCGCCCAGGCTGGAATGCAGCGGCGTGATCTCGGCTCACTGCAAGCTCTGCCTCCAAGGTTCACACCATTCTCCTGCCTCAGCCTCCTGAGTAGCTGCGCAAAGTCCCAATTCTTAACCACTAGCAAGATAGCTTGGTCTGGAATGATATAAACTGAGTTGATAATACAGGTGTTCACCTGCTGACTAAACTCTATTATGGGTTATTTATATTAACAAATTTATTTACTGGGTGTATAGGGAGAAAAAGGTTAAAAAATGAACTACCACCTAAACAATAAGGAAGAAAATTGAAATGGGTAAGTTATACTATTCACCTTGACAAGATGTTCAGGGCTGAACAGCAGCAAATTTAGCTAACATCTAACATCCCGGAATTTCAGAGAAGAAAATGGCTCACATACAAGAAAGTCTGTTAAAAGCATCTTTTTATTTGCTGTAAGAATATAATCTGCATTTCTATACAATCCATTATGCAAAAAACATGGTAGGCATTTTATAAGCAGTGCAAAATCTCAACATCTGTACATTTGCTCCATTAAAATATTAGCAAAGGTTGAAAAAAACTCACATCTTAGGAGAAAAGAATACAGATTTGTTCCCCAGGAACATGGCTTCCAACATCAAGAAGCACAGCCAAGAAAACACAGCCTCATTAAATTCTCAATACCTAAGATGGAAGGTATTGACAGATAGGTAGGGAACATTATTTGAGGAGGCTACTACTCCCATGGGCCTCCTCAGTGTGTAGCCAAATGACTTTGTACAGCAAGCGCTAAAGCATCTGTGTATAAACAGATAGGAATTACCTGTTGAGTTAACCTAATCCAGGTGGAACAGACACTACCAGCCTGCAGAAGGGCCTTCTAACCCAGACACCAGGCAGGGAGCAAAGAATTGCAATCGCCTCCTTAACGAAAAGTCACAATGATTCGTCTTTTTGTATAGCAATTAAATTTCTCTGAAGTATCATCATAAAGCACATTATAAATAAACTGCCCAATAGCATGGTAGGCACTAAATTCCGGAACTTGCTCAACTTGAATAACTGCAGTTTATTGGAAATGAACTGCAGGGAATGAGAGAAGGAGAGGACACTAAACTCTTTACAATCAAGCCTGGAAGGTCGAGGCCATCCGGGAACAAACAGCTCCTTCTTTGTAGGGCTGTCCTGGAGAGTTCATCCTGATTATGAAATGCTCTTAGCTACTTCTGTTATGCACCTATTACTGGCCAGGCTCAGCCACAGCAACCAAAACCTACATTATCATTAATCTTCAATACAAAGTGCAGAGTGTGTATATGAATCCTAGTTTCTAGTTAAGCAAATGGAGGCATCAAAAAATTATGCCATCCGAGCAAGGACCTGCAACTAGTTATAGACAGAATAGGATGAAGATCAGACTGGCCTGAAAACAAACCTAGTTTTCTCACTGCACCAGGCTATTTCTGAAGAGATTGAAAGCTATCTCTAGTCTTGAGCCTTTCCTTGCTACTTCTGTGATTTTAGTCCTGAATTAAAAATCCTAGGGAGAGACACAGAAGGGCTAACAATGCCACCATAAAAAGAGGTGAGTTATAAAACTATGGATTCCACCAACAACTGTGAGAACAATCAGGATCTCAAGGGCTTTAGATATGTAGCGTGCTGTGAAGAGGATCTGAAATGTAACTTAAAGGCATCTCTAGCCTAGTTTAAATTCTTTATTTTCAGTCCAGAACAATCTGAAAATAAAGAATTTAAACTAGGCTCAGAATTTTACACCCTCTTGGCCTAGGACCACAAAATCAAACTGACATCTTTTGCAATGACTCTTAAACCTGCAGTCTTTAAGGCAAGATTTTTTGTATCATCTACTGTGGGTAGAAGTAAAAGATTAGAGGAAAATGAAGCCAAATGCATCTCTTGCAAACCTTCACATCCTTCAAAGTACATGAGGTTATTGGGCATGAGGCACAATCTTCATGAGGCACAAAAATCTTTTTTTGTTTTTTAACTTGGATTTGCTTTATAAGCGTGAATTCTGAAATGTCCATGAATACAACAATTCATCCGTCTTCTCTTCCTTTTAATATTTTTACATTCAGAAGCACAACTTCTGTTTTGAATACATTTACTTTGATAGTTACATATTTACTTGAATTTTAAATAAGTGTATTTACATTTTAAATAGGTGTATTTAAAATTGGAAAATATGTTTTTATCAGTGCATTTCTTAAATATGATGATTATTAAACCAATATTCTTTTGGGGGCAACTAACTTTTAGAGATTGAAAAAAGTGGCAATGAGAGGAATTTTATTTTTTTTTAAGTTTGTGTCATTTTAATTTTGGTCCAATTTAGACTTTTAGAGACTTATACCATAAAAACACCCCTCTTGCTAGTTTGTTGCTGGCGTCTGGGCTGATCCCACATACAGCAATTGAAAAGTCTATACAAGAACAACAAAGAGGAAAATCACATACAACTTTCATTTCACCTTGGTGGAGTCAACCAGGATAGTACCTGCTCCAACAGCCTCCAAGGGTCTTGGAGGTGTGTCCTGCTGTGGCCAGTGGGTGCTGAGAAGCAGATAGGTAGACCCTCCTTCACTCCCTCTCTTCTTCCCCTCGGCCTATTTTCTGTTCCAGTTATGTGAGATGTTCTGAATCTTTTTCATTTTGATCCTCTGATCCAGCATCTTGTACCTTGCAGGATGCTCATCAGTTTTCTTTGAGACTGAAGGTGCATAGGAGCTAGATGCGTAAGCAGGGCGTTTAAAATGACGCAAAGGAGGCTTGATGACTGGCGGCCATGGAAAGGAAGACAGACAACGGTTAGCCTCACCCACGACATGCCACAACCTAAATATTGTGAGCAACTTCCTCTAGACCTGTTTGTTTCCTCCAAGACCAGGAAAGAAGCAGTTTGGATTCTCCCTGGAAACCTTATGGCAGATAGATGAATAAGCACGTTACCACCTTGGTCATTCAGTTAAAATAAATAAATGGAAGAAATTTCTAGAGATACAGTGATAACTGCAGTACATAAAGGTCCTTTGACAATGAATGGATGGGGTTAAGGGAGTGAGAGGAAGCATTGGGGTCATTTCTGGGAACAGCAAAGCAAACAAGGTGAACACAGGTATATCATTAACAGCATTTAGCATTGTATGTAAGCTTTTAGTGTTTGGAAAGTGGCACTCAATCCCCAAGGGATACTTAAAAGTGCATCATTAAGAAAATATTTATAAAACACATATAAAGATCTTGTATTCAAAATATAAAAAGAATTCTTAAAGCTCAAGAAAAAGAAACAACCCAATTTTAAAATGGGCAAAACATCTGAACAGACTTCACACCAAGGAAGATGTATGTGTCAAATAAGCATAGGAAAAAATGCTCAACAATTAGAGAATTTCAAATTAAAACAACTATATGCTACTACACACCTCCACAATGCTAAAATCTAAAAAACTTGACAACACCAATTGCTGGCAAGGATGTAAAGTAATGGGAACTCCCATTCTTGCTGATTGGAATGCAAAATGGTACAGCCACTTTGGAAGACAGTTTGACCGTTTCTTATGAAGCTAGACATAGTCTTACCATGCAATGCAGCAATTGTGCATCCTAGGTATTTACCCAATTGATGGAAAATGTATGTCCACATAAAAACCCACACATGAATTTTTGTAGAATCTTTATTCATAAGTGCCAAAAGCTGGAAGCAACTAAGATGTCCTTCAATAGTTGAGTGGATAAACAAATTGTGATACATTTATACAATGGAATATTATTCATTGTGATAAAAAGCAAATTAACTATCAAGCTATGGAAAGACATGAATGAATCTTAAATACATATTGCTAAGTGAAAGAAGTCAGTCTGTAAAGGCTGTATAGCATATGATTCCACTTATACGACATTCTTCAAAGGACATAACTATAGAGATGATAAAAACATCAGAGATTGTCAGGCGTTTGGAAAGAGGAGGGATGGTTAAATAGGTGAAGCACAGGGAATTTCTAGGGCAGTGAAACTCTCGCATACAATACTGTAGTGGTGTATATATGACACTACACATTTGTCAAGACCCATACAACTTTATAGCACATAGAATAATCCTTAATGTATGCAAATAAAAAAACTATTTAAGAGGTCGGAGGAATCCTAGAATGAAATGCAAATTGTAACAAGACAATGTAAATGCATTGCCAATGTAGGAAACAACCTCACTGAAGAGTGGGGGACAAGACGGTCATCGAAGTAACCTTGTATATGAACAGAATCTGCAAGACTAAAGGCCGAAGAAGCTGTACACAAGCACTCTATTCTAGCTGATAAAATTGTTTCCCATGGGGCTATTGGTTATCAACTCTAAGACCACTCTACATGTATACCAGAATTCAACAATTACGTAAACAGAGGGTGGATGGTGAGAAATGTTGGAGGAGGTTAGAATGGTCCATGTGGTAATGAACTTGATTATATCAATATGAATTAATATTTAGCTTAATAGAGATACAGGTGATTATATATAAAATACTTATAGATATGTGTATGTACATGAGTTGGCATTCACACATATATTGTCTTGCTCTATCAGCTGAAGGGGAGGGGGTCTAGGACCAACGAAGTCACTACAAATCTAGAAGTCTCAGCAGCAATAAGCACATCTACTGCCCTGATCTTGGTTTCTAAAACCATTTGCTAATAGCAGAAACCAGGGCTCCTTGCAGAAATGACTGATTCCAGAACTCGGACACAAAATATACAAGAAGTACCTGAAGCATCTTGTAGAGCCAGAAAATTTGAAGTGTTCAAAAAAAACAAAACAAAACAAAACAAAAAACAAATACAACAATAGACAAAGGAGCCCTGAATGAAAGATCTACTGAATGATCAAAATTGAATCAAATTGAGCAACAAAATAAACAAGGCAGTATTGCATTTTAACCCGAAGTATAAAATAAATATCCATGAGTCCACACTGATATAAATAAATGATTGAATAAATAAATAATTGTGGGAGAATAATTTATATACATATGCCTCCCTTAAGGAGAAGGAGCCCTTAGTATGGATTGGACAAAGTGACATCCTTCCAAAAAGTACAGACTAAAATATGAGACAGGCTTGGCACGGTGGCTCATGCCTGTAATCCCAGCACTTTGGGAGGCCGAGGCTGGCAGATCACTGGAGGCCAGGAGTTTGAGACCAGCCTGACCAACATGGTGAAACCCCATCTCTACTAAAAACACAAAAATTAGCTGGGTGTGGTGGTTGGTGCAAACACCTGTAATCCCAGCTACTCAGGAGGCTCAGGCAGGAGAATCGCTTGAACCTGGGAGGTGGAGGTTGCAGTGAGCCAAGATGGTACACTTGCACTCCAGTCTTGGTGACACAGCAAGACTCCTTCTCATAAATAAATAAATATATGAGACAAAAGAGTAACTTTATATAGAGAAATCTAGTAAACACTTCTTCCAGGGGATCAAGGTTGACACCAGTGGCATGTGATGAAAATTAATATTTTGTGATGAAAATAGAACTTTACTTCTGGAGTCTTCCTCCCAAAAATATATAACCCCATTCTAAAAATGAAGAATATCAAATAAATTCCAATTGAGAGATATTCCACAAAATATCTGACAGGTATTCCTCAAAGCTGTCAAAGTCACCAAAAATTAGGGAAGTCTGAGGAACTGTCACATCCAAGAAAAGTCTAAGGAAAGTTGATGACTAAAAGTAATGGGTTATCCCGGATGGGACCCTGGGACAGAAAAATGACACTGGGTAACAAGTAGGGAAATTTAAATAAAGTAGGAACTTCAGATAATAATAATAATTAATAATAATAAGGACAGCATCTAATCTGCAGATCTAGACATAGAAGGTAAAATACTCATTGACTTTTCCTCCCCCTGCTCCTCTCTGTGCCAGCCCCCACCTCATCCCTTCTAGGTTCTGCTGGAAAGTGTTTGGTCAGTGAGATAATGTCAACATGAATAAAGGTGAAAACAAGTCAAATGATCATCAAAAACAGATGAGATATAATAACTAGGTGAAAGTGCAAGGAAACAGAGCCAGTTGAACCCTTGCTCACTGGCTTTCCCTGCAGGCTCCTCCACTGTCACTGAAAAAGCCAGTGCAGGAGCAGGACACACGGTGGATCTGCTGGAAGGGCCAAGGTCAGGGACCCATCTGTCCAATGCCTGAGGCTTCCTTGTGAAAAACCAGCTCTGCACATCTCTTCCAATAACAGGGACATGCATGGTGCTTGTGACCAAACAAAAGATGAGAAACAACTTAAATGAACAATCATAGGGAATTGGTTAAATTCTGGTCCATTCTTAGAATATGCTACTGTGATACTATGGAAAGATGATACAGATGACTACTAACAAAAATAGAGGTTCATGTAATGGTGTTAAATGAAAAAGCAGGATATATTATCTAACCTCATTACTAGAAAATATAAACATATGTGCATAGGAAAATCTGGAAGAACATACATTTAAATCATAGCAGTGGTTATCTCTGAGTAGCATAAACATGGCTATTTTATCTCTTTGGTTGTTTATACTTTCTAATTTTTCTATGATGATCATGTTCTAGTCATGTAACTTTTAAAAAAGAAACATACTAGTAAACATTTCTTCTATAGAATCATCTATCAGAGTTATTCTACGAAATCACACCTGAGAGAAAATCAGTCAAACCAAGTTCACCTTGGACCTTAGTACTAGACATCTCAGACAAGCCATAGCTGAGTACACTTTTCACAGCATACAGATTAACTTCATCACTGGCCATCAGAGAAATGCAAATCAAAACCACAATGAGATACCATCTCACACCAGTTAGAATGGCGATCATTAAAAAGTCAGGAAACAACAGGTGCTGGAGAGGATATGGAGAAATATGAACAATTTTACACTGTTGGTGGGACTGTAAACTAGTTCAACCATTGTGGAAGACAGTGTGGCAATTCCTCAAGAATCTAGAACTAGAAATACCACTTGACCCAGCCATCCCATTACTGGGTATATACCCAAAGGATTATAAATCATGCTGCTATAAAGACACATGCACACGTATGTTTATTGCAGCACTATTCACAATAGCAAAGACTTGGAACCAACCCAAATGTCCATCAATGATAGACTGAATTAAGAAAATGTGGCACATATACACCATGGAATACTATGCAGCCATAAAAAAGGATGAGTTCATGTCCTTTGTAGGGACATGGATGAAGCTGGAAACCATCATTCTGAGCAAACTATTGCAAGGACAAAAAACCAAACACTGCATGTTCTTAGTCATAGGTGGGAATTGAACAATGAGAACACTTGGGCACGAGAAGGGGAACATCACACACCAGGGCCTGTCATGGGGTGGGGGGAGGCAGAAGGATAGCATTAGGAGATACACCTAATGTAAATGACGAGTTAATGGGTGCAGCACACCAACATGGCCCATGTATACGTATGTAACAAACCTGCACGTTGTGCACATGTACCCTAGAACTTAAAGTATAATTTAAAAAATGGTAAAAAAAATTAAAAAAAAATTATGCTACTTCTCTTTTTAAAATACTTATGAGGTACCCATACTCCCAAGTATGCCTCATAAAAGCCTTCAAAAAATATTTATTCACCCACTTCTTAGAGTACCTATTGTGTGCTATTGATATAACAGTGAACAGAACAGACAGAAATCCCTGCCTTTATAGGGCTTCCATTCTAATAAGATCCTTCGAAACTTTTAACTCACTCACAGAAATAAAAAGTGTTCAGGTATAAATTATGCTATGGCTACAAGCTCCTTAATACCCATGCCAACTTCACCCATTGCAATATCCTAACGTGAAGTAAAGAGTTGCAGCAAATGGCTCTGTTGTTACATAGTAATATATATTCTTCTATATTATTATAGGTTTGTTTATTAGATCTCAGAGTGCTTAATTCTGTTTCTTAGGGTAAACAAGAAATTATGGCATCAAATTGCCTAGGAACAAACATAAAAGCAGTGCCGTTACCCTGGAGAATGGTGTAGAAAGGGGAGAGGGCTTCAGCTTAAAAGCAGATTGTTGCAATGTCTGAGCCAGCTGATTCACTGCTCTTCAAGTCACCGTCCCTCTCCATATTCATTCTATTTCACTACTCAGCAGGAACTCAGCCAAAGTATTACTGAATTTCCCACTTCTCAGCATGAAGAAACATTTACCATTTGCTGGGATTCTGATTGTCAGAACAAAACCTCTCCTTGCCACTGGAGTCACTGCAAATAGAGTTGAACCTGCTGATATAGGTAGACTCCCCACTGAGTTTGTGGAAATACTTATATGGCTGCTGTCACCCTCACTCAAAATGTGGGATAAAGGAAAATTTCGTACATTGCTGTTTTGTATGCATTCATTGCCTTTCCCCTCTGCAATGGATTGTGATTTGGTGACAGAGCAAAACACCAGAGCCAGGCATGAGGGCACCATCTTGAATTTAATGTGGACCATTCTTCTGGGGTCCTGGTATGGCCTTCTGAGGGTACCCTCATTAATTGTCTGGCTATACCTAAACTATCGGAAGGGGTCCGACCCTCCTCCTTTCAACGACTGGGCACTTCCCACAGCTGAATCCAACCAGTCGTACAATCCCCGACCACTAGTGGAGAAGAACCAAACCTGGATCCCCACCCCTGCCACAAATAAATGGTTGATTATCAGCAAGTTGGACACTTCTTCCCCTTGGGGATACTTTAAAAAAGTCTGGCCTCATCTCTTAGAACAATTTGCTTGGAGAAAATGATCTAATTAGTTAATGAAGATTGTGACAAAGGCACATATCTCAGCACAGTACCTGAACTTGGGAAAATTATCTATATTACTTTTAAACATGCTTAGAAAAACAAAAGTTCAAGCCAAAAATTGATACATCACCGTCCTTTATTTTATAATTATGCTCCATGTTTGATTTTCATAAAAGCAATGCTCTTTTAGGAGTTTTAACTCTCAATTGTTTAATTATTTTTCATAAATATAACAATTTCTCCCAAAGGTATCTATGATTTTCTCCCCTTTCACTGCCACAACCAGCCTATCTTTTGTTCTCTCTCTCTCTCTCTGTCTCTCTCTCTCCATTCTCTCTTTCTCTCTCTCTCTCTCATCATTTTTCTTCGTGGCTACTTTTTTGTTTTGGTATGGGGAACAGTTGTACAGAATTATTTTTCTCCAGGAAACAGGTTCACATTTATTCATATATCAAATACAGCTATTAGGATTATTTATATTAGTCTACTGGAAACCAAAGTGCCCTTCAACAAAGCTGTGTAATAGGTGTGGTTGTGGGGAGAGGGTTTCCTCAATCAAATTTAACTGAGTTAAACTAGTATCTTCACACCAGGACTTACCAGCACCTTAAATAATGCTAACATCTATTAAGAATCCCTGAGAACAGCCAATAGCATGTAGTTTCTCTCAATTTTATTTGGCTAAATAGCTCCTTTTTATCAAGGACATCTTATAGAGTGAAAACGCCTTCAGAAAAATGGAATTAATTTCTTATCATATGGTATCACACTATATCAAGTCATTAACCCAGTATACCCTGTTGTTTTCCACTAAATGAGAGCAATCAAGAGAGAACAGCCGCTAGTCCTCATCCACGCTTGGGTCTGGCCTCATTCCCTTGAGTTCAATATGATTTCCCATAGCACTGGCCTTGGTCCTTTCAATCCACTGTGACTTCAGTGTGACCTTTGGAACCCCACACTGCAGTGCAGCAGTATCTTCAGGTGGAGGTTTTCTGAACCTCTTCAGGTGAGCATCACCTCAAATGGCAATAATTTGGTCTACTTGGAGCTTTTGAGTAAATTCTAATATTGGTAGCCTTAGTTTTAAACAAAAATAAGTGTTGGATATCTGTTTTTTCTCTTTCAAACATAATGCTATGATATGACATTTGGAAAAAGCACTTTCTCCTATAGACACTTTCTATCTGCAATGTGTACACACACACACACACACACACACACACACACACACCAAACCACATATACTAAACTAACGAAATTAAAATAATCATTTATTGCCACTTAAATGTTATTTTACATGAAGGAAAAAACTCTACTATACATTCTATTTCTAAAATCAGTATCTGTTTGTGGTAGAAAGCCCTTATCAAAATGCACAAAAACCATCCAGGAGTTTTGAACTGCAAGGGACTGGAATGTTAACGTGAGCCCCACTGAGGATGGGACAATATGAGATTTGATCCTGTGATTTTCATTTCAGGAACCGCTGTGGTAAAATCATTGTAATAGCTGATACTATGTACTGGGCATGTATTTTGGCTAAAGTAACTGGCCAAAATCACACAGTTAGCACAAAGGAGTCTTGATTCTGGATTCACACACATGCAATCTGAATTCACACCCTTCCTCCTATCCTCCCATATCTAAAATAATCTTGTACCAAAATGCAGAGTAAGTTATAATAACTACCAATAATAAAAGAGTCAAGTCAAAATTGTATCTCATTTATATTATTAACATTTAGGTATGTACCTGAGTCATATACTGGATTATTGAATACCCTTGAATAATCAATAATTTTGAAGCAATAATCTTGCTTCCCTGTAAACAAAAGTAAGTCATCCCCTAACCCCACTTTAAAATAGTTTGTGGCAATGGCTCAGGAAGTAACTACATTAAGGTCCTGACTTAAAGAGTTCTCTTAAATAACTGCTTTCATCTTTTCCCTCCCTTCTGCCAGACTGGAATATTAACAAGTATTCCAAAACTCTAGGCCAGTGGAGTCTAGCCAGGCAAGCTCCAGGACTCTTTAACTTGGTGGTTCTCAATCCTGGCTGCATATGGGAACCACATAGCTTTTAAAACTCTTAGTGCTCAATTTGTACCCCAGATCACTTAAAGCAGAATCTATGAGGGTAGGACTAAGCCTTCAGGAATTGTTTAAGCTCTTCAGATAATTTTACTGTACTGGAGTTTCAAAACTACTGTCTTCATCTCTCCAATCCTCTCATTCTTCATCTTCCATGAGCTATTTGCAACTCCTCACCATCCTTGGAAGCTGGCCAGATTCAGTTCTGGCACTGTCCCCATAGGACTTGGACACTTTATTTCAGTTTTCCATTTAAAAAAATGGAAATAATAACACTCACTTCACAGGGCAATGGTAAGAATAAAAATATATCATACATGTGAAAACAGCCAGCACAGTGCTGACACATAGTAGGTGCTCATTCAGTATCAATTTCCATCCCTTTCCTCAGATGAAGACATTTAGGAACTATCTAGAAGATTTGCAAGTGCCGGGAAAATTTAGTAGCAGCATGCTTTCCCAACTAGGGAATTTATTTGCCTCTCTAAGACACAAAAGCCTTATAGTGAGGCCACATTAATAAGAGCCTTTCCTTTTGTAGAAATACAATTTAGCAACTTTAACCCAACCAAAAAATTACTTTCGTGCCATGTGCGTTAGATGTAGTGTCGTCTAAGGTGATAATCTATTCTTAAACTCTTCAAGGTATATTTCATATTAAAAACTAGAATGATTAAGCCCATTATCTACATTTTTTATTTTTTTGAGATGGAGTCTCGCTCTGTCACCCAGCCTGGAGTGCAGTGGCGCCATCCCGGGTCACTGCAAACTCCACCTCCTGGGTTCAAGTGATCTCCCACCTCAGCCTCCTGAGTAGCTGGGATTACAGAAGCATCCCACCATGCCTAGATAATTTTTGTATTTTTAGTAGAAATGGGGTTTCACCATGGTGGCCAGAGTGGTCTCGAACTCCTGACCTCAAGTGATCTGCCCATCTCGGCCTCCCAAAGTGCTGGGATTACAGGTGTGAGCCACCAAGCCTGTCCCCATTACCTACATTTTTAAAGACCCAGATTCTCCAAGGACTTTACCTCAAGAAAGTGAGAATGCTGAATTCTCTATGGCTTCCATTTTTTCATCACACAGAGCAAAGAATGCAGGGGACAGGAAGCTTGCAGTCTGAGAAGCTATTTAGAAGGAGCTGAGTTGATCCTGTCTGAACCAAACGGCCACTAGTATGGTATGGAAAGATGACCCAACCAGCATTTCCAGATCCCTAGAGGGATATGCATCCATAGAAAACAGATAAACCATGTAGTTTTGCTACCTTCCATGCAACCTGAAGTTGTTTTCTCCCACTGGTGGTTCTCAATCCCGGGTGCACATCAGATTGCTTGGGGAGCTTTGAAAAGTACTGATGCCCAAGCCTTACCCCCAGGAGTCTCTGAAGTAATTGATCACCCTGGAGTGGAGCCCAAACATCAGTATGTTTGTAATGCCCAGTTATCCTAATGTGTGACCAGGCTTGAAAACCACTGGCTTTGGGACTGAGTCTGTTTTGAGAGCAACTTGGTTTATACTTAGCTTTAGAAGGATAATGGGGCGGCCAACCTGCTCCCTGTTCCTGTTGTCTGGGAATGCCCAACCCTCAGCCATGTGCTAAGATTGTAGAAACACAATTTAGCAAACTTAACCCATGGTATGAGAGAAAATTACTCTCTTACCATGGGCATTAGATGTAGTGTTGTCTAAGGTGATAATCTATTCTTAAACTAAGAATAGATCTAAGACAGGATCTTAGTGCTAAGGTCTGTGACAGGAAAATGAGCCCATGGAGAGGCTTTTGGGAGAGGTGGGTGGTCTTATGAAAAAAACCATGGGCTTGGGGCACGTCACAGAGCTAAGCTATTACTAGCTGTGAAATCCTAAGTAAATAATCTGTTCTAGCACTCAGGGTTTGGTTTTCTTTCTTCCTTTTTTAAAATGAGAATAGTAACTGCCTTCCATGGTTGTGGTGAGGATTTTAAAGGAAATATAAATGGGAATATGCATATGCAGTACCCATGTGCCATTGCACAGTACACAATGCCCAGAATGTTGTAGGTATTTGATATACAGCCATCATTGTTACACAGCACAGGAAGACAAAAGGTCATCATTGCTGCCTCGTGATAGCGCCCTCCCTGGTGGATCTTCTTATTACAATATAGAAAAGTCACATAATTCCCCACAGGATGGGTTTTATTACATGAAAGATCTCACCACACAATGAAGAGATTAACTTAATGAATTTATTTGTGAATATTTGGCAGAGAATACACCACTTTGATTCACAAAAGACCAGTTATTTAAAATCTGCATTTGTGAAAATATATATATTATGTATATATTATATATATTTTTATATATATATTTTATATACATATATTTCTATTCTGCTACCTGAGGAAGCCACTTTGCTGAAACTATGTGCCATTTTAAGCAAAGGAAAAATGGCTAGCCCACATTCTAAACCATTTAGGCAATGCAAAAATATAGTGGTTCATTCACTCACTTTGGTTTTGTTTTTGTTTTTAAGACGGAGTCTTGATCTGTTGCCCAAGCTGGAGTGCAGTGGCACAATCTCGGCTCACTGCAACCTCTCAGGTTTAAGTGATTCTCCTGCCTCAGACTCTGTAGTAGCCGGGATTACAGGTATGCAACATCACACCCAGATAATTTTTTGTATTTTTAGTAGAGATGGGGTTTCACCAGGTTGGCCAGGATGGTCTCAAACTCCTGACCGCGGTGATCCAAACACCTCAGCCTCACAAAGTACTGGGATTACAGACATGAGCCACCCTGCCCAGCCCATTCAATCACTTTGAGTAACACCTAACCTCAAGTACAAAGAGTGCTGGAAATCCCAGTGGGAAGTATGCCTTAGATAACCAACCAAGACGGAAGGAGTTCCAGTCCCTGAATTTTAATCTTGAAATCATTAGAAAACTGTCAAGGACACTTCTCATTCTTAAGACACGTTGCGTTTATTATGCCGAGTCATGGTAATTATTTGAGTCACTCATTGGAAGCCATTCCTGAGCCAGTGATTCCCTGGATTTTTTGGAGCTTCTTTGTGCCTTATTCCATAAATAACTCAATCCTGCCTATCAGCTTCCTGAGGATAGGTATGCAGTATATGCATCCCCAGAACTTAATCACAGTATTAACTGGTGGTGAGAAATATTTAATGAGTGAATAAACTACTCTACTTCACATTCAGTAACCTTCATAAATCTTCCATTTACTAAAGAATAAATGAATCACTTTGAATATACACAAGCTGGAAATGATGATTGGGATCTACAGATCCGAATATTTCTCTCTTTCTTCAGCGGTGTCTTGATATTTAGATTTTGCTGCCCATGTTTGCTTGAGAAGAATGTCAACAAGTTCCTTTCCTCTCAAGCTTTCAAGTTTGAGTCCTTGTTTTACACAAATGCTAAAATCTTAGCTCATTTCTACTGGTCTCATGATAATATGGGGAGGCACTGAGACATATTTTTTGAGCCTTCTTTCCCTGAACAAATAGGTGAAAGGGGAGGAGCAATTTAAATGAGGCTGGAAAAATCGGCTCTTTTTCAAACGATGGCTTCCTATCAAATGCCCTGTGACTTCATGATTTAATGCTAAGGATATAAAAATAGACTAAAAATGAACTCCCTCAAGGTGATGATCATCTTTAATTTTCTCATTTATAATGTGGTTATAAATTTTCTCATCATTAATGTGTTTCTTCGTTTTCATTTTGTTTGTCTTGGCATGATTCTAGTTGTTTCAATGGAGAATCATATTTTGGAGATAACGCAAGCTAAGTCTTTTGCTGTATTTTTCTTAACAACGTGTGCATTTTCCCACTTGTGCATGAGAAGATGGGAAATGTAAGGCTATTCAGAAGCTCCTATGTCCTTTGTTCACACTAACAGTGGCCAATTTCAGAAGAAGCCTATAAAGATACATTTCTTCAAGGTGATAGAGCTCCTGCATAACAAAGCTGGATCAAGTGGGATAGGCTTCAATCCAGTCCACAGTAAGTGACAACTGCCATCCTTCAATCAACTCAGGTAAAAGACAGTTGCAGAGAGAACACTTACCAGAGTCTTCACTTAAAAGATAGTGCAGGATCCCTCCCACACCCCAACAATGTGCTTGATATTGGTACATGGAGCTTGATCTCACTCCCAGGCAGAATACAAGTGTGAAAGAAAAGTGGTTACAGTGAGGACTATTTAGAATCAGTCTTTAACCATTGGCAATGACCTTCAGAGAAAAGAGCACAGGCCTGCCCCCTGCTAACTTTGGGTAAGCTATTCATCTCTTTGTGCCTTAGTTTCCTAATCTGTGAAATAGAAATAATAGTACCTCCCTTAGAGGGTTATTGTGAGGATTCAATGACATAATACATGTTAAGGACCTAATGTTGTCCTGATATTTGTAGATATGCAATAAATGTTAAAATATCTGTGGTTGGGCCCGGCGCGGTGGCTCATGCCTGTAATCTCAGCACTTTGGGAGGCTGAGGCAGGCAGATCACGAGGTCAGGAGATCGAGACCATCCTGGCTAACACAGTGAAACCCCGTCTCCACTAAAAATACAAAAAATTAGCCGGGTGTGGTGGCGGGCGACTGTAGTCCCAGCTACTCGGGAAGCTGAGGCAGGAGAATGGCGTGAACCTGGGAGGCGGAGCTTGCAGTGAGCCGAGATGGCGCCACTGCACTCCAGCCTGGGCGACAGAGCAAGACTGTGTCTCAAAAAAAAAAAAATCTTTAATATAAAATCATTTAAGCATACAGAAATGTATAAATAATGATATAATAAATACCCATACTCTCAATAAAGTTTAATAAAATCTTAATAATTTTTACATTTGCTTAAACATTTTTTGAAAGAAATTAACACAGATAGAATTAAGTTACCCGGCAGATCCTCTCTATGATACTTCACTCTCTTCCCTCTGGAAAAGCCATCCTCCAGAATTTGGTATTTATCATTGCTGCGCATTTATGTATGAAATTATTGCATTTGTATCCACAAAATATCTAATATTTCTGCATGTTTTGAAACAATATAAATTGTATTAGAAAGCATATATCTTGTTGCAACTTGCTTTACTTGCTCGACATTATGCTCAGCATTGTTTGTAATAGCAAAAAGTGGAAGACAACCATTAATAGGAGAATGATTATATGTCTTTTGGAATATTTGCATTATAAAATACTACACAAATGTTAAAGTGGATGAAGGTTTTCAAATAACTAGCTTTATATTTTGCATAGAATTTCTTTTACTATGCATTAGCAAACCTAATGTATGGCAAAAGTTTTTTTATGAAAAAACTTTTAATGAAAGTCTGTCTGTGGGTGCCATCTCTTAAAAACAAGATAGACCTGGATTTTTTCTTTCTTATCTAATCAAATAATCTCTATATTTTAAAAGCAAGTTGAAGCCACTTGCAATTATTGTTATTCCTGATATTTTTGGACTTATTTCTACTGTTTAATTTTGTTTTGTGTTTATCATTCTTTATTCTTTGCTTCTCTGTCTTCCTTTAGCCTTCTATTAAGTTGATACATTCTCTTCGTTTATTGTTGTTCATTTGTTGATTTAGGTGCCTGCTGATATGGTTTGGATCTGTGTCTCATCCCACATCTCATGTCCAGTTGTAAACTCCAATGTTGGAGGTAGGGCCTGGTGGGAGGTGATTTGATCATGGGGGTAGATTTCCCCCTGGTACTGTTCTCATGATATTGAGTGATTCCTCATGAGATCTGGTCATTTAAAAGTGTGCGGCACCTCCTCCTGTTTCCTGCTGCTCTGGCAATATGAAGTGCTGGCTCCCCCTTCACCTTCTGCCATGACTCTAAGTTTCCTGAGGCCTCCCCAGAAGAAGCCACTATGCTTCCTGTACAGCCTGAAGAACTGTGGGCCAATTAAACCTCTTTTCTTTATAAATTACTCAGTCTCAGGTAGTTCTTTATAGCAATGCAAGAAAAGACTAATACACTTGGCTTAGTCAGCTTGGGCTGCTATAACAAAGTACTGTGACTGAGTGGGTTACAAACAACAGAAATTTATTTCTTGCAGTTCTAGAGGCTGGAAGTCCAAGATGAGGTTTCCAGCACAGTTGGCTTCCAGGGAGGGCCCTCTTCCTCTTCCAGGTTGCAGACTGCTGACTTCTTGTTGTGCCCTCTTATGGTAAAAACAGACCAAGCTAGCTCTCTGGGGTCTCTTTCATAAGGTCGTTAATCCCATTTGTGAGGGCTCCATCCTCATGACCTGATTACCTCCCAAAGGCTCCACCTCCAAACATCATCACATTGTGTGGGGGTTCAGTCAGGATGGTGGGAAAAATTGTAAAATAAACCTTCTTGAAAGGCCAGAAGGTTTTAGCAAAAGCCTCAGGATAGAGTTATGGCTGAAGGCAGCCTAATCCTCTTTGAGCTATAGCAAGGGTAATTAACATTGGAATGTAGAGGAGTCTATCTAAATAGCTTGTTTAATCATGTGGTCCTAAGACTAACCTTTGCCATCAGCAGGTGCATGACTGCTTTCTACTTGGGGGGTTGGCAATGGTAATTACCTTCTAGTGGTGTTTACTTGAGACTTTTGTCATTTAATGTGTGCTGAATAAATGCTAAGAAGGCCAGTGAGTCGGGCCAGGCTGCGGTTGCCACTGTTTACAGCACTCTCCTTGGGGTCTGTAAGCGGCCCAGACTCTCAGCTGGACTGACAAGCATAATATCTGTGTCAGTGTATGTTATTCATCTGTTGTTGGATCAAGGTCTGTGGGACGGACCGCTGCAACATTGGGGATTGGATTTTAACATATGAATTTGGTGGGAACACAAATATTCAGTGAATAACAATGCTATTATGTTTCCATTATTTTACTGATGATCCTTTGTGTTAAAAAGTTACAAAAATTACGTAGTTCTGACCAAAGACAAGATAGATCTTAGCACTCCTTAGGTCCATATTGAAACATCCCGCCTTCCATCTATAGCTTCTCTTTCCTATTTTAACACAAAAGTCGGATGTTATTTTATGGTCACTAGTCACTCAAATTTACCAACATGTTTTAATTACTGATGTGCTCACCCCTAATTCCTGTGTCTCATACATTCCTTGTGGGTTCACTTTTCTTCTTGTTGACATACTTCCCTTAACACTTTTTTTTTTGAATGGAGTGGCCCAGGCTGTGGCCCAGGCTGGAGTTCAATGGTACAATCTCAGCTCACTCCAACCTCCGCCTCCCAGGTTCAAGCAATTCTCCTGCCTCAACTTCCTGAGTAGCCGGGACCACAGGCACGTGCCACCACGCCTGGCTAATTTTTGTATTTTTAGTAGAGATGGGGTTTTGTCACGTTGGCTAGGCTGGTCTTGAACTCCTGACCTCAGGTGATCTGCCCACCTCAGCCTCCCAAAGTGCTGAGATTATAGGTGTGAGCCATCGTGCCTGGCCTTAACACTTTTTTTAATGAAAGTCTGTCTGTGGGTGGTAAATTATCATTGTATACCTGAAAATGTTTTAATGTGCCTTCACTCATAAGCAATAATTTAGCTATTTTAACTATTACATATTGCTCTATTTTCCCTTAGCATATGGAAGATATTTTCTTCATTGTCTTCTGGCTTCTACTGTTACCAATGCAAATTTTGCTGTCAGTTGATTACTTGCAACTTCCCTGCACATAATCAGCTTCTCATAGCATTTAAGGTTTCCTCACCCTTGATGTAGCTTTAGGCAATGTCATTCAATGTCTTTAGGTATGAATTTGTTTTTGTTTAGTTATGGCACTGGAGATGTACTTTCCATCTAAGAATTTGAGTCTTTCTTTACTTCTGGGAAATTATTACCTCTTTGTTGAAATATTGCTTTCCCACAACTTTCTCCATATCCTGCTAAAATTTCTGAGAGAAGTAGTTTATGGCAATTTGTCTATCTTCCATGCTTTTAAATTTTTTATTGAGATATAATTCACAAACCATAAATTTTGCCCTTTTGAGGTATATATTTTGAGGGTTTTTTCCTATATTCATAATGTTTCACAACCATCACCACTGTTTAATTCCAGAATATTTTCATCACCCCTAAAAACAACCTCATATCCATGAGAAGTCACTCTCCACTCTCTTTTCTCCCCAGCCCGTGACAACCACTAATGTACTTTCTGTCTCTATGGATTAGCCCATTCTGGGTATTTTATGTAAATGGAATAATACAATATGTGACCTTTTGTGTCTGGCTTCTTTTACTTAGCAAAACGTTCTCTAGGTTCATCCATGTTGTAAAATGTATGAGTACTTCATTTAAGTCACTCTATGATTAACTTTTTGAAAAACAGCCAAACTGTGTTCTAAAGTGGCTGCACCATTTTACATTCCCACCAGCAACATGTGAGGGTGCTAATTTCACCACATCTTCACCATCACTTGTTATTTCATTTGTTTTATTATTATTATAGCATCCTAGTGCATGTGAAGTGGTATATCACTGTGGTTTTGATTTGTATTTCCTTAATGACTAATAATGTTGAATATCTTTTTCATATGTCATTTGTATATCTTCTTTGGAGAAATGTTTGTTCAAATCCTTGCCACTTTTTAATTGGGTCGTCTTTTTATTGTTGAGTTGTAAGGATTCTTTACATATTCTGGATACAAGATCCTCATCAGATATGTGATTCTCAAATATTTTCTCTCTGTGGATTGTCTTTCCACGTTCTTGATAGTGGTTTCCAAAGCACAAAAGTTTTTTATTTTAATGAAGCCCAATTACCTAATTTTTTCTTGGTTGTTTGCACGTTGTTATGTTTAAGAAACCACTGCCAAATCCAAGGTCATGAAGATTTACCTCTATGTTTTCTTCTTTTTTATTTTATTTTTTTTCTTTTCTGAGACGGAGTCTCGCTCTGTTGCCCAGGCTGGGGTGCAGTGACATGATCTTGGCTCACTGCAACCTCCACCTCCTTGGTTCAAGTGTTTCTCCTGCCTCAGCCTCCCAAGTAGTGGGATTACAGGCACCCATCACCATGCCCGGCTAATTTTTGTATTTTAGTAGAGATGGGGTTTCACTATGTAGGTCAAGTTGGTCTTGAACTCCTGACCTCAAATGATCCACCCGCCTTGGCCTCCAAAAGTGCATGAGCCACCAAGCCCAGCCGTTTCCTTCTAAGATTTTTATGGTTCATGATCTTTCATTTTTTTGATATGGTTCCCTCTCCATGCTATATTTGGTGTAAAGTCTTCAGGACTATCCTCCAACATTAATTAACTTTTCCACTGTGTTCTACCTTGAACTTATACTATCAACTGATAGTTTTCTCTTTTTTAAAATTGCAATGACTATATGTTTGCTTCCTTTTTTTAAATTTCAGATTTTGAACCACTTCTTTTACATATCTCTGCTTTCTTGGGTTTGTACAATTTTTCTTCATTGTTTTTAGGATAATTTTTCCTCCATTTGGCTGTCTGAGTATCCTAAATACATTTTAAAGTGTTTGACAGCCTGCACCAAAAATCAACTTCTTCTAGAAGAAATTCATGTTCCAGTTGCCAATTTCTGTGGTACACTCTGCTACTGGCACCAATTCTTCCTCCTGTACCTGTGCCCTTTGCTTTCTAACCTGCACTTCCCTGCTTCTTGACTTTGCCTTTGGCCAGACCATTTTTCACAGCAGCTGTGTTATTTTATGTTCCTAGAAGCAATATACCAGGGTTCACATTTCTCCACACCCTCACCAATACCTGCTATTTGCTGTTTGTCTTTTATAGTAGCCATCCTAATGGGTGTGAAGTGGCATCTCACTGTGGCTTTGATCTGCATTTCCCTAATGACTAGCATCTTTCTATGTGCTTATTGGCCCATTTGTAGATCTTCTCTGGAGAAATGTCTATTCCAGTCCTTTGGCCATTTTTGAATTGGGTTTTACTTTTGTTGTTGTTGCTGCTGCTGTTGAGCTGCCAGAGTTCTTTATATCTTTCATATGTCTAGATATTAACCCCTTATCCCAATATATAATTTGAAAATATTTTCTCATATTGTGAGCTGCCTTTTCACTGTATTCATGTGTCTTTTGATGTATAAAAAGTTTTTAATTTTAATGAAGTCCAATTTATCTATTGCTTCTTTTGTTGCCTGTGACATTTTGGCTAATTTCAAGTAGAAGATACTTGGTTTGGGAGGCCGAAGCAGGCAGATCACAAGGTCAGGAGATCGAGACCATCCTGGATAACATGGTGAAACCCCGTCTCTACAAAAAATTAGCTGGGCGTGGTGGTGGGTGCCTGTAGTCCCAGCTACTCAGGAGGCTGAGGCAGCAGAATGGCGTGAACCTGGGAGGCGGAGCTTGCAGTGAGCCGAGATAGCGCCACTGCACTCCAGCCTGGGCGAAAGAGCGGGACTCCGTCTCAAAAAAAAAAAAAAAAAGAAGATATTTGGGTTTTGGGTTCTTTCTCTCTCTCGCCTGCCTAGAGTTTTGTAGTTACTTCCACCTCCTCCCTTAAACTTCCACTTCAGAGCCTTATAATGGCACTTTATGACTAATGCTCTATAATCATATTGGCATATTGCAGATCCAATTCCAAAGCTAGCTCGGTCTGGCAGAAAAGCTGTCCCAATGTCCTTCCATCTCTCTAGGCCAACAGCTTCCTGTTAATATTATTAAGCTGTGGCTTGGAGGAAACAGGCTGGCAGCAGTTGTTTTAGCCTGTCCACCCCATGTCCTGTATTCAGGTTATAGCCCTAGCTCTGATTCCCAGTGTCCCCTGCAGCACTTTTAGTCCCTTTTGCTCCACAGGATTCAAGCTCCTTCCTGCCACTCCTTACTCAGGATGTGGATCACAGCTGTCCCAGGGCTTCTGCAGTTCTCTCTCTCTCTTTTTTTTTTTTCTGGTTCCCAGAGTTGTTTGTCTCTGGCACCAGTTTTTTTAAAAGATATATTTTTTTATTATAATTTTACCTACCTTGGCGTGTGTTTGAGCAGAGGAGTGTTTGTCAAAAAATGAACTTACTCAACCATCTTGACCGGAATTCACAGCAAATGTTTTCATCTCCTAATGACTGAATTGGATCAGCTTACAGCAGATTGATTTGACTGCACTGGATCTAATCATGTAGGTGGTGTTGAAGAAATATAAAACCCTAAAATTCCAATTAAATCCATTCACTGGCTGTAAAATCAAAGGTTTTTAAAAGATTCTATCTATTGGTGGTCATTCAGAAGAGTCATCTCTTCTACAGCTATGAGATGGTAAGGTGGAGCTGTGAGCAGGAGCCAGCATGCATGGGCAGGGGCCCCCATGGCACACAAGCCAGAGGGAGGCATCTGTGATGCTCCTGAGGCAGGAAGGGAAGTAGAGAGCTGGGTATTGCAATGAGGTGGTGAGCACATCTGCTAGTGAAAGCATGATTCCAGCTCCTTCCGTGCACCCCTCAGGATGTGAAGCACAGCTGCCCTGCAGCTTCTGTCCTGTAGTGTCAATCTGCACACTGTGTAGTACCAGTTACACAGATTAATTATGTCTGGTGTTTTGAGAACTACCCACTTCCACCTCTGACCATCTCTCAAGTCCTGTAGGGCAGAGGATTGTGGTTTACAGCCCTGTAGGCTTTGGAGATGCTCAGAATGCAGAGCCTAAGACACTCCTTTTGGGACCACTTTGGATGGCTAAAGACAAGGTAGCTGTGATTCTGAGTCAGAGGCCTTGGGAACCCAGTGGCCATCCCTGGGTCCCCAGCAGAGCAAGTGGGTCCCAGGACAGCTCTGCATATTCTTGGAGGTGACAAGGATGCCCTCAGAAATCCCACCTGATCTAGCAAGGCTATGACCTTGTCAGGAGCAAACACCATCACTTCACACTGGAATTGCTTGGTTTAAAGCTGATTTCTTCCTGATACTCTGTAGTCCCAAGAGCATAATAACCTCAAGCAGAGACGAGATGCGAGGGGCTTCCAGAAACTATAGAACAAGATCTACTCACTACTCAAAAGCAAGTCTGTAGAGTTGAAACAAATCCAAACTTTAAGATGAGCCTTTTTTTCTGAGGATGGTTCCCTTCTGTGTAGTCGTAAACTAAATGGGAGGCTGCTCACTCACGCACCACGTACCCAGCTTAGAAACATTAATGCATACCCAGTAAGTGCCTGTCACCTTGGCAGCACTGGGGGCAGAAAGGAATAAGACAGTCCTCATCATGGAAAAAGCCACCTATCAATGTACAACAGGACTTAGAAGCAAACCATTGTAGTGCACTGTCAATTCCACCTAGATGATTTTGACAGGACTACAAAGAGAAATTAGCCAAGGGAAGAAGAGAATAAGGAGCATCCCAGGCACTCACAGAGGCAAGAAAAGTTCAAGGGTTATTCGGCGGATGTGGAGTCCACTTGTTTGACTTGGGTGAGGGAGCTACAGAAATTGAAGTTACAAAAGCAGGCAGACATAAGTCATATTTCATCTAAAATGCCACTAATTGTAAAATGAACTATTATTTCATGTACAACCAAGAAAAAAAAATGCTGCTAATTGAATTTTCACACACCATTGACTGCAAAACATCCCAATTCAAAATGGGTTAAAATGCAAGGCAATGTGCCTCTCAGAATGGATGAAATATGGTAATTCCCCAAAGAAGAAATGTAAAGGTGAATTAACACTAAAAAAACTGTTTTTTTAATAGAAAGATACATTCAAACCAAATGTAGATATCATTTTTCTCTTAGCAAATCAGTAAAATATTGAAAATAATGTTTAGCATTAGCAAGGGGATCATGAAATGGACAAACTCACACTAAAACCATACATTAATACCATCTTTCTGAAAATCACTTAGGTAATAATGTGTCAGGAACCTATATATGTCTGCATTCTTTGAGCCAGCAATCTTACTTAGTGGAATCTATGGTAAATCCGTACTTACAGACTCAGAAGACTTATGTACAAGAATGTAAGGTCACTTATAAAAATGCATGTTATATAAATGCTAAATTATCAATAGACATATAAATAAACTGTGGCATAGTCATAGAAATGTTAGTCAATTACTGAAATATTTGTTGAAGTATTTAATAACATGAAGAAAGTCTCATAATGTAGTGGTAAGTTTTAAAAGGAAGGAAACAAAACTCTACATAAAGTATTAATCTAATTCAAATCTAGAGAAAAAGTATTTAATAAAGACAGGAAGGAGAGGTAATCTTGGTTAACCCTGAGTGGTAGCATTATTGGCAACATTTTTCCTTCTTATGTTTATCATTTTTTAAATTTTCTTCAATGACGGTATTTATCTTTTATAATCTTTCCTTGCCCCAAACAGATGTGCTTTTCCAAATTCTGCTCGTTAAAATTAAATAAAAATTAAATTGTAGTTGAGAATGTAAGCACATGCATGGAGACAGAATGATCAATAAGTGCCCCTTATATTAAACAATAATTATACTTGATCCTCATGAATACTTATGATTTGCCAGTACATGTGAGATTGGGTCGAACAGAGGTCATACATGCCTTCCATATTTCTCGATAGTAGAGATTATTATGAGCACTATGTCAATACTGGGCTAAATTTACAAGCATTATTTCTAATTCTTATCTTCTCCCAAACAGATGAGAAAACAGACATTCCAAGAAGCTGAAGAAGCACATGTGAGGGCACACAATTTGAACACAGAAAAGCTGGGATTTAAACCTGAGTCTCGATCTCACCACAGACTCACACTACTTCCCTTGCACGATCTGCCTCTACAAGGCAGATCCTTCCATAGCATGTACAGATGAACATCAAAGAGGACCAAAATTCTATTCTTTCCATAGGTGAGGGGGACGATTGTGAACCAATTATAGAAATATTTATGTCCATTCCTAGAGGGGCCTCACAAATGAGGGTGACAGAGACAAAGCTCTCTGATAACGTGAGTAGACTGGATAACTATGGGGCCATGTTCTCAGTTTATCAACCCAATTCCCGAGAAACCAGGCCTTTCCATTGTCTGTGGTCACTAAGATAATGGTGCAATGCTGTTTACCCACCTGGCAACGTAAGGCGACACGTGGAGCTGGTGCTTGGGGCTGGTGAGCCGTGAGAACGCTGTTTTGTGCCTGTGAAGAGGAAAAAGAGGATAAGGAAAAGTAGGATTGTGGAAAAACCTGTTGGACAAGTAAATGTTCATCTGAAATGTTATCAAGTTGGGGTCTGAAAACAATGTTTAGAAGCAGGTTAGGTGAGGTTGCAGGGTGGTGCATATTCTGTGGTCCAGAAAAGCTGGGAGCATCGCCTTTGCCTTTGTGTGTGTGACAGTACGCAGTTCCTCTGGCTGGAAGGTTGATATGTTGGGACCGATGTGCCACTGAGCAATGCTACATTTTAGGATCACAGGGGAAGTTTTCTAAATAGGAAGTTGCCTGGGCGTCACCCCCACAGTACAGGGGTGGAGGCCCAGCACTCATGTTTTTAAAACCCCTCATTCTAATGTGCATCCAGGATGGAACAGGATGGAGGACTATCTGAAGAAGGGGAAGTTCTGATTTAGAATGAGGGAATCGGGGGTTTTGTCTCTGCTTTGTCCTTATAGGCTTTACTTGCTATTGGAACTCAAGCAATGAACTGGATCTCTCTGAAGCTCAGGTCTTCATCTGCAAAATGACGAGAATGACAACAATTGCGTCGAAGTGTTCCAGTGAGGATTAAAGGAAGCAAAGTGTGTCCAGTGCTCAGGAACAATGGGAGACTTCACAAATGCTAGTTTAGTGGGGTTTCTTAGTTTCCCAGCAACTGGCAACAGAATTCCTATGAGGAAGGGGATTATCTTTGTTCTAATAAACCCTTTAATGGGTCACGAGGCAATGAAAAGTCAAACCCCAGGATGGGATCAATAAGGAGAGAGCAGAATAAAGGGACAAAGGGAGAACTGAGAGGTCCTGCCAAAAAATTTTACATTTTTTGTATATATGTATGTGGGTGTGTACGTATATACATACGCATATATTTACGTATAAATATATACACACAGACACATATATGGACACATATCTTATATATAAACATAAATATTTATTTATTCATTCATTCATTTATTTTGTCATCCAGAGTGGGAAGGAAGAGGCCTGGAAGCCAGATTCTAGCAACACGGCAGATGCCTGCAGTCTGAGCTGGCAGAAATGCAGAGAGAATTCCTCAGCAGAGGATATCCATGAGTCAGTGTTAGGTTACTTCCGTTAGGAGTCCCCACAAACTTCCCAAACTTTTAGTTAAGTCCACTTTATATGCAGAGGCCTGGTGTAAGTGGAAGCTGTGCTGATTGAGAAGACCCTATGTGTCAATATAGTCACTGATAAAGATAACAAAAGAATCAGTTTGTGGGGTGGGGGGAGGGGGGAGGGATAGCATTAGGAGATATACCTAATGTTAAATGACCAGTTAATGGGTGTAGCACACCAACATGGCACATGTATACATATGTAACAAACCTGCACGTTCTGCACATGTACCCTAAAACTTAAAGTATAATAAAAAAAAAAGAAAGAAACAATTAGTATTAAAAAAAGAAAAAGAATCTGAAGACTGGGCAGTGTCAGAGGAAGCAGAGACTTGGGGTTGGAGGTGAGTGGGAGAGCGGTAAGCTTTCCCTACCCCAGAATCCCTGGGGAAGAGTGGAGACATGCACTTTGGATGACGTTTGATATCGTTCCATTTTATTTTATTTATTTATTTTTGAGATGGAGTCTCGCTCTGTTGCCCAGGCTGGAGTGCAGTGATGCGATCTCGACTCACTGCAAGCTCCGTCTCCCGGGTTCAAGCAATTCCCCTGCCTCAGCCTCCTGAGTAGCTGAGACTACAGGCATCCACCACCATGCCTGGCTAATTTTTGTAGTTTTAGTAGAGACGGGGTTTCACTGTGTTGGCCAGGCTGGTCTCAAACTCCTAACCTCGTGATCCACACACTTCGGGCTCTCAAAGTGCTGGGATTACAGACATGAGCCACCGCACCCAGCCCCATTTTCATCTTAAACAACAGGGCACCAATCCTGACATTGTGTGACAAATGCCCTCCAGACAATAACAAATGTTATTGTTAATCATTATTATTCTTTCCTTCTTTTCTGGCAGCAGTAGTAGTAAAAATAGAAAACATAAAATTAATCCAAATAGCTCAGACCTACAAAAACTGTTAATTTGTATGAAGTGAAGGGAACTGTATCTGGCGGGACTTTATTTCTCCATTTTCCAGGTCTCACAGATGCCCTGAAGGTCAGAGTTGGTGGAGAACATAGAGGGTCCAACCCTGGCTGTAGCTGTGCTTCAGTTCTTGAACCTCAGTTGAGTAACTCAGTTACTCCTGAGGTGATGTTTATAAATATGACTTCCAAGCTCCTTGATTGGACCCTGAAGCAGAATCTCCAGGGAATGGAGCCAGCAATTTGAATTTTAACAATTTCACCAGGTGATTCCAACGATGATCTTGTAATCTGGCACTTCACTGGTCTAATGAAGTGTCTTGGACACTCCGGGGTGAAAGATTTACGCAAAGTGATACTCTGTGTCAAAGCCAGTGCTGCCACAATGCACAACCCCAGTGGATGCCCGTCGCATTGTATCTTACACAAAGAATGGTGGACCCTGGGTGTGCAACAAATAGGCCCCATTAGGAGGCACTACCAGAGGGCACATCTGTGTCTTTTATGTTGTGATCCAGAGCCGTTCCTTCTCTGCCCGAAATGCCTCTGTGTCCCACAAGATTTTTTACTTGTCTCATTTGACCTTTGGGATAGGGTTTCTCAGCAGTGACACTGTGACATTTGGGCTGTACAATTCTTTGTGGTGGGGGCTGTCCTGTGCACTGGAGAATGTTTAGCAGTGTCCCTGGCCTCTACCCATGAGATGTCAGTAGCTCCTCCCTAGTCATGACGATCATAAACATCCTCCAGATGGTGACAAATATCCTCTAGAGGCAAAAGTGCCCTCCATTGAGAATCTCTATTTTAGGTTGCAGACAGGGCTTCAAGTTTTTATTTAGAGATGTGGTTCCCAATTTGGCTGCTTGGTCATTGCTAATAGTCACTCCCACATATTAAGCAGTTACTGTGGCCCTGGTGCCATATTACGTAGGCACCGTGAAATATAGATTTGTTGTTGTTTCTGATTTTAACATTCTGACAACAAAATTATCCCATTTTACAGGATTTGAAGACAATTTTTGTCTCCAAACATTTTGTTTAAGGAACTTGACTAATGTTACTGAGTGTTGTGGGAGGAGGGAAAAACTTAAGTCAAGATCATTCAAAGTTCAAACTCAAAGAAATTTTTCCCCTGACTCTTGCTGCTTCTTAACCAACCCATTGTCTGGGTTTCCTTCAAGCACAGTCTCCCAAAGTTGTCTAAGAGGAAGAAAAACCTGGGACAATTATTTTAACAAAAATGAAAAACAAAGCCAGTTTCCCAGGCCTCACTAAGCTCTCGGAGCCAGCACTTCCAGAGGCGAGGTTTAGGGACCTGGGTATTTCACAGGTGGCCCAGGTGATTCCCATCATCAAACAGGCTTGGAACACCTTGTGTGGTAGAAATTTCCTTTTGTCGAACTAACGAAAAGTGTGGCATTCTGCTTTCTGTGGATACTCTTGTGAAGTTGAGAGAACAAATTTAATGTTGCCTACATGAGTACCTGAAAAACTGCAAAGTGCTCAATGACCACAAACTTCCAATGTTGCTACCTGTAGAAACGCTATTGCCAGGTTATTTCATAGAAATGCTTGGTGGAATTTTTTAAAAAATAACTGACTATAATCTTCCAAAAGCCTGCAGCTTGATAGCTTTTCGTAGAGGTAGCTTTTCATCCCCTTGGTGTCTTCTTTGCAAACACTGAGTAAGGGAACTCTGGGAACCTTGAGTCAGTGAAAAAGCAGAACTACAAGGCCTTCTGGAAATGCTGTTATTTTCTCTGTTAGCTTGGTGAGATGCCCAATATATCAGGACAGGGATGAAGCCATCCCACCTCTCATAACCATGAGCCATATACAGGTAGCAGGCGGGGATACATAAAATAAAACTGGTTTTGATTTTGCCACGGGCCATTGGCGGGGGGTTAGGTTCTGAGTCAGCCTCCCACTGGCTTCCAGTTCACTGAGGATGTGTTCTTGAAATCTCTTTCCATGAGGAAGCTACCAAATTACCTATCACTTTACTCAAAGTTCCACTCATGGGAGTAATACCCAACACATCTGAGTTTCATTTTCTAAAGCCCTTCGCACTTCACCCTTCCGTTGCTCCCTCTCATGTCCAGGAAGAACATCAGAAACCAGGTGGGAACAGCCAGTCCTGACCCAGCTTCTAAACTGTACTGTATGATGCACACAGAAGGCTTCAGACCACCCACCACATGGAACTGGTTCTTGGATTCATTGTAGAAATCTACTCTGTCAGTGGTTTTCAATCCTGGCTACATATTAGAATCATCAGGGGAGTTCTTAAACAATATGCTGACACCTGACCCTTCACCCCAAGATGCTGTTTAGTTGGTCTGGGTGGGACCTGGGCATGAGGACTTTTTAATGTTCCCAGGTGAGCCTGATCTGCAGCCATGAGAAACACTGCCTTCACTGAATACCCAGAGATGTTTCTTTCAGTTGTCGGGAGGGAAGCCTTACTTTCTTCTGAAACAACTGGTGTGCTCATCCTCACGGATGTGAATCTTGTAAATGGTTTATTTCCATTTAAACTTAAGATTCCAGAAAGCTTAGACCCAGTTTATGGCATAATGCTAGGAATCAGGGGAGGCCGATTTAGACTGCACGTCTGCTTATTAACATTTGCCCTGGTTTGTTCCATCTATGCTAGCTCTACTTTGTGACTCTGGTTTTATTCCATTTACTTAATCATTAAAAAAGCAATGTATTAAATTTGCATGATTTTAGAATTCTCAAATATCTGATAAATGAGGTAAAATAAAAGCAAATGAACAAACAACTATGTCAATGCTGCTATTGCTAAATTTCATTTTCCTCATCTATGAAATTGAGAAAACATCAATGTCAGGACAATAATTGCGAGCATCAAGTAAGAGTACACACATGACAGTGCTTAGCAAACTGTGTCATACAACACAGTTTTTATTATTTGTTTTAGAAAGGTGTGTGTATGTGCATGTGCGCATGCGTGTGTGTGCACGTGTGCATTTGTGTGTGTGTGTGTGTGTGTGTGTGTGTGTGTGTGTGTGTCTAAGTAGGTAATCTGTCATCTTTGGGAAATAAACACTTTAAGGTCAGGAATTACATTTCCCTTGACTCACAGCATGTGGCCATTTAAGGAGTAAACAACCCAATCCGTCAGCTAGGGGCAGAGATGTCACCACTGCAGCTTATGTGACTTGAGGTATCCTTTGACAAATGAATAGCTTTCAGATATTTCAAATTAATGTCCTTGTTTGGTTCAACTAGAGGGCAATGAATCCAATTCATCAAGAGTGTGGAGAAGAGGACAGTGATAGAAGTGACAACTAAGGCTACCCGCCTCAGGGTGAACGCACACCTAAGACTCGGGACTTCACAAAGTTAGTGCTAAAGCACAGTGATTTGCAGCTTAACCTCAAACAAATAATTTCCCTTCTGCAAAATGGGGTTAGCCTGGCCAAGCCTATGCCTGCTGGAGAAAGGGTGATTTAAGAGCTCTTGAGACCAAACATCATCATTATTAATGGTCTGGCAATAGCAATGTTATTATAGTACAACCAGATCCCACAGGGCAGAGGAGGATGCTGAAAAGCTGAGGTATGAAAGTTTCTGTCAACTTATTGGCCATTTTCAATTTCTCTGTTTTAGCATATTGTAAATGACTGCCTTTCTGATACCCACAGACCTCTGATCATTATTGCTGAGCATATCTGCCAACATCTTCTTTGTGTTCCATTTGGGCTGGGGCACAGGGCAACAAGCCATTGCCTGAAGCCTCAGAACAAATCATCGTTTTTGCCCCTTTACAGCTTTGAAGAGAGAGCATCAGTAAAAGTCCAAGTTCTGCTTCAGGCTGTGGGAACACTGAAAGAGTCTGGAGGTCTTCAACGCCCCACCCCCCACCCCCCACACACTGCCCTAAGAGTTATCAACCAAGAGTATATAAATTAGAGCTGCATATTCAGAGTATTTAATGCTTTTTTCCTGCACAATACAACCACCATCAATACTAGGTTTAGTTTCGTGTGATTTGAATATGTCTGTTCATCACAAAGAAGAATGATTAAAAGCAAGAGCTATTCAGAGATACAACACCACAAGCTATTTAAATGTGGCTTTCAAAATATTTGAATGTGCTTTGAACTTGAATTGGACATATGAATGAGGAGTTAAAAAAAGTGTTAACAACCTGTGACCCAGTAATTGTATATCTGGAAATTTGTCCAGTGGAGATATTCAGAAATGTGACAAAGCGTTATGTACAAAGAGCTCCATTGCTGCTATTTACAACTGCAAAAAATAAAATAAAAGCGTATAAGTTAATTGCCCAACAGCAGAGAGGTGGTTAAGTAAATTGCGCTAGAGCCACAGAATAAAATATTATGCTGCTATTGAAATTATATTAATGGAGAAGTTAAAAAAACACTCACAAGAAAATGCTTACAATCCAATGTTGTGTGAACAAACCATAATTCAAAATTAACTATACTATATGGCCTTAACTGTGTAAAAATGCATAGCGAAAGATCATAAGAAAATAAAGTATCTACAATGATTAATTGTTGGATGGGGTATTACAAGTGATTTTAAGTTTCCTATTATACTGTCGATACTTTCCAAATTGAGTAAATTCTATTTTTACTTTAAGAAAAAAATTAAAAATATGTTTCAGTGAATGGCAAGCATGGCTGCTTTGGAGAAACATCACAGTCGCCTTCATCAGAGCAATAATACCATGCGAAACGATACACCAGGAGGCCCTGATGAAGGGGTGGTATTTGTGTAATATTCAGTATCACCACTAGAGGGTTCTCTCTCTGAGGCCGGTTTGAAGGCATCAGGCTGGATGCCATAAAGGATGTAAACCACTTTTATCCCCACAAAGGGGAGTAATGAATGACTACACAGAGTCCCTGACTCATGATGGCCCAACTTAAATTTTTGGACTTCATGATGATGCACAAGCAATACACACTCAGAAGAAACCGTATATAACCTTTCTGTTTTTCACTTTCAGAACAGTATTCAATAAATTACATGAGCTATTCAACACTTTATTATAAAATAGGCTTTGTGTTAGGCGATTTTGCCCAACTCTGGGATAATGTGTTCTGAGCATGCTTAAGGCAGGATAGCCTAAGCTATGATTCAAACACAGCTGGTAGGTTAGGCATATTAAATGCATTTTCGACTTACAGTTTTTTCAACCTACAATGAGTTTATTGGGACGTGACCCCATGGTAAGTCAAGGAACATCTGCATTCCCTAGTCAGACTCCTTATGTTCATGGCTTGAGCAGGAAAATATTGCCAAATATACCCCTTTCAAGAGTAGGAGAAAGAAAAAGTTTGCAATTCAGAAAGCTAGCATCACAGGGCTGTAAAACCATATCATTGTACCCTGAAGAAAATTAAACATATGGAATCCAGCTTAATTCCATGAATGCTGAGATTTCTTATGCCTCTGATAAGCTTCTGATAACCCATTTACTTCATCCCTCACAGTCAAAAAAGGTGAAATGAAACGTGATATAGTCATACTCTGTGTATGTCTTTCAGCATGCAGGCAAAGGCACTTGGTGCCTGGGTATTATGAGACGTTTAAGGGAATACAAAAGAGACAGATGGTTGACTGAGTTTGGACAGCTCTATATCTGAGACAGAACATGGACAACAATGGGAAACATTCAAAGAAAGAAAAAAAAGTCTTTTCATTTTTCCAATTCCAATTAAGAGGTTAACTCATTGTTTTTATTTGGTAATCAGAAGAACATACAAGTACTTATGCATTACTAGATGCTGGGGGAAAATTATACATTGAAGGACTGTCAGGCTCATCTGTGCAATAAAGATTTACAATAAACACATCATTAATTTTTCTGAGAACAGCTCAGTATACTCTGTTTTACATGAATCCTTATGATTTAATCTTGTATTTGGAGATATGATGCTATGGCATTTGGATAACATTGGTTAAGCAGCATCTTAGAGAACAGAACACTCTTCCTCAGAATGGATGGCCATTCTTTTACCCTGTGATGTACAAATGCAAATTACAACCTGCATTTTATCTGCCAGAAGTGTATTTCACATCATGGAAGTACATTCTATCACAACCATGAAATCAAAACAAGTCCATTATTACCATCTTCCCTTTTGGAAGAGCATTCTCAGAATACATCCAGAAATACCTTCCTTATTCCTCCAAAGAATTGTTTATTCAGCTAGTCATTGGTTGAGGTTTGGGTTTTGGTTCTGCTTGCCTCTCTCTTTTGAGTCTTGCTAAATGTTCTTGATAGTAATCCAGATATTTCTCACAAATCCAGCTGAACAGCAGCAACATCTAAAGCTGAGGAGATGAGTTGAGTTTTCCATTCATATATGGCCAGTGCCCTCATCAGGAAAGAGCCTACAGACTCAAGGTGAGTAGGGTGTCTTTAGGATGCTATGTATTTAATGCATAGGGTGCTACGCATCCTAAAGAGAAAAACCCTGTGAGAGCAAAAACTGTGCTGTACACTAAGGGAGGACAATAACAACATCATATTCACCTCTAGGTGACTCACCTTGCTTTGGGTAATTGATTTCCCATAAAGATTTCCTTTTTTCCTGCTTCCTTTTCCCAAGCTATTTCTGCCTCCCCATCTATCCCCAGCGACCTTTGACACCCAAAACTTTCCCATACGAATTGCATGGAACAAGGTGCTTTTATTTTTCCCATTATTTTGTGTTTGTACGTGCTAAAATGATACTGCAAGCAGAATGGGTTACCTGGACAGAAGCAAAAGAAGGAATTTGTGAAGGGTAGAAAAATGGGAGGAAAAAAAAAGGAAAACATAAAGGAGAGTTTGAAAAAGGGAAGACATTTAAATTAGATGAGGGGAATCTGGTTGTACAGTGGGCACAAGAGCTGATAAAAACCTAACCAAGCTCTACAAATGAAAATAGCAAATATATTTTTGAAAATTTTATAGCATATAAAATTGTATAAAAATATCATCAAAGCAAGAAAAAAGGAAATGTATACTCTATAGTTCTACCTCTAGAATCAGTTATTGGACAATACCTATGGCTGTAGGTTTTTCCTATCCATCTATATATATTAATATAATATGTGACTGTATTTCTGTACCATCACACATATACCCACTCAAAGACAAGGACAGTAGTACACAAATTCTACTCCAAGATAGGTCATGAGAGGGAAGCAAAGACTATACAATGATGTGTCTCCAGGACAATCTATTTAAAACCCATTCTATAGCCATGGGGTTTTAATGGGCTTTATTTTAAATGAATTACCCTGCACCATAAACTGACTGAGAAATGATCCTGCAGGTTCAGAAGCCAGCACTCATGAAGAATACGTGGCTGAAGCTGACCAAAGCTGAGAGGATGAGTCTCCAGTTGGCACTGCCTCTGGCCTGCAACAGCCAGCATTCACCCCACAAAGGGGGACAAGGTCTCCTCAGGGGAGACTGAATGAGTGTGCCCTGAGCGAACTTAAAGGGCCCACACCCCACTCCCTGCTTCTCCTGGCTGAGCAGATGGCAGCCCAGGCTGGGTGCAAGTACAGTTAGTGAAGCCAGCCATTGCCAGGGTTAATCCACTTCTGCTTGGGAACAGAAGCCAGAATAAACATGAATTCATGTCAAATATGTCTGGCAATATTTTCCAAAAAATGACTAGGGTGGGTATTTAAGAAAACAATCAGGAATTAATATGTTTAAACTTGACCATCATACATCTTTCAGTCCAGGTCATCCACTGCACAATCGTTCCTTGTTTAATATAAAAACAAGAAGCTATTTCAGTGGCACAATTCTTGCTTAATTCAGACATTCCTGGAGAAGCAGCCAGCCTTTTTACAAATGTCCAAGGAGGATCTTTAGAGGCCTGCTTCCCATTTTTCTAATCTCCCTGGGAACATGTTCATGATCAGATAAACTGTCTAATGCAAATGACTCTGGTAACATTCTAACTCTAGTGTCACCTCTGTGCCCACTAGTGTCTTTGGTGAGAGAGAGGAAACCTTAAAAAGTAAAATCTGGCCTTGGCAGGTAATATGTCTCTTGATACCCAGAGGGAGGTTTTATAGGAATATTGTCATTGCTCATTATAATTTTTTTCATTAAGTTCATTTTCTTAGTGATAATGAGGCCTTTAATCATGGATCACAGTTGATAAATTATTACTTTCCATTTGTTCATGCATAAGATCCAATATAACATCATTATTGCAACATTATGTTCTTTAACATCTAACTTTGCCATGGTTTGGTGCTGTACCAATCATATTATTGGTGGAGCAGAACTATGCAGTGATTCCTCATGCTGCACATAGAGAATCTATTTGCTGTAGGAGAGTCTGTTTAAGGTTTTAAAAGTTTCCACTCGGATTCTCAGTAAATCCACTGACGTTTTATATAGATTGGTGTCATCTTCCCTTTTGGAAAGACATTCTCAGATAAATCCTGTTTTAGTGCTTTTTTTTTTTTGTATTGTTCTGTTTTTTTCTTAAATCAAGAGGCCATAGAGAAGTTTTTATTTTATTTTTTCCATAAATTTGGCTATGACAATTTCTCCCAAATTACCTGCAATTTCCTATCTCTGGTAATAAGCTATTTGTGTGAGTAGGGTATGCCTGCATATACTTAGAAGATAAGCCTTTAGCAGTGTGCTTGGCATATAGAAGTTGAATAAATTTTCAGGGAAATTTGAATTTTGTTTGCATTCACAAGTGGATAGTGGAATTCAGTTAGACGATTTTGAATGTGTTTCCTGAATGCTGACCGTGTTCCAAACACTGTGGTGGGCCAGCACTGCGTCTCCTGTGGGGTGTGTGGGCATCTCAGGATCAGAACAAAGTTTCCAATTAGGAAAAAAATTGTTGCCTGAATTCCCTAAATTCTCTTTATTTGGGATAGAACACCACATACACAGATTTCCAATCTTAGAATCTTCTCTATTTCACTATGAGAAAAAGATTTCATGCTTTTTTTCTATTGTTTTTCCTAGGCTCCATGGGGAATGTTACAAAGTAATTTCCATCATCAAAGTCTCTGCTCATAGGTTAAGAAAGAAGAAAATATATTATATTATCTATCTATCTATCTATCTATCTATCTATCTATCTATCTATCTATCTATCTATCTATCTATCATCTATCTATCTATCTATCTACCTACCTACCTATCTAAGGAAAAGTGACCCATGAGAGAAGTGATATTAAAATAAACAGTATCCATACTTCCAAAATATGGATAACAAAAATTGGTCTTCAACTTTTGGATTACCGTCTCACATCCCATGATAATGTTGCTTTTTACTTTACACTTTTGTATCTAAAGGCATGGTTCCAAGTGGAAAATATAATACAATGGCTTAAATTCTACAAATGAATGAACACGTGCACTAGGTTATTCTTTGGCTTTCAGATGTTTAGATATCATTTTACTGTTTAAGTGTATCAGATCCACAATGGGATCCTGTCAAATGTTTTCGGTAGTTTATAACAGCTCCAAAAATGAAATGGACAGTGGAAGAAAGTCCATTTGAATTTAATGGGTTAGAAATGAGTCTCTTGTCTGCTGCCATAAACTATTAGGGCTCATAACCTAAGAAAGATTGGCACAAATAAAATATGGAACAAAGGCCTCGATAAGAATGGGTCATTATGCCACTGAAACGTACCACATTAACACAACTTAAATATAGAGCTATTTGGTGACATGGGGACCCAAATTCAAGGGCTAACTTGTCACATTTTATCCAGGGACGTGTAGAGCGCATGGTTTCGTCTGTGGTAGGACTATCCCTATTGCTGTCCCCACATGCTAGTTAATTCTTAATTCAGGTGTGTAAGCCCTTGCTCTGTGTGTGTAAACCAGAGTAAGATGCCATAATCTGTGCAATAGAATAATGTTTGTCCCAAATTGCTGCTCAACTTGAAGAAAGCTATTTCAAGGGAATTAAAAGACCGCAGAAAATAAGCTAGAGCTTTGGAAATATTGCTTTTGCAGTCAGCACTGATTTGGAATAATTACTTTAATGTTTTATCAGCTCCAGTATCAATTCATAGCATCATATAATATAGCATTTTGTATTTTTAATAGATAACTGCATTTTTACTCAATATCCCTTCGAAACACTTTTTAAAGATTTAAAGCTAAGAGTGAGTTACATGGAGTTTTGTTTTGCTTCACTGAGAGTTTTAGGTGAAGTTCTTTATGGAATGAAATTCTCTTTCTATTCTTTTTCAGCTGATTAATGACTTAAAGCAAATGAAAAACATTTCCATTTTTATTGGTGCTAGAAAAAATGGCTATATTCCTGTTTCTTTTTCAAATGTTGTTTCTTGTTGCTTGTTAGATTATAAAATGGAAGCTGTAGACTTTCTATTTTGACTGGCCAAAAAGCCCCACATACAAAAATACAGAATATAAATGAGGTAAAAGGTCCAGGTTCCAAGGTCAAAAATTGACATACTCTTGGTTATATTTAATTTCAATACAAAATCATACCACCTCTAAGAACATAGCTTGCAAACCAATGCCCCATGGATTGAATGCAGCTCACAGGCATGTTTCATTTGATTAGCACAGTGTTTGTAAGTTTTTGAGTTAGTTGTCAATATGTAAAAATTTGGAGAGAGCTTATATCAAATCCTAGGTATCTAGGACCCCCATCCCCACACAGCTCAAATTCAGTTGCTGCCTACCAACTACCCTGTTTTGACAGCACCCACCCTCTCCAATTTCTCACAGTCCCCATTGCTCCTTCCTGTCTTGCTGATACAAAGGCCCACTATGAATTGCCATTTACCACAATGACTGTGATATTACATGGCTTGCTTTATTCATTTACTTGACCTGCTAGGCCCCTGAAGTCATTTGAATTTCTGGCCACATTATGTGGTGAGGTCATTGTTATGAACACAGGGAGCACAACAGAAAAATCTAAGTGTTTCTCCAAGGCAAAATGTAAAGCTGACAGAAGAAATCTGTTCAAATATCAGCATGCTGTTGTGCATTCGATACTACAAAGTTCTTCAGATCTTTCTGTTGGGGAACATTTTGGCAAGGCAAAGGTCCAGGAAGACCACATACAGTCTCTTTCTTTCTGCCTGAAAAAATGCCAATATTTCACCTTAGTAATAAAAGGACGTTTAAATATCTGTTCTCGTGCTTTTTCATGTAGAAATTAAATCTGTAGTGGGGAATACACTTAAACCTATTGCCTAGCTCTCTTTCTATTACTAATCCCCACTTCATCATCAGCATATTCATGTGCTTCACTCTTGGGAAGGACTCAGAGATTCCTGTGTGACCAATAACCACATTTTAAGAATCACTTTTATCTAAATCACATCATTTAGACTCATAAAATCCCACTTTACTTGCACTCCCTTAGATCCCACCTGTAATTTGGTCTCAAGGGGGCTGCAATGTTATTCTCTTTCCATGCTACATCTACTATTCTTATTTTTTATTCGTGCTATTAATCCACTTCTATCTTGTATTTTTAAAAACTCACTAAAATGCAAAGAATTATCTGCCATATCTCCCTGATACTAATTCCCTTAGCACTTTACTGAATAAAAAGAAGAGTGATGAAATAAAACCACAGATATCCAAAAGAAGATGTCCAGCCAGTGGTAAAAATTTCAGTAACCACTTAGTTATCAATGCTACCAGTGGAAACAATGGGTTCCCACTCAACAGTACAGTCACCAGCTGAACATTCAGGTTTATACTAATGAATGCACAGAGAAAATAAATTAGCCATCAAATAAAGATTCCTATAGAATAATCTTTTTTAGAAAACAAACAGAATTCTGTATTACAGAAGTGGGAAAAAAAGCATAAGAACAATTTTAAGTCTGAAAGGAAATTGGAGAAAACAAATGTTCCTGACTCAGGAAAGGAACCAGAGACTGGAATCATCATCTTTGCGGTGATGAATGTCAGCATGGCTGTATCATCAGTAGCCAGTGCAAAAATGACAACATTTAAAGTAACGGCATTGACAGTCATAAAATGGCAATTACTGTGTGTGTGGCTTTTTTCAGGCCTCTCCCAGCATATCCAGGATGTCCATTCTCATCAGGCCAGACAGATGCCTTGAAAGCCAGGTCATTAGCAAAGGATTTTGAGGATGCCCCTTCATGTTTTGTTTCTGTTTGAGTAAAAATCTCACGTTGTTTGTTTTGCTCAGGGGAATATCCCCCAGAGTTCTAAGACCTCAAACCAACCCCCAAAGATTCATCCCCTGGAAGGAGATGGTGTGAGGGAAGGCCAAGGGTCAGGGGGTGGGGGGCTTGTGTTTGAAAGTTGTACACCTTCTCCAGATATGGGTCTTTGTGGAAGAAGGAGAAGAAGGAGAATGAAGAAGCTCAGCTAGAATGATGCAAGACACTGGCAGCCTCTTTTATTGTCTATGAGGTCTTTTTTACTCTTGTGAATCTGAAAAAAAGAAAAAGAAAAAGAAAAGTGTCAATGCTGCCTTTCCCCCCGCCCACCTCCACCCTCCAAGTCTGAGGAGAAGGAAATCTAGGGGACCAAAAAAAATGGGATAACCAATTAAACATTTCCATACTGGTCATTGCTGTCTCCCTTGTAACAAGATTTGTTCTATTCATAAGGGGAAAATGTCAGTGCAAAACTGTAATATCAGTACATTTGAAATCTTAATAGTTGCTGTAAACTAGATTAGCAAACATTTGGTCATGCAGTAGGGATATTAAGCCACCTTCTTTTGCAATGGAGATGACGGTTTTGTTGCCAGATCTGGTCAATCTGTCTCAAGGGTCAGTGGGATTGGAAGAAATCAGATTCATCTAATCCCAACTGTTTTCATATCAAAAGCAATACTCCTCCCTCTCAGAATTCTTGCCCCACCCTCAGAAGTTTCCCAGAGACATTTAAAGCAAGATGTATCCTAGCCCAAATCATTTTGCAGATGGGTGAATCACCTGAGTTCTCCACTGGACCCAGAGCAAGGGGGTGGAGGAAGACGACAAAGATGGAAAAAGGACTAGGTTAATGACAATAGACAATATTGTATTTCTTTTCAACTGGCATGCTCTACCCCATGTAACCTCAAAGGTCTTAGGCAGAATTTAAAACAACAACCACAACAAACCCACCATATTATTTCTTCCAATTGGTGTTGCATGCTCTGCAAGTCATCATGCCTTATAGTTAGAAAGTGTTCCCTTCTATGCAGGGCTCCAGTTGGCTTGGACTTTAAGAAGGGTAACACTATTATCTACAGAGATGTTAGAAGCCTTTACAGGACAAGGAAAGTTTCCCATTCAACTTTAAAGACTAAGATACTCTCCTAAGATTTAGGTGAATTTAGCAGAAAACTCATTGGGAGATAGGAGAACTCCTTCTGATCTATTGTAATTACAGTCAATTCTCAATTTTCCAGGGGCCATTGATCCAAGCTTCCTGCTGTTCCTCTAACTTTATTATGTTCTTGATTGTTCATTATGTTTACCCTCCATTAACACCTTCACCCATTTGAGAGAAATAACAGACAAAAGTGAGGCTTCATACCAATCACTTTACTCCAATACTAGCACTGATAAACTTGCCAGTGAGAGAAGGAGGTGAAACAAAAGCTGAAATCAAGGATGAGAAATTTTCCATTGATGTTGATAGTCTATGCACAGTTTGGTCCACATGGAATTGCAATACATGACTTTGTCCTTAGTACTCTGACCCTGCCATTATCAACTTGGGATCATACGTCATGAGGCTTCTTTTAGAGAGTCATCATAATACTAACCACCTTCAGAGATGTCCCCAGACCCTCAAATGTAAAGCCCAATTTTGTTAGGATGACAGAAGGTTGGGTTTGATTTTTTAATAACAGACCCATTGGTTGGAAGGAAGCTAGAGACAGATAGCTGGGGACAGCTGATAAAGACCACTATTTAACTCAGTGAGCCTCACCTGGCCAACAAGGAGAATGATGCACCTCCTGCAGACTGGGTTAGCAGAGACCCACGGTCCAGACTGCTGGGTCCCAGAGATGGAAAGAGGCCTATCTAGGGTCTTAATGAAATCCAAAGGCTGCTAAAACGAGATATTCCTCCATTTCTAATCACTGCTTATGGGTGAGATGGTGGAGTGTTCCCTCTGGCTGTGGATCTCCATCCTCCCCTCCAGCTTTGTGTCAAGGGGTGAAGGGAAAGGGTGAATAAAAGAAGTTTGTGTGTTTAAGCTGTGCCTGTGTTCATTGTCATTAAATACCACCAGCAGTAAAAGAACAAGAAGCATATGTTCTATAGCTGGGTCTGTGACGTGATGACCTGAGTCATCATCCCTGGCCTTCCCAAACACATGCCCTCTAAAAGTAACTTCTGTTTGTGAATTTCTTAAGTCACTTAAGAAATACCCTAAGGTCCCTATATCATAGCTACCTGCAAAATAATGTTCCAACCCAGACTGCTGACTCTTTGAGAACAGGGAAAACACCTCATTTATCGTTTATAACACTTCTTGCATGTAGTGCAATGCCTGACACATAGCATATGCTCAACAATATTTTTAATGAAAAAGAAGAGAATTGAATAAGCATGAGGAGGATGGGACTGATAAGGTGTGGTGATGAATAGGAGGTTTCCCTCCACCCTTTTTCTAATTTTGACTTTCACAGCATGAAACAAAAATTTAAAAGAAAATAATAAACACACCAATTATATATTTTATTCAATAGTAAGGTATGATATGTCAAAATATTTACATTCCCTATGAAGAAACCCAATTATGGATGGCTTTCTATGGAGCTAATCTCACAGAGAAGGAGCACCTGCTATCCAGGCAGCTTTGGCATGGTTTGCAAATCAGGCCTGGTCCTCTTTTCACTCCACATCCTATCTTTCATTGTGTTCTGGTTTTATGTATTTGTTTTCAATATAAACTGAAATTCAGTAAGCATCAGCAAGACTACAAAGTATATGAAAATGAGGACCCTGAAGACAAAGTGTTAATAGGCCACTCTGTGTGTAACTGAGATGCATGACTTTTTGAAGGCCACAAAAAGTAGTTAAATCCTTCCACTTTTTAAAGAGTGACTGATGAATTGAAATGGAAACTTTCTTGCCACATCTTGGAATAATTCAGGAAACTATTTAAGTGCCTGCCCCTTGACCCAAGACTTTTTATACCTCACAAGGTAAAGCTGTGAGAACTTTAAATCCTGAAGTGCAAATACATGGTATATGAATTCACAGAAATGTATTTACTCTATAGGAGCATACAATCATGTTTCAGCAACTTCATTTAGAAAAATGGGAGACGGACTTAAAACAATGTGGCCTTATTTATGGTACCATGCTGCTCCCAAAGGTAAGTGCAGATGCTGTATATAGGTCTTAAAACCATGTGATTTAAAGATAATTGGTTTTAGAAGAAGATTGAAGTTCAATTTAACATGACTTGATTCTAAAGATGTGTTTATCCATTATAATGTTTATTCCTGGATCACAAATGGAGTGTCAATGAGGCAGCCCTCATAAGAATTTGCCACTGGGCTTAAAAAATATTTTAAATGCATTTCTCTTCCATTTTTCTTGGATTTGATGTTTTTACAGCCTGATTCAACTATCACCTAAACTCAAAGAAGTAAGTTGACTTGGCTGAAGAGAGAGATGGGGTTCAAAACCAGATTTTCAGGTCCTAGGAACTCTGTACCATAGCTGCCTCCCTATGGAGTCAACTTTCTGCAAAAACAGCAAAGTGATACAGCACACACCTGACAAGTTATAAAACTCTAAATAGAAAAAAACGAATGAAGAATAAGTGTAGAGAAACCAAAACCAATTTGAAATGTCATGTAAGACTTCTATTGGGCATATGAATGGGTCCTCGTTTTTTTTTTTTTTAAATAAGAAGAAAACATTAAGAAAAAACAATTTTAAAGTATCTGTTAGGCTTTATCCAGGTATGGACTTAATTGTCCTAGGTCACAAGTACATGACAGCTATTTTAAAGCGTTATTTTCAACATGTGCATGCTTTCTCCTTGCCCTAAATAATAGAGCATATTATTATAATAGGATTATATTTTCACTACAAATAATATCCATGCTACAGCACTGCTAAGACAAAATCCTCTCATCATGTATTATTCCAGCACAGAAAAATAAAACAGAAGGACAGATAGACAGACACATAGATAAACCAGATAGATAGATAGATAGATAGATAGATAGATAGATAGATAGATAGATAGATAGACAGACAGACAGACAGACAGACAGACAGACAGACAGACAGACAGACAGATAGATAGACAGATAGATGGGCAGGCGGGCAGGCAGGCAGGCAGACAGACAGACAGACAGACAGAAGACATTTGTGGGAATGTAACTTCTTAAAACCTTGCCTATGCCATTAACTCCTAAAATTTACCCATTTGATCCAAACACACAGAATAAGAACAGTACAAAGAACAGTTAGTTTAGTGCAAAAGTAATTGCGGTCTTTACCATTACTTTCAATGGCAAAAACCCCATTTACTTTTGCAGCAATCTAATAGTTCTTAGGTCCAACCCTTTCCCTCTTTGTCTTTCCTTTTGCTCCACTGCATCTGTGCTACCACTGAAAATAACAATGATGTTAAACTCTTCCTCTCTACCCTTGTTGCTTTCTCTCTTTCATTTAGCATGTTCTTTCTTTCCAAACATAAAATATGTGAACAACTGTCTCTGTTCTTCTGTCTCACACTGCCCAAGGTGTCTTACTGCTATCATGCTCTGTTTTAAGAATGTAGCACATTAACACAAAGACAATGATTAAAACACTGAACTCTCTAAATGCCCCCAATGCCTGGCCCACTTTTAGCAGACAAGTAAAAGTCAGGCATCAGTAACTCCTACAACTCCTCTGATGATAAGTCAACATCCCTGATTCACAGAGGTGCAGGTGAGGGTAGAGTTAAGCACCCTTGTCTGCACAAAAGAGTTTAGTTTCTGATCAGTCTTTGAATCTGTGAAGTCAGGAAGAAGCCCAGGACCGTAAAGAAAGTCCTTCAGATCAGTAAGTGAGGCTTGGATTTTAGACATGAAACATTCTGACTACTCTTCATGTTTTTCTCAATTTTATTATTTCAGGAAAAGCAGAAAAGATTCTAAATGATGAGAAAACCAAACAAACAATCATTTTCTCATGTTTTCACTATGGCTCCAGGGCATAGAATAAAAATAGCATATATTGCAGCGGACTAATACTTAAGAAATGTAGACATGGTCACTTGGAGAGCAGGATGCCCATCAGTGGAGAATGCTAAGAAAAAATGCAAAGAGGGGAAGCTTGAATACTTGCTGAATACTGCATTTAATAGCTTTTTTAGCATGTGAGCGTCTAGAAAAGAAATGGCATTACCAATGTAGATAGTGTTAAGTTCTGCCTTTGGCACATATTTACTTCAAAGGTTCCCTTTATTTTAAATATTTAAATATAATGTTAATAGAGTTTCTTTTGGCAAATATATTGTTACTTGTGTTTCTCCAATCCCTTGCATAGAATCTGACAAAATATCATTTTTTTCCAGGAGAAAATATTTATTTCATGATTACTAAGAAGCTTTATTTTAAACATCTTGAACATCAGTATTAAGGAAAAAAGAAAAATCACACCTTGCCCCGTAGTTACAAAATTTTAATTCCCTCTGTCAAACCAGATTCCTTTAAAAATACAGTGGTACATTAGTAGTTCCACAAAGTATCTAGAAGACAGAGTGAAACAATGAAAGCTTATGTAGCAATAATTGCAAAAGAAAAGTTGTTCAGAAAGTCTAATTTTATCATTAACAAAGAGTTCATAATATACTTTTATTTGACATTTCTACTATGGAGTTACTTGGTAAGAGACTGGGATCTAAACACCTACATAAAAAACATGAATTGATGTTAGAAGTTTCCCTTAGTATAACACAATTTATTTAAACCCATCAATCTCATATAATATATAATATAATCCACATATTATGGATTGGTTAATAGATATTCCCCAAATTCATAAAATAAAACCAATTATGTTGGGTTAAAACATCACTGAATTAATAATAACTCTCATGGTTGGGTCAACCTACAGCACAGCTTCCAAAATTAAGTACAAAATGACAATGAAGTATCTAAATCAAAATGTTTAATCGAAAAAACCTTTTAGAGTTTAATTAGTGAAGTTTTAACCAGATGCATGAGAATAACAGACACCTAAAAATAATATTACAATTCTCTCCTCCACTTATTGACTTTTTGTTTTCCTTGGACAGGGACATATATATATCTATATACACACACATATATATATATGTATATGTATATATGATTTAAGATGTATGTAATATAGTTTATCATAGAGGGTATATATTATGTATATATGATATATATTAATATATCTTACATGTTATATGTCATATATGCATCATATATCAGATATATCATATTGTATCATATATCATATGTATGATTTATGTATGTGTGTACATATATATGTGTATGTGTACATAAGTGTGTGTGTAATTTCAGTTGCTATTTTCATACTACAAACATGAATTTCCAGACACAAAAATCTGCAAGAAGACAATGGTAGTCACCTGCCATCTTGTTCCTTTATAATTCCTTTATATTCATTATATACCATCCTTGAAAAGCACAAGGACATTCACTGAACCTAAAAGTATATAAAAAATGCATTGATTTGAAATGGACGTTTATTACCAAAAGCGCTAACTGTTCTGATTCACTATGACTCAGATGAAATGCTAGAACCATGAATAAGTAACAGGTTTTGTACGTCCATGCTCCCAAGACTAAAAGTCCATAGCAAAAAAGGAACAAGGTGCTTTTTCAGGTTAACACCGTTTGGCCACTTCCCACTCACATATTATGGATTGGTTAATAGATTTTCCCCAAATCTATAAAAAAAACCAATTACGTTGGGTTTAAGCATCACTGAATTCACAGTAGCTCTTATTGTTGGGTCACCCTACAGCACAGCTTCCAAATTTAATTACAAAATGACAGTGAAGTATCTAAATCAAAATGTTTAATCAAAAAAACCTTTTAGGGTTTAATTAGTGAAGTTTTACCCAGATTCATGAGAAAAACAGACACCTAAAAATAATATTACAACTCTCTCCTCCATTTATTGACTTTTTGTTGTTTTCCTTGGGCAGGGACATTGGAGTGGAGAGTTTAGATACTTGTCAAACTACTTGAGAAAATAAGGTTGTAACTGCTTTAGAAAACACCTGCTAAACCATGGCATTTCCTTACTATTAATGTTCCACATGACATAAATATGTTAAGGAAATGGGTCACAGGAGTTTTCATGGACAAATGGCTAAGGGAAATGGGATATTAGTCAGAATTTGTGTTCTTATGACGACTTAATTGGAACCCAAAGCACTCCAGATATTTGGTCCCTCTTTGCTCATGAAAAATAACCTACGCAGATGCTGGATTCTCATGCTGAAAGCAATTCCTTCATTAAAGAAATGTCTACTTTTTGTCACTACATAGAAGGCTGCAGTGGGATACCTTCCTAGACCTAAGAAATATTATCCTTTGAGACAGAAACAAGTTTAAAACCTAAAGGATGGGATTAACTATATGTATAAACTGCCTCAAAATAGCAGATTTTGACTTCAGTGGCATGACCACTAGTGAAGTATATTACAAATGATTCATTACTAAAAACAGTTAAGCACTGAAGTTATAAAGGGTTAATTTTTAAGGTAAGTAGAAGAGATTCAAAGTTATTGCTATGGCAACACTATCTTGGGTGTGAGAGAAAAGGATGGGGTAACAGCTTGTCTTCCCAATTCACATTCCTTGGCCTATTTTACACATCACATGATCTGGGCACACCTTCAGAGGGGTGTAGAGCTAGTGAAAATCTGGTAGTCTAAAGTGGACAAAAAATAATGAGGAAAAAAAATCGAGAACATCTACCTTAAAAACAACGCAGTATCGTCAAGATTAAGGCCCAGAAAAGCAATCAAGGATGACTGAAAGTGAACAAGAATAATAATCTACTCCAAGATATTAACACATCTCATGGCTGAATTAATGTGTGGCTAAAAAACAGGCAAGAAAAGGGGTGCCATAGAGGGGTGCCTCTTGCACTGTCAGGATATAGCACATGCAAGATGACCCATATCCACTCTTCTTGGCAGCTCCGTCCCAATGATAGAAACAGATTTCAAGATATTCTACCTTAAGATCACAATTCATCAACTAAGTCCCCTTACATGTTCAGTTCACCAAGCAACCTTCTGATACAATTTGACTTTCCAAGTAAGTTTTCCTTCAAGAAGAAACCACCAACTGGCCAGTTGACATGAGGATCCCAGCATATGTGGAGTATATATTTCACATTGTACATCAGTAAACTGTCAGTCAAAACTACGCACTGGTCACAAGTATTCATTTCAGTGTCAACAAATCCTCTCCAGCATAATCAACTCTTCCTTTACTGTCAATATGGAATTCCTTGTTCTGCCATTGTGTAGAGCTCTTCTAGCTAATCAGCAGCCTCTCTTTCTAATCATCACATATCCCGAGCTCCCAGATGAAGGAATTTTGTGTTTCCCAAATGAGACCATTCTTATATAAAGAACAAAATGATGAATGGCAAAGTAAATTTCACTAAAAAGTCCTATGTCAAGAATTCTCAAAATGCCAAACATTTTCTATGACTTATGTGTAGTGACGCAACATAAACTAGAGTAGAAGTCTGAACAAAAATGGTCACTAAGACCACCATCCTCTAAGAATGGTAAATCCATTAGAATTTGGTCAAAAATCATATCAACAGTTCCTTAGAAACAAATAGATCTTTCAGAAATTGAGAAAAATATTAAAGGAATTACAAAATTCTCCATAACATCTTCTATATCAAGGGGGTATAAGATTCATTCAAATATGAGTGTGCTGAAGACAAGTAAGTGTGTTCAAGTGTTGCTATGGCTCTGCATGGACCAATGCATAGCCAGTGTCAACTACAAGTGATAACACGAAGCCCTGTGGGAAGAAATAGCAGAGATTGGAAAACTAAGGTGATAAAATGAAACATCAACCAAAAGAAAGGTTTTGAGGTGTCTAAAATAGGGCAGTTCTTTATTCTGGCATATAAAGACAATCCAAAACTATCGTCCTAAGTAGTATGGGGACATTTTTTTTTTGGAAGAAAGAATAACGTGAGTATGATTCCTTGAGATGAGAAAACTGGAATACAGGTGTCCATGCCAGTAAGAAAACTGATAATGCCCTCAGGGTCCGTATAACCAGTGAATGCACACCTGCTGAATAAAGGTCATGTGACAAAGCATTTATTGTTTCTCAAATCTCTGGAAATGAACCTAAGACAGAAACAATCTCTAGTAAAGACATACATGTGTCAGTTCTACCCACAGCCTGCTGTTTGACTCTTTTCTCCCCAGATCTGCAAAGCAGGGCATACCTCCACATCTGTACAGGCCCCTCCTATCTTTCACTACCAGCTTCATTGAAGAGCAGGTCATGATGCCTCACCCTATAGGCAACTAACATTTTTCAAAATATGAACATGATGAAAATTAAATACCACTCAAGTGTAAAGTTGTATTCTTCTGCTGTTTTCATTAATGGCTTGGCAAATCAATTCAAATAGAACAAAAGATGCCTTAAAAGCTCAGAGTCATCCATTCCAAATTCATTTATGTACTCCATTTCAAACTAACTTGTTAGGAATCATCTATTTTTTAAAAAATTAAAAAAGAAAAAAACAGAAAAAACACATACATTTCTTCAGGTGACCACTGTGAGCCATGTAGCAAGTCAAGGTCATGAGACAACAGCCTTGTGAAGAATTATATAATGTAGATATGATTAGAGGCAAATTCCTATAATGTACGCAATAACCCTTTTGATCACAGTTATTTGTTCTATGCAAACTAACAAGAATACTGGCTACCCTGCCTCCTCCATTTTTTCTGTACTAAGATTCTAAATAGGAGAATATGATTATCTTGAGAAATATTCAGAAAGAATGGTTGTAAGAAATACAATTTCCTCATTGAGAAAACAAACTGACAAAGCTGTGTCCTGACAGCCACAGTGAAATGCAGAGCTAAGAAATTATTATGTGGATGTAATATACATATCCCCTCATACAAGCTTTGTTTTATCTTAATATGGTTTTAAATTTGGCTTTTAATTTTCACATCCTTAATGATGTCAAGGATCTTTTAATGTGCTTATTTGCTAGTTGTATATCTTCTCTAGTGAAAAGTTTGTTCAATTTTTTGTATGTTTTTAATTGGGTCGTTTTCTTATTATTTAATACTGAGTATCTATATTTAATGAATATCAGTTATTTAACAAATATATGTTTTGCAAATATCCCCCCAGAATGTGAACTGCCTTTTTATTCTCCTAATAGAGGCTTTTGATAAAGCATAATTTATCAATTTGTTTTTTATGGTTTGTACTTTTGTGGTCATGCCTAATAAATCTTTGCTTAACCCAAGATCAAAAAGAGTTTCTCTTATATTTTCTTAACTAGAAACTGATAGTTTTACATTTTACATTTAGCTTTATGATAAATTTTGAGATGTCGCTTGTATGTGATGTATAGTTAGAAATTCCTTATTTTGCATATGACATTTCAAGCAGTCATCATCATTTGTTGATGACTATCATTTTCCCTTGGAATTGTCTTTGCCCTTTATTAAAAATAAATAGTCCATACACATGTAGATCTATTTTTGGAGTATCTAAGCTATTCTGTTGATCTGTTGGTCTGTGTTGATGCCAATACCATGCTGCCTTAGTTACCATAGCTTTATAGTAAGTCTTGAAATCAAACCTTCTCTGTAGTCCTCCAACTTTTTCCTTTTTCAAAGTTGCTTTGTCTATTCTGGATGTTTTGTATTTCCATATGAATTTTAGAATCAGCTTGTCAATTTCTACCAAAAAAAAGCATACTAGGATTTTAATTGAGATTGTATTGAACCTATAGATCAACATGGGAAGAATTTACATGTCACCTGTCTCTGGAAAATCCCCAAATATTTGGAAATTAAACATTACACTTCTAAATAACTCTTAGGTCAATGTAGATACCAAATGGAAATTAGAAAGTATTTTGAGCTGAATGTGAATGAAAATGCAGCATATCAGAGTTTGGATCATGATGCTAAAGCAGTACTTAAGAAAATCTACACCACTAAATGCCTACATTAAAAAAGAAAAAAAAATCTCAAATCGGTAACCATGACTTTCACCTTAAGAAACTATGAGACAAAGTAAACCCAATAGCAAGCAGAAGAAAGGAAATAATAAAGATGGATATTAATAAAATAGAAAACAGAAAAACAATAGAAAATATTAATGGTGATGATTAATAAAATATATTAACCTTTAGCCATGCAGATCAGGGAAAAAGAGAGAAAACACAAACTACGCATATAAAAAATGAGAGTGATAACATTATTAAAAATTCTACAGATATTAAAAGAATAATAACATAATACAAACATCCTTTCAATTTAATTCTATCATGGTCCATGAACATATTTGTTTGCCTTGAATCCTTTTGAATTTATTGGGACTAATTTATTCTCCCAGAATATAGTCTATCTTTTTAAATATTCTGTATGCACTTGAAAAAGATGTGTATTCTTCTATGGTTGGGTATTCTAGGAATGCCAATTATGTCAAGTTGATTGACAGTGTTGTAGAAGTCTTTGTTTCCTTGCTGATTTTCATATCTACTTAGTCTATTAATTATTGAGAAAGAGATAATAATGTCTCCAAATAAATTGTGAATTAAAAATGTTTTTGTAGTTTGTTTCAAGTATTTGGTGCATAAATGTAAAAAATGATTATATTCTCTTGATAAACAGACAACATTATCATTATGAAATGAACTTCTTTATTGCTGAAACTTCTTTATTCCTGTCTTTGTTCTGATATCTACTGTCATATATTAATATAGCCACCAGGCTTTCTTTTGATTAGTGTTAAGACAGTATACCAATTTAAAACCTTTTACTTTTGTGCTGTTTGTGTCCTTTTTTGATTGTTTTTGTTTTTATTTGTATATGTTTATGCGATACAAGTGTAATTTTGTTGCATTAATATGTTTAATAGTGGTGAAGTCAGGAATTTTATATTTGTGTCTTTTTGTATAAAGGCATAATATATTTGAATATTACAATCTCACAATCTCTGCCTTTTAATTAAGGCACTTAAGTCATTTATATTTAACGTGATAACTGATTTGCTTTGTTTTAATTCTGTGATCTTCCTATTTGTTTTCTATTTGTCTCACCTGTTCTTTGTTCCCTTCTTACTCTTTTTCTACCTTGTTCTGGATTAATTATTTTATGATTTCATTTTATCTGTTGCTGGCTAATCAGCTATATATCTTTGTTTTGTTGTTTTAGTGATTGCTTTAGAGTTTATAATATATATGCTCTTAATTTACCTCAATCCTCCAATGATTTTATAACACCTCATGCATGATACTGAACCTTACAATAGATATCCCATTTCTCCCCTACTGGACTTTTTGCTACTGTAGTCATATATTTCATTTTTGTATATGTTATAAAATAAACAGTACATTTATATTATTTTGTTTACCTAGTCAATTATCATTAACATAAATTAGAAAAATCGTATATATTTACCTATGTAGTTGCCATTTTTAATGCTTTTCATTCTTTTGTACAGATCTATATTTTCATACGGCATAATTATCCTTCACCTTTCCTTAAAATTTCTTGCATGGTGCGTCTACTGGTGATGAATTCATTAAGTTTTTGTATGTCTGATGAAAACATCTTAATCACATCTTGGTTTCTGAAAAATATTTTTGCTAGGCACAGAATTCTTTGTTGATTTTTTTTCCTTTCATTAATTAAAAAATTTAGCTCCACTGTCTTATTTGCATTGTTCCCCACAAGACATCTACTGTCATCCTTATGTTTGTTTGTCTGTACATATGTGTAATTTTTCTCTGGCAGTTTTTAAATTTTTCTCTTCATCACTGGTTTTGAGCAATCTGACTATAGTATGCTTTTGTGCAGTTTTCCTTATATTCCCTGTGCTTGAGATGTATTGAGCTTCTTGAATCTGTGGATTTATAGTTTTCATCATCTGACAAAATTATAGCCCCTGATTTTTCAAATATTTTTCCTCCTCTCTCCTCTACCTGGGGATTCCAAGTACACATTTATTAGGCTATTTGAAGGTGTCCTACAATTCTGTTTTTATTCTTTTTTTCTATTTCCTTTTGGGTAGTTTCTATTGCTATCGTTTTGCTACTCTTTTCCTCTCCGAAGTCTAATTCCATCCAGTGTACTCACCATTAATCTCATCTAATGTTATTCTGTCAATACCATCAATCACATTTCTCATATCAGATATTGTAGTTTTCATATTTAGAAGTTTGATTTTAGTCTTTTAAAAAGATCTTCCATGTGTCTACTTCTGAACATATGGGCTACAGTTATAAGAACTGCTTTTATGTATTTGTCTGCTAATTCTAACATCTGTTTCAGTTCTGCATTGGTTTCAATTGGTTGGGCTTTTTCTTTTTATTATTATTATTATTATTATACTTTAAGTTTTAGGGTACATGTGCACAACGTGCAGGTTTGTTACATATGTATACCTGTGCCATGTTGGTGTGCTGCACCCATTAACTCGTCGTTTAGCATTAGGTATATCTCCTAATGCTATCCCTCCCCCAACCCCACAACAGTCCCCGGTGTGTGATGTTCCCCTTCCTGTGTCCATGTGTTCTCATTGTTCAATTCCCACCTATGAGTGAGAACATGCGGTGTTTCATTTTTTGTCCTTGCGACAGTTTGCTGAGAATGATGGTTTCCAGTTTCATCCATGTCCCTACAAAGGACATGAACGCATCATTTTTTATGGCTGCATAGTATTCCATGGTGTATATGTGCCACATTTTCTTAATTCAGTCTATCGTTGTTGGACATTTAGGTTGGTTCCAAGTCTTTGCTATTGTGAATAGTGCTGCTATAAACATTCGTGAGCGTGTGTCTTTATAGCAGCATGATTTATAATCCTTTGGGTATATACCCAGTAATGGGATGGCTGGGTCAAATGGTATTTCTAGTTCTAGCTCCCTAAGGAATTGCCACACTGACTTCCACAATGGTTGAGCTAGTTTACAGTCTGGTTGGGCTTTTTCTTTATTGTGGGTAGTGTTTTCTTGCTGCATTGCATGCCTGGTAATTTTTTATTGGATGCCAAACATTGTGAATTTCACCTTGTTGGGTGCTGGATATTTTTGTACTCTATGTATATCCTTGAGCTTTATTCTGGGATGCAGTTAAATTACTTTGAGACATTTTGATCCCTTTTATGTCTTGCTTTTAAGATTGTTAGATAGAACCAGAGCAGCATATAGGCTACAGCTTATTATTCCCCATGACTAAAGCAAGACAAATATGAGTCTTTTACCTAATTTTCTTTAAATAATGAGATATATAAATCTGGCTAGTGGGAATAGGCACTTTTCCCTGACTTGTGTGAGCATCAGGACTGTTCCCTCTAATCCTCTTGGATGGTTCTGTTCTGGCCTCAGGTAGTTTCCTCATTGCATGGGTTGCTCAGTGTAGTAGTTTCCCTTTACACACAGAGGATATTTTCTAAGACTCCCAGGGGATGTCTAAAACCTCAGATAGTGCTGAAACCTATATGTATTACACACACATTTCTTTTTTCTTCTTCACAATTGCATTGATAGAAGATTTCATTCTTAGCATAGATCTTAGCAGCCTCAGTATAATTTTTTTTCTTTCTTTATTAAGTCAAGAACTTTCGTCTTTTTACTTAAAAGAAGTACTTTGTGGCTTCTCTTTGGCATATGTGAATTGCCAACATCTCCATTCTTTTGCTTTGGAACCATTGTTAAGTAATATAAAGGTACTTAATTGCAAGCACTGTGATACTTCAACAGTCAATCTGATAAACGAGGTGGCTATTAAGTGACAGGTGGGTAGTAAGTAGAACCAGTACAGTGCGGATAATGCTGGACAAAGAGATGATTCACATCCTAGGTGGAATAGAGCAGTGATATGGTTGGCTGTGTCCCCACCCAAATCTCATCTTGAATCATAGATCCCATAACCCCCATGTGTCATGGGAGGGACCCTCGGGGAGGTAATTGCATTATGGGGATGAGTTTTTCTCATGATAGTAAATAAGTCTCACGAGATGTGATGATTTTATAATGGGCAGTTCCCCTGCACACACTTTCTTGTCTGCCACCACGTAAGATGTGCCTTTGCTCCTCCTTTGCCTTCCACCATGACTATGAGGCCTCCTCAACCATGTGGAACTGTGAGTCCATTAAACTTCTCTTTCCTTTATAAATTACCCAGTTTGGGGTATGTCTTTATTAGCGGCCTGAGGACAGACTAATACAAGCAGGATGGCATGAGATTTCATCACATTCTCAGAATGGTGTGCAATTTAAAACTTATAATTGTTGATTTCTGGAATTTTCCACTTAATATTTTCAGACCACAGTTGGCTATGGGTAATTAAAACCACAGAAAGTGAAACTGACAATAAGGGAGTACTATTGTACTCTTATATTCTTCAGACCTCTAGAGTTTATCTCTCTGTAATCCTCTTCTCTCCAGTATTTTATTCTGTTAACTAAAGCCATCTTGGTCTTCCTGGATTTTTATTCAACTTCTCAACTCAGAGAGTCACTGAGATGTGCCTATGTCACTCCTCTCTATGCTGTCTGGAAGTACTCTCAATGGCTATGGGTAATTGAAACCACAGAAAGTGAAACTGCTAGTAAGGGAGTACTACTGTACTCTTATATTCTTCAGAACTCTAGAGTTTATCTCTCTGTAATCCTCTTCTCTCCAGTATTTTTCCTGTTAACTAAAGCCATCTTGGTCTTCTTGGATTTTTATCCAACTTCTTAACTCAGAGAGTCACTGAGACGTGCCTATGTCACTCCTCTCTATGCTGCCTGGAAGTCCTCTCAAGGCAGTAAGCTGAGACAATCGTAGGGCTCATTTCATTTATTTCCTGGCTCCCAAAGATCACTGTTCTCCATTTCCTGATGTCTGGTATCTTAAAAAGCACTCTTCCACATATGCTGTCTGGGGTTTTGGGTTGTTTCAGGTGGGAGGGTAAATCCAGTTCTTGTTACTTATCTTTGGCAAAAGAAGACATTCATAGACTGTCTTGCCGACCCTTTCCACTCTTCATAACTCACTTTTCAGTTTCATGAGACCATCCATAAACATTCCAGTTACCAGGATATTCAATAAAGGAGAAACTCCTGCTGAATTCCCTCCCTAAGACTTGGTTTATAACCACGCAGGGCCTAATCATAATCTGTTGTTTGAGAGGCACAAAAGATGGCTATCTCTTATTTCTCTGTTAATGTGATCAAGTAAAGTTAACGGCAAGTTTGTATTTCTGGATAGCTATAATAAATTATGGCAAGTCCATGAGGCTATGTTATTACAAACATGACTAAAAATGCACTGAAAAGAGTATATTTGTGTGGTAACCCACAAATCTTCCGATGCCAATGGAAAAGTTTAAAGATGATTAGAATCTTGGCTCAGAGACCTGGATCTTTTTATGTCAATACATTTCTCCCTAGGGGTAAGTAAGGTACTTTCAAAGGACATCCATTCTTTGAAGTCAGTTAGAAAATTACTGCTGCAAGGTATGAAATAGTACTGCAGTAGACTTACAGAGATAATGTACAGCTGCAATGTGTTCATTATGCCAGGATGTAATTTACCTTTCAGCACATACTACTTCCCCCTGTGCATGCCCTGGCTCATGGGAGTTTGGGAATAGCCAACTGTGATTCAGTTTCCACTGGGTTTCTCTCTCAATGTTCACATTGGGCATGAATTGTACCCAGATACTCCCTCTCAAATATTAAAGAGAACTAGTCACCAATGGTTCCCAGGGATTGGTCTAGGGGTAGGGACATTAAAAATTGTTAAATTGACTCCCACTCATTACCTGACATAATAGGATCCAAAAAGAAATGTTCAAAAATGTATCCAGTTTTTTCTACATAGTTTTAAAAACAATCAATATATCTCCTGATCTACATATTTCCTTTTTAAATTTTTCTGAAGTAGAGAGCTTTAATGACCAAAAAGAAAAGGATAGGTGGGACTCATCAAATTGCTTTCCACTTCCTGCCACCAAGAATTAGCTTTAGTCCTGTTAAAGGTTTTGGACTAAAATAGTGCAAGTCACTGAAGCTCAATGCTCTAAGTTCTATTGATACCAAAGCAGTAATGATGTCATATTAGTCCATCAATGAATATAAAATGCAAAGTTGTTCATGATTATGTTTGTGTGCAAACTTCCAAGTATACAGACACACCAGGACCTACTTGAGGAAGTGGAAGAACAGGCTATGGAGGGAAACAGAGACAGACATTAAAAAATGTCTCTTTTATTTATAGCAGTCTGCTTACTGCCCCATGAGATCCAGAATCCTGCTCATTAAACAATCAAACTTTACACTTATTTGCACAATAGAACATAAAATCTATTTTATCACTTCCCCCCTCCCCCCAAAAAAACCTGTTTAATTCTTTTAAATACTTGGGTATGATTCAGTTACAAAGGGCGCAGTTAAAAAGGCTTTATGAAGGTGATAAAATATAATCCACAATGCCCACATGACATCATTATAGCAGATGTTTGTACCACAATATACAAATGCAACAAGATTCAAAATGGCATACGAAAAATTTGGGACTTGATTTATTCTGGGCTTTTATGCTATAGAAATTTAACAGGAAGCTGTGGGCCAATAGTTGGATACAGGATGGAGAAAGTGTCTGGGTTCTGGGTTTGAAGTTGACAGCGTTCCTCCACTGTACATTTTCTGGCTTTGGTTGCCTTGATTTGGTATTGATGGCTGGCAAAGAGCCTCTGGTATTTAAACAAACCTTACCTATAATAGAGTCTGGCTCAGAGACTGTCATTCTAAATTCTATTTTGTTCTGTGTAATTTACTTCTTAGTCACAATTATTCAAGAAGGGTACACTCATTAGGTAAGTGATTTCCATTTGCATAAGCACATTGGTAAAAAAAAAAAAATTGCAGGTATGTGTTCCCCAGGTATTATGTAATAAGACACCTGGAGTTAATTATTTGCATTGTCTTTTTAGAAAAAGTTTGAGAACGGTTTTCATGCATGCAAGCAAAGACAGCATGTCATAACAGCTTAGGGCTGAAAGCTAAAGGGGCTGCTTCCTTTATAATAGATGTGCAAAGAATTACGTTCCAATTTATTCTTACTCTTCCACCTGGTTACCCAGCATTTGTTCTTCAAAGGTATTCTAACCAAATGATTCAAAGAAGAGTTTAGCATCAAATATGATGTCTCCAGGGAGGTATGATTTAGAGAGTCTGGGATTCTCTCAAAAACCACTCCGTGGAAACTTTAATTTTTAGCTTAATATGATGTCTGTGTATGAGGGGATAACTAGTAATGAACCTGTGTGATAGCTGAAACAATGAAGTTTATGTAAAAGGCCAGGGCAGGTGTTTCAATCTTATAGTTCAAAGTGTGAAGGGTAATATAATTTGAACTTTCAGGTTTTAGAAACAGTAAAATGTTGTTAATCTTGCGTTTTGCATTGTCATTGCCTTTAGGACTTGTTCTTGCTGGCAAAACTGTATTTTACAACCATATATGCTGCCTCCCAACATTAGCACTATAAAGACCCCTGTTTTTGTTTTTGTTTTAAACAAAAATAAGAACTAGTTCAAGGAAAAAAAACATGAAAACATAAAACATGGAACATTTCTTATTTATGCTGCATGATTCCCCATCAAAAAACTTATAAATACATTAGCAGTATATGATACTCCATTCTAGCTGTCTGATCAGCAAGTCTAAAATAAACTTTTTATGATGTTTAAGATGAAAAATGGCAAGTAGGAAAAGAAAGGGTATAGAAAACATTTGTGATGGAGAAAGTGGGGTGAAGGGGAAGAGATACAGCAATAATTTATAAATTATTGATAAAGGGATAATAGTACCCTTTAAATATAGTGAAGGGTTTTTTTCAGGATATAAGAATATATTCACAACCACTATTTCAATTTTGGGTATGATTCTAACAAGCTTACATTAAACTGCACATTTTATGGAAAAATGTAATGAGAATAATACTCTTACCATCTGTTTTCTTTGAATCATTTCCGATGTTAGAGTGATCCTTCTTGTCTGTCTTATTTTTACCATCTTTGAAGTCACCTGAAAGTAATAAACATGACAAACAGTATATGTATGCAGCTGAGGGGGTTGTTATAAACATCTTTAAGTCTGCCAAGTTTTGAAAAAGTGCAGCATAATTTTATAGTCATAAGAGTGTATGTGTCTGAGTGTAAATATCTTTTGTAATCACGTTAGGTCCTGGAAATTGGATTGTGATGCAGAAATTGAGGCTGAAAGTTCTTGTTAAACAGAGTTGTAGTTAAGTTATGTGCTTATCTTCTAAGAGAAGCAGTTAAGATTTACTGTTAAGCTGTGGAGTGAGGAGAAACCCGAGCTAACTGTAAGTTCTACCAATTAATAGCTATTTAACTTCTCTGTGCTTCAGTTTTCCTATCTGTAAAATGGGTATGTTAATACCTACCTTATAGGCATTTTGGATAAATTAGAAGGCATATCACTCAATACAGTTATTATTATTCTAAAACAGAGCTAGAAATGGTATTTTAATAAATGATCTTGTCAAAATGTAGTTTGTAAAAGTTGTAAAATGCTATTCTTAGAACACGTGTCAAAAATGTATTTAACCCACTTATGAGGGAATAGTAAGAGGATTCCAAGAGTACTGGAGCTGGGTATTGACAGGTATTTTAGAAACACGTGAAAATATATTTGCTAAGTTAGAGACAAAACTGGGTATATCCTACAGGGCAATAAAACCATAACGTTTGGGGTTATCTTCTCTCTCAGTCAAAAATCTATAAATTAGCATATAACTTCACAGTACCTAGGCTTGAATCAAATAGTAAGTAAAGTTAAACACAGTCATGTTCTTCAAGAGTAGCATTCAGCAAATTAAGGCCCCTGGGTCAATGGTGCCCACCATCGATTATGGCAAATACATTTTCTTGAAACATGGCCACACTTACTCATTTACCTATTGTCCTTGGCTGCTCTCATGCTGCAACAGCTGAGCTGAATAGTTGCAAAGAGACAGGCAAAGCCAGAAATATTTTCTCTCTGGTTCTTTACAGTATAACAGTGCTGCATCCCTATCTAAAATAATTTAATAATCCCTGGGCATGTGTGTTCAACAATATGCCAGTATTACATGAAAAGGTCAGGGGCCTCTTCACCCAGCCTTATTTTCAAGTGTTGGATATTTTCTTACCAGTCTTACTAATGGAAGCTTTCTTTTTAGCCTGCATAAAACCAAGAACACATTCTCACTCAAATACTGGTACTTATTGAAGCCAAAAGATCCCAATAATAATTGGAGTGAGCTGGGCCTCCAGGGAATGTGTATGAGGGACAGGATTTACTCTTGTTTACTTTATTTGTGCCAGGCAGTATGCTAAATGCTTTGCATGCATCATTTTATTAAATCTTCTAATAGCCCCATTATGAAGGGGCTACTATTATTGAAAGTAGACAACTTCATCAAAGATTCATTCACTAAATGTCCAATTTGTAAAATTTGCTGAATATCCCACTCACCAAATGATTGAGGATGTTTTCCAAATTTAAGTTTTTTTCTTGAGGTTCCTGCAGCCAGTTAGACAAACACAGGCCATTCCATCTATGTTAAGGGGTATGGACTGCCCACACATACATTTCATACCCCACCCTGAACTCACATCTGCCACAACCATGCACCTGGATCTCCCTCTTGGCATAACTGCCAAGCCCTCAACTATAGTATTTGCAACTTCTCTATGAAGTTCAAGTTTTAGATTTCAGACTTCTGTTTACTATTTCCATTTCTAAATGCCTTTGGCCTATGAATTTATAAAGAACTGATTATCTAAGCATGATTCAGGACTATTGGGGGCTGTAATATATTCTACAAACCACATACTTGCAATGGAATTTGACAAATACTAAGCTAAGCTAGAAGTCAATAAACTCTTCAGGTTCCCTCTCATTCTTAATTCTGAAATGGGATGGACCGTGATATGGTTTGGCTGTGTCCCCACCAAAATCTCATCTTTAATTTTACCTCCCATAATTCCCATGTGTTGTGGGAGGAACCCAGTGGAAGAGAATTGAATCATGGGGGCAGTTTCCCCCATACTGTTCTTGTGGTAATGAATAAGTCTCACGAGGTCTGGTGGCTTCATAAGGAAAAACCGCTTTTGCTTGGTTCTCATTCTTTCTTGCCACCACCATGTAAGATGTGCCTTTCACCTTCCACCATGATTGTGAAGCCTCCCCAGCCACGTGGAACTGTGAGTCCATTAAGCTTCTTTTCCTTTATAAATGACCCAGTCTTGGGTATGTCTTTATCAGCAGTGTGAAAACAGACTAATACACACTAGGTGGAAGAATTGAGGAGCAGGGGAGTCTACTCTGGCCAGGGTCCAAACAGGAGGATTTTAAGTGCAGGACATGGTCATCACCTCTTCCACCACCAAAAGAGAAGAAATCCTTCAGAGGTCCCACAAAACAGTCCAAATACTGGCTTTTCCCTATTTTAATGAAGCCAGAGATGGACTCAAGGATCTTGAGCACTGTAGTCAAACTAGTTCCTTCTAGTTCATTCTTCCCTCAATGAGCCCCCACACTCTTAATGCATGCTTTTTAAGCCCTCTAGGTTGCTCTGAACTGGAGCTTTACCCACAGCTACAGCAACACCAGGATGTCTTCTGGAAGTCGTGGAGATGGTTCCCTTTGCTGGTTGCTAACCAGCAGCCCATGATGGTTCCTGTTCTCAGCCAGGGATGGGGAGGCTGTGGGAGGAAGTCATCTCAACAGAGGGCAAAGATTAGAAGATCCTGTCACTGCCAGTGGGTGCCCAAACCTTGAAAACCCCTCCTTCACCAACAACCTTCAGCTCTAACTTGGAAGATATCCTGGGCACTCCACAAAGAAGGGGGCTGGGACAGTGACACATGCTTGTTTGATGATGTTGCCTGAGCAAAATCCATTAAGTAATTTCCCATGGGTTGTATCTGGAGTAATGGCTGACGTGAGCTGTTACTCAATAAACAAGGGGAAGTGAAAGAGACTTTCTGTGCAGTTATAAATCATTTTAATTAGGCTGCTGTAATATAGTCCCGAACCACCATTAGGCTTTCTTATTATTGCTCTAAACTGCTTTCTTTTCCCACCTCTCATTTACTGCTTACTTTTTAAGGGAAATGGTAGACTGTTGCTTATTTCAGGAAATAAGCACAGTTGTGAAATCAAGCCAGCCTTGTTGAAGACTCAGGTTCCTGTTTTGTTTCTTTCAGGCTTTCCCCTTAACCAACTTCAAAATGAATTATTATTTCCACATCTGCCCTCTCTGGGTCTTTGTTTCCCTATGGTAGAATTCATATCCTTCTTTGTGACTAGCTTATTTGCATTTATTGGTTTCTCCCACTGACTAGACCTGGGGTTGGCAAACTATGGCCCATGGGTCAAACCTGGCCCTACTGCCTGGTTTTTCATGACCCACAAACTAAGAATGGCTTTTACATTTTTAAATGGTTAAAAGAAGACAAATATTTTATGACATATGATATTATGTAGAATTCAAATTTTAATTTCTATAAATAAAGTTTTATTGGAAAACAGGATAACTCATTTGTTTGTATATTATCTGTGGCTGCTTTAAAATGGCAATGTTGAGTAGTTGCAATAGAGACCTTATGTTCTGCAAAGCCTAAAATATTTACTATCTTGTCCCTTATAGAAAAAGCATGCCAATCCCTGGAATAAGTATATTGTAAGCCTCTTATAAACAGCAGTTAAGTTTCCATATTTCTCTGATGGCCCCTCTCCCTGAAGGCACCAAACCACAGGGACAAGCTGTTTACCTAACAGAGCATTGAGACTCACACAGATCAGAGTTTAACCTGAGATCTCTACTTAATGGTTGCTTGACTTTACACAAGTGATTTCACTTCTCTGAGACTCAGTATTCCCACCCACAACATGGGAATGAGTTTTTCTACCTCATAGAATTGTTAGAACTTTTACATGATTTAATGTAGATAGAATCTCAAGTACAATGTCTGATACATGTTAAGCATTCAATAAAATGGTGGTATTATTGTTATTGCTTTTACTAAGGGCAAGACATTTCTAACCCACTCTGTTAAAAGAAAAAGCAGAGGGAAGAAACACACCTTGCCTTTCTCACCACCCCTTACATGTTCCTCTTTTGAGAGGAGTGATTATTTATCTGGGAGGTAGGGTTGAGCATGCACAGCCCGGCCCAGCCACCCACATCCCAGACTGCTTTGAGATATGTTTTCTGTAAGACACACACCTTTTCTGTCACTCTAGAAGCAGCCTGCCAGGGTGCTGGGGTGGGGGAAAAGTCCTGTGCCTGGCTATACAGTGTCTGGTTGTGTAAATTCATTTCAGAGCAAAATGTAAAGAAGCCCATGTATTCAGCAGACCAACTCTGTGTTTCCCAAGTTCCAGTTTTAGTGGAGCTGATGTCTTGATCATTGACTTTCTGATTTTGTTACCTATCTCTCAGTTGGTTCAGTCCTCAGAAGGGGTAGCAAGGAGGGGCCTGTACTGCCCTCTAAAACAGTAACAGGTACATAATAAATTTTTGTTTTAAAAAATTTTTGTATGAACATATGTTTTTATTTTTTTTAATTTTTATTTCCATAGGTTTTTGGGGAAAAGATGGTGTTTGGTTATATAAGTAAGTTATTTAGTGGTGATTTGTGAGATTTTGGTATAGCCATCACCTGAGCGGTATACGCTGAACCCAATTTGTAGTCTTTTATCCCTCACACCCCTCCCACCCTTTCCCCTGAGTCCCCAAAGTCCACTGTATCATTCTTATATTTTTGCATCCTCATAGCTTAGTTCCCACTTATGTGTGAGAATATACAATGTTTGGTTTTCCATTCCTGAGTTAATTCACTTAGAATAATGGTCTCCAATTCCATCCAGGTTGCTGCAAATGCCATTATTTCATTCCTTTTTATGGCTGAATAGTATTCCATCGTGTGTGTGTGTGTGTGTGTATACATATATATGTACACACACGCACGCGTGCATATATATGTACACACACACACACACACACATATATCACAATTTCTTTATCCATTCATGGATTGATGGGCATTTGGGCTGGTTGCATATTTTTGCAATAGTGAATTGTGCTGCTATAAACATGTATGTGCAAGTATCTTTTTCATATGACTTCTTTTCCTCTGGGTAGATACCCAGGAGTGGGATTGCTGGATCAAATGGTAGTTTGGGTACATGAAAAATTCTTATTAAATTCTTTATAACTTTTTTTTCCAGACTATAATGCACTTGAATACAAAGCAAATGAATTAAGAGCAATCTCCAGAAGGGGGCAGGACGAGTCGGGACAATGGCCTTCTGTGCCTCCTAGGGTGGTCACCAGGATTAACTGAAGTAATTTTTGCAAGGTTCCTGGAATATGATATAAGCTATCATTATTATTACATGTGTTAAAATATTGTTCTCTGATTACATGTTATAAATGGTTAATTATAAAAATAATTGGAGAACATCGTGCTAAGCACTTTCTACATGTAGAAATCATTGACCACGGCCCTGTGGCATAATAGCTAGAACACGGTTCTGAGTAGATTACCTGGTCGCACCAGGCAGGCAAGAGAATGAATATGTACAAAGAGAACTTAAAACAGCATCTAGTGTGCAGTCAATACATGCTATTTGTTGTTATTCTCTTCACTGTTTTTACTATCATGAGTATTACTGAAGGTTCCATGAGGCCTGTGCTGTGAATAGGTATTACTATATACATTGTGTAGAAACAGTAGAAGGTTAAGTAGCCTGGCCAAGGACACTGAAAAGGGAGAAGCACAGCTTGACTTGAATCTAGGTCTGTTGACTGCTAAATTACCTTGCTATTCAGCCACAACCTGTCAATTGCAAGCTCTGGAGACTCAGAACTTCCTGCCTGCCCCTAAACAAGGAAACCAAATCAAAGCCCTGTGTACTTGCTCATCTTGTTCTCTCCACTCAGAAGTATCTTTAGCCCATCTGACCAGCCAGCTTCAGCATTCAAAACCCCCTCTTGAAGCCTACTCTGACATTTACCCCATTTTATAATCCCCAGTCCCCAAAAAGCTAATGTGTTTTTCTCTGCACATGTTCCTCGGGCATTTTATCTGCCATGTCACTACTTTCACTTGCACATTTCACTAGAAATATTTGGAGGATGTCTCTATCACCTTTGATATTTTGGGCTTCTTGTGGCCTTTCCATTTCTAAATCCCTAGTGCTAAGCATGGTGCTTGGCACGTAGTTGTTAATCGATATTTGTTGCATTAAATATAAGAAATCAATAACTATATGCACACTATGGTGACCAGCTTACCCCAGTTTGCCTGGAGCTCTTCTGTTTTTAAAACAGAAAGCTCTGTGTCTCCCAGTCCCAGGTAAACTGAAACAGCTGGTCCCCCTAAAGTACACACTTGTACACACACAGATATACAGATATCTATTACAGGAAAAGGCTCAGGCAAACCTGAGGTCTGGCCCTCATAGAGCGATGGTATATATGGGAAAATGACTTTCCATTTACCCACTTTACACTCAGGAATGTGCTGGGGTTGATCATGGTAATTTTCCCCCAGCTGGCAGGCAGGCAGGCACTGGCTAGAGTCTCCAGGGCAGCTGGAAATGGCCAGAAAGGTATCAATCTCCCTGAAGAGGATGGCACAGGTGAGCTGGTAGCTGCTTCTGCTGGAATCCTGCAGCCCAATGAGGTGGGATCAGAAGGAACTGGATGAGCAGGGAAGCCTTGCCCTGTGAGCTGACCCCATCAGTAGGGTTGTTCACCAGTTTCCATTCATTATGTCATTAATGCCGCGAAAAGAGCCCTTCACCAGTGTAAGTCTACTCACCATTCTGTTGCTGTTCTCCTGATGACTTCTCGGCTTTGGAGTTTTTCCCACGAGGGTTGTCACTTTTGTTTGCCCGTGTTCCATTGACTTGATTCTTAGTTTCTCCAGACGTCTTTTTCTCAGCTTTGCCAGATGCGCCTTCTTCAGCCTGGCTTTTGGCTTCCATTTCCTTTTGCTGCTCCTCTGCGGCCAGGCGAGCCTTTTCCTCTGCTTCCTTCTTGGCCTTCTCCTCTGCATCCATGGCAAGTTGGGAAAGCCACAGAAAAGAGAAAAAGAGGTCATGCCGTTAGGAGAATGGCCTGTTTTAGTACACAAAGAGTATCTAAGGTGTTTACTGAGTGTTTGGGTACATTTTTGCTTAATTCATCAGATTGGCATGTATACTTAGGAAACGAATAAAATAGGTTCATAATGATGTCATTCTGAAAACAGTTAGAGGAGAGGTCAGGGAGAAAATAATAAGGATAATAATTAATAAACCAATATTATAATTGTATTATTAATATCACCGTTATTAATAGCTTCTATTGAACGTGTTCGCTCTGCCAAGTATTATGCTGAGTGTTTTTTGGGGATTATTTATTTTCATCCTCAAAACAACCTTACAGCAGCTACTATTACTGTGACTCAATTTGACAAATGTGGAAATCAAGGCTGAGAGACATCATAAAACTTTCCCATAGCCACAGTAAAAACTGCAGCTTCATGTGGGCTTGCTTAAGACCTAGAGTTTAAACACAAACAATTGATTACAAAACAAAAAGGGAAAATATCCAACACTAGAGCAATTGAAGACAAACACACTGAGGACACTGTTTGTTAATTTAAAACAAGGAAGGGGATAATTGAGCCTTATGAAAAAAACATGGTCTTCAAACTGTCCACAAGATGAGAGGTAGCCTTTAGTTTGGCCAGGTACCTGGTCTGTGTCTTTCCTTTTAATGAAAAGATGCTAGCATTATTTCTAATCCAGTTGATTATAAAAGGGCTTGGCTCTGTGCTTAGTCAAAACCACCGCAGAAATGCGTAGGTTAAGTATTTATGAAAAGATTGGTTCACTCATCCAACTCATATTTATTGAGCAGTTGTAGCGTTAAGCACTGTTTTAGGTACGAGGAATACAGCAGCAAGCAAGTGGATTTATAAAGAGGAGATCATAATTAAGTAAACAAATGACTAAGATACTTGCAGTTTATAAAAAGCGCTTTGCAGAAAACCAAGCAGAGTAATATGCTGGAATATAATCAGCATAGGGGAGGGAAATTGCAGTAGACAAGGAGGTGGAGAAGGAAGGCCTCCTTGACAAGGTGACATTTAACCAAGTCCTAAATGATGAAGAGCTGGCCATGCAATAATCTGGACAAATAGTATCTCAGTCAGAGGAACTAGAAAATGCAAAGGCCATGAGGTAGAAATGAGCTTGGTATGCTCAAAGAACATTGAGTATGGTTAAAGTAAATTTGACAAGGGCTTAGTGATAGATGACGTGGTCAAATGACCAAGGACAAGCAGGGTTCAGATCATGCAGGGCTTTGGAGGCAATGAGGTGGCATTGCATTATGGAGAATAACCTACACAGAAGACACATAACAGAGCCCAATCCTCCAAGGTTCTAGAGACTCATCCCATGCAGCGCTTAATTCACTGCCAAGGTCTTCTAGCCTGTGCCATCAACTTCCACTGGGAAAAGTATTATTACATTTTTCTCTACATGTGTTTTAAAATGCTCCACACATCATTATCAGGTGTTTACTTTATTTCTTTTGTGTTAGCCTTGGTCCTAGAAAAAAGCTAATGCTCATAAATAATCCATTTGTTTTTAATCTAATGGACACCAGAGTGACTATGCATCTATCATGTTTCCCTTTGTTTTAGTTGCTAAAGAGCTCAAAGCCCAAATTTGGTCCAGATTCACACGTTCACGAGGCTTTATGACATGTATTTTGTGAAAGTCTATGATATCTTGTTTAGTCTACTTCTCCTGACTTTATATTTGCTTACCTAAGATGTCTTCCTTAATATATTATGTTTTCATTCATTGATCCATCCATCCATCCAAACCAATGCCCTAGCCTCATCCCCAAACAAATTAAATAAGATTCTGGAGAAGGAGGGGCAAGAATAGGATAGTTTGAATGTTTTCCAGGTGATTTAAACATACAGAGTTGAGAAGCACTGATTTAAATGTTAAATGTTTGCCATTCAGTATTTCATGACATTCTACTCCCCAAAAGGATGTATTTGTAATTTACATTGAAAAGGTGAGGAAAGATTTCTTTACAAATAACATAATTATGTGCATGTAAAGTATAATGTCTTCTGGCCTTTATAGAAAGGTACAACTACAGAGTGAAAGAATGCTCTTGCAGAAGAAGATGGTGAGATGGCATTCTCAGTAGGATGCAGGACCACAAAAGGTTCCCTGGAATGTTCACTCAGGCTTTATCTCTTCCTTCTTCAGTGACTGAGGATGGGGTTTAAATGTCATCTTTGCTACTGAATTCCCAGTGCTTAGCATGGTGCCTGGTGCGTAGCACACACTCGAAGTATTTGTTGACTAAATGAAATGTACCCTACGGGTGTGATTTATCCTATATGCAAGTGTAACCTTATCTGTATGTATCTTCATCAGTCCTCAGCAAATTAAACAGGCATAAAATACAGAAAGTATATAAACTCTAAGTCTTATTCTGAAAGAGTAGTCATTTGACAAATGTTAGTTTCCTTAACCAATAACGTAGGTGAGTAAAAAGATGACTATTTTTACTACAGAGTGGGAAACTGAGGCAAGGAAGAGGAGAATTCATTCATACCCAGAACCTGGTATCAATTTTAGAAAATAATTTATAAGCCCCTCACAGAATCCCCACTGAATCCATGGCAAATTTTCAATATTCAAAATAACCCCAAGTTGGAAATAATTTTGATAAAAACTGAAGGTATTAAATGCTGGTTTGCTATAAGAGAGTATAAAATATTATCTGAGCAAGAGAAATTCATTTGACAACTGAGTCAGACCAATTTCCCATGGGAAATCTAGCTAAAAGCATACAAAAAACTGGTGGCGGGGGGTATATTTCAGAAACAAACCTGGTTTTTCCTCAACTGTAGCTATCGGGCAATTCAAGTTTACATGAATGAATGGTAGCCCTTCTGACATCATGATCTAATCAGATACGAGCCTATCCTACTGTATGATTTCTCTACAGCAATCATGTTCCAGCAGGTGGTCCTGCAGCTTTTCTACTCAATTTCCATCTCTTAGTCACATCTCTGAGATAGCTGACATTAGTGTGATCGACTGCATGACACCCAAAGTGGTACAACTCAAAATTTGTAGACTGAAACAAGCAAGCACATAAATAAGAAAAAAGAAAATATATTGACAGGAGGTAGGTCTTTTTAACTGCAATCAGATTCCTTTATATTTTCTGGGTGAAATTATCGGTATAGATGAAATTTTCGTATAACAAGAAAAAGGACTTGAGAACAGTTATTTTGTACATGCTCACAGCTTCCAACGACAGCAAGTATACAGAGAATTCACTTTTCAGGTCTTAGATTTAGCATCTACTAGGCTTCTTGACTAGTAGAAAGCAAGAGATGTGCGGTTCATTTCTGTTTCCTTTGGCTTCCCATGTCAGACTGTCTGTGGTGTTGGGACTTGGGATGAAAACAGCCAAGAGCAAGCAGCTAAGAGTTAAGGTAGAGCAGAGCCCTCGAGATCCATAAATTTGCTTCCTCCCAGTGGAGAGCCAGTTCTACCCCACAATGCATGTCCGTACAGTTTTGGGGAAATACATTGATTTCTTTGTCTTCCTGAATAATGATACTATAGGGTCTCAGTTAAAAACTGTATTGGGCTAATTATCCCTTGATATAATTTTCTGAAATGCCTACTTAAACTACCTACAACCAGAGAGAGAAAGAGAGAGAAAAAACAGAGAAAAGAGAGAGAAACTGACCAGAAAACCCAAAATACTATATGAATTTTGACTATTTCAAATCTCAGTTCTATACAAGAACAAAGAAAGGTGCTTCTAGACATTTAAGAACATAGAAGGTGTTCCCGCTTCCTGAAAATTTTAGTCAAAGAAAGAAGTGCTCCAGCTGACAGAAAACTTCAATCAACATTAAAAACTCAAAAATGAGAAAAATATGTAAACGAATCATATACTGTAAATCTAAATATTCAGTATCAGAATAAAATATTCAAAAGAAAGGCCAAATACAAGACAATATTATATTATGATCCCAATTTGTCGGCAAAATTTTTACTTATACATATGTACAGAAAAGCAAATTACAAAGAATAACATCAGAATTTTAATAATAGTTATATATGTCTAGAGAGGTAATTAGTAATTTTCATTTTCTTTTATATATATTTTTTATACTTCAGCATTTGTAACCTAAACATGTTAGTCTTACACCAGAAAATAAATGTTAAAAAAAAGTACTAAATACTGAATGGAAATTAATCAATATTGATCAGACTTGAAAATTGTTATGTCCATACATCTTTAGTTGGCAATAGTGATTTTTAACTCTAAGGGCTATAAAAATATTTATTTAATCTTTCCTAATAATTATCAGTTCTTGCCTACCTAGTTTTGTAAATCAGGTTGGTTAACAAAACCAAGACCCATTTCCAGTGCATTTACTAACAATACATGTTCAAGTGCCCCACGGAGGACAGCCTTTCTTGAAATCAGGGTCATCTGGAAAAAAAGAGCAACAAACAAAACAGCCACCACCAACAGAAAACAGATGCGAACTAGATTTCTAATTAGCACCAGTCAACCAGTCAACAGCATTACTGAGCTGCTAAGAATGTTATAAAATATTAGTTACAGGTTGCTATTTTCACCACCACCTTAACTTCGTATTCAAACCTTTAACCTTCTTTTCCAATTTGCATACATAACAGCTACTACTTAGGTACCAACCTTGTGCAGGCTGCTTTCTCAGTGCTTTATAGGTATTACTTCTATTCACCTCAATTCTGCGATGTACATTATCATCCCCAAAGTGAGTCTCAAAGAACCTATCTGAATTTGCCAAAAAAAAAAAAAAAAAACCTTGCAAGTCAAGACTCAATTCTCTCTCCCCTTCCCTGCTAATTGAAATGTGCCCTGATAACCAAACTATTCTCCCACAAGATATCCGTAACACCAGGCTCTGTGCCTTTGCCCAACCCCTTTCTTCTTGTTCCCATTTCTAAATATAACACCTCCTTCAGGTCTTAATCCCAGAAGTCTGCTACATGATGCCTTCCCAAACTCCCAAGCAAGGCTACAGACAACTTCTTTGTGCTTCCAAAATAGTTCAAACACACAGTTATCTCTATCCCCATACCAAATGCATTTAAAAATTATTAGCTGTTTATTTATCTGTTCTTTTTAAAGGGCCAGTTTTCTCCTGAAACTGTCAAATGCTTCCCCAGGTGATTAGTTTCTGAAGGTAATTTTAGTAAGCCAGATAATTGCAAACAAATTATTTTGAAGTACCTCTTTAAATTGCATGTTGTCAGAAATTGAATTTTCAAGTGTAATGAGTGTAATTGATTATAAGAGAGTGTTTCTTTGCAGATGATGCAGTAGCTGCCATCGCTGCTTGCAATGCCTGCCAACAGGGAAGATTGAAATGTTTAAAGCATTTGAATGGACTAGGAGAGGGTGCACTTAAAATATGGAAGGTGTTGGCTCCCTCCATAGCTCAGGGTGCAACATCTGTCCTGAAATGATAAGGGTTCAATTATGCCCTAAAAGTGCCATAAATATAAACCCTTTGCCTCACCTGAAATGAGCAGCCACTTGAACAGAATTTTATGGACAAGTCACAAAATTGGACAGAATTTTGTGAACAAGCCTTTGAATAACTCCAACAGTGAGGCTGCTGCTTTCCTACACTAGAAGCAGAACCCCCAGCCCCAACCCAATATATGGGAACCAACACTGCTAGAACATGCTCTTACCCACCGTCCCCACCCTTCTCACCTGGTATACTGACACCAGGAGGGTAAAAATGTGAGATGTTGTGTTTGGGGAGGGGATAATGTGTTTTTGTCTGATGTGAGGGCCTAGGGCTTAGACTGGTGGTGCTGGTGGCAACTTCAGGGCTTTGACTGAACTTCCATTCTTCCTTTGAATGAAATTCTGTAGTAATGTCTCTTCCCTTCCCCTGCCACAAGATTGTGAGTTTTGAGGGCAAGGATGTCTGTTACTCATCTCTGTACCCTGGGCACCGGGCACAACCTGGCACACAGTAGGCATGCAATAGATGTTAGCAAAAACCGACTCTTGTTGAAGGCTCACCTCTAGGAAGCCCAGTCCCCTCACTGGGCTCCCAGAGCCACCATGTCTTTGTCCCTACCTGGAATCAGACATCACAGTGTCAGACCCCTTATCTCAGGTTTGCGCTACCTGTGCACAAGGGCATCTCTCCCTAGTATGATAATGTAGAATGTACCGATCATGGAGGACATGCTCAGTAGTCACAAATGCACATATGAACAAAGGAATGTAAGCTTTCCAAATCATACAAATTTCCATATTTTTCTGTTGATAGTACCAAGGGCCACAACTTTTAGTTTTGATGATGTCTGCTTCAGGGAATTTCTGTTTACCGACAATTTACCATCATCTCAGAAGATCAGTTATATGGTTTGAGCAATGAGTGAAGGGAAACTGAGAATATGAAAGGAATATAAAAATGCCTGTAAGAAAATTAAAGCTCCTTATATCCCAACATAATGGCCAAGGCAAGGTGGCTATTAGCGGGTCTTTACTTAGGTAAAAGAAGAAATAAAAGCCTCACAGTTGTGCCACATGATATCAAGTGAAAACGACAAGATGTTTAGCAGAAATCAAGAAATAATAACACCCATGTCCTGTAGAGTCTTCATACTAGAAAAAGGAGTTTAGTCTCACAGCATAAAGGGAATCATGTCAGGAGGCTTGCAGGTCTGCTGCATTTTATCATGCATTGATTCGTAGATATTATGAAGATCAAAAGATGGTAGATTCTAATATTCGGCAATTTGAATCTGCATCCTGAGCAACTGTGCTTTATTTGTAACACACATAACTCAGAGAGGACAACCTTGTTTTATGCTGAATTGGTTTGGACAGGTCTGTGGCATGTTACCTTTGGGTACCTTGGCCCTCCATCTCTCCCGATTGATGTGCACCACTTCCGTCCAAGTAGCTTTAAAGCTCTTATAGTCAACGGAGATGACAGAATTGTTGATCGGGGCACTTCCCTCTGAACCAGAGGTCTTGACACCTGATCGCTTGGCATCTGACGAGCTGATGCTATTCAAACTGGAAAACAAAAAAATCATACCAAAGAAGAGAGTTAGTGTTTGGAAAATGTCTGCCAATGAGCAAGCCCAGAGGAGGAATGGTTAGCACTCCTAAAGTTATTGCTGTGAAATATCTGGATCCTGAGGTTTATAATTATTCTATTTTCCACATATGACCGGTGGGAAATTCTGAATTTTCAGCAGGAAAAACATCAACATTGCAGTCTCAAGAGTCTCTATATTCTTCATATTTCTTCTTTGCTATTTGGCCTCTTCTTTTTTCCCCATAACCAGAATCCCCTCATGTGAATTTTCTCTGCTCTGTTCTCTGAAACTGACTAATTTGAACTGGGACATCTACTTAATTCCACAGTTCACCTACCTGCTTCCACACTGACCACTTTTCCAAGTTACCTAGCAACTTGCTCCTCTTTCTTTCCAGCTCTACCATTCCCCTGCAAGGGTCTTTCTGATCCCAGCATACCCAAGTCCAGGGGAAGTGATAATTTCCTTAAGTTGCTGGAAGAAGATGGAAATGCGGACAGCATGGAGATTGTGAGGGACTAGGTCATGCAAAAGACCTTATGGGTAACTTTGTAAATATTAGAAAGCACCATCTTTCTGGAAAATCTCAAAGAAGTAACTACTGCTACCAAGTGGTTAAAGAAGTGACTGGTAGGAATACAAATTCATGATGGACTAGACAAGCAGAATATATTTCAGTCACTGCCTGAAGAGCTGTGGGGCCATGGGGACTCTGGCAGGGGGCTCTGTCCTCCTTGTTAGCAAACTTAAGAGGGTCTATCCATCTGGAGCATCCCTGGGGTCCCCTGTCCTAACGCCTGTCTTTCTTTACTCCTTTTCCTGCTCTTTGCTTCTTCTTTTCCTATTCATTCCACTTCTCTTCTTCCTCCTTTATGACAAAGCCCACTGTTCTACATGAACAAGGAGATTAGTAGTAGTCGTAATAGTAGTAGTATATCTAATAAAGACTTTATGGTAGCTAGCACTTCCTCTGTTCTAGATCCTGTTGTAAGGTTTAACATATTTTTAATAACTTATTTCGTCTTCCCAGTCACCTCTGAGTATTATAATCCACGTTTTCTCAGATGGGGGAAGTGAGACAATTGGCCTGCGATTGCACAGCTAGTAAGTGATGAGGTCAGGAGTAAGTGATGAGGAGCTGCCCTTGATATAATGATGTGGTGGTAGAAGGTGATTTCAAGCTTTCGATTCTTTTTCTCTACTTCATTCTTTGTGCAAACCTTGAAATGAAAGTCAGTTTCATTTCTTTGTAAGTATTCTTGATGAGTGGTACTGTCTTTGTGGAGTATTACATGAGCAAGGATTGTCTGGGCACAGCAGGTAAACATGCAGCAAATAGGGTGGCAGGGGGGCAGCACCAGGTGCCTGCTGGTCACGATTTAGACCTTGGTCACCCTTTACAGTTTAGCCTGGAGAGTACGGATAATACAATTTCAACTCCTCTGAGAAAAGGAAAGAGGCAGACAAATTTTTCTGAGAAGGAGCTAAGGCAAATGCCATTATGAAATACCATCCCCATCCCCAGCAAAAGAAGAATTCTATCCTCAAGGACAGGCCAACCTCACCCTCAGCCCTCAAGCTTCCCCACTGACCTCGAACGCCTCTGTCCTGTCCCACCAGTTTGAGAGGTTTCATCGATTAATGGACTCACAATCTTCTCGGTCATGTCCGTAAGCACAGTGAAGGTGGGTTCCACGATGAAATCAATGAAACCTGAAGAGAAACAGCAATGCTTCAGAGGAACCACATATTACCTTGGGCCTTTCCATACTTTCCAGAAGAAACTGATCTAGAAGTTCCAGATCAGATTAAAAGAGAATGGCTTGATCTTATGTACTGTATGTATTCCTTGATTTGAATATTACATGTCAGTTTCATTTCTCCTACATAACTTCCTATGACTTTTCAGGATACAGTTCAATAAAGTGCCTAAGAAATATACACTCAACACCCACTATAGAACAAGCACTGTGATAAGAGCTGTGTAAAAGACCAAGACTGAATAACACAACCTGCCTGAAGTTGTGACATTTGAGCTGAACCCTTAAGAATGGGTGGAGAGGAAGATGTGGCTATTCACTCTGGGCGGTGGGAATGGAAAAAGCCAAGTGACAGAGATGGGAGGGTGTAAGATGTGTCTGGGGACTGACTAGGGAGTAGGGATTCTTTTGGATTTGGGGAAGGAAAGCTTGGGAAGGCAGGTTATCGACAGCTCTAGGAAGGGAGGCTTCTAAGTGTTCAGATAGAGGGTTGGGACTTAGGTGGACACTGGAGGCTCCTGGAGATGTTTGAGCCGCATTGTCATAAGAGTTTTTAAATGTTCTTTGGAAAGTTAATCTGGCAAGATAGATAAGAAGGAAGAAAGCAGGAAGGGAGAAGGATGAGAAAATCATTTAGAAGCTATTGCAATTGTTTAAACAAAAGATAAAGAAGGCTGGAACCAGTGCCACTATAAAGTGGAAATGCAAAGCAGGCACAGATACCTGCACAGCAGGAGGTGGTACTGCCTCTGTATGGGATCTGCCAAAGACACTCCAACAACAAAGCAGGGAAAACAGGAAATAGAAGGAGAATAAGGCCAAGAAAAGACAATGGGCTCAGTTTCAGATTTGCTGACTTTGAGGTACAGGGGGGCACATCTAGATGGGAGAGGGCAAACAGAGTTGGAAGAAACAGGATTGGAAAGTGGAAGAGGGCTCAGGCCTAGAACTATACCTTTGTATAGTGATAGAGAGATGGCTGAAGTCGGGCTACAGAGATTGTCCCAACAGCTCAGACACCCAAATGTTCTGCGACAATCAGGAGAGAAAATAGGAGCTGAAGCTAGTGGGGATGCTGGTAATTCATTACACAGTCACATGAAAACCGGAAGGAAACTAAATATCAACCAGAGGAAATGTTGTCCATTCTCCTTCGAAGGGCATGTTTGGAAATGTATGAATGCATATTTAGTTTTCACAATGGCCCAGGTAGAGGTAAAGCTGGCATTAATGCCCAGCAGTAAAGGATGTTAAAAGTCCTACAATGTAATTGACAAAACAAGAATTGTCTCAACCAAATACCAATAGTATCGTGATTGATAAGGAAACAGTGATAGCCAAAAGTGTATTATGGTTAATACAGTGTTGTAATTGTGTATGTGTAGTATGTATTGTGTATTATGGTTAATTATAGTGTAGTTTTAAGCTGAAACTAAAGTATTTGATGACACCATTTTTGCCTTTTTTTTCCTGACAAATTAAGCTCAACATGTCCAAACCAGAACTAACTCATAAGCTTCCCCACAACCTTTGTAAATGGGATCATGGTCCAACCACTTAATGTAGAGTTCTGCCTTTATCTCAGCTTTGCGTTCAGCCAAATCCTTGATACCTTATGTGCCACCTCTCTTCTGGAGAGGCCCCGTTACTACCTTAGTTCTGATATTCATCATCTCTTCTTTGTAATCCTGTAGGAGGCAGTCAACTACTTTCCTTGCCTCTAATCTTACTGAAAATCCTCCAATTAATCCTCTATGCTACTGGCAAAGAAATCTTCTAAAAACAGGGTAGGCAAACTTTATCTGTAAAGGACCAGATAGTTATTTTAGACTTTGCAGGCCATATCATCGCTATCAAAACCACTTAACTCTGCCACTAAAGTGCTAAAGCAGCCATAGACAATATGTAAATGAATGCACTTAGCTATGTTGTAATAAAACTTTATTTACAAGAACAGGTGGTGGGCCAGATTAAGCCCACAGGCTAAAACATAAATTTATATATTTTTAACCTCACTTAAAATTCTTTAGATATGCCCTCATTTCCTACAAGAAAGTATAAACACATGCTATTATTAACACTATATAAAATCTGGGCTTGATACGTCCCTCACTACATCCTACTCCGTACCCAATGTTCTTGCCATATGGAAATGTTTAGAATTTGCTGACCATACCAGGCAGTTTTAAGTTTCCCTGCTTTGTATATGCTACATTCTCTGCCTGGAATACCCTTCTACCCACCCCTAGCTCACCTCCAACACAGATCACCATTTGCCCAGACAATGCCTACTCACTTCTTGGGACTCAATTCAAATATTATCCCTTAATAAACCTAATGGTTCACACACTCTGTTGTGTACCTTATCGTACTAGGTACAAAAGTCTACCTTGGCATTATAACATTCTAATAGATTTTTGTTTTTGTAACATTTTGCCCATCACCCAATACTGGTTTAATGTCTTTGAGAGCAGGTACCATATATAATTTGTCTTTGTTCCTATAACATCTATTATCATGTCTAGCAGTGCCCAATATATGAAGACTCAATATACATTATAAAAAAAGCATAAGCACTCAAAACACAAGTAGAAAAATGCCTAATTCTTATTGAATTTTCTTAAATGACTTCAGACTCTTCAAAGGTGGAGATCACTGACAACATTTAACTTAGATAGGGCACTGGTGTCCTCTCCCACAGATGAAGATTTTTAAAATGCATATATTATGGTTATTAGCAATTCAAAAGTTATTCTTACCTTAAAAAAGTGCTTTAAAGAAAAGAAAGGATGGAAGGAAGACAGGAAACAAGGAAGAAAACATTTTAAAAGATCCATTCATGGAAGTAGATTCAACAAGGAAATGGGGCTGTCCTGAAAACAGGGCTAGGAGAAGCATCAGTGAGTAGAAATGCCTTGTTAGCTTACAGTCCTGCATGCAGAATGGCGGGATGGAGTAGAATGGGCTTCCTGCCAATGACACTTGTTATCTCCTTGGAAAGTTGGGGCCCCCTCTTTCTCTTGACAGGGAATGACAGAGACACCAAGAGTATCATTGTCCAATTCTCCCATGAACAAGCCACATTCCAGGGAAAAGAATGGACAGAGTGGTTCCATAAATTGAATCAGGCAGAGCCATGAGCACAACATGGCAGAATGGAGCCAGTTTCCCAGCCAAAGAACCACTGGGATCATCTGTGCTTACTTCTACAGGCTTCCTGCTTTGGTGCTTCTATCCAAAGAGCTGCAAACACGTACCTACTTGTGACTGAGCAACCATAGTGGACTTTCGGTCACACAGAGGAGAAAAAGGCAGCCCCAGCTCTGCTTCTCTGTCACCCTGGAAAAATAAAAGGTCATAGTAAATTAAGGAACAGTAGGCTGGGTCACCCAGATTTCATTTAGCAACTTCTGCCGCCACGGAGGCCACTGGTCTTTATTTTAATTATTACAATTACATTATAAAATAAGTCTTTATGGAGCCTGCTTCTCTACATAAAAGACACCAAAAGGCTGAAGCCCTCTGGGATCCAATAGTTCCACCCAACTGCAAAGTTCATGTTGCTGTAAAGAAAGCCTCATTGGGCAGTACTAGGACCTCCATGGAAAATAAGGCAACAGGCAATATGTCTTGTGGCCTGCAGCCAGCACTGCAGGCAGAATTTCTGTGTTTTCTCAAGTCATCCTGGGTCAACCTGTGGCCATTGTTTAGCTAATGAACTCCTCCCAGATGTGGGCAGTGTCTGAAACTAAAATTCAAACTGGACTGATTCAGACTGATTCTTCTAGTGCTACCTAAAGCCACACACACTTGGAGCAAGTGCTTCTGGGTTTTTAACCTCAGAGACCAGTCCATAATGAAAAGTGGACCAAAAAGAGAATAAATAATTGCTTGTGTCTATGAAGTTAGACAACAATAAAACACAATTGTCTAACCAATATATTCTCAATCTCACCAAAAAGCATCACCATAATAAGCATTATGAAGAGTCTAAATAATAATGGAGATGTTTTCTAAAAACTTGGGCCAGAGGCTTAATACTTGTCATACCCCCAGAGGAAAGGAAAAATAATATGTCACCCTTCTTATAGTAGTGAAGCTGTGCTAATTCATTTTACTGGCTCAGGATAATAGCTACTGACTTGTGCTTGAATCCCTTTCTCCTACTAGATGTGAGATAGATCACAGGTAAGTTATTTTCCTTCCATACATTTTAGTTTTTATCACTTGCTAAATGTGAGATAGTAATCTCTACCTCATAGGGTTATAAGGATGAAAGAGGAAAATGCATGTAAATAAATAAAAAGAACTACTGTTGTTTCCCAACAGGTGGCTCTAATATTTAAGGCCAAGACTCGAGAAACCTTTAGTGAATTTGTTCACCTAATACACTCCGATTGTAATAAGTACTGTCAATAAATTAATGTAATAGCAAATAAAGGGTAGTAACAACCTGCAACCAGGCCTGGTTCAAAACTGGATGATTCTTCCTTCTAAGGCATGCTACCAAAGAGAATGGATATTGGCTCACATGTAGCATTAACTGAAAGGACGGAAAAGGGGTGTGTGTCTGAGGCAGCTCAACAGTGGGGTCACAATGGGAGCTGGGGACATCCAAGGGTCTCAGGAATAGTCCCTAAGTGGCTCAGTTCCTTCTGCACCCTCTTCCTATATAGACACCCCAGCGGACACAATGGCTTCTTTATTTCAAGTACGCACTACTGAAAACTGCTCTCTCAAGTGGCATGATAAAAATGATTTCCTCCTGAGTGATTTCTACCTAGGTGATATGTAGAAAAGGAAGTGCATTTATAACATAAATTCTAGTGGTGTAGATGGTTTGGTGGGATAGTTCAGCTAAAACAAACAAAACCCTTTTTATTCCCATGTAGCAGGGATACAAATTGTTCTGTCAGTACATTTTAATGGGGAGGGTGTGAACACTCTCCATGACTATTAAAATATAAACACTAATTTGGATTTCATTACTGAACAATCACCTGATACTAAATAACTCCTAATTCCACGAACTTGTCTATACCCAAATATACACATAATTTACATGCTTTGTATTTAATTGAGCTGTGTAGACTCGACTAATAAAAGCTTATTTTTAAAACAGAGGTACTTGAATTCCCTTTGGAAAGCAGATATACTTACGAATTGAAAAAAAAAAACAGTGCTGATAATGTAGAGGAATAAACTTCTACTCATGAGTCCAACTTGAGTGATAACACAATACTGTATGACTCTACAGCTATAGCTTAAAATTATTCATACACTTCCTCTTTATTGAAGAGGTCAACATTTTCAAAAGAGGGCAAAAGTCTCTATTTACACAAAGGATTTTTAAAAACTCACTCATTTTTTTTTCTTCCAGGACAGCGCAGAAAAATAAGTATCATTCCTGCAGTAGGGGTTAAGATAACTCCAACTGATAAAGCCACATAGTTGGCACACAGAAGGAAGATAATGAATATTTGTTGAATAAATGAAAAGACTAATTTGGTTAGAAACACTCAAGTTCCTTTGGCCACTCAGACATTCATGACAGACAAACTAAAGACAGCAGTTAGGCAGGTAGCTGTTCACCACATCCCTATTCTTCTCCTCCTCCATTTCCTGTCTACACAGCTAGACCCCATTGCCTAGAATCACTGCCAGTTAGTGCTCAATAACAGAACGAGAGAAGGGATGCATTTCTACCACAGTTCAGGCCTACAATATCTCTTATGCCTACTTCTCCATGTTTTCCCCAGTTTGCTGGTTTGATGTAGACAAGCACTTTGGAAGCAAGGTAGATGGCAGAATACGGTCTAAAATCATTGCTTATCATAGAACCATCTGCTAATCAAGAAACATGAGTCCTATACTGTACATGAGTGAGTTCAAAACTTCTGTTTATGTGTGTTGTTATACATTTGGGGGTAGCTATATGTAAGCAGCAAACCAGTCAAAAGAGACAAGGGCTCCATCTGTATTGGAAGTTCACAGAGAAGATGGCACCTGTCAATGCAAGAGCTTCCAAAGACATTTAGGTAATATCTCAAGTGAGTCTTTTCAGGTGAAATGAAGAAAAAGCAAATGTTTGGGAATGCAACAGAAGGATCAAGTTGAACAAAGCACAGCAATGTATATTCTTCTTTCCCAGGGGAGGAAGGCACAAATATAACATATGAGAAAGGCATTGTGATGTTGGATTTAAGATAGCATAGTAAAGTTTTAGCTCTTTCAGAAATTATCACCTCAAAAATAAGGAGAGTAAGAAACAGAAATGCAATCACACATCCTAGGAAAAATCTGTAATCTAAAATCAAAACTATATGAGAAAGGGCTGCCAAATGCTGTAAATATCAGAGAGGAATAAGGCAAGATGCCAAGAGGCTAGGCAGAGAATAGACATTGAATTGCAAGAGGCCCTACAAAAGTAAGGAAGTAAAGGCACACACACACACACATGCACGCACACACACACACACACACACGCACATACACACCGCTTCATAGGACCCTAATAATAAACCAAGGACAATTCTAGATAGCTTAGAATACTACTGCTCTGATTGCCCTGTGGTACAAATCTGCAAATAGTTGGTCTGAAAAGAACACATTTCACTCAAAGATTGTAAATAACAATAATAAAATAAAGTGAAGAAGAAAAGAGAGGAGGAGGAGAAGGGGCAGACGGAAGAGTAGAAGGAGGAGGACAAAGAGATGATGGAGAAGATGGAGGGGAAGAAGAAAAAGGTGAAGAAGAAGAAGAGGAAGGAAGAGATAAAAGAAAAAGAGCAAAGGGAGGAGAAGGAAGTATTATACCATCAGCAGCAGAAGCAGGAATAAAGAACTTCAAACAAACAACAGATGGGGAATACTCATCAGATAAATGGTGCCACTACTAACAGAAAGAAGCCCCTGAAATTGTTAAGAACAAGGGCTCAGGGGAATGAGACCTAGCAGAGCACAGGAAAGACATTGAAAAGGGAAGAAAACTAGAACTATCACATTAATGCAGATTGTGCTGGAAGCAGCTCAAAGGAGAACTGAATTGATAAAAATAAAAAGGCCAGTGAAGGCACTATAAACAAAAAGAGAAACAATAAAACAATCTGATAATTTCATAGAGAACAAAGGAAAAAACTCACCAACACGTGTAATAAATAAAAATGGGAAAAATACTATAGACACGGATTAAATTAAAAGAATTGTAAGAGATGTTTGCAAAATATAAAATTGTACAACAATACAAAGAAAATGAACCTCACAGTTTTTCCAACATGACATATTTACCAACGAGGTGAACTTATACTTCTTTAAAGTCAATATTTCATCAAAAAGTACCCTGAGGCAGTGGCTCGGATTTTGTAAATTATGGTTATAAAACTGAAGATGTAACTTACTCTCTTAGTAACCATGGAATGTGTGGTCCATCAGCACTGAGACTATGCCCTTATTTTAAAATGTAACCCAACTTTCCAAATGTAATTTTTAAAAACACTCTATAGTGCCATTGAGATTTCCCATTTGAATTGTCCAATTTAAAAATCTATAGTTAAGAACTGAGGCAGCATTTCTCTTACATGTGTTACTTACTATAGCTTATGGCATCTAGGTTAAAATATTAAGTCAATAAAAATAATTTACTGAATTTTAATTACTAAAAAATAGTTCCAGTCCAATGAGTTAACAGTCCCTTCCCAACAGGCAAGAAATTCAATATGGTTATTTTCATATTGCCTCTAGCACATTTTTATTCGAGTATATGTATGTGCAAACAAGTTTTCCTTTACGAGGAAAAAATGTTCATATGTTTAAGTAATTCATTTTTACTTTCTCATAATTAGAAAAAGAATCACTTTAATACCTCAAACTATATGAGTTAGCTATTATCTATCCTTTCGCCATGGACCAAATACTCCTAGCTGTAGAGGGTTTGTTATGGTTTGGCTGTGTTCTCCCACCCCAAATCTCATCTTAAATTGTAGCTCCTATAATTCCCATGTGTTGTGGAAGGGAGCCCGTGGGAGATAATTGAATAATGGGGGCAGTTTCCTCCATACTGTTTTCATGATAGTGAATAAGTCTCATGAGATCTGATGGTTTTACAAGGGGAAACCCCTTTCACTTGGTTCTCATGCTGTCTCTTTGCTGGCTGCCATGTAAGACATCCCTTTGTTTTTCCTTTGTCTTCCACCACAGTTGTGAGGCTTCCTCAGCCCTGTGGAACTGTGAGTCAATTAAACTTCTTTCCTTTATAAATTACCCAGTCTTGGGTATTCTTTATCAGCAGCGTGAAAATGAACTAATACAGTAAATTGGTACTGGTAGAGTGTGGCTCTGCTATAAAGATACCTGATATGTGGAAGCGACTTTAGAAGTGGGTAACAGGCAGAGGTTGGAACAGTTTGGAGAGCTCAGAAGAAGATAAGAAAATGTGGGAAATTTTGGAACTTCCTAGAGACTTGTTGAATGTCTTTGAACAAAATGTTGATAATATGGACAATGACATCCAGGCTGAGGTGGTCTCAGTGGAGACGAGGAACTAGTTGGGAACTGGAGTAAAAATGATTCTTGCTGTGTTTTAGCAAAGAGACTGGCAGCATTTTACCCCTGCCCTAGAGATCTGTGGAACTTTGAACTTGAGGGAAATGACTTAGGGTATCTGGCGGAAACAATTTCTAAACAGGAAAACATTCAAGAGGTAACTTGGGTGCTGTTAAAAGCATTCGGTTTTAAAAGGGAAACGACACATAAAAGTTCAGAAAATTTGCAGCCTGATGATGCAATAGAAAAGAAAAACCCATTTTCTGAGGAGAAATTCCAGCCTGCTGCACAAATTTGCAGAAGTAACAAGGAGCCAAGACAATGGGGAAAATGTCACACATCACAGACCAAGAGGCCTAGGAGGAAAAGATGGTTTTGTGGGCTGGGCCCAGGGTCCCCCTGCTGTGTGCAGCCTAGGGACTTGGTGCCCTGCATCCCAGATGCTCTAGTCATGGCTAAAAGGGGCTAGGTACAGCTCAGGCCATGGCTTCAGAAGGTGCAAGCCTCAAGCCTTGGAGATTTCTGCATGGTGTTGAGCCTGCAGGTGCACAGAAGTCAAGAATTGAGGTTTGGGAACCTCCGCCTAGATTTCAGAGGATGTATGAAACCACCTGGATGTCCAGGCAGAAATTTGCTGCAGGGGCAGGGCCTTCATGGATAACCTCTGCTATGGTAGTGTGGAAGCAAAATGTGGAGTTGAAACCCCCACACAGAGTCCCTACTAGGGCACTGCCTAGTGGAGCTGTGAGAAGAGGGCCACTGTTCTCCAGATCCCAGAATGGTAGGTCCACTGACAACTTGCACCATGTGCCTGGAAAAGCAGCAGATGCTCACTGTCAGCCCAGGAAAGCAGTCAGGAGGGAGGCTGCACCTGGAAAAGCCACAGGGACAGAGCTGCCCAAGACCATGAGAACCCATCTCTTGCATCAGCATGACCTGGATGTGAGACATAGAGTCAAAAGGAGATCATTTTGGAGCTTTAAGATTTGACTGCCATGCTGGATTTTGGACTTGCATAGGCCCTGTAACCCCTTTGTTTGCCCAATTTCTCCCATTTGAAATGGCTGTATTTACCCAATGCCTGTACCCCCATTGTATCTAGGATGTAACTAACTTGCTTTTGATTTTACAGACTCATAGGTGGAAGGAACTTGCCTTGTCTCAGATGAGACTTCGAACTGTGGACTTTTGAGTTAATGCAGAAATGAGTTAAGACTTTGGGGGACTGTTGGGAAGGTATGATTGGTTTTGAAATGTTAGAATACGAGATTTGGGAGGGGTCAGGGTGGAATGACATGGTTTGGCTGTGTCCCTACCCAAATCTCATCTTAAATTGTAGCTCCCATAATTCCCACATGTTGTGGGATGAACCTGGTGAGAGATAACTGAATCCTGGGTGCGGTTTCCCCCATACTGTTCTCGTGGTAGCAAATAAGTCTCATGAGATCTGATGGTTTTATAATGGAAAAATCCCTTTCACTTGGTCCTCATTCTCTCTCTTTGCTGGCCACCGTGCAAGACATCTCTTTACTCTTCTGCCATGACTGTGAGGCCTCCCCAGCTATGTGGAGCTGTGAGTCAATTAAACCTCTTCCCTTTATAAATTACCCAGTCTTGAGTATGTCTTTATTTGCAGCATGAGAACAGACTAGTACAGGGTGATATTGCAAAAGTATTATCAAAGAAAGCATATGACAGGGGGAGTGGAGATTTGGAGAACATCCTCCTACTACTATTAGAAAAACAGCCTTTGGAAAAATAGCTCAAAAGAAGCTCTTGGTGAAGGATGATTTTGCGGAGTCACCTGTATAGTTCTAGTTCCCCCCACACCATGGAGTCCCCTTTGAGAATTACTCTGAGAGGGTGAGCAATGACTCTGCAAAGAGAATTAACCATAAACTAAATAGGGTACCTGTTGACATACACATATAATAGCTGGGGGGTGCTGCGGTGTGTGTGTGTGTGTGTGTGTGTGTGTGTGCGTGCATGTGCACCATAGACAGAGTGAAGGAAATGCCTTGCATTTCCTAACAAAAGGGTCTTAAGAAAACATCTCGTCCAACCTTATCCTAAATCCTTCCCTCCCCCCGCTCCCCCAACATAAATCACAGATAAGACCATAGGGAATTAGAGAAGCAATTTGATTAGACTCAGGCCATAAATCAGTGGAAATAAACTCCAATAAAGGGTCTTCTGGCATTTGTTTAATGTGCTGTTAACTCTAGCCCTACTTCATTACTAGATAGTTTCAGAAGGAAAACACACACACACAGGCACACACACACACAGGTGCCTTCTACAATTTCTGCATTCAGACTTGAAATCTAAGAGTAAGAATTATCACAATCTAAATTTATTCAGAAAACTAAATAAATAGCAAAAGAGCCCATCTCTTGTCAGTTTGCGGGACGAAGTTGTGACTTGTGTTATTAAGCAGTGTTTTATGGAATCAGAAGTCTCTGAATCCATGCTGTTGAATCTCTTTTCTTGAATTAGCAAGAATTAACTGAATTAGCTGTATTAACTTGAATTTATTATAATTTAGGTCACCAAATCTATGTATCATGTCTTCAATCTCAGGCCCGCATGTCTGGATGCAGATGTTTGAATGGCAGCACCTCTAGAGATAAGGTTAGCACATGTGCCTGAGTTGGAAAGACTTCGGTCTTGGTGCTATGCATTTATTTCCCTATTTCTCTAGTTCCATGCAATTTTAAAATTTGTTTTTAAACAATTTATAATAATTAAAGATCCTGCCTGTTCTTTTTTTCTTTTTCTGAGACAGAGTCTCGCGCTGTCGCCAGGCTGGAGTACGGCAGTGCGATCTCGGCTAACTGCAACCTCCATCTCCTGGGTTCAAGCGATTCTCCTGCCTCAGCCTCTCAAGTAGCTGGGATTACAGGCACCCACCACCACGCCCGGCTAATTTTTGTATTTTTAGTAGAGATGGGGTTTCACCATCTTGGCCAGGATGGTCTCAATCTCCTGACCTCATGATCCACCCGCCTTGGCCTCCCAAAGTGCTGCAATTACAGGCATGAGCCACTGCACCAGACCGATCCTGCCTATTCTTATAGACAACACAACTCTGGAACTTAGGATGGAGTGAAGTTTAAATACAACTGGAATGGCAGTTTCTAGTGATTTCCTGACCCCAAATTGCCACATCTGGTTTGGAATTTTGCGTCTTGGACTTGTCCATTAGAAAGAAACAACCCAACCAATTATAATAGAGACATGAGTTCAAGATTAACATCTTAATCCCATAGGGTGATGCCAAAGTAACTGTCATTTTGTCGAGCCACTAGAAAAAAAAAGTAAAAGAACCCCTCAAATGACATTTTGACAAAAGACTGCTACAAGGAAATACTTTTTTTCCCCCAAACAGAAATGCATAGGATAAAAATACCATAATGTCCTAAAAAGCAGTATTTAGGTAAGATTCAAATATCACATGACCAAGAGGCAAAATAATCTGTGGAGCCCCCCTCCCCTCTCCAAAATTACTGTAATCTCAATAGTCCTTATCCTAGCATTGCTGAGATATAAAATTCATAAAATATCCAATGATGACAGTCCTGATGGAGAGAGAGCAACAAGGTACCTGTCTGAAGAACTCCTCCAGGAGTGACATTGTCCAGCGATGATGGAGGTCCCATGCTTTTGCTGGATGGCTAATATCTGCTGTATGCAGCATAAGGGATAAGGCTTTTGGCTTTTCAATGCTGTAAACCAAAAGCACCCAAACACATGATAACCACACTCTTCAGAACCTCAGTAAGAGTTTTTTAAAAATCATTAAGTTTTTAATCTCTTTTGTTCTTCCATCTCAAACCCCACTTCAGCTAAATTGAGGAAAAGACATCATTTCATCCTACAACTGGGATACTCATTAACTTGGTCTCCATATTTACGGAATTGGACTCTCTGGACTCAAATCCATTTCTGGAATGACTGCATCCTTCAAAAAGAGAGCAAGAATCCAAGAGTCACTGACTTTTATTGGTTGCTTCTGCATTGGGGATCTCTGATAATTTAGTTTCCCACAGGGAATTATTTTTAATTCTCACTGGGGACAACTGATGCTGCCTCTATTATTTCTTTCAACCCTGATGAGAACATACCTTATTGTGGTAGGTACAACTTTTATGCTTTCTCCTTCAAACATAATCATTGCATAAGAACACTCTATAAAGTTGTGTTAAAGGAGATGCTCTTTAAAGGGATAGCCACATAGACGAGGACCCATTCAAACACCTATACAAACAAAAACACAAGCCACAAGCACACTTACGCTTCTGGCTGCTGCAGAGCAGTCTTCATTGCTTTGATTTGTTGGAAGTGACAAGACATATCTGTGGCCATCACCATTTCAATTACCAAGGTTCGAAACTCCCTTTTAGAGACAACCATGGAGAAAAAAGGATGGAAGTCAAAAATGGAAAGTAAAAATCAGTGTTTTTTTTTTGCCACTGCTAATGAAAATCAGTCAACGATTTCTGACATTTCTAATCTAATTTGGGTCTTTAAGGTGAGCTTTTCAAATAAGGAATAAATGAAAGCTAAGTATTAAGAAAATCATTTATTAGGAATATGATACATGGAATACACATATCATTTGGAAAATTAACTCACAGGAAAAAATTCAATGAAACTGAAAATTGTATTAAAATGCTCTTTTCTCCAAATGAATTCAGAGTTTTAAGAAAGAATTAACTTGAAAATAATCCTTGGAGGTAAATTAATCATCCGTATTTCACATTGGATACAGGTATTCCATCTTTTTAAAAATAGCTTGATTTTTAATAGAGTTTTAGGTTGACAGAAAAATTGAGCTTATAGTATAGCTAGTTCTCATGTTACCTCACTTCCAGCACAGTTTTCTTATTTTTAAAGTCTTGTGTTAATGTGGTGCATTTGTTACAACTAGTGAATCAATATTGATACATTATGTTAACTACAGTCCATAGTTTACATTAAGGTTCACTGGGCATGCTGTACAGTTCTACCAGTTTTGACAAATGCATAATGCCATGTATCCACCATCACAATATCCATACAGAATAGATTCAGCACCCTAAAATCCCCTGTGCTCCTTCGATTCACCCCTCTCTTTTTTCCCTCAACCCCTGCCAATCACTGATCTTTTTACTGCCTCTAACGACTTTATTGAGGTATAATTTACATAGAATAAACTGCTTACAATTTACATAAATTGCAGAATGTAATGAGTTTAACAGTTGAGTAAGTTTTTGAAAATACCACTGTAATCATGATACCAAATACTTCCATCATCCTCAAACCTAGCCCCAGGCAAAGTTTGATCTGGCTTATGTCTATCTAAAATAGTTTGAATTTTCTAGTTTTATACATGTGTACATAAAGTATACACATATATATTTAGTATATATTTCAAATATTTAATATATATTATAGATTTCAATATTTATATATTATATACACATATATTTCATACATATATACATATTTATTATATACATACATGTAGACATACATAGATACACATATATGTATTATATATTAAATATGTGTGTATATATGTATATATAGATTATGTATATATGTATGTATACACACATACATATACGTATGTATACATACATACATACGTATATGTGTGTATACATACGTATATGTATGTATGTGTGTATATATACATACATATATACACACATTATTTTAAAATAGTCACACATTGAAAATATACACACATATTATTTTAAAATATAATAGATAATACATATTATACACACATACATACGCATTATATATTAACACAGATACTAGATATATACACACGTGTTTCCATGTATATACATAGACACACACACACACACATATATAATACAAAATGTACTCTTTCTTTACTCAGCATAATGATTTACAATTCATCTATATAGTGGTTCATCAATAGTTCATTTTCTCTTATTGCTGAGTGGTATTCTATCATATGAGCATACCACAGTTTGTTATCCATTTACTAGCTAACGGACATTCAAGTTATTAGATTCTAGTTTGGAACTATTGTGAATAAAGCTACTATGGGTATTCATACATAAATCTTTGTGTAGACACATATGTTTTCATTTATCTGGGGTGAATACCTAGAAGCAGAATGGCTGGTTTATAAGACAGCTGAGTGTTTATAAGAAACTGCCAGCCGGGCATAGTGGCTCATGCCTGTAATCCCAACACTTTGGGAGGCTGAGGCAGGTGGATCACCTGAGGTCAGGAGTTCGAGACTAGCCTGACCAATATGGTGAAACCCCGTCTCTACTAAAAATACAAAAATTAGCTGGGTGTTGTGGCATGCGCCTGTAGTCCCAGCTACTTAGGAGGCTGAGACAGGAGAATTGCTTGAACCTAGGAGGTGGAAGTTGCAATGAGGTGATATCATGCCACTGCACTCTAGCCTGGGTGACAGAGAGAGACTGCATCTCAATTAAAAAAGAAAAAAGAAACTGCCAAATATTTGTGAAAGTGGTTGTATCACTTTACATTTGACCACTAGCATATAACATTTTCAGTTTTTCTTTGCCTCCTCTAATGAGTCTTTAATTTCAGCCATTCTTCTGATGGATATGTAGTGTTATCTCATCTTGGTTTTAATTTACATTTCTTTGTTGACTATGTCAGGCACATTTTCATGTACTTATATTCCATTTGTATACATTTTTTAGGGAAATGTCTGTTTCAAACCTTTCTCATTTTAAAATTGAATTGTTTACTTATTATTGAGTTATAAAAGTACCTTACACATTTTGGATTCAAAACCTATGTAAAACATAAGTGTTGTGAATAATTTCTCCAATGTCTTGGCCTGCTTTTTTTTAACGGTGTCTTCCAAAGAGCAAAAGGTTTAATTTTTATAAAGTTCAATTTATCATTAAAAAAATGCTTCATGCTTTTTCTCTCCTATCTGAGAAACCGCCACCTACTTCCAAGGACTTCAGTATTTTCCTCTGGAAGTCTTGCCATTTTAGCTTTTACGTTTAGGTTTATAACCAATTTTGAGCTATTTTTTGAGTATGGTATGTGATAAGGGTCAAAGTTATCTTTTCCCATTGTTCCAAAACCATTTGTTGAAAATATTTTCTTTTCCCCATTGAATTAATTTGGCATCATAAATCAATTGATGAGTCAATTTCAAAACTCTCAATTCTGTCCCATAGTTACGTATGTCCATCTTTCACCAGTGAAATGCTGCCTTGAATACTGTAACTTAAGCATGCTTGGAATCAAGAAATATGAGTCCTCTAACCTTGTTCTTCATTTAAAAAGTATTATTTGGCATTTCTATATAAAGTTTATAATAATCATGGCAATTTCCAACATAATTCTGCTGGAATTTTGATTGGAATTGTATTGAAACAATAAATAAATTTTGGAAGATTTGACATCTTTATAATACCGAGTGTTCCACTACATGATGACAGTATATCTCTCTATGTATTTAGTTCCTCTATAATCAGCAATACTACATAATCTTTAGTGAACATGAGCTGCATTTGTTTTTGAAAGCTACTACTAAGTATTTTATATGTTATGTGCTATTGTAAAAAATTATTTTATTTTCCAATGGTTTGCTGCTAGTGTCTCTCTCCCTCTCTCTGTCTCTCTCTCTCTCTCTCTATATATATATATATATGTATATGTGCATATATGCATATGTGTATATATAATGTTTTTTACATTAACCTTGTATTCTGTGACCTTGCAAAATTCATTATCGGTTCCAGTAGCTCCTTTACAGATCCTTAGGATTTTCTACTTAGGCAATCATGTCATTTGCTATTAACATCTTAACAATGTTGATGAATGTAAGATCAAGCATCTTTGTCTTACTCCCAGTCTTAAGGAAAAAACATTCAATATTTCACCATTAAGCTTGATGTTAGTTATAGGTTTTTCACACATGCACTTTATCCAGTTGAGGAAGCTCCCTTCTGTTTCTGGCTTGCTGAGAGTTTTTATGATGAATGTGTTGAATTTTGTCAAATGCTTGTTATATATCTATTAAGATGACTGTATGATTTTCTGTTTGTTTTTAAATATGGGGAATTCTTTTAATTAATTTTTGAATGCTGAATTAATCTTGCATTCCTTGGATAAGCCCAATATATGAGTCAGGATTCTCCAGAGAAACCAATAGGATAGAAAGAGATTTATTATGAGGAAGTGGCTCACATAATTATGAAGGCTGACAAGTCCCAAGATCTGCAGGGTAAATCAGCAAGTGGAGATCCAGGACACCCAATATTGTACTTCCAACTTGAAGGCTGACAGCTCAAGACCCAGGAGGAGCCATTGTTTTAGTTCAAAGACAGGCAAAAAGAATTCTCTCTTACTTGGGAGGTGGTCAGCCTTTTTGTTCTAGTTAGGCCTTCAACTGGTTGAATGAGGTCAACTCATGTTAGGAAGGGCAATCTGCTTTACTCAGTCTACCCTCTTATATGTTAATCTCATCCAAAAACACCCTCACAGAAACAACAGAATAATGCTTGACCAAATATCAGCACACACTGAGGCCCAGGCGAGTTGATACATAAAATTAACTATCACACATGATATATTACCTTTTTAGTATATTGTTACATTTAATTAGTTAATATTTTACTGAGAATTGTTATAGCTATGTTCATAAAATACATTAGTCTTTAACATTCCTTTTTATGAATTTTTTTCCAGAGTGTGGTATCAAAATTATGTCTTATAAAACAAATTGCACAGTATTTCTTCCTTCTCTAAATACATTTGCATAAGATTGGTATTATCTGTTCTTTACATATTGATAGAATTCACCAGTTAAACTATCCAAGGCTGGATATTTCTTTGTGGGAATATTTTTGATGACAAAGTCAATTTTTTAACAGACATAGGATTGTTCAGACTTTCTGTTTCATCTTGTGTGAATTTTGGTAAGTTGTATTTTGCAAGGAATTTATCCACTTCATCAAAGTTGTCAAATTTATTGAGATAAAGTTGTTTGTAACATTTTCTTATGTATTTCATATGTATAGGATATACTGTTGGTACTTTGTGTTCTCTCCTTTTTATTGACCAGTCTAGGTAGAAGGTTGTCAATCATGTTGCTCTTTTCAAATAACAGCTTGAGCTTTCTTAATTTTTTCTTTTTATTTTTTCTATTTTATTGATTTTTCCTCTTATCATTACTAATTTCTTCTATCTACTTTGAATTTACATTACTGTTTTGGTCTAGCTTCCTGAAGTCATTGTGTTTGGAACTTTTTTCTTTCCTACTATGAACATTTATAGCTGTAAATTTCCTCTAGGCACTGTTTTAATAGTATTGCACACATTTTTAATATATTGCATTTTCATTCTTGATAAATTTGAAATGTTTCCTACTTTCCTCTGATTACTTTTTGATCCACAAATGATTTAGAAGAATGTTGTTTAATTTTCAAATATACAGGATTTTCCTAGATATCTTATTGATCTCTAATTTAAATCCATTAAGGTCAAAGAACATACTCTTTAAGCTTATGATATTTTAAAATTATTAAAACTTATTTTAAAATGTCTCAGCATGTGTACTTGAAAAGAATATGTATATTGCAGTTGTTGCATGGTGTTCTATAAATATTAATTAAGGCAAAGTGGCTGATGTTGTTCAAATCCTCTTAGGTCCTTAGTGATATTTTTGTCCAGTTTGTCTATCAACTGCTGACGCAAGAATCTTAAAACCTCCTATGATTGTGAAAATATATATTTCTCCTTTTTCTCCTATCAATTTTTACATTTTATGTTTTGGAAGTCTACAGTTACCTAATAGTTATTTATGACTGATGTATCTTTCTGATGACACTCTTATTATCAGAAAATCTCCTTTCTCTTTCACAATATCCTTTTTCTTGCAGTTCATTTTAGCTAATATTAATAACACCACTGCATTCTACTTATTCTTACTGTTTGGTACATCTTACATACTTTTACTTTGAACCTTTTTGTGTATTTATATTTAAAGTGTATCTCTTGTACAATTGCAGTTGGAGCTTGCCTTTTTATCAATTCTAATAACCTTTTCCTTTTAAGTAGAATGTTTAGTCCTTTAACATTTAATGTAATTATTAATATAGTTGCATTTGGGTCTAGCATGTTATTATTTGTTTTCTAATTATCACCTTTGCTTTTTTCCCTTTGCATTAACTTTTCTGCTTGAGATATTTTTTGTATTATTTATTTTTTAAATCAATTTTAATTTATCTACTGCTAAATGGTCAATTTAAATTTATCTTTTGATAAATAGGTAAACTTTAACAATCTTTAGCTATTATGGTTAATCTTTTTAGTGGTTGCTTGGGGATTACAACATACATCTTTAATTTTCTGTCTACTGTATAACTTTATGTAACATTTAAAAATCCTGCAACAGTATAGGTCCATTTACTAACATTAACTGGTCTTTATGTTATCATTGTCACATGTATTACACCTCTCTACATACAAACCTCATGAGATGGTGTTGTAATTTTTGCTTCAAATGGTCAAATGCACAATTTAAATAAGTGAAGAAAAATGGTATTTTACATTTACCCAGATATTTATCAGTTTATTCTTTTCTAAAAGTCTGATTTCACTATCATATCATTTTCCTTCCAATAAATATTTAGATTTATTAATCTAAAAATTAATAAAATATAAAATAACAAAATAATATTTTTGAAACTACCTTAAAGAAAGCTCTAAAGAAATTTCTTTAGCATCCCTTGTAACGCAGCTCCATTAGTGACACATTCCTGTTGTTTTCTATTATCTGAAAATAATTTTATTTCATCTTCATTCTTGAAGTTCATGTTCACAGGATGTAGCATCCTGTGTTGGCTTTTTGTTTTCTTTTTAGCACTTTAAATAAATTATTCTATTGTTTTCTGGCCTCTATAGTTTCTGATGAATAGTCTACTGTGATTCAACTTGTTCTCCTAAGTGTAATTTGTCATTTTTCTTTATTTTATCTTTGCCTCTCAGCAGTTTGACTATAATATGTGCCTCAGTGTTCTTTTCATCGAATTTAACCTGTTTTAGGTTTGCTGAGTTTCTTGAATCTGTATATTTATATGTTTGGCAATATTTGGAAACTGTTCAGTCATTATTTCTTCAAATTCTTTTTCTTTCCCATTCTCTCTCTTTTCTCTCCTTCTGAGACTCAAATTGCCCTTATGTTGGCTCATATAAAATTATCCCACATGTCCCTAACTTCTACTCATTTAAAACAGCTTTTTCCTCTTACTTTTTCAAATCAAATAATTTCCAACTTTGAAACCTGAAAAATGAATTTTTAAAAGTCACTGTTTCCTTCTTCTGTCTTCTCTATCATGCACTAAGCCTATGTAGCAAATTCTAAATGTAGACATTTTATTTTTCAGTTCTAAACTTTGTTTTTAATTTATGTTTTCATTTTACTCATAAACCTTATAACAAAATAATATTTTTGAAACTACCTTAAAGAAAGTTCTAAAGAAATTTCTTTAGCATCCCTTATAACACAGCTCCATTAGTGACACACTCCTGTTGTTTTCTATTACCTGAAAATAATTTTATACACAAGCACATTTTTCATTACCTCACTGAGCATAGAAATAATAGTTGTTTTAAAAGTCCAAAGTCCTCATCTGATAATTCTAACAATGGCTTATCCTAGAGTGTGTATCTATTGATTGTCTTTTCCCTTACTAAGAAATCACATTTTCCTGATCTTTATATGTCACTTAGATTGTATCCTGAACATTATGGATATAAGTTGTAGGGAATCTGGGTTCTGTTATATTGCTCTGAAGATTGTTGATGTTTTGTTTTAGCAGGCAATTAACTTGTTTATACTCAAAATACAAACTCTGTATAGGTTCAGTAAGCAATACATCAGATATCACTGGACACAAGGAGGGAAACATCACACACTGGGGCTTGTCAGGGGGTCAGGGGCTAGGGAAGGCATAGCATTAGGAGAAATACCTAATGTAGACGATGGGTTGATGGGTGCAGCAAACCACCATGGCACATGTATAAACCTGCACTTTCTGCACACGTATCCCAGAACTTAAAATATAATAAAAAAAATTTTTAAAAAGGTTTGAAAAAAATAATAAAAGGTGGCCAGGCACAGTGGCTCATGCCTGTAATCCCAGCACTTTGGGAGGCCAAGGCTAGTGGGTCATTTGAGGTAAGGAGTTCGAGACCAGCCTGACCAAAATGGTGAAACACTGTCTCTATTAAAAATACAAAAAAATTAGCTGGGCCTGGTAGTGCATGCCTGTAGTCCCAGCTACTTGTGAGACTGAGGCAGGAGAATCGCTTGAATTTGGGAAGCGAAGGTTGCAGTGAGCCAAGATCATGCCACTGCACTCCAGTCTAGGTGACAGAGTGAGACTCTGTCTCAAAATAATAATAATAATAAAAGGTTTGAATATGGCAGAGAACAGCTTCACACATATTCAGATACATCATGGTTTTGAAGGATTTGTGTGAGGGCTTATTTAGATATTTAGATCGTGTATAATCCTGGCTTCCTGACAATCTAGTAAAGTGTTCTAAAGCTTGCATAATTGCCTCTTAACATATTTTCCAAACATACGTATGCTACTTCTGTTATACATACTTTTACTTTTCTTTTTTTTTCTTTTTTTTTTTTTTTTGAGACGGAGTCTCGCTCTGTCACCCAGGCTCTGTTCTGTCCAATGGAATAGAACAGAGGCCTCAGAAATAATAGCACACATATACAACCATCTGATCTTTGAAAAGCCTGACAAAAACAAGCTATGGGGAAAGGATTCCCTATATAATAAATGGTGTTGGGAAAACTGGCTAGCCATATGCAAAAAACTGAAACTGGACCCCTTCCTTATACCTTATACAAAAATTAACTCAAGATGGATTAAAGACTTAAAGTAAGACCTAAAACCATAAAAACCCTAGAAGAAAACCTAGGCAATAGCATTCAGGATATAGGTATGGGCAAAGACTTCTTGACTAAAACACCAAAAGCAATGGCAACAACAGCCAGAATTGACAAATGGGATGTAATTAAACTAAAGAGCTCCTGCACAGCAAAAGAAACTATCATCAGAGTGAATGGGCAACCTACATAATGGGGGAAAATTTTTGTAATCAAACCTTTTATTATAACTTTTACCAATAGTAAAATTGGATAGAGGGTTCCTTTTTTCCTGAAGTGGTGCAATGATTAATTGAATTGCTCTGCATTTTTCAGATGCTGGCTGAGTCTAGCATATTCCAATAAAATTTAAGTCAAATATTCCCATATGTTTTAATAAACTAAAGCTACATGGAAACTCTTAGCCACTCTTAATAAAAATCAGCCTCTCAGATTGTTCAGTAAAGTTCATTTCTCTAAATCCTTGAAAGATGGTGAGCACACAAATACCCAATAAACAGCTGATTATTTAATTAAAATATGAGGACTATTTGAGTCACAACGGATTCAGAGTTTTGTAAGGATTTAGATGATCTCTGCCTGCAGGGTTTGAAGTACCTTAACCTATATTTATAGCTACGATGATTTATTGGCTTGCTATATATGAGACAAAGTGTGCTAAGCATTTTAAAATGATTATGTCATTTATCATAATCTATCCCAACTGCAGAATAAATGTTACTATCTATTTTCAAGAAATTAAAATTTTAAAGATGTAAAGATATTGAGTCACTTCCCGAATGTCATACAGCTAGTAAGTGACTGAGTCCATATTCAAAACACAGGTATGTGCCTAAATCCAAACACACAATTTCTGTCATTCATGCAACAGAATTAAGTGTACATAATTTTTTTAAGTGTCCAATAATTTCCTTAGAAAATGTCAAAAGATTGATAAGAAGTCCAAATCAAATATAGGGTGAAAAACACATGTTATTAAATAAAAGATAAAATTCAGATTTAAGGAATTCAGATAAAAGCAACACAAGTTTCCTAAGGTTAAAAAAAAAAGCAAATATATCCAAAGTGTCCTCAGTTGAACACTGTTAGAAGTGATTTTTCAAACTTTCTTCTTTGAGAATTTTTAGGACAATATTGAATTATTTGACTCAAACTGGTTTCACTTCCCAATTCATCAATAAAAAGCAATGTAAAGATGGCAAAATAAAGTAGTTGGAACTTAATCATAACATTCCATAGCCTTTATTTATAAATATTTGAATATCTGTATAAAGAAAAAAGAGAAATAAGACATACATACATACACAAAGAGAGGGTGAGAGTGAGAGAAAGAAAGAGAGAGAAAGCAACACGAATCAACATTTTAAGCAAGGTGTTCTTTTCTCAAAAACAGCATACTTCATCCAACTTCAAAGTTCCTTCCCTGGCCTACAAATCTCTCTCTTTTCTCATCCTTACCTCCAGTCATCCTTTGAGAGGTTAATCAAAATATTCATTTCCTCGTCATCTTGCAGAAGGCGATAAGCTGCACTTAAATGGTGATTCTCCAGTACAGATCTGTCATTATACAGAATAGCTGGATCAGACCTGAACAGAAAGCCAAGCAAAATTCAGAATGTTAAACAGTTGTGATTTACTTGGGTAATTCTAACAGGCTAGAACGCACCACCACTTTTTTCCATGTTTAGAAATTATCTTTGTCCCCATGCCAGTTATATGAACCAAAAGCTCAACTAACACTACAAATCATCAATAGATGAATGTAGGGTATGTTATATCAGTACATGTGTGGGCAGGAAATATGTGACATCCAGCCTGAGAACTCTCTCAAAACTGTTTTACAACCAGATCTCAATTACCTATATTAGTTGCAAAGGTGTTTTTTTAAAAATATGGGTCATGTCAAACTTCTTTATATTTTCTGGAATGACATTTATTTTTATTTTTATTTTATTCAATGAATGCACTGGTTTATTTATTTTAGTTGTAATTTTCAGAACACATATCACCTGGTGGGTACTATCTGTAAGCTGCCTCTGATAGTGGCTTGATCTCAACATTTTTCCATGCAAAAGCCACATGTGGAAAATTGAGAATAAAGAATATAAAGATTATAATGTCAGTTTTTAGTTCCTATCTCAAAGACCATACTATAGCTGAATGTCACTAAACACACGACTGTATAATATTTTAAGATCTTAAATTTAATGAAAGCTTAGATTATTTGTTTCTCACCAAGGAAGCTGAGTTTCAGAGACTTAAAAAAACTTGTTAGAGCCCTTTGGTGGCCAAGTGGCAGGGCTGGGATGAAGGCAAGATCTTCTGACAGTTGGGCCAGTGCTTCCCCAAGATAACTTCCACCTGCCATTGGCCAAACTTTGGGCTGTATCTATCATACCTTGAAACTGTTAGGCTTAAAATTTTATTCATCAAAGGATTAAGGGCCTGGTCACAGACTTTGTTTTCTGAACAGGGATCACACAGGCTGAGAGGCTTTGGATAAAGTTCTGTTGAACAGGGCCAATGTTTAAATTTCATTCCAAACCAAGCTTAACTGAACACATTGGAATTTTCCCACTCCTATGGAGATAACGCAGAACATTCAAATCCCGAGGTGAAAGATCTGCTGTTACATCTGTTGAGTAAGTTAGATACCAACTGATGTATATTTCGTGACACTTTTCCACCTCCTGTAATAAAGCCATTCTCCTCTGTGTTGGGACTGGTTTTGATCCTCGTCTCCAGGCAAGACCCACATATGTTCAACCCACCTCTCTTCCTTGGGCAGGTGATATTCACCATGGTCTCTGTCCTCAGAGCAAAGGTTCCACCCACAGACATACATTAAACAGTGCTACTCTATGGAATTCCCTGTATTAAAGGGAATTCTGTTCCCTTGGAACACAACCACAAAAAGCTGCTTTTCTGTGGCTGAGACTAAGTGAGGAGGCAAGAAGGTGGAACTGAAGCAAGTAGCTGAAGTTCTTTTGTCTGCTTCCATTCAATTAAAATTCTCCTTCTGAACAGAGATCAGACAATATTGTCTTCTTTTGTGTATACTGTAATCAAGTGTTGAGTTCATTAAATACATGTAGATTGATTTAATGAACACAAACCTATCTAGAGTGTGCACCTGCTTTTTCAAGTGAAATCAGCAAGTATTTATTTGGTGTTAAACTCTCATCCCTCCCTGCTACATTCTTTCTCTTTGACTTACCACCTTTCCCCATACCCTAGCTCCTTTTGATTACTATGTCAAGGATAATGAACTAACTCTACTGTCAGACTCTCTCCAGTTCCACATCATTGTCTTAAGAGAGGGCAAGTTCTTAGGCTAGGAGAGGGCAAGGAAAGTTTTATCCTAAGTAGAAATGACAATTGACTGGTGCTATTGCCTGGAATTCTGTGCTGAGAGGAATACTCAGAATAAACCCACAGTTTAGTAAGAAAAAGTACCAAAATCAACTAACAGTATCTGTTACAGGTCAGGAGGTTCCGAGTGGGGCACTTGGACCCATATTTAATGTCTCCGACGGGAGGTTTGTGATTACCTGTGCAGTCCATTAGGAAGGATGCACAGGTTGCTCACGGTGAAAGTAGCCTACAGGAGACAAACTTACTCCCGGGGCCCTGTGCCAGGGAGTGGTGCAAGCACTAAACAGAGCAGATACGAAATCAGAGAGGATGAGAAGAGATCTCATCAGAATCTCAGAGATCAGAGGGTAAGATTGGTCAATGTTGTTAATGTCAACAAAAACACTCTAATCCTCACTGTCCTTATTCTTTTCCTTTATGTGTCATCTGGGCCTTTACGTAAACTGCCCCATTTCCTGTTAGAAGTAGGTCAAGTATGTACAGAACATACATAAACAAATAGCGAACATTAGAATAGAGAAGAAAAAGATATCTATATGAGATCTGAACAAAATAGGAGAATTAGGAGCAGATGGCTTCTTAAACTCTAAGTCTTGATTGAAGCTGATCAGACTGATCTCTCATTTAGAGGTTCATTGTTTCAGAAATTCAAAATAGGAAACCTATGCAAAAGAAAGGTGACTAACACCTTTCTGATTTCTAAAACTGTCTCTCTGACCCCTCTTGCCTCTCTTCCAAACATTTAAACACCCTCACCGAGTCTGAATGTGGAAATTGTTGGTGGTTCCGGTATGCTCGTAGTCATGGATGGCAGCTGAGAAGATTATAGCAAAGATCTCCAGCTCCGTCAGCCAGTTCTGAAAGGAGATTACAGAGCAATCAGATAATCTGTTTCTTTCTCAAAGTCTTCAGCTTGCTGACAACACACCCACAGTGCTGCCTTTCTACCCTGCAGCTGGTAAGCTATTGCCAAACACAAGTTTTCTGAGAGACAGAAATAAGTTATTTTCCTGTGAAGAGACTTGGAGACTTGTGATTTGTTAACAATGTGTTCAGCAAGGTTGAATAAGCTAAGTAGTAGTTTTATCTTTTTCAAGAAATCAAAGAGAATGAACATGAAGACTTGAAAAGCCCTCATTGCATCCTCCCCCAACTTCCAAATAAAGTTCCTAGGTAGACACACACACACACACACACACACACACACACACACACATAAAAAAATTAGAAATTTGAATGCAATACCAAGAATGAAGAGTAATAGAAAACCTAACGTCTGATTATAGGAGGATATCCACTAGGAAGTGGGTAGAGACAGATGGAAAAATACTGGCTTTCTGCTCTATGCATGCTGATGATGTTTGAAAGGACTTCTCCCCATCCACACCATCAACATTGGCTGTGGGTCAGTGGTTCACAAAATGTGTTCCTTGGACATGCAGATGGTGTCAGCTGGGAGCTTGTTAGAAATGCTGGCAAATTCTTCAGCCCCACCCCAATCTCACTGGATCAGAAACGCTAGGTTGTGGCCCAGCAATCTGTGCTTTACCAAGCCATCTAGATAGTTCTGATGCACACTAGAGTTTGAAAACTACTGCTGTGTTTCAAGCTTCCTTAACTGACTTCCATTTAACGGACTCTGTGGATTTACTTCCTATCGCTTCTGTAAACCATCCTGCCCCATGCTCACACGACAGAATATGCCTGACTCAGGCCACCTTCTCATATCCTTTGCTCACTTTTGCTACTAGTTAAATTCATGCCTACATGATTCAGTATGATTTATTCTAAACCACATTTTAATAAATTGTATTTGTTATTATAATTATGTAATTAAATATGACACAAACCAATAAAATATGGACACAAAATTGGAGTTGTTATTTCTGTAGAACCTAAGTTTAATGCTTTGGACAGTCACTAAAAGAACTGCTATCAAAATATGTGTGACAACTGTGAAAGAGCAGAACACATTTATAGAAAAGTTAGAGAGCTTCTGCACTCAGTTTGCTTCATGCACATCTTTAAGTTCCCACTTAACTTTAAAGAGATGAGACTAGAAATCTTAGATAGGGGCAGGGTTGATGTAAGACAAATGTGAGTATCCAAACTGGTGAACTCATAAAAGCCCTGTGGTCTGAATTAAAGATCAGTGCATAAAATAGATTCATATGATTTAAGTTAACGCAAAATGAGTTAAAATGAACATTTAAGTGTTTCTAATTTCCCACTTAAGCCATATCTTTCAATTAACTACTAATTTTGGAGAATTATTGCCTTCTTTAAAAATTGGTAAGGGGAAAATAAACAAATGACATAGAACTTATGAAAAATACTTCAGAGTGAGCATAAACATAACTCATGAAAAAATAAACCACTATACTTTTGAAAATGATTCCTAACAGAATCCAGCATGAAATGTCAGGAAGCTTTCTGGCATCTTCAATAATATACCTCAAAAACACAAATTGAGGTACACGGAACAGAAAGTCAAAGAGAAAACAGACTAAGATGAAAATCAACAAAATGAGATGAAAAAAAGATGGGCAAGATAAGGAAAGATTGCAAGAAAAATCAAAGCTGCAAAACCCCTTGTAAAGGCAGCAAAGAGCCTCCTCATCAGCCTCTTCATTGTCTCGGGGGGCCCCCCATGTGGCAGGCACTATGCTAGGTGCTTTTATATAGAAACTTATATAACTCTCACAGCTCTGTAATCATAGGTACTGTTGCTATCCCCACTTGACAGATAAGGAAACAAGCCAGGGGTAGGTGCAGGACTCACTCAAGGTCACACAGCCAGTCATCTGACAAGCCACACACCACGCCTGCAGAATTCTCACTCATAATCTTACATTGTATTTTCTTTGGATCATTGTTCATGTGTTTATTCAATTTTGCATAAAATTATATAGGCATAAATTTATATTGCACATTTTTCTTGATATTATCCATACATATATTACATATGCAGTTTTTTTTCCATTTTGGCATTGTCTTTCTTTTCTTCCCCAATATTTTGTCCCCACCCATCTGTCCCTGGTTCCCTCTACCTCCTCTCCCACATATATCTCTTATTCTAAGGTCACGTAAAGTTAATTTCACTTTTTAAAATAAGATTATGAATGGGAGACAGTGTAACATCTCAACGAATCCTAGTCACAGAACATCAGCCCAGGCAGCAGAAAGCATCTAAATAACAGTATAATTACAGTTCTCACATTACAACCATAGTGATGCTTCCCTCCTTACCCAAATAATTGAACAAAATCCTATCTTAGATATAACCTACTTCTATTAAACCAAAAACAATGAATGGTTAAACAGGCATTCAACAACAACAACAATAAAAAACAAAACCATTGTCTTTAAAACTCATTTTACCACCTTAGTTTTTCAACAAACGCCATGCATGCTTAGAATCAGTTATGCTGCTTTGGGGATAAGAAGAAAGAAAAGTAGTATCTGGGAGAAACAGCTTCACAGAGGAGAGATGTTTAAGATGGGCCTTGAAAATTTGACAGAGAAAGAAATGAAGGTGGGCATTTTCAGAAGAATGAACTAAATGAGCAAGTCCCAGCAGCAAAAGCATGTCCACCTCAGGTAAGAAAATGATGCCCTTGACTGGAGCGGGAGAGAAGGCTGATTGAGGCCCTATGAGGTCAGGCATTAGAAAACACAGTGAGCGAGGAATGTAAACCAGATTCAGCAGGCAGTGAAGTTCACACGCAAGAGAGTCATGCCATCAGCTCCCCACTTCAGGAAGGATATTTGGACAGGAGGAGAGAAGGGAGATAAAAAGCAGGGTTTTTTTGTTTTCGTTTTGTTTTTGTTTTTGTTTTTTTTTAAACAGGGTCTCACTCTGTTGTCCGGGCTGGAGTATAGTGGTGCAATCTTGGCTCACTGCAACCTCTGCCCCCAGGGCTCAAGCAAACCTCCCACCTCAGCCTCCCAAGTAAGGGCTGGGACCATAGGCACCCACTGCCATGCCCAGCTATTTTTTTTTTTTTTTTTTTGTATTTTTAGTAGAGATGGGAGTCTCACCATGTCGCCCAGGCTGGTCTCTAACTTCTGAGCTCAAGCAATCCACCAATCTGGGCCTCCCAAAATTCTGGGATTATAGGCGTGAGCAACTGTGCCTGGCTAAAAGCTGTATTTTTAGATTGAAAAGTTCATATAGGATGTACAGACAGTGTGGAGGTAGAAGCCATATGACTTAGCAATTATCTGAATTTTGGAAGTGGTAGGAGGACCAGATGAGGTTGCAGTTAAGGAGAACAATATGTTAGATGACCTCAACACTCCTAGCCTCACTGAGTGGCTAATAAACCCCTCAGGTGATATTAGATAGCATCATTAACAGAAACAGAGAAAGTGGGAGAAGCTATTTTGGAGGAAATTGAACTTCCTATTTTAATATACCTCAGATTTCCTTGCCTCTTCCAAATTAACTACTGTGAACCCAGAAGGTTTTATGTCAACCCATAAGAAGTCAGAAATTAAAGTCCCACTGGTATTTTATTCCAGAATTACCAATTGGTGGCAAGGTACAAGTCACAGATGCTATCAGTATTTTCCTATCTACAAAATATGAGTGTCACAACTAGTTCATTTGAAAGGATGCTTTGACAAGTGGTAATTGGGGACCTTGAGTTTTGCTGTGTATGACTCAAGAAAGCAAGCCACTTGTTCCCGCATATAGGGGCAGATGAGGAGACATGGGGTACAACAGAGCAGAGGAAACCTGAAGGGAAAGGACATGGCCAATTTCTCATTGTTAGAGGAGATACTACAAGCAAGTTGTGACTTTTCTATGTGAATGATAGAGTTTCTTTAGTAATCTGTTAGTTTTCCATGCTACCTTAACAAATGCTCAGTCTTGGAGGCTTAAAGAACACTTCCGGGCCTGGCGAGGTGCCTCATGCTTATAATCCCAGCACTTTGGGAGGCCAAGGTGGGTGGATCACCTGAGGTCAGGAGTTCAAGACCAGACTGGCAAACATTGTGAAACCCCATCTCTACTGAAAATACAAAAATCAGCCGGGTGTGCTGGCGGGTGCCTGTAATCTCAGCTACTCAGGAGGCTGAGGCAGGAGAATCACTTGAACCCAGGAGGCGGAGGTTGCAGTGAGCTGAGATCACACCACTGCACTCCAGCCTGGGTGACAGAGCGAGACTCCCTCTGTCTAAAAAAAAAAAAAAAAAAAAAACTTCCGTTTATTGGCACGCAGTTCTGCCAGTCAGAAGCCCAGGCCAGTGTGGATGGGTTCTCTGGTCAGGGTATCCCAAGGCTGACATCAAGGTTGGGAAAGGTTTCCTTTCTGGTGGCTCTGGGGGAAAATCTGCTCCCAAGAGTATTCAGGGCATTGGCAGAATTCATTTCCTTCTAACCTTTTCCACAGTTTCCCTCTTCACCTTCAAGCTGGCAATGACTGTTGGGTCCTTCTCACACTTCAAACCTCTGACTTTGGCCATATCTCCTTGACTTTGATGAACTTGTGTGATTACATTGGGCCCACCTGGAAAATCCAGGCTAATCTCCCTATTTAAATTCTTCTGATTGTTAGCCTTAATTGCATCTGCAAAATCTCTTTTATAATCCAATGTAACATATTAATAAACACATGTGACACCAGAGAACAAAGGTTGCAGGAGCCAAATGTCTACCAATAACAACCCCAATAAAATTATTTGGCACTCTTCAAACAAAATGTAATTTTGATATCCTTAGTCTTTCCTGTTAATACATTGATATTATGTATTAATATGTTAATAATATGACATTATGGTAATGTCATAAACGACCAAAAAAATAAAAAATAAAATAAATAAAAAATAAAAATAAAAAAATAAAAAATAAATAATAAATAAAAAATAAATAAAAATAAGATATGCAGCTTCTCCTTTCTGGAAAAAAAAAAAAAAAAAGACAAAGGGAAAATTACTGGCACCTTGCTTGACAAAAGCAAGGAAAATGGCCAAGGGATAGCTTTGGAGTTTGAAATCTTTTCACCTAAATCAAAAGTACACTAGAGCTTAGAATCTAATGAACATCTATTCAATCAATAGATAGCTCTTCAATTTATTTCTGTCTAAGGATTTTCTCTTGGAAATGAGCAAAATAATTCTGAAAGGATCCAAGTATCTTCTAGGCACTTAAGTTAAACAATAATGAGTAATACAAACAGATTACAATGTTTTACATTTACAAAGTATCACTGTTGATGTTGAAGCCCAGACACCACTTTATCAATGGGTTGTTTTGATTCTCTACGTGTCTTACAATTTATAACACTGAAATGATTTAAAGCGTTTTCTCCCTCTTGGTTTGTAATGAAAGGTTAGAGTAACAGTATGTTCTCCATTCATCAGAATGCTCCCCACTGTTTTTGTAAGCTCACAATGAAAGAAGTTTGTTTTGAGCTGCATTTCAAAGAGAGAGTAGGTAGGAAATAGTTTCTATATTTAAGAATCATTCTAAATATGGTCTGAATCGATCACGGAAATTCAACGGCAAATGAGAAATGAGCTCATTTAAGAAAGCATGCAGTAAATCATGATCACTGCTATGATACAACATTTATGTTAATGATAACTTGTATTGGCATAAATGCTGGGTGTTTTTGGTGAGAGTTGAAGAAGCTGTGCATGATTCACTTTTATGTCCCCAGAGTACACTCTGCACAATAGGTGTGTTGAATAGATGAGTTCAAAGTGCATTTTTGCATCCATTTTCATCCTCATCACAATACGTGGAAGTAAGTGCACATGAGGATACTGAGGTGTAAGAATATAAGAGGCTTTTTTTTTTTTTTTTTGCCAAAGGCATATTGTAGAAGCATGCCTAATATTTAAATGCATGGCCTCTGAAGTCAGAGCTGGGACCGAATTCTGGCTCCCGTACTGTACTCAGTTGCTCGGGCTGCCATAACAAAATAACACGGGCTGCGTGGCTTAAACAACGGAAATTTATTTTCTCACGTTTCTGGAGGAGAAAAGTCCAAAATCAAGGTGTCAGCAGGACTGTTTTCTCCTGAGACCTCTCTCCTTGCCTTGCAGACAGCTATATTCTCTCTGTATCCTCACAATGGACCCTTCTACCTGCAAGTGCATGTCTGTGTTCTAATCTCCTCTTTCTCTAAGAACACCAGTCATAATGGATTAGAGCCCATCCATACAACTTTATTTTACCTTAATACCTCTTCAAAGGCCATCTCTCCAAATACAGTCCCATTCTGAGGTCCTGGGGACTAGGATGTCAATATATGAATCAATGAGAAATACAATTTAGCCCATATAGCTACTTTGTAATAGAATAATTTTAATTTCTATGAATTAGAGATTTATCTTCCTTAAAATAAGAATAATATTACTTGTAATGGGAATCACTTTTGATTGCCCAACTGCCCTTTTTTTCCTTACTAACAATGTCTCTGATTTTGTTTGAGATGGCAGTGTGTCAGACTTCCCTATATATCGCAGTGGCCATGAGACACAGTTCTGGCCAATAAAACAGAAGTGAAAGTTGCTGGTTCGGATTTCTGGATAGCTCTTTAAAAGTGGGCAGATTTATTTGGTTTCCAACTTTTGTGCTTTGTATTCTGCCTTATCTTCTTACCTGGATTTGCAAAGGTACATCAGCCATTTTACAAGCATAAGGACAAGAGCTACAGTCAAAGAGGTGGGAAGGACACTGAGAAGACTGTTGCTGATGAAGAGCTGCCATGCCCTCCCTAGAAGTCTCTCTGGACAGACCACACAAACACAGAGGACACCCACACCCCTGACCCATCTAACCCACCTGGACATTCACTTACAAATATGTTCCAACAACCAAACTTCACTAGACATTTTGAGGGAAAAAAGCCAATAGTGTAAGAAGATTCTCATAAACAAATAGCATATTCCCCATCAGTTAAAAGAGATAATTCTGTTTTTAAAAAGACTTTTAAAGGAAGTTTTCAAAACGTGTAGGTACATTCATAAATATGTAAGTTTGCTAAGACAATAGCACATTCAAAGGGCAAAAAAAGAGGAGTTCCTGAAATTAAAAATATTGCTAACTAAAAATGTTAAATAAACAGGTTGAATAACTAGAAGGACATATCGGAAGGCCAAACTGATAATGTGGAAGAAAGAGTTGAGGACATCTCTCAGGAGGTATCATTAAAATACCGAAAGACTGGAAAACATGGGAGAAGCTAAGAGGTATGAAGATGCATTCAGAAGGTCTAAGAGAAGTGCCAGAAGCAGACAGAAGAGAAAACAGACAGGGAGAAATAAATAAATAACAGAGAGTGTTTGGCTTTCTTCTTTCCAAGCATATAGTAGGATTAGACTTTCTGGCCCCTTTATGGTTGGGAGGGACTGTGTGAGTCATTTTGGCCAGTGAGTTGTGAGCAGAAGTGATGAGCAGAGTTTCTGAGCCATAGAATTTAAATACAGATATAGGAAAACCAGAGCCCCTTTCTCTCTACCATAATGCCTGACAACACTCAGGAGGGTGGCTGTTTAGAAAACCTAGGCCCTTGGAGTGAGAATGACACAGGCAGATTCTTTAACTTACTGTTACGGGAAGTGAAAAAAAGCAGATATTATTTCTAAACCATTGAGATTTGGGGATTGTTTGATCCTGTAGCAAAATACAGCCTACCCTAAGGAAAACACTCCAAATGAATGAAACCCTTAGGAGTGAAGAAGATGCATTCTCCCACTAATATGTTACCTTATGTTATTTTTAAGAAAGTCTATATATAAGGTCATACAATTAAAAGGCAATCACAAGTTTTGAAATATTTCACATATATGACAAGTGTTGCTAGTCATGATTACTTATGTTTAGTAATAATAATAACTATCATTTACTAATATTCTACTGTATGCTAGGCATTAGGTAATCATTTTTATTAAGAATACTGAGAAATTCAAACATTTTCTCAGCAAAATATTAAGTTCTCAGGAATGGAGATGTTATAACCAAAGAAAATAAAAGTGGTTAATACATAAGGAAAATGTTTAATTTACTAGTATTAACAATAAAAAGTAAAAACACACACATATGAAACTTTAGTGGGAAAATATTGCTATGCAAGGAGGCTAACCAGAATATCATTTACAGTAGTGAAAAAAAATTTTAACTGTTTAAGTGATAGAATAACCCAATAATGAACTATTAAGATTTTCTTATAATAAATATATAATGACATAGGGAAACTATCATAATATATGATGTATTGACTATATATATATACTATATATATAGACTATATGTATATTGACTATTGACTATGTACATTTATGATTTATTGACTATATATAGACTATATATATATGTAAACAGCCTATATACATATAGAGAGAGTGAGAGAGAGTCAGGATCACAGTATTAGAGACTTATTTATCCTGTTTGTTTCAATAAATCCCAGTATTATAGACTTATTTATCCTATTTGTTTCAATAAATAGGACATTGGCCATATATATAGCCAATGGTACAATAATGTACAATGTACAGTAATGGCACAATATCCTATATAATATAGAATATATTATATATCCTATAACTTTAATAATATAAATAATATAAAGTTATATCATAGGATATATGATATAATATAATGTTACAATAGCCTGTAATGTTATATCCAATATCCTAAAATGTTCACAGCTCACTTTACCTAAGTAATGGTCTCATAGAGAAGTAATTTTACAAATAACATTTAAACAATGTTTAACTGTTTAAGTGATAGGATGACCCAATAAGGGTCCATAAGATGATCCCACTACTGGGATGACCCACTAGTGTTAACAAACAAAAACTTCAAACAATACAGATATAAAGTTCCCTTTGGCCATTACTTCAGGATGAGAATCTCCCCAGAGGTAACCACTATCTTCAATTTACTGTTTATCTTTTTAGATGTTTTTCAATATACTTTCATATATATCTATGTGTATATACATGTGCTATGTTTAATAATATACATCATGTAGAACATATTTTTCTACAACTTTTTAAACTGAATAATACATCTTGAATTTTAGTCATAGAAATCTATGGTATTCCAGAGTTCTAACTCCCTATTGATAGGTATATACTCCGTAATTGTTCACTATGGCAAACATTGCTACAATGAACCTGATTGTATAGGCCTCCCTGAGTACACTTGGAAGTGCTGGAGGATTGGTATGTATATTTTTCCTTATAGTAATCACTGCAAAATTGTTTTCTTATATGACTATACCAATTTACCCTCAGATGAGCAGTATATGAGAACATAATTTCTTCTCAATCAGTGGTTCTCAACCTGGGACAATTGCCCCTCCAACCAGTGGTTTATTTGGCAAGGTCTGGAGACATTATTGGTTGTCATAACTGGAGTGGGGAGTAGTGCTACTGGCATCTCGTGACTACAGGTCAGGCATACTGCTACACTACAATGCATAGAAAAGCAACAAAGAATTATCTGGCCCCAAACGTCAATAGTGCTGAGGTTGAGAAACCCTGCTCTACATCCTAACCAACAGTTAATATTATCACACTTTCAACATTTTTACCCATATGTATATAATGGATTAAAACTGTATAAGTTTATATATCCTTAGATACTAATGAATGGTGCATCTTTTCATATTTCTTTTATTGATTAAATGTATTACCTTTTCTGTTAATTGCCTGCTCATACTGTTTGACTGAATTTGTGTCATTTTCCTGATTCATTTATACAATCTGGATCTTAATCTATGTTCTCTATGTATTTTCTCCAAATGCTTACTTCATTAATTTGTTTATGATGCTTTTTATCCTACAAAAGCTTTTAACTTTAATGTATTCAAATTAATCAATATTTTGTTGTATAACTTTTGTGTTTAAAAGCTTAATTTTAAAAAGAATGTCTTTTTTCAAGGCCATAAACATATTCTCATTTTTTCTTCTAATATGATCAAATTTTTACTTTTGTACTTACATCTTTAATTCATTTGTCAGATTTTTTGGGGGTGAATGACTCGAAGTAGAGTGAAAGCATTCTCTTTTTTCTAAATAAATAACTGTAGCCAAAACATTTTTTAAACTGGGTGATTTTCCCTATTAAGTTGTCTATAGTCATGTCTTCATGTTCTCACCTGCAATTTTTTTTCTTCATTATACTCTAGTCAGTGTTCCATTCTCACCAAACCACTGAGATGACTCATGTCAAGGTCAACAATGACTTCCATGTTGCCAGAGTGAATGGTCATTTCTCTGTCCTTATCTTACTTGACCATCGGCATGTCCCATGCAATGCACCACTCTCTTCTTGAAGCATTCTCTTTCCATGGCTTCCATGGCCCCAAACTCCCTTGGTTTATACCCCATGTCACTGGCCACTCTTTTTTAGTTTCTATTGTTGGCTCTAATTCTTTGCCTTCATTTTGATCTTTGGAGTGTTCCAGGACTCACTTCAGAGCCCCTTCTAACTATCTATTCACTCTGTCTTTAGATAATCTCATCTAGTTCCATGTCTTCTTATACTATTGATATGTCCAAGACTACCTAATCTACATGTTTATCCCTGATCTCCCCTGGAACTCTAGCACCCTTTTTCTTTCTGCTTGGCCTCTGTAAATGGATGTCTACTACGGATCTTAAACTCTACATGTCTAAATCAGAATTCTTGATCCCCTTTCCTCCAAAACTTGGTTTGCCACCAGGCATTCTTGTCAACTGTTTATCAAACCAAGAATCTAAGATGTATTCTCGATTCCCCTCTTTAATGTTCCAAATCCTATTCACCACAGCAGTCCTTTGAACTCTGTCTCAGAAACAGCACTTTCTTCTCTCCATCCCAGCAGCATCCTTCCTAGTCCAAACTATCAGCATCTCTTCACTAGACTTCTGCAGAATTTTCCTAGCAGGCTGCCTTAAAATCCATTCACCACAGTAATCCTTTTTGAATCTTTATCAGGTCACATCACTTCCCTGTCTAAAACCCTGTAGTGGCTTCCTACTGACTGCACTTAGGATAAAATTGGAACTCATTAGCGTGGCCTGTAAAGCCAGACCTGATCTAGCTCCTGCTTCTTCCTCAGCCTCATAATGCACCACTGTCCCCATCATGTGCTGTTCCCACTAGGCTTGCCTTACTTCTGCTCCTTGAATGTAGCAAAGTTATTCTCTTACAGGACTCTTGTACTAAAACCCTGCACTAACTCTGTGGTCACACTCTTCTTTCACTCTTAGCATGGCTGAAGCCAAAAAACACAATTATCTCAGCTTAAATACTATCTCCAGAGAGAGTCCTTTCCTGACTATGTAATAAAACACCCAGCTTTCCCTGGGTAGGTCCTCTATTTTAATTCTCTACAGAGTATTAATAACATTTTCTTGATTGCTTCCCATTGGTCTCTTCTATCTGTAACTTCACACCAGAATGTTAAGTTCTACAAGAGTACTGATACCCTCTTAACTTGTCCATTATCTTAGTCCATTTGGGTAGCTGTAACTGAATGCTATAGGCTGGGTGACTTATAAACAACAGAAATTTATTTCTCACAGTTCTGGAGGCTAGGAAGCTTAAGATACTGAATGCCATAGGCCGGGTGACTTATAAACAACAGAAATTTATTTCTCACAGTTCTGGAGGCTAGGAAGCTTAAGATCAAGGCGCTGGTAGATTTGGCATCTGGTGAGGGCCTGCTTCTGGATTTATAGATGACTGTGTCCTCACATGGCAGAAGAGGGAAGGGAACTCATTTTTATAAAGGCACTAATCCCATTCACGACAGCTCCATGCTCATGACCTGGTCACCTCCCCTAGGCCCCACTACCTAATACCATCACATTGGAAGTTAGGATTTCAGCAGAGGAATTTGGGAGAACACAAACATTCAGTCTATAGTATCCCATAATAAAGGACCCAGCATATAAGTTCTCAATACACATTTGGGTTTATTTTTTGAAACTCTAATCAATTCTATTGATATATTTGCCTATTTTTTCACAAGCAGCACATGCTCAGCTTCAGTATGTATTGTAATATCTAAGAGAGTAAGAACTATTCCCTATTAGATTGTTCTTTTACAAAATTGTCTTTTCTAAGGTTGTGAAATACCTATTTTACATGAATTTCAGATTCAGATTATCATGTTTCATATTAAAATCCTTGAAACTTTGAATAGTATTGCTTTGAATTTATAGATTACTTTGAGGGAAACTGACATCTATATAGTACTGAGGTTTCACTCACATTAAAAACATGATGCCTTTTCCATTTATTTAAAGATCATTTTTGTGCCCTTTGATTTAATTTTAGTTTCCTTTTTATTGTTTTTGAGGCTCTTTATAGGTGATTTATATACTTTTTAAAAACTGCTGGGAATGTACATTTTTCTATTACACTCGTTAATTTCCAGTGCATAGGAGAGCTCTTTTGTCTAGACCTATCGAGGTATTTTATTTGATCTAAAAGGGCTTTATTTTCTAAAGGAGATGATCACATTATTTCACAGAATATATCTTCAACTTTTGAAGATATCATATTGCATACTGCATTCTTGAGGCTGAGACTTCCAGAAAAATGCCAAGTAGGAATATTAATGTGGGTATCCCTGTCTTGCTCCATGTATTCACGGAACCATCATTCAATATGATGCTTGCTCTAAATGTTTGGTAAAAATCTTTTATTGAGTTAAAAATGTTCCCTTTATAATCTTGTTATAACTTTAAAGATAGTGTTTTAAATACTATTTTTAAGAAATCAGCTTTATAATAAGGAAGAACTGAAAAAATGATCATAGGTTTTACAAAAATTCTGCAACGTTTTAACAATAATGCCTAATTGTTGAGCTTCCTTTATGAGGCAGAGTACTTAATATTTTTGATACTTTATTCTAACCATCAGAGCACTTCTACAAAGTGGAATATTTTTCACCATTTTAAAAAAATGAGGAAGTTTTCGCTCAGAGACTCAAGTAATTTATCATAGGTCACAATATCTAGTAAGCAATTAGGCAGGGATTTATAGCCACTGTATCTAGCTCCAAAGCCCACAATCCTCCCACATATTCCATTTTTAATTCAGTGAGATATTAGGCCAAGTCTTTCAACAGTCACTGGAGGAAAAGATAACAAATGTGCCCTGGATTTATGGGATAATTGATAACTATACCCAAAGTATGTCTATCTTAATGCCAATTCTAAAGGAGATTTCGAAGTAAAAATTCATACAGACCTGTTTTTGCCTTTAATGGCTATATCTTTTTAAATGAATGGCTTACATCAAGGAAAAAAAGAAAAAAGCAAAGACAACCAAGTTGAGCAGGTCAGTAAACACAGAACACAGATTCAAAAACAACTGAAGATGGTGCACGCCCATAGTCCCAGCTACTCAGCAGCCTGTGATAGCAGGACCACTTGAGCCCAGGAGTTCGAGGCTGCAGTGAGCTATGATCTCACCATTGCACTCCAGCCTGGGTGATAGACTGAGATTTCCATGTCTTAAAAAAAAATTTTTAAAGCAAAACCAAAAACATCTAAAGCGCTAAAATGTTGGGCCAAAAGAAGCAAGGAACATTTCAAATGGTTAGAAGTAAAGATTTACCATTAGGTTAAAATAATGAAAGGCATACAAATAGGATGTGAATAACTATAGTCCCTGTGAAAAAGACTTAGTGGCTTAAACCAAAAGCTAACTTTGCGTAACACGGTTGCCAAGTACATTGAATACAATTTCAGTATACATGAATATCATTGTTATTGACCATAGCAAAAGGTTAACAGTACCACTCTCCATATCTAGAAATACATATTTAGTTGTAGTCTTTATATTTAAATTGGTTATAACCCAGTGAAGACGCAAATCACTACTAGGTATTTATCTCATCAGGCTCAGGATGGAGAAAATTTCAGAGGCAACGGAGAACTCCAAGACTTTCCATATTGGTTAGATTACTCCTGGGAAACAGGAAGTCCATAAAACAATGCATGACTCGTGGCCTCCACCTCATCAGAATTGGAACAGTCACCATTAAAAACTCATCCTTACATCTTTTGGGGAACCTAAGAGTTCCTATCCCTACTTACCGCCACTCCTGTCTTATAGAGGAGGTAATGCACTGTCTGTGTAACATCGGCAGCGTGCATTAAGTTATGGTAAGGATTTTTGTGCTTGCTGTATCCCACTTCCAGGGCCTCCACAAATGAGACAAGTGCAGAAATGGGGATCTGAAAGAGAGCAGTAAGGTTAATTAACTAGTGACTTCACTGCTTTCAATGGAGACACAGAAGTCTAAGGCACCAGGACTGCTTTTTCTCTGAAGGCATAACACATGAGGAAATTGGAACTTACACAGTTAATAAAAATTACTGACAAAATTATCAGATAATTTGAAAATCTAACAGGAAGTCCTTGGTTGAGAAATAGCCTGCCTTGTAAATTTTTCTTTGTTGCTCATTTTAGAATCCCTGAGAAATGACATCTGATCATTTTAAGATACTTAGTTTTAGTAACATGTAAAGCAGTAATTTTTAATACACACATAGAAAACTGAGTTGTTGGTGACTATGTTAATTTTCTGTATTTCCTTGTCCTCCTCTACTCTTAAATACCCTTCCCCTCTAACCCTAAGGGAAAAAAAGATGCTACATAGGACACCAAACAATGTTGTAAATAACACTGAGGAATTCAAAAATAATACTAATAATTAGTAACCATTTGTGGAATCATTCACTATTTGTAATGTAGTATCAGTAGAATGAAATCTTCCAAATTCCAAGTCACTAACAATAAATTGCCAAGTAACAAACATAAGAACATAGCCTGTTTCTGTTCCCATATATAACAGACTATCGCATTTTGGTTTTGAGTTTTGTTTTTGCTTGGTTTTGGGTTTTGATTTTGTTTTGTTTTTCTTATGTGTCCAATGTATATAACCACTCCTTTCAAAGGGCATTGTTTTCAGGCAGTTTATATTTGTTTTGCAATAATTTTATAACTTAAGATTTTTGTGCACTTTGTTTTCCTACAAATGAGATATGCTGCATAGTATGTATTCATTTATTTCTCAACGAATAAAATACTTCAGTCTTTATTTGCAACTACCAGTCACTCAGAATATTTCCAATTAGATTAATTGTTTTGTCGTCTGAAATATGTATAATATACATGCCTTCCTTTTCTATGTAACAGCGAAGAACATTGCAAAATGCATATACAAAATAAGGGCATCCAGAAAACTTTCATTGTATTAGTTTTCTGGATCCATTCCATGGTTCAGGGTAAATTATACAATATAAGGCTAGGGGAAAAGGAGAGGATATGTCTTCCTGAGGATTAACAATTACATTTGTGAAAAAAAAATAAGGAAAATGCTAAGTTAATACTCCTGAGATTCCATAATCTGTTCTCCCTTGGTCATATTCTTCCATTTTACCATTTGCAGAATTTTAAAAATTAAAATACAACCTTTAAGAGGTCAGAGATGAATTCATTACCATTTTTAAAAATAAAGATCCAATGAACCTGGGCTCCTTGGGTTGTTTCACAGAGATCTAAGAGTCGCTGAAAGGGCTGTGTGTGTGCACAGGAACTTTGTTCCAAGGAAAGTCTCCAGCATCCTCTCCAGCATCCACAAGATTTTCATACAGATTTCCGATGCAAAGAAAAATTAAGGACCTAAGGACCATGGCCATGAAGTATTTGTGGTCATGTAAAGACATATTTCCTCAGTGGGAGGGGCTTCAAGATGGCTAACTATAGGCATCTGGCACTCACCTCCTCCACAAAAAAGAACCAAAATAGCAAGTAGATAATCACATTTCAAATAGATTATCCAACACTAGAATTCAACAGAGAAGTAAGAGGAAACACCTAAAGCAAGGAAGGAGAGAGAATCAAGGCATGGATTGGCTGGAATCCTGGAGAGGCTATCTCTCCAGCGAAAAGAAAGGTAAGTGAGTGATGGCTAGCAGTCCACATTCCCACCTTGGACTCCTGTATCCTAGCCACCAGAAAGCCCCTAAACCCTGGCAGACCCTGAGACTAAGACAGGGAGCTGTCTGGAGATCACATGAAGACATTGCTCCATACAGGGAGCTCATGCTGGGTCCCACACATCCCCTAACCCCCTACCCAGCTACAGCAAGGCACCATATTGAGAGCCCAGCCCCCACCAGACTGCATACTACCTGGGGGCTCAATAGTCCTTGTATCCCCATAACTCTGGAGCCCCATTGACATTCTCTGCCTGCAGCCACAACTGTGGCTGGCTGTTGCCTCCAGGGATGAAGTATGAACCATCAGCAAAGACTGCACTGCCCCCAGGAACAAACCCACCATGCAAGTTCATGCACCCTAAGGACAAAACCCCCCACCTGCAGCAGCTTCCATGGAGGGCTGCTGCAGCCATGACCAAAGCACAAGTGAAGTGCATGCTCCCCAGCCACCCGTATACAGCTGCTGCCACTGAAAGCAACAATACCCTCCACAGTAGCAGGGCTGCAGATCCAACAGGCCCAGTTCCACACCTTCCAGTGCCTCAACACACCATCTGGGGGCCTGAGGATAGCCCAGTCCAGTCCACTACTATTGGGAACTGAGTACTCATCTCAAGCACCTGAGGTCAGGCCCACTCAAACTGATGCTGCCATCACAGCTGGCACCCACCTATACATGCCACCTGTGAGCCTGGAGACTGGCCCACCTAGCCTGTTGTAGCCACCTCTATGATGCTTGGAACTGAGGGGTTAGTCTCACCACTGCTACTTCCAATGCTCATGCCATGCCTACTGTTCAGGGGACTGAGAAGCCCCCAATCCACTTGGCCCACTGCTGCCACCACTGGCTCCTGAGCAAGCCACCTGGAAGCCCAAGAATCAGGCCTCTTGGATCTGCTAACACCAGTGCAAGTGTAGAACTCCCTGGGGCCCAAGGCATGGGACAGGCATGCTTGGCCCACCACTGCCACTACTGGGGCCCAAGGTCAGGCCCAACTGGCATCCCATCTCCAGTGAAACTTCACCACAGCCTCCACTAACAATTACACTCTAAGCTACTGAAGAAATCACGTACACTGCTGACACGGTTTACAGCCAAAGGAATCATACAAAGACTGCACTACTACACACAGCCAGAATTAAAGCCAAAGTTCTCTACTCAACCAACATCATAGATACTTCTTCAGGAAAAAGTCTTCCCATGTGAAAGCAAATTTTAAAAATGGAAATAAGTGACTGTTTAACAAGATGCAAAGATATTGACACAAGGACACAATAAACATTTATAAAGCAAGGAAATATGACACTTCCAAATGATTGACTAATTACCCAGCAAGAGACCCCAATCAAAATGAAATTTACGAAGTCTTGGATAAATAATTCAAATTATTGATTCTAAAGAAGCTCAGTGATATACAAGAGAATACATAAAAATAATACAAAGAAATCAAGAAAACAATTCAGGATATTAATGATAAATTTACCAAAGAGATAGCTATCATACAAATTAGCAAAGAGAAATTATGGAATGGAAGAATTCATTTAATGAAATACAAAATACATTTGAAACCTTCAACAGTAGACTAGACCAAGCAAGAAGAAAAAAGTTCAGAACTAGAAGACAGGTCTTCACAAAAAATGCAGTCTGGCAAAAATAAAGAAAAAAGAATAAACAAAGCCTATGTGGCGAATGGACCACCATTAAACAACCAAATATTTGCATTTTCAGGGTCCCCAAAAGCAAAGAGGAAACAAAAGAGTCAGAAAACCTATTTAACAAAATACTAGTGGAAAAATTCCCAAACGTAGCAATAGACTTAGACACCCAGACACAGGAAGCTCAAAGATTCCCAAACAGATACAATTCAAAAAGATCTCCACAGCACATTAGAGCCAAACTGTCAAAATCAAAGACAAAAAATTCTAAAAACAGCAAGAGAAAAACATGTAGTCACTTATAAGGAAACCTTCATCAGATGAACAGAAAATATCTCATTAGAAACCCTACAGGCAAAAAGATAATGGGATAATACAGTCAAAGTCCTAAAAGAAAAAAAAAAAAGCCAACCAAGGATGCTATATTGAGCAAAGGTATGCTTCATTAATGAAGGAGAAATAAAGCCTTTCCCACACAAGCAAATGCAGAGGGAATTCCTTATTACTTGACCAGACCTACAGTGAATGCTTAAGGGAGTCTTACGCCTGGAAACAGAGAAACAACATCTACCATCATGAAAATGCAAAAGGAAAAAACTCACTGGTAAAGCAAATACACAAATGAGGAAGAGAAAAGACCCAAATGTTACCACTACAGAAAACCACCAAACCACAATTATAAATAATAAGAATGTAAGAAAGGACATACAACACAATCTGAAATTAATTAATAAAATGACTGGAATAAGTCCTCACATATCAATAGCAACCTTGAATGTACATCAATTAAACTTCCCACTCAAAAAATAGACTAGCTAAATGGATTAAAAATAAATCCATGACCCAACTATATGTCGCCTATAAGAAACTCTTTTCACCTGTAAAGACACATGTAGACTGAAAAGAAAAAGACATAAAAAATATTCCATGCAAATGGAAATCAAAAGCAAGCAGGAGTAGCTATACTTATATCAGATAAAACAGACTTTAAGTCAAAAATGGTAAAAAGAGACAAAGAAAGTCATGGTATAATGAAAAAGGAATCAATTCAGCCAGAGGATATAACATTTCTAAACATACACACACCCAAAAGTGAAGCACCCAGATGTATAAAGCAAATATTACTAGACCTAAAGAAGAGAGAGACTCTAATACAATAATAGTTTGAGACTTCAGCACTCTATCATAGCATCAAACAGAACATCTATACAGAAAATCAACAAAGTTGGATTTAAACTTCACATTAGACCAAATGGACCTAATAGACACTTACAGAACATTTTATCCAACAGCTACAGAACACAAATTTTTCTCACCAACACAAAGAACATTTTCCAGCCTAGACCATATGTTAGGACACAAAATAAGTCTCAAAAAATTAAAAATCAAAATAATATCAAGTGTCTTCTCAGATCACAGTAAAATAAAACTAGAAATCAATAACAAGAGGAAATTTGGAAACTGAACAAATACACGGAAATTAAACATGTTCCTGATTTACCATTGGATTAAGAAAGAAATTAAGGAGAAAATAAAAATATTTTTAAGGCAAATGAAAATCTAAACATATCAAATGCTATGGAATACTGCAAAAGCAGTGCTAAAAGGGAAATTTTAGCAATAAATGTGTACATCCAAAAAGTAGAAAAATTCCAAATAAACAATCTAACACTGTACCTCAATGAAAAAGAAAGCAATATCAAACCAAACTGAAATTAGTAAAAAAACAAAATAATGAAGATCAGAGCAGAATTAAATGAAATAGAGACTAACAAAACAATGCAATGGAGCAATGAAATGAGAAAAGTTGTTTTTTTGAAAAGACAAACAAAATAAATAAATTGCTAGCTAGACTAACAAAGAAAAAAAAGAGAAGATCCAAATAAACAACATCAGAAGTGAAAAGGGAGATATTACAACTGATACCACAGAAACACAAAAGGTCATCAGAGACTATTATGAACAACTATGTACTAACAAACTGGAAAACTTAGAGGAAATGGATAAGTTCCTGGACACATACAACTTACCAAAATTGAATCATGAGGAAATTGAAAACCTGGACAGACCAATAATGAGTAATGAGTTTGAATCAGTAATACAAATTCTCCTGAAAAAGAGAAGTCTAGGACCAGATGGCTTCACTATCAAATTCCTCCAAACTTTCAAAGAAGGACTAACATCAGTTCTCCTCAAACTATTCCAAAAAATTGAGGGGCAATTTCTCCTTCTCCCTAACTAATTTTACATTGCCAGCATTTCCCTGATACCAAAACTGGACAAGGATGCAACAACAATAAATCAAAATTACAGGCCACTATCCTTGATCACACTACATAAATTCAAAATATGTTACAAGGCTATAGTAACCAAAACACTATATATTATTTTATGGTATTAGTATAAAATAGTATTTTATGGTATTAGTATAAAATAGTATTTTTAGTATACTTTTATGCTAATAGTATATTTTTATACTATTAGTATAAAAAATAGTATTTTCTGGTATTAGTATAAAAACAGACACACAGTCCAATGGAATAGAATAAGAAACCCATAAATAAATCCACGTATTTGCAGCTAACTGATTTTTGACAAAGGCACCAAAAACTTACAGAAAGGACCCCTTCTTCAAGAAATAACTCTGGGAAAATTGAATATCCATATATAGAAGAATAAAACTAGACATCCATCTCTCATCATATACAAAAATCAACTCAAAATCTATTACGGACTTAAACATAATACTCAAAACTATAAAACTACAAGAGAATAAAACACTTCAGGAAATTGGTCTAGGCAAAGATTTTATGGCTAACACCTCAAAAACACAGGCAATAAAAACAAAAATAGACAAATGGGACTATATTAAACTAAAAATCTTCTGCACAGGAAACAATCAACAGAGTAAAGAGACAACCTGTTAAACAGGAGAAATATCTGCAAAATATTCATCTGACAAGGGACTAATACCCAAAATGTACAGGAAACTCAAACAACTTGGTAAAAATAACAAATAATCCCATTAAAAAGTGGGCAAAGATATAGACATTTCTCAAATGAAGACATATAATGGACAATGGGTACATGAAAAAAATGCTCATTATCACTAATCATCAGGGAAATGAAAATCAAAAGCAAAATGAGATATCATCTTACCCCAGTAAGAATGGCTGTTATGGTTAAAAAAAAAAAAAAGATGCACTGGTGAGGATGTAGAGAAAAGGGAACACTTCTACAACGTTGGTGGGAATGTAAATTGGTACAGTCACTATGGAAAACAGTGTGCGGATTTCTCAAAAAAAAAATTCTAAAAGTAGAACTACCATGCAATCCAGCAATCTCACTACTGGGTATTTATTAAAAAAGAAAGAAAGAAAGAAAGAAATCAGTGTATCAAAGAGATATCTGCACCCTCATTTTTATTGCAGTACTATTCACAATAGCTAAGATATAGAATCAAGCTAAGTGTCCACCAGTGGATGAATGGATAAGGAAAACTTGGTATACAACCATAATGGAATACTATTCGGCCATAAAAAAGATGAAATCATGTCATTTGCAGCAACATGGATAGAATTGGAAGTTATTACATTAAGTGAAATAATCCAAGCATGGAAAGACAAACAGCACATGTTCTCACTCACATGTGAGAGCTAAAATTTGATCTTATGCAGTCAGAGAGTAGAATGATAGATACTGGAGGCTGGGATGTGTGTGGGGGTATAGGGGGTTGGTGATAAAGAGGGATTGGTTAATGGGTACGAACATACAGTTAGATAGAAGGATTAAAGTCTAATGTTCAGTAGCAGAATAGGGTGACTACAGTTAACAAGAATGTATTGTGCATTTCAAAATAGCTAGAAGAGAGGACTTGAAATGTTCCCAACACATAGAAATGATAAATAATGCGGGTAATGGACACCCCAAAAACCCTGACTTGATCATTACATAGTCTATGCGTGTAACAAAATATCACATGTACCCTATAAATATATACAATATTTGTACCAATTAAAAAACAGATACCTCTCCAAATACACAGTCCCTAGGAGAAAATAAAGAACCACATCTCCGGAGAAATCAATATGTGGTACAGAAAAAGACTTGTGTTTTCCAGAGGCTCATCCCTTTGATGAGGGAAGTCAGAGGAGCTTGATACCATAGATGTTGGCAGATGACTACATCAACTCCCTGAGGATCTGACCCCACCTCGAGAGTCTACAGTATTAGAAGGCTGTAGGGAGTTGAACACTGGAAATGATTCAAGTTCTTTATGTAAAGTTGAAGAATCAATTTGAAGCATGAATGGCTGGAAAATACCAATGACCTGTCACAGATGATAAGTGATAGTATTTGTCTGAATGAGCCAAGTGGTGGGAAAAAAAAAAGTTTACAGAGACAGCAGATGTTCACTCTGTCTCCACTACTGCCCCTCTGACAGCGTTGGTCAATAGGACACAAAGTCATGTGGAAATGAGACCTTTGGGCAGAGCCTGAAAGGGAGCTTGGTTATTACAGGCTTTGGGTTGTACTTCCAGGAAGACCAGAATCTAAATGGGTCTCTCCTGTCTCTCCCATGCCGCTGAGACCCACCAGCAAGGGCGCAATCAAAATCACCCTCCACAGAGGAATTCACAGCAGTGGCTATCCGAAGGATGCTTCCTCAGTCGCCTGGAGCAGTTTTCATTCCGCATATTAAAATAGTCTGAACCCAAAAGTCATATGAGGATAAACATATGCATGTAGTTTATTTATTTTTTCTTTTTAAAGAGGTACTGACCTTGAAACGGCTGATCAGATCATAACGTGTGAGTAGTTCATAGAAAATAAATTTCAGTGCATGATCCCCACTGGCCTCATTGAGGGAAAAGACGTCAAAGGACCACTTGTCCACATCCTGCAGGACAGGGTGGGGAGAAAGAACACATTAGCCCACAGACACTTACACACCTACCAGTCTCCTCACTTTCAAGTCCGCCTGCAGCCCTCACTGGAGATTTCACAGTGTGACACTCAAACAGACTTTCCACTCTCAAACTTTTTCCAATCTGGCTAGTCTACATAGTATCTACTGTTAAAAAAATTAAATAGTCTTATTACTAATACAAATAGCCATAATTTATTGAGTACCTACTGTATGACAGGCATTATGGTTGGTGATAAATATGTAAATTATCCTGAAAACAACTCTAAGTGATAGATATTAGTCGCATTTTATGGATAAGAAAACTGATAAATTACCTAATTTCCCTAACACCCAAGGTGCGTAAGTGCTAGAGATACAGGCAGGGCCAGAACACAAACATAGGTTGGATGCCTAAGATCAGTTGCTTTCCATTAAGCCCTGCAGCTGCTACTGTTTAATTCACTACAGCCTACGATGCTTCTCTTCTCTGAACTTCTCTGCAATCCCTTGACACTATCCAATGACTTCCTCTAAGTTTACAGTTAAGAATGTTAACTCATTTAGAAGTGTTCAGAAACATGCATGATGTAGAACACAAAACAATATGCCACATCAATCGAAACTGCTGAGCTGAAACCAAAAAGAAAGCATTCATTTCATATGACAGAAAAATGCTACCATTTCTGGAGTCACTAGTCTGGGATCTTGTCCTCAAATCTGTTAGTCACTTTACTGAAAAAAAGTAAAAGGAAAAACTAAACTGAACACACACCTTATATACCATCCCTGAAGTTCAAAGTCTTTGCCTGTAAATAGCTACTCCAAAATATATGTAAATACAGTCTGTTGAGCTTTGGCTTATCATAACCAACTTCTTGTGGATGTAGTAAACAAAGATTTATTTAAGCAATGGTTAAAGCAACAGTCATTTGGCTTTTCACAGCACCAAAATCTCACTTCCCGTGGTTAGGTGAAGCATATTCACTTGAGCTTGACAGCAAGGATTCACATGAGACCACACTGCCTACAGGCAAGGTGTCAGATGGTACACTGGCAGAGACCTTGGTTCTCATGAGTGACTCTCACCCCAGCCCTCACTGAATTCCAACATAATCCATCCATCCTAATTTTGTTCCTGACCAAACATTCCAACTGTCAAATTCATCCCAAGGCCATCAAGGGTCTCCCTCCTGGATGCTAATAAACTGTTTTCAGGGAAAATAGAATTGCATATAGGAAAATCAGACTTTTCCAGAGGGGTTTAAATTGAATTGTTCCAATTCACACTTAGTGGTAACCTCACTTAAGTCTTCAATAACTGCCCCTCCATTAAAATAACCAAAGAAATAGTGACAGGCACATTTCTGTGAGCACATTTTCTGTGCTAGGCACAGTGTGAGTGTTTACACGCATTTGCAAAACCTCGCAAGTCTAGAGATAGGTGTTACTTTCTCCAGTTTTATAGATGGCAACCTCAGAGAGATTAATTGAAATGTCTAGTGCCATAAGGTAGCAGAGCCAGGTAATAACCTCACCAATGACCCTTAATGATCTCACTGCCAACAGATGAAATTGTAAATGCCATGAATATGTGCTGTGACCCAGGCCTCATCCCTTTAATATCCCACTAGGGCGCAGGCTATAGACAGCAAGGACACTTAAGATTAACCTAAGACCTAAAGCTTTACCTTGGTTACTATCATTGGCACTGCCATGAGTCACATACATTGTCTTATCTTTAGTCCTAAGGAAAAAGTCACTGACAACTGAGTAGGCTGGAAAATGCTGTGTCACTTCTGACAATTTTTAATCCTAGTGTCCAGAAAGGAAAGGGCTCTCTATCACTAGAAATAAAGAGATTATCATGATAAAAAGCCAAGATTTATTCTGAATATCAGGACTTAGAGAACAAAGAGGATGAGCAAATAGAGACAGTGAGACGGATGTCCTCTTTGGTCCCTCATGTTAGGGAAGGCTTAGCTGTAATTCTCAGTCTAATGTTCTTCAGAACCAGTTGAGGGGCTTGGCCAAAATATGGACCCTCCAGTGGGGACTCCAGAGAATCCTGCTGTGGGGCCTGGAATCCGCATTTTTAACAAGTACCCAGTTTAACTGCCTTCAACCATTCTTCCTCATTCACCAAATTTTGCCCAAGGACACTTCCTGTAGAGAAATTGCAGGAACTTCCTGTTAGTCTAACACAAAGGAAGCGTGAACCTCCTCATCTCCTCCCACTTTAAGCCTGGAGTCTTTCCAAGGTGTCACTTCCTGAGTCACAAAACAGATGCCCTTCTAAAGAAGAGCACACAGCTACATTTCCATTAGGCTAATCTCAGAAGACAAGAGGTAGAACACCTCAAGTTAGAAGCTTACATCTATATATATATATATATATATATATATATATATATATATATAATGGAAAAAGTAAAATAACATAATGCAACATGTTTCAAATTTAGAGACTGATTCATTACTATCTTACTTAAATATCATTTTATGTCATGTTCTTACGTTAACCACAAAGGTTAACATGACAGTAGCATAAGGGTTATTTTAGGGAATTGTATTCTCTCAGTCTTTAGGGAAAATTTCTGTAATAAAAGAAAGCAGTAATGATTCCATATGAACTTCTGGCAATGAAGTGGAAATAATCTTTTTTCTAACATGTAGTACATAAAGAAAGAAACAAAAGAGTCTATATCTGTGATCGCTCCAACTCATTGCAAACAAAATCAGCCTCTGGAGAAGTGGAAAAAACATTACATTGTAAAAAGCTTTGAACTTCCCCAGTAAACAGGGGACATAGCCAAGAGAAATAGCAGCTTCAGCTTTAATGCACATATCAACAATATATGTGAGGAGAAGTAGCAATTTATTTAGAGAGCTAGTAGGTCTTCCTTATCTGAATAATCTAAGTACCTGTCCCCTCAGACAACATGTGTGCATCTGAGATTTTCTTTTCTCTAAGTATAAAATAACAATTCATGCACATCACAGTTTGTTCCAATTCTTTCTCAGTTATTCTGCATAGAAAAGAGGCTTCAATTTGGATAGAAAAGAGGCTTCAATTTGGAAGAAACATTTTCGTAAATGTCTTGGTACCAGTATACCCTCTTGTATTTATGTTCCCGATAAAGGAAAAAATTAAAGACAATAATGATGCTTTTAATGTTTCTAAGAGTTTGATTGAACATTCAGGTTCAATTATGAAAATTAATACAACTTCATAGTGGATGTTAAGAAATATCAGATTTCCTGAAGTGATTTCACTGATTAAAATGGGAAATATCACTGTACATTACACTGAAGTATTGGGCATCAGATTAGGGGTTAAAGAGGAATGGGAGAAAAGATACATCTTCTTGCTGGGTCCTTCCTGAGTATCCTTCCTGCTTTTAAGATTAGGTAAGAAGAGACGGAAAGGGTAGAGACAAACAAAGGAGAAATGAGAATCTGTGTATATATGGTCTCTCAAATTCAGCTAGTAAATGTCTCTGAGACAAGAGAAAGGCCTATGAATACATAATCAAGATTGTCCCAAGGGGCTCTTTCTTGACATTAAATTAATCAAGAAGCACTCCCCACCCCCTAACTCCATGAATAGGTAATTTAGCTTCTGAAAATATCACCTTTTTCAGGTTTTGGAGAAAGAAAACAATGGCTTTAGCAAAGGTCAAAATGCTACAATGTCCCTAAGCACATGGCCCAAGTCCATACATAGACAACATGTGATGTCAACAAACTCAGTGATCTTGGGCTACAGGATCAGCAACACATTGGAATCCAGAAGCCAAATCAAGTTTAGCAAATCTCAAATACCCTCAGACCAATGCCTTCAGGAATGCATCTGCTTTGGGGCTGCTGGAGATATTCTATACAATTCCAAGAACTTGCCTGACTAGAGGTAATTCTGCAGGATTTAGCCCATTTAAACTCAAGCATTTGTATGACTTCCATGGGAACATTTGGCTCAGTGAGAGTCTTTGGAAAACAATGGGCTATATAGATGGGACAAAGGCTCTCAGGCCATACGTTCATGCAGTAAAACATTACTAAGAGCTTACCATGTGCTGAAAACTCTGATATCAAACATTAGCTCTGTCTCTAATTAACTCTTTTTTTTTAAATCTTGCTGAGTCTCGGTTTCTTCATCTATAAAATGGACTTGGAGTAGGTAATCAGATAATGGGACAATTGCAAATACTGAAGATCCTCCTAATGCTGAATACTTACAGCCATAACATATTTGATCTCGTATGGCAAAATCAGATAACTCTCATAATGACAGATCACTGTATAAAATCTAAACTACTCTAGAGTACTAGAAAGAAATGAAACCCACACAGAGTTTGATTGTTTTTAAATTGGGAAGATGAAGGGTGAAAAGACAGTGATACTGTTAGAACAAATAATAAAAAGATAATGAAAGAATAAAGTCAGGAATAACTGGAAAAGTAACTGTAAATGAAAGCCTCTTATTTTCTAACAAATTTAACTCTACTTTTTATTAGGTACCATGTACATTGTAAAATCTTTTCACTCGTATTACCTTTAATGCCTCAATAACAGCTGGTGGATAGCTCAGTCCAACCATGTTTGATGTCCGTCTATACATTCTGAAAAGCCAAAAGGGAAAAATGCAACATGATATCTTATAAAGTAGGATTTGTAATCCACAGACTCATACCAAGTATTGACAAATAATAAGAAGTCAAGTGGGGTGATCCAAAGAACCTAAAATTCATTTTTTGACATTTTTAATATTCACTCAGGTGGTCTAAGTGTTAAATTCAAAAGAAATTAAAGCAATCCCAAACATATGAACCATGGGGGAAAAAAAACCTAACTCTATAGGCCCCAGACTGGAAATTGAATTATTAAATGGGTCACTTCTTCCGCCAGAGTGAATTATAGTACAGAATAGACAGTAAGCAGAGTAGTAATTTAGCCTGAATGAAGAACTCCTATGGGTAACCCATTTAGAATAGCTTGTTCTTTAGAACTGTCAAAAACAAGAAGGAAAAATGTCCCAGGTAATCTTTAAACTTACCGTGGTGTTTCTAAAATGTATAATTACACTATAAGGATTATAGGAAGAATATATCTATTTCTGGAATCTATTGCTGGGTAAGGAGGTCAATTTGATTTCAAAGAGTAAAATAGCTAATAAAACTGAAGTGTCTTGGGGACTTCAAACCACTGAAATGAACTGTCTTCCCTGGGCCAGCAACCTCAAAGCATCCCAGATCTGTTTCAAATGGAGACATCATCCACCTATTTCAAAAGATGATAGATGAGATGATTTCCTGCTTTAAAAATTAGAGACTGAACTCAAACTAAATCTTCTCTGGTAAACAAAAAAATTCTGAGCAAAAGCAAAAGCTTTTCCTAATGATGCTACAGAGATTAAAATAGATATGTTTTTGCCATTTCTCATTCAAGACTATCTGTTTCTACCCACAATTTTCAGTATTTATAAAGATAGGAAAACTACATTAAAGCAAAGCTTCCAGTTATTGGAAACGTGTTGCTTTGGCTGCTTTAGTCACTAAATGACAATGAATGACATCTTTACCTCTCCACAAATATCCCAGCCTGCACTGCGTGAACGATGCTCTTGAACCGGGGCTTCTCGTCGCTCCTCCTGAGCATCATCCCCATCTGCCGCGTGAAGGTGGAGGCCAGCCAGTCTCGGACCTCAGAAGGCACAGCATCTGACTGAATGTCACTGAGCTCATCCTCTGTATCCAGGAGTCTCCTGAACACAAGAAACAGAATCAGCACACTGAGATTAAATCTGAAGTTGGAGCTCTCTGTTCAAAGCAGCTGCTCCTCTCTGCCTCACCTGCATGTTAGGTGCAAAGAAACCAAATTAAATTGGCCACAAAAAATACAGTGCCTTTTTGGTAAGGCTTATGTAAGCTCGCCATGTGTGTTTCGCGATGGTCTTGGCTTCCACTGATATTTCAGGATGGTTCTCTCTACCAGACTGGACAAAGGAACTGGTCCATTGTACCCAGAAGCACTCTGTGGCATTTGAGTGAAATTTAAACCTTCTATTTAAAAATGCCTTCACAGGGAGCCTTGTATTATTTCATAGATGGACCATGTGACGTTATTTTGTTTAAAAATATAAATGGATACTTAAGAGACTTTGCAAAGTATTTACCAAATCACAGCAACCCAGTCCTCTGAAGTAGTGATCCTAAGTGATGACAATTAAGATTCTTTCCAGGTTGCTACCAAAATTTAAATGTCTAAATTCAAGGAAAATTTTCAAAATAATGCAGTTCTTTATTTGCGCACAATGATTTAATCATCTAATAGCTGTGTTTTGCTGATTTTTCAAACTTGTTCATAGGTCAGACCACTAGAATCGAACACAAAGAGCAATGTTAAAATAAAACCTAAAATAGCATGTCATATTTACAGTAAACCCAACTAAAAATCATCAGTAAAAGTAGCTGCCAATGTAAAGGTGTTTGGATTTTTTTTTTCCTTTAGACTTACCAATTGGGGTGGAGGTAAGCGGAGGAAACATAACATTTGGAAAAAAGCTATGATATCGAATTTCCTTAAATTAGAAACCAAGTGTGTCAGCAAAATAATAATAATAGTAAACCATACAAATCTTAGATTACTGTGAAATACTTTCAGATTGGAATTTGGCAAATAAAAGACATCACAAATACTGACAGAGAAGCCTGTCTAAATTAGGGGGAAAAAAAACCACACCTTTCGTATTCAACATTTCAACATTTTTCAAAAGAAATGCAATTTTATAACTTTCAAACGTATGTAGTAACTGAAACCGCTTTAATACGTTTAGATAATTCAAGTGGAATAAACCTGCTAAGTAAATCAGCGACATACGTAAGACTGAAGAGGGAATGCTGGGTGCTTAAGAGAACACATGCTTCTCGATCACTTCAGGAGCCTCCATTTACTAATGGACATTATGAATTAAAACATAAACTCAATTTTTAGACTAACACTAAAAACATACAATAATTACAATGGAGCTCTATATCTGATTTTTAAAATCTTAGTGGATTTTTAAAAATTCGTTTTTCTCCTCTTTCATGATCTCACTTCCTTGTCATGGCGGCCATATGAGATTTGTTCTATTAGCTCCTTTTATAGATGAGGCGGTACAGAGAGTAAGTGACTTGTCCAAATCTATCCTCTTTGTTTGTGGAAACTAAAACTCAAAGATGAGTAATTTGAATGTCACCCCATTCCTGGCATGGGGGACAATTTCAGAAAAGCCATTTAAGAGAAAATTTACTATCACTATACTAATCTCTTTTGTTATTTTTAGCTTACCTTGTTTCATCAATATACACAGATTCAAGCACTGTGGCTGCATATTCCAAATTCTTCTTAAGATCTACCACTGAAGCTTCCCCTCTCTCTAATTGTTTGACCAAAGACCGTAATCTAGAAAAATAAAAAGACATAATTTCATTAGAATAGAGGAAACAAAGAATAATCCTACAACTATGGTGATACATTTTACAGTCATCGAATATTCTCACTTATTCTGATACATCTGAAAGGAAAATAATTATGGGACCAAAGGAGCAGGTAATAAAATAAATGTATACATTTTTGCCATTGTGAAGTAAGAAGAAAAAATTTCTCTCCAACCAGGCACTGACCATACTTTCTAGCTAGCTTTTATCTTTATGAATCCTAAATTATCAATGATTTTGCTTTTTCTCAAATTTTCATCTTTTTTGTTCTATGTGGATGTAGTAAAGCCTGACCAGCAGCAAAATCACCAAATACCTCTTGAGATTCTGCTCTGTTGAAGGCACTTGGTCCAGCAGTGGCCCCAGATAATGGCAGCCCCATGACCCAGGCATGTCCCAAGACAGATGAAAACATATAAACCACTGAGAACCACAAGAGGGCTACAGAAGGAATAGATGAAAGTAAATTGTTTTACTGGACAGAAAAAATCACTCTGAGAGGAGATAAATACCCTAGTTAAAAAAGAAAAGAAAATATGAGGATTGATTTTAAACCGAGGAATTCCAGACTATACAAGAGAAGCAATAAAACATGTTTTTTCTGTTATTTATATGAACATTATCTGCACAGAGGACTTAGTATTCATGAGAACAATAAAATGACTACAGATGATCAACATGCGGTAACTGAGAATACTGTAAATACCACAGAGATTTGGAGATTGGGCAACTCTTCAGGCTGTTTGATAACCAGCAATGAAAAGAGTAGAGACTTTGAAGACGAACTGGGGTTTGAAGCTCACTTCATAACTTATTAGCTGTGCAACCCTAGGTAAGTTATGTAACATCTTTGAGTGTTATCTTAATGAAGAGCAAAGTATGAAATTTCTAAAGTTGACCTAAAGATTAAATGAAATTGATATAGAGTATGTGACTCGGTTGTTCTTTGAAAAGGCAATCGTTATAGCTATTGTCATTATTCAATGACTTTGATCACCACAGATAACCAAATGAGAAAAATTCTAGCAAGATATTTAAAATGATTGTCAAATCTCCACTTCCCGTTGGTATACGCAATCTGTTCTCACCTTCCTGACATCAAAATATCCTCAAATAGGTTGCCTTCATGGCAAGGTATAGACTACTCCCTTCCTGATTTGCATGAAAATGACCCACAATAAAGAATGAGAAAAAATCTTGGATCAACCTTAAAAAGTAAGCAAGAGGGTCAACCATAAAATAATTTCCAGGAGTTTCAATGATATAAAATACAAATAACATTAGATTCAGGTAGTATCTACCTGAATTACGAATCTGCAATATATCAAACGGAAATATGCAAAGGAAATCAGCAGAGGCCCCTGCAGGCTTGGAGGTGAAGGTCAGCCTTGGCAATGCCATTAGCAGCACTGGGAAGAGTTCTGAATTTCAGAGGCAGCACGAGACAGGGAGTTGGCAGGGAAGGGCATGCCAGTCACTCACACAGAAGGATAGCCAGCCTGCCAAAGAATGGGGAGACAGCAGCAGGGAGCTCTGACTGCTGCTCCAAATAAGGATTGGAAGCTCTTTAGCAAAACACATTCCTGGCTAAGTCTGCCTCCAGTTCTGATTCTCACCTCAAGGTGCCCAGCTATCCCCTAGGCTGTTTGGACTCCCAAACGAAAAAATGAGAGTAAAATTAAACTTTTCAAAGTTTAGTCTCAAAAATGAAAGTAAAATTAGACTTTTTAAAGTTTACTCTCAAACATAAGAGTAAAATTAAACTTCTTAAAAATGCCTCTCTCCATTTGGGGCTTACAGGTTCTATCAGGAACTGACATGTAACTCTAGTAGAATCCATCTCAATTCTAGAACCTAAGAGGAAATGACAAAAACCAAGAAAATGATGAGAAAAATTATAAGAGTAATAGAAGTAAAAGCCAGAAGATCCTATCTACCTATAATAGAACTTCCCTAGGAAATAAACAACAGAAGCAGCTTTAATTGAATAAGTTTTCCTAGGCTAAAGTAAAACCTGTATAAGCAGATGAAAAGGGATCAAATACAATTTTTTAAAAGTAAATGAAAACATCAAATGTATGCTACTGTAATTTTTGATTTCAAAGAATAAAGAAACAAACTTGAAAATCTTTGAGAAAATGAAATATAATACTTACAAAGTAACAAAAAATTGTCCTGGCCATCTACTTCTATCATGTCAAACATCAAAAAGCAATTTAATAACAGTACCAATTTTTGAGAATAATATGGGAAACTTCAAGACATTTATATCTACATCTACAGAGTTACCAAGTACATAAGAAGCCAATAAATACATTCTCAGGTGTCAACAACTTCAAAATTTATCATTCATATCCTTTCCAGAAAACAAAACAAAAACAAAAACTTTAAGCACAGTGGTCTTCCAAGGGAGTGAATTCGTGAGTCTCCAGTTAAATGGATTGTTGATTCATGACCTAGATTTAACTAACTCAAACTGTACCAAATGGACAAGTAATTTAAAAAGATTCTGGAAAGAAGAGACAGATAAAATAAAATGCTGATAATACAAGGACAACTAAACATGAAAATGAGCTGACACGTCTCCTTTTACTAGGACAATCTCCTATTTCTCATACAAACACTTCCTCTCCCACTTTTACAAACTAAAAGCTAATTCTCATCAGTTGAAAAATAATTGGAATTATTAAGGACATTATATGGACTATGGATGTATAGCCACTAATTTTTAACAATTCCCACTCCTGGGAAAGCACAGTATTGAGAGAATCAAGTCATGAAGGGGCCTCATATCACCTTGTGATCAGGGGGCTGGGACCCCAGGGCCAGAAGAGGAGTGGGGCCTTCAGGGAAAGCTTCACTTAGAATCTCACTCAGCTGTTCCAATGAGTAGCACTGAAATCGGCTCCATCAGGGAGACCCAGGCTTTGTGCCACAATTAGCAGAAAATCAGCCATTCAGAGGCTTCTCCCTGATGTAGTCACCAGTGGTGCCAGGCAGACATTAGGCAGTCACATTTATGCATTCAGTGTGAAGTTCTGACCCAACAGGAAGCTGTAAATAGAAAGCAAAACCCTAGCCAAGTGGTTTCAACAGATCCAGAGAGGAAATGACACAGAAATAATGCACCTTTTGGATGCGTGGGAGGCACTAGAAATTTATATGTAACCCTGTCTTTCCAGCTTATGAGATGAGCAGAAGATTCAATCAACTTCCTGGCAGACAGTGAGGGAACCTAGAACAACCCGTCACTCTGTTTATGGAAGAACACCCAGCTGACATTCACCTTTCTTTACTCAAGGATGATGAAACAGAAAAAAAATTCATGAAGAGATGCAGCAATAAAGACAGAAGAAAATACAGCATTCAAAATGTGAAAGGATTCACTTTTGAAAAAAAAAATCACTAATGGAAACAGAAGTGAATTTTAGGGAGCATCTGCTGTGTGTTCAATACAATTCAAAAAAAACCCATAGATCTCTGAAACAAAGGTAAAAGCCCAAATCAACACAATAAGAAGTTTCTTTAAAAAGAAAAAAACATGACAATAGAAAGACTACAAGAACTTATTGTTAAAAAGAGTTAAGTGGTGACCAGCTTTGTATATACCCATCTCCTGTTTGGGTGTCACCCATGTCAGATACAAGCTGCAGCTGCCAACTTTCTGCTTTATGTAGCTGCCACACAAAGCCTAGTGATTCCAGATGCCCCTTTCAAATTCTGTTGAGCTTTAGCATAGTGTTCAGGTGCTTATGCTCCATAGGCCCCTCAGCCCACCTTTCTCTAGCTCTTTATCCATTCCATTTGGAATATCCAGCCCTGCCCTGCCATATCCTACCTACCTCTTGGTGAAATGGCTATTCTTTGGGCAAAAGAGTTTCAAATTAGCTCTTTTATCATTGGCCAATTTAAGTTCATGAGAATAAGGACCCCTCTCTATTTGTCATTATAGTGAAGGTATTCCTTAGATCTTAATCTATCTTAAGAAGGGTTGTCTGAAAATTAGCCAGGATCTTTCATACCCATGTCATAAAGTATTTTTGTTCAACTGGAAAAGACTAGCTGAGGCCAGAGGGCTCAACTGCTCTTCTTTGTTTTCCTAGTAAAGTTGTCTAGATGCTTTTCATGTGAATCCATTCCATCTAAAAGGCAAATGTCCTCAGAGGCCAGGTCCCATGGTATGCTGCAGCCTATATTTTGGGAAAGATGGAGATCTGGTGTTTTAATACTACCCAGGGGAATTTTTGGTCTGGACACCTAAGGGGAATTTATTTCATGAGCATTTGAAATAAATTTACAAGGAAGGAAGATAAAGAAGTAGGAAAATATACAAATAATAATAATATTAATAAGATTTCTCTTCTGAGAGAATGAATGTTCATAGTTTCCAGCACTCCATCCATTTCTGTCACTGCAGCTGCCAGATAATAGTTCCAGTATAGAAGTGCAACACCATTTTAGGAAGTGCTTATGCCTTCCAACTTTGGCAAGATGCCTTTCAGTTAAGACAGTGTGCAATTTCATTGTGGATGAGCCATTGCATCTTTTCATGACTCTTGCATTTCTTGGCGTAAACTGTTTGCTTTCTGTATGCTTCTTACCTGCAAGGCATATGATGAGATACTGAATCTCTTCAGTTCCCTGTGCCCTCAGATCCAGAGCGAGCCCTGGATGCTGACTTCCCCTGACCCCACACCAATCAACATGTGGGATGCACAAAGGTGTTGGAAGAGGGGAACTATGTGAGGAAAGGCCAGAGCACTGTATTTTGTAATTTAAAAGGATGTTAGGGAGGAGAGATATTTCTTTTTTTTCCACAAAGATAATTCCTAGGACCAATGGAGTGAGCTTCATTAAAAAGCAACTTATTGGTTCAACTTTATAATTTAGAAAACTGCCTTATACTGGACTAGGCATTATTCCCCACCCCAGTGAGGTCGCAGAAAGCCCTATAACCCTATGCCTTGAAAACATATACATTTGTTGAGCATTAGACCCTACTAGAATTTCATTCTTTTGCACAAATAAAAATGAACTATAAAAAGAAGCTATGGAAACATACTTTCTCATGTTTGTCTATTCTGCCCAAGGTTATTCCCTCTGAGGATGGGGGGGCAGCTCCTAAAATGCCAGTGTAACCAACAAGTACTGCTGTCTCAGAAAGGCTTTGTTTTGTTTGAAAGGATATGAGAGAGAACTGGATCTTTTACAGTACTTTCTCTACATGTCCCAATGGATCATGAGCCCTAAAAACTCATTTGAATTAAAAAAACTTCATTTCAGTTCATCACACCCATGTATTCGAACAGCATACTCATCTCTGTGTCCTTTTCATACACCTGCCTCCTCCATGTCACTCCTGTCCTCTGCCACTTACCTAAATGCCATAGGAAATAACTTAAAACAACTCTTCCAAATGGGATGCCCCAACATGACTTTTAGTCTTATGCTTTAATGCCATCCAATGATGTCACCCAAGCATTTTTCTGGCCATTGTTTGTTTCTATAATTAATGACAGCTGATTAAGATGGCCACACTTGAAAAACATTCAACATTGGGTGTCTTTTGTGTGCAGGCACTGGGAGAGATAGGCTCTAGGAATACAAAGTGGGGAAATGCAGTGCCTTCTCTCAGGTAGGGAAGACAGAAAGCTAACCAGCACCCACAATGCAGTACTGTAAGCGAAATGGCAGAGGTGTGATGGGGGCTAAGAAAGCACAGAGGAGAGGAATCTTCTAATAACAAAGCCCTCCCCAGTGGAGTTGACCAGAGCCATTTTGAAGGCCACGTAGGGGTCAGCCAGGCACAGAGGATGGGATAGGGAAACGGCAGACTCTGCATGGAGAGAGCAGACTGAAGGCAGTGATCTATTCAGATCTATTCAGAATAGATCTTTTCGGATCTTTTCAGAATAGATCTTTTCGGATCTTTTCAGAATAGATCTTTTCGGATCTTTTCAGAATAGATCTATTCGGATCTATTCAGGGGCGTGTCAAAAGATAAAACAGAAGAAGGTAGGAACTACACCACAGTAGACTTAGAATCTCAAGCTAAAGAAATGTAATTTTCTCCTGGAGATAATGGGGAACCCCTGGAGAATGTTAAAATGGAGGAACAGAATGATGAGATTGGCATTTTAGAAAGATCAATCTAGCAGCTGAGTAGAGGAGCACACATAGTGAGTGAGATGGAAAATTCTATGTTTCCATTGTAATCAGGCTGGTCTGATACTCTGAACAGCACAGTGTGAATACTCTCTCTCACATGATGGAAATTTGATAGAGTGATGCGTGAGTTTAGTGGTAGTATGGATGGTTGCTTTTAAGAATTTCTGGGAAAGACATTGTTTTGGGGCATGCGGTTTCCTCATTGAGTGAACATCAAACCAAAAACAAGAACAGTGCCAACAAAAATTATGACTGGCAAGAATAGCCTACTTATGTAGCTTTTACCTTTTGTTAATGCTATAAATAAAAGAGAATTTTACTTCTACAGTTTCTAATTACATCTGCTTAAAGCAGATGCACACATGGATTGAAATAAATTACTGGACTCCAGTTACTTTTTCACTTAAGAAAAATAATTAGTACCTAGGTGCATACTTATGTTTCTATACTTTTATATGCCTCACTACATAACTTGTTAACTAAAAAAAAATTAGTAATGTTATAGAAGATTTTGAATAACGTCATGAACAAAATTGACCTAGTTGGCATGGACCGGACACTGCACTAAATTGCTGCAGAATGCACCATTCTTTTCAAGTGTACATGTAATAGTAATCAAAACTGACCATGTGCAGGGTCACAGAGACTCTCAATAAATTTCAAGTAATTGAACTCAGACAGATAATGTTCTGTGACAACAATGAAACACAATTTTGTTATTGATTAGAACCCAAAACAAAAAATGGCTAGAAATATTTCAAGTGTATGGAAATTTAGAAATAGATTTCTAAATAACCCATAGGTCAAAGGTTAAATCACAAAATAATTCTAACTGAACAATAACATACAGCCTTGTAGTATGCAGCTAAAGCAGTGTTTAGAGGAAAATGTGCAGCCTTAAATAAATATATTAGAAAAGGAGAAGTCTAGCCTGTAATCCCAGCACTTTGGGAGGCCAAGGCAGGTGGATCACGAGGTCAGGAGATCATACTGGCTAACATGGTGAAACCCTGTCTCTACTAAAAATACAAAAAAAATTAGCCGAGTGTGGTGGCAGGTGCCTGTAGTCCCAGCTACTTGGGAGGCTGAGGTAGGAGAATGGTGTGAACCTGGGAGGCAGAGCTTGCAGTGAGCCGAGATTGTGCCACTGCACTCCAGCCTGGGTGACAGAGCGAGACTCAGTCTCAAAAAAAAAAAAAAAAAAAAAAAAGAAAAGGAGAAGTCTAAAAATAAGTGATCTCGTTATGCACCTCAAGAAGTTAGAAGAACAAGTTACTCCAAAGACAGTAGGCAATAGCAAAAAATAAGCACAAAACCAAAACTTAAGTAGCAACAAACTCACAGCAGAAATAATTAGCAAAGCCAAAACCTGGGTCTTTGAAATGCTTAATAAAATGGATAGGTCAAGCAAGACTGATCAAGAAAAAAGAGAAATGATATAAATAACCAATATCAAGGATAAAAAGAGACTATTACTACAGATTCTGTGGACATTTAGAAAGGTAAAAGGATATCATAAATTCCTTTCTGAAGATACATTTAAAAATTTAGATGAAATTTTAAAATTCCATAAAATATTAATTTATCAAAATTGACATAAGAAAAAGGTAAACTATTAATAATTCTGTATCAGAATAATGATACAGAATTGTATCAGAGTAATTGATCTACTGAATATTGTATGGGAAGTCTTCACCAGTTCAACAAAGAAAGAAGAAATAATAGACATAGGACTGGAAAAAAATAATATCTTTAAAAAGCAGCAAATAAGTTATTCTAATTAAGAGGTGAATTTAGCAATGCCACTTGATAAACAGCAATAAACAATTAGAAAATGGTACCATTCACAGAAACATCAAAACGAAACAGTTTCTAGGAATAAATCTTACAAAATATATAAAATCATCTACATGGAAAATGGTAAGATATTATTGAGAGAAGTTTAAATGACCTAAATAATGGAAGAAGAATCCATGCTCATGAATTTTAACACTCAACATTTAGAAATATGAATTCTCCCTAAATTCACCTGTAGATTAAATTACAAACAAATTCACCACAAGTCATTTGGTGGAAACCGATTCTAAAATTTACTTAGAAATGTGAAGAATGAAATATAGTTGATGTGGTAAAACAACAAAACTGTTGTTACTATCCTACATATCAAGACTTATTATAAAGCATTTAATTCTGGTCCCATGTCCCTCTACCACTTCACTATTCCAACTCTCTTCCTTTCAACATCCAGCTGGTATGTGTGAGGATGTGCATATGTATTTTTATATTCATATAAGCACAACATAAGTGGACAAGAAAACATGCTACAAGAAAAAAGAAAACAGGCAATGTAAGTTGTTTTTGAACTATCCTATTCTACATGTGATTGTTCCATTCCACATGCAGGGACCCACTCTTTGGATACCCAGTCAAGGGCATCACTGCATACTCTGTCTTGGTTGCCATGGATTTTCTGATGAATATTTCCATTCCTTTGGTTTTCGTGAAGCTATGCCACAGAGGAGCCCTGCATGCTCAGTCTCCTCCTTGTTCTGCTCTACAGAGTGAATCTCCTTTGGGGATATATGTTTGTGGGTGTGAGAGTATGTGGGCAACTGTGTGTCCAAAGTGAGTGTGTCAGCTCACTGCATGGGAACACCAGCCAAAATGCACTGTCAAGTCCAAAAGAAGCCTTCTATTCTTATGGTACTCTAGAAGGTGTTACGACTCAGGGTTAAAGTTTTAATCCATTTTGAGCAATAATATTGACTTTGTTCCTTTGCACTTCTTATCAAATGCAGTACTTTAGAAAGGAGCTCCCTAACAGTCATTCTTGGCCTTATAAATAAGTGTTTCTTAAAAACCAGTTTATCCCCTGTTTTTATTGCCAATCAACTCACACATTTTGTTAAAAGGACATAGCGGATTTTTTTTTAGAGTAAGATTCCAAATTATGCTAAGAAAATCTTTCGTGAAGGTAAACATTCTCTCTCCAAAGTTTGTAGGCGAGCAGACCTTATTGGGAAAGGATGTTATTATGAAAACCCACTTGTTCTTCTGGGTGAAGAAATAAAAAAGAATGAAAAATACAACCCAGAGCATCATTCAGAATCCACCCCAGGCCATGCTGGGGACTGGGGAGAGGGAAGCAGTTAAGATCCTGACAGACTACCAAGAGGTAAGTTCCAGAAGCCAGTGTTCATTTGCAGCTATTCATGTGGAAAGAATCACTGTCACTTCTGCCTGCTGATAAACATGCCACTTCAACATCTGTCTTAATAGACCAAAGAAATGAGAAGAACTAAAAACATCTTTGAATGGCACTAATGAGAACAGGAAGCTGAGCAGAAATGAGAAGCAAGTTTGCAGGAAGATTTAGGAAGGTTGCAACCCATGCCTAGACACGTCAAGACACATCTTTCCATGTCTTCATAGTCAACCCGGTCCCGTGACTCCTTTGCTTTCCTTTTCTGAATTTAGTTCCTCATTCAACCTCAATTGCATCATGTTGGTATGATTATCCAGAGGAGCTAAAGCTCCCTCAGCCAGCAAAATCACAGGAATTCTACCATACTACAAATATAAGTTTTGGTAAGATAAACCTAAGGTTACATTTTTCTCATTTCTACTTCTTTTTTCTTTTATAATAACAGAAATAAATAAATTAATTCATAGATTAAAAACCTTCAAATAATGGCTAACAAGATGCTGAATTGGCACAGTTCCCTTTCTTAAGATTAACTCAAGAAAAATTATAGGAAAAAAACCTCAAAGAAAACCGTGAGAAACCTCTAAGGTGACCTGAGGCTGCCGCTTTGAATGTGTGTGTGAAGACAGTGCATCTTCTTGGTCTGGGACAGGAGGCAGCCCCACCACACTGGGGAGGAAATGATGGGAAAGGAACTGTTGGAGTCTGCTATTGTTTCCCTCCACTCCACTTCCTCCAGGCGCACAGTAGCTGCTCCCACACCTCCTGTGACTCAGAACTCTAAATGTCAAGAAATCCTGGAGAGCTAAATAGGGGTTGTCTGTCCCACCTTGTGGCTCCTCTAAGTTCACCATGGGTTTCCAAGATTGTCACAGAAGGAAAAGGGATGCAAAAGGACATGTGCGAGAGGTTTTTATGAACCAGACTGGAACTGGAACTGATTGCTCCTGGTCACTTCCAATTGTCCAGAAGCCATAGTCACCTAACTACGTCTTTCCAAGAGAGAAGCTGGAAAACACAGTCCTGTGGTAGGCTCAAGAGGAAGAGGTGGTGGTTTTAGTGGAGATCCAGCCAATCTCTGCCCCACCTAGAAAATGCAATCCTATCACCAATACTTGTTTTTTCCTTTAAACCTTTACTTTCTGCTCCTTTGAAAGAGTCAAATGGAATGTTGTATATTAAAGATACTTTCTAACTTTAAAATCCTTTAAAACTAAGAAACGTAATCATCCTAATTATCAGATAATCTCCCAAGCATTTTGACAAAAATGAGACAGTTCTCATGGGAATTATGTTGAGTGAAGAAAGCCAATCCCAAAAGGTTATATACTATATGATTCCATTTATGTAATATTCTTAAAATGGAGGACAAGATTAGGGGTTTACAGGGATTGGAGAGAAGGGAGAGGAAGAGGGAGACACGTGTAAGAAGGGCAACAAAGGGAACCTACTGGTGAACTATTCTATACCTTGACTGTGGTGGTGGTTGTACAAACCTACACTTGCAATTATGTTGCACAGAACCAAATGCATTCATACACACACACACACACACACACACACACACACACGTGAGTACAATAAAACTGGAGGGCTCTGAATAAGATTGGTAGATTATGCTAATATCAGTATCTTGGGTTGTGAAATTGTCCTGTAGTTTTTCAAAATGTTTCCATTGGAAGAAAATGGGTAAAGGGTACATGGGAATTCCTCTGTATTATTTCTTACAATAATGTGACTCTACAATTATCTCAAAATTAAACATTTAGTTTTAAAAAGTGGGACACAGTTATCCAGCTCAATGGAATATTGATGACAAAAGGCTGGACATAGTTGTCCTTTCCCCAGCTGGTTTTATAAGTGTCTCTCTGTTCTTAAATAGTGGTCTACTTAGTGTCCTCCAGATCCTTCGGCTTGGCCTCAGCAGCAGTAAGAGAGTTAGGGGTAAATGTTCACCAGTGAGCTACTAACTGTGTCTGATGACTTTGGAGAGCATCCAGTGAGGGCTATAATCAGTGATGCTTGGAGCTTGGTGAGAACCAGACTCATGCCTTGAGGAAACCCTGGGAAAGACAAATGGAGGTTCTCAGGATCAACTGAAGAAACTCAGATGCTAGCAAATGGTCACCACACTAAAACGGTGAGAGAAAAAGAATCCCAGTGACTTTACTAAAGGCTCACTAATTACACCTCTACTGGCAGTGATCCCCTGGGACTCTAAGATATGAAGCACGATTTGCATCTTCCCTCTCCTTTTTCAGTTCATTCTCAGAAGTTTGTTTCAATTTGAGGGTGGCTTCACTATGGCAGGCTGGCCATGAAGGGGTTGTAAAGAATGAAATTAATATACACACCCACACCCAACCTCTAGTAACCACCATTCTATGTTCTGCTTCTAAAAGTTTGATTTTTTTTTAGATCCTGAATATGAGAACATGTGGTATTTGTCTTTCTGTGTCTGGCTTATTTCACTTAGCATAATGTCCTCTAGGGAGTGAACAGGGAAAGGAGAGATGTTAATCAAAGGGTACAAAGTTCCAGTTACACAGAAGGAATAAGTTCTGGTAATCTGTTGCACAGCATGGTGACTATAGTGAAGAATAATATATTATGTATTTCAAAATTGCTAAAAGGGTAGATTTTAAATGTTCTCACCATAAAAAATGAGAAGTATGTGAGGTAATTGTTATGTTAATTAGATTGATTTAATCACTCCACAATCTATATAGGTATTGAAACATCACATTGTACCCCATAAATATATACAATTATTGTCAGCTTATAATAAAAGTAAATTTTAAAAATAAATAAGAGTCGATTCCATAAAAAAATGAAAGGAATGAAATCTAGAGCTAGCTATGGACTAAGGGAGTGAGGGAGTGAGGGTAGACAAGTTGGGGTGTGAAAACACAGGTCACGGAGACGGTGTTTTGTTGTATAGTCATTTCCAATAAGTAGGAAAACAATTTGCATATTATTAACATTTCAAGTTTGTATTCAATGTAATTACCATTCAATTTCCTTCCAACTATACATCATTTTGTAATAGCTTTGGGGTGGGATAAGGGGAGGGATCTGAACCAGTAATTCATTGTCGTTTGTGGTCAGCTCCAGTATATTCTAATAACTGAACGTGTCAAAAGCCTAAAGCTTTTTCATTTTGTGCTATATTTAATAGAAAAAGAAAAGAAGAATTGGGAAGACTTACTTATGCAGTCCCATCTCACTTGCCAGCACCACCTCCCTTTCTTTGTAGATGAAGAATGGGACTCCTTTCACTTTTAGTTCTATTAAAATAGCTCTGGCTTTCTCTGTGGTTAAAAATATGAGCTTGATATCGCTCAGGTAGTGACACAAGGTAAACGCTAATACAGGACCAACTCCCATAGCTATTTAGAAAAAAAAATCCTCCTCTGTTAGCTATTTCTATCACAATTTACAAGGAGAGTTGATTTACAGAAGAATTAGCAGTAATAGCCACAAACACTGTTGAATCAATCTGGACAAAGCACTCCACTTGCCCCAAACAACCCCTCATTGTTCACGGTGGTAATCTGTTCATTTTAAAAGTATTATCTAGTGCTTTGGAGTTTGTCCCTCAAGAACAGCATGAGCCTCCACTGTACCAGGACTTCCTCGCTTAGCATTTCTAAAACCTCTTAAATCTGGGAACATACTTTGTAAGATTTGTTTTAAATGATATTTGAACCTACATGGTGTCATAATATATTCTATCATTGTGTGTAAAAAGAAGAATTCTTTTCCAATGAGCTTTATTGAGCTTTAGACTCTGACTTGGGGACTGGAAAGAGGAAGAAACAATTCCTTTAAATGATTCTCTCTTAAAGTAAAAAGAGACAACAAGGGAATCATAGAATGTTCAACATTTGCTACTGACTCTCTCAAAGTGTACGTGAGAATTTTTAAAGCTCCAGAGGTGGTGTTCACAGCTACGCTATCGATCGAGTGTTTCTTGAGAGGGAGTCTTCTTTTCTCCATACCAGGTGATGCTCCGTGCTCTGGGGTCACAGGAGAGGGGCATCTGCCCTGTCCACAGCCTGACAGAGCCAAAGGCAAGCTCAGACAGCTGTGACACCTAATTATGGGTCTTCCCATGAAGTCTGAAAAATGGCTGAACTTGGTCCAGCCCTAGTGTAAATAGAACAAAATAAGCATATTTGCTGGAAGTGAGGCTGGTCTTTAAAATTCATAATCACACATATGGCTCCATGAACCATCTGCACCAAGCCATGTCTGTGTGTGACTTTTGGCTCTGGGCTATTTGCTATTACTTGCTGTGGACCAGGTGCAGATTCCTTCTTTCTCTCTCAGCCCCCACATTCACATATTTCTCAGAAAAGAAATTCCATTGGAATCAGAGGTGAAAAGCTAAAACCTGTGGCCTGGGTGATCTACCATTTTGACTTCTGTCACCTAAAACCCTAGTTCCGCCTAGTGCAGAGATTTTTACCACTTGAATGCACTGATGTGTGACAGAGAAGAGTATGTTGTGTTTATATTTCCCCCATACCCCCTGCCAACAGCCATTCCCACCACGAGAACCCCCAGGGAGCAGTGGAAAGAGGAATCTCAGGAAAGTGGTGTCTATGAAGTACATCAGAGTTCTGGGGCAAAGTCCTGAGGCAAGAGATTGTTAGACAGGGCAAGGAGAGAATGGATAGCTGGGGAATTTAGCCCCATTTCCTTTTCTTAAACTCAGTAAAGAGATGACCTCCAAGGTGACTCCCAGGACACCCTTACACAAACCCAAGATGGTTACATCAGATTAAAAACAGCTGCATCTGAGATAGAGGAAGGCCACAGTTCAGACCACCTGCATCTTCCTCAGCTCCTAGGCAGGAAGGAGGAAGATTTCAGAGGTCCCCTGTGCCCTGCAAAGGGACAGGAAGCAGCTGATAGTGCTGACTGGAGGGATTATTAGGGGCACTGCCATGGATGAGGGACAGAGGGTCAGGGATCAAATAGGTGCTACAGCCAGACCTCAGCTGGATCCATAGTGCCAGGAGGAGCTGAACAGGGACAAGCTGGTGGGGAGAAAGGCAGTCCCAGACATTAGCTAGAGATGTCACTAAGACTTCCTGTGACCAAGCAGACAAGAGATATCACCATGGAGTCAAGAGGAACCAGAGGACAATACAAGACCCTGCTGTCTTGGAGAGTAACAGCGAGCAGAATAAAGAAATCTCAAAGTCTAAGCATTTACATTTTTTTAAGTGAGTTACCTAAAAAGAATGTTTAAATTGCTAGATTGGGTGGTTTCATGAATTGGATTATTATTAGTTTCTCTCTTTTCTCTCTCTCTCTCTCTCTCTCTCTCTCACTCTGTCTCTCTGATATGGTTTGGCTGTGTCCCCACCCAATCTCACCTTGAATTGTAGCTCCCATAATCCCCACATGTCAAGGGAGGGACCTCGCAAGAGGTAATTGACTCATGGGGGCTGGTTTTCCCGTGCTGTTCTCGTGACAGTGAATAAGTCTCATGAACACCGATGATTTTATAAAGAGCAGTTCCCCTGCACATGCTCTCTTGCCTGCTGCCATGTAAGACATGTCTTTGCTCCTCTTTTGCCTTCTGCCATGATTGTGAGGCCTCCCCAGCCATGTGGAACTGTGAGTCCATTAAACCTCTTTTTCTTTATAAATTACCCAGTGTCAGCTATATATTTATTAGCAGCATGAGAACAGACTAATACACTCTCCCTTACATACATACATACATACATACATACATACACACACAAACACACACACAAACTGCCCCATCACCCAGCAGGGTGAGCTCATGAAGGTCAGGTCATACATAGGAAGTAAAGAAACCTCAGTTTCTCTGCACATCTGAATAAATCTGGCCCTGCTATATGTACAGCACTCAGCAACTCCTTAGTGGCAGGCAGGGCATAGTGGAAGCAGAGATGGGCACAACTGTTGTAGTTTGGAGGTCCCTGCTGGAAGGGTGAAGGGTGTCTGCCCCAGGACCAAAGGGAGGAATATAGGGGTAGAAACAGGACCTGTACAGAAAATGCACAGTAGTTGGGAAGACATGAGACATGAGGTCACCAAACTACGTGAATTTATTACCAGAAATAAAGATTCCTACTCTCGGACTTCTGTCTGTTCACTCCTACTAGCTCTTTTGATCTACTTGGTAAGGATTTATTCCCACCACTGTTACTTAAAACTGACAGCTAGCCTTGTTGAATATACTCCCCAGAAAGCTTTCTTTAGCCTTCTTGTGGTATATTCACCTCCGTAGCAGCCAGTCAGCAGGCACTGATAAAGAGATAAGAATAGGAAAAAAAGACAGAAGATCTCTTGAAGAAGTAAGATATTGGTGATACTATTGGCATTGTTCTAAATCCAGTGCAATGATTCCCAAAGCCAACATTGCATTCTAATTTCCTGGGAATATTTTTTAAAGTACAGAAACCAAGGTCTGACTTTAGACCAGAGTGTGAAATGGCATAACAATTGATGGTAATTCTGACCTTGTGGGGTGGGACAACACTTTCAGCCAAGTAATTGGAATAATTAAGCTACCTTGTCATGGTGTTAATTGTCTTAATAATTAAACGACCTTGTTATGGTTTGAATTATCCTGACAAGTGCTTTCTAAACTGTATACCACAGGACATCTAGCCCACAGGATGTTAACATGCATTGCTGGAGAGAAGATTTCTGTTGCACAAATATTTGAGAAATCCAGGTTAAACTAAGTTAAGCAAAGTTTGTTTGGTCTTCACCAGCTCAGAGCTTTTTACACTGATGTGCGCTTAGACTCTCCACGATGAAGCAATTGTGTACGTCATTTCCCTCCTAGATCTGACAAGGTCTTGTATTTTTCTTGTAAATCCCCCAGGATTAGAGGGTTTTATTGCATGGGATTTGGCGAGTGCTGCTCTGGAGTGCTGTCACAGGGCTCTACTTCCCTGCTGATGCAGGTGCAGTCAGGGAAGGCATGGATTCAATGAACTTGACATGAAGTGATGATTGTAAATTTAAAACGAGACAGTTTTTTTGTCACGCAAGGAAAGTGTCCTATTACAAATTAAGATACAAAGGTAATGGGCAGAAAACATGTAAGATTATACATTCGTGGACTTAAAATAGCAAATCATGGCATACAGCTATCTTTGAAACCAGTTTTTCTATTTTATGAATATTTCAATCACTTCTTTGGTTTTCTCTCATATCCAATTTTGTGGCATTATTACATTATGAACCTATGATCTCATAAATTAAACAGGCTCAGATAATTTGACATACTTCACTTTTACCTCACAATGACGAGAGCATATTTTTAAACATCTCTCCCCCTTTTGTCTCTGAATACTACTTTTCTCTAATATTGTTTTCTGTCTCTCTCTGGACACTCTCTGAGGACCAGTTAACGTCATGTCAAGGACAAATGGGTGCATCATTATGACTGCCAAATCTCAAGGGTCCTGTTACATATTTGGATTGTTTTTCCTGAATAAAGCATAGAATCTCCAACGCTCATTAATTCTTCTATATTCACATGCTTTTGGTTAGAAGAACTTCTGCTCAAGACTACAAACCAATGGGTTTTTTTAAATATATATATTTTTTCCTTTCTTATAGTCAGAAAACCAACAATAATTTGTTTACTCACCACAGAACATTCTCAATTACAATGCTGGTATATATTTTTTCTCAGGTTTTATTTAATACTTTTCCTAACACTTCCTAAGTAACAGAAGGGTTTGGTTTCTTTGTGTGTGTGTGTGTGTGTGTGTGTGTGTGTGTGTGTGTGTTTACTATACTGAAAAATGTGAGATACAAATAAAGTTTTAATTCATGTTCTTTTAAAAGAGAATAATTGAAATAAGTATTTCACAAATACCTATCATTAGAAATTCCTTTCATAGTCTCCCACAAATTTTCTTAAATTTTAAAAACCTTTGCTTTATTTGTATTTTTAAAAGAATCTATGGTTATTGTGGGAAATTTATAAAATACCTATTAGAAAATAAAATCACATAAAATTGTACCACCTAGGGATTACAACTATTAACATAAAATGTTTATATAATTATTATATTGTATCATGTATCCATAGAGTTTAAACTTCTCTACAAAATTTATTTGATAGTATGCTTTAACACTTAATGTATTATAAACACTTTCCCTTGTTATTAAGAGTTTTTCTCTGATATAATTTTAATAACAGCATAGTTTGTCTCTAAATATACATATCATAATTTATAAAATCCACTATTGCAGGACATTTAGGTTGTTTCTGATTTTTGCTGTCATAAACTGTATTAAAATGAAAGTTTTGTAACTACATTTTTGTACACTTTTGTTATTTTGGCTTTTATTTGATTAAGACAAAATTCAGAAGTCCAATCAGGATTAAAGGAGAGAAATATTTCTAAATTTGTTGATGCTTATTGCTAAGCATCTAAACACTTATAGCAACCTCCTCTTTTTCTCCAGCAGAACGTGAGCGTGGCTACCTCTCCCAGTAATCACAGAAACCTGGTAAGACTGTTTGGAAGGCAATGGAAATATATGTGCAAAAATGTTTTTTGTCTCATTTTTGTAATCCTTGGATTTTCAATGGAAATTTTGGAAAGGGCAGAAATAAAGGGCTTGAGATAAGATGACCATCTTTCACTAGCGTGGCTTCCTCCATTGCAACTAGATTTCAACTGGAAGAAGTTATTTATATTTCTAATATAAAAGAGTAAAGAAGTTACCTGCTCCCCTCCCTGCCTCTGTCTGAAGCGCTCCATAATTCATGCAGCCTGGCATCCTGTCAGTGCCCTTAGTGGACTGTTGCTTTTAGTACTGATCCTTACCAAGAGCATGGGCAGTCCCACTTTTTTTTTTTTTTTTTTTTTTTTGAGACGGAGTCTTGCTCTGTCGCCCAGGCTGCAGTGCAGTGGCGCACTCTTGGCTCACTGCAAGCTCCGCCTACCTGGTTCACACCATTCTCCTGCGTCAGTCTCCCGAGTAGCTGGGACTACAGGTGCCTGCCACCACGCCTGGCTAATTTTTTTGTATTTTAGTAGAGACGGGGTTTCACCGTGTTAGCCAGGATTGTCTCGATCTCCTGACCTCATGATCCACCCTCCTTGGCCTCCCAAAGTGCTGGGATTACAGGCGTAAGTAAGCCACTGCGCCCGGCCGGACAGTCCCGTTTCTACAACTCAGTCTTGCCTATAGGTCACAATGCAGTGAAAAGCGGCAGCTGATAGTGTAAGCCCCGGGAGATCCCAAATGCCCGGTTATTAACAAGTGTTATATATTTTTAAAAAGCAATACAGATTTTACATCATATATGAGAAGGGTGTTGAAATCAAGGGAAGAATAAGAGACAGGGTGGAAAAAAGGAGGCTTCCACGTGCGGGAGACAGAGAAGGACAAAGGCAGGTACAGTAATGAAAAGAATGTGTAAACCCTTAGTATGAGCAGGCCTATGTAAATAGCAGATTAATCTATTACCCAGTTCATTTTGCCCAAAGGCTTTCTTTAAACGGATCCTTGAATATGTTCCCCATTATAGTCTCATGGTAAGGGAGTGATTCTCAAGGGGGGTTGCAATTCTGTCCCCCACCGGAAATTAGCAATGTCTGAAGACATTTCGGTTGTTAACAACAGGAAGGTGCTACTGGCATCTAATAGGTATGCAGGGATGCTGCTAAACATTCCACAATACACAGGACAGCCCCACAGCAAAAAATTATCTGGCTCAAAATGTCAGTTACGCCAAGAAACCTCACTCCAAGAAAAGCGAAAGTGTAGTATTTTTTCATATTGGAAAAGAGCAATACCATTGGCTAAATGTCTCTTTAATTAAAAATTAAAACCCACAAAAAGAAATGTTCAAAAGTAGAAAAAGAAAAATCCCTAGCCTATCACAGATACTCTCTACTTATATAATAATTGTTTTATAAGTCTTTCCAATTTTATTTCATATTCTCTCTCATCATATCAACCCATTTGTATTAAATGTCTGTTGCATAATTACAAATACACAATAAATTATTTTATCAAATGCTTATTGTTCCTTATATGAAATACGCCATTCTAAAAGTTACACCTTCTAGAAAACAAGAAAAAGAACTAAGTAACATTCATTATCTTTTTATTCCTGGCTACCTTTTTTTTTTTTACTGTAATATACAATCCTTTATTGAAAGTTGTGAAAGTACTACCAAAATATTAGGTTAGAGATGGTTTATCTTTTATATTAACAGTAAGTTAAAATTTACTACACAAACATAATGACTATCAATTAATAAATATGGAAACAAAACAGCTGTCAAAAATGTACTAGATATCCAATATCCCATATAATATTTATGTGAAGAAAAAAGCTCGGTAATTTTATACATATTCATATATAGCAATATATATTCATATATTGCAGCTATATCACAACAAAATAAGGTTGTTGTCTATGAAGCCCTATTGACTTCTTGAGTATCCTAGAATTTTCTGTTTCAGAGTGTGGTTTTCAGCTTTAAAAATCTAAAAATTAAACTTTTTCAGTGTTGTCATTGTTTAATAAGTTCTTCAGATTCATGCTACCAAGAATGGTTCAATATTTTAAAATCTATTTATATAATGTACCAAATAAATAAGTTCACAAAAGTCTATATGATCTTTTTGACAGATACTAAAAAAAAATTTGATGCAGTTCAATATTTTTCTTGATTTAAACAATTACATAGTAAACCAGGAATTTAATGACTTTTTTAAATGATAAAGAATACATATTTGGAAACAATAGCCAGGATTATATTTACTGAACAAACAATAAAAGGATTCTATTAAGGACTGGAATAAGGCAAGGATGCCCTCTAGTAGCATTATTTACAAAAAAAAAAAAAAATGGTTACGAATTATAGTCAATGAAATAAGACCAAAAAAGTAGGTAGAAGGAATGAAAAATTGAACAAAAATTTCATTACTTTTAGATTATAAAAAGTTCAATAAATTTTAAAGCCATTAGAACACATAATGAAATATTATATAGTAAGTGATTACCAAACAGATACACAAAAATAAGTATCTTCCCATTAAAGGTTCAATAACATTTAAAAATATAAAGAAAGCTATTCTATTCAATATAACAGCCAAAGTATATATCTAGGAAAAAATGTAAAAAGAAATTCTCTAATTCCATGTGAAGAAAACTATAAAGTTCTACTAAGGGATATAAAATGAATATTGAAGAAAGTGAGATCCACATCATATTTTTGGATGGAAAAGCTTACCATTTTAAAGATATAAATTTCTCCTCAAATTAAATTCTAAACTATGGATTTGTTGCAAAATTTGAGAACTTATTATATAATTTAACATAGAAGGCTAAACTTTTAAACATAGCCAAGTAATTTCTAAACAAAAAGGAATTCAAAAGAGAAGTAATTTTATGTCTTGTCCTACCATCTATAAAAATATAAATTTTAAAAATAAAAACAATACAGCACTATTGTCAATATTGAGAAAACAATCTGATAGAATAAATAGAATTTCCAGGAAAAAATACTAAGTCACAGGATAGGACTTATATATGATAAATTTATTTCATAACAGTAAAAAAGTCTGAATTATTGAACAAATAGTATATAACGTTTGTCAAGTATAGCTGTAAAAATAATTAATGCATTTTTAACAACTTACCCCAAAATATTTTCCAAATGGAAAAGATTTAAAGATTTAAATGTAGAAAAGTAAACTCATACAAATACTTAAAATAAATGTAAGATATATATTGTATTTATATAATTTGTGAGTGGAAAAGGTTTCTCTAAGCATGGCATCAAAGCTTGAAAGCAGAAAAGACCAATAGAGCAAACAAACTAATAACAACTTATAATTGTAAAAGATTTAAAATTATATTAGGACATGAGAAAAAATCTATTTACTACATATTATAACAAAGTATCATTTCTAAGAGACTTGTGAAATCAATAAAAACACAAATATGCTTTTTACGGAAAATATAAAAAGGAAATGAAAAAGCAATTCACAGAAGAACTATAAATGTCCAATAAGCCTAGAAGAATTCATGAGCCTCAGAAATGCAATTAAAATTTCACTGGGATTTCATTTTATTTATTAAATTGGCTAGGATCATAAACAATAGTAAAACTCTGTGCTAAGCAGCACAGGAAAAAATGGTTGCTTTTGTAAATTGCTGATGGGTCTATAAATTAGTATGATCTTCTTGGTAGGCATTTGGCAATATTTGCCAGAAACTTGAAAAATGTAGGTATCCTTTGATTTAAAAATTTCTCTTCTAGTTATTCATCTAATAAAATAAATAAGCATATCCTGAAATATTCATTTACAGACATTCATCACTGTTCTGGCTATGGCAGCAAAGATGGAAAACAGCAAAGTTTCCACTAACAGGGAATTGATTAAAAACATTATTGTAATATCACACGATGAAAAAATCTTCAATTTTTATAGCTATCATTATCATTATAACACATGCAATTTAGAATTATGTAATATATAGTATAATTATAATATTGATATACTATTTATAATATCGATTAACATTAAAAAGTTCATAATATATTGAGTGAAATGGGTAGGTACACTTACTTATCAGTTACCTGATAGAGTCTACATAATAGATCTGTCCTAGTCTTCCTAAACCAAATGCTGAGATTATCAAACAAGTATGTCTTATTTCTGAAATCAGAATGTTTTGTTTTCTGTTACATATCAGAATATTTTATAACTGCATATTTCATTTGAACAAATAAACTTCACATGCTAACTTATGGTAAGGCAAAAGCTGTACTACTCTTTCCTAAGGAAATAATCATTAACTAGACTTAAGGCATTAAATAATGAATAGTGATTTTATAAAACCATTCTATTTCTAATGAAAATATTAAAATATTTTCAGGAAAAATGAGATTTCTGAAAGAAAATTAAAAATTTTGCAAATGGGAGTCATGGGATACTACATAATATTGTTTTAAAATGCTAAACCAAATCTTGTCATATAAATCAGAAAAATATCTGAAGTTGTATGGAATGCTCAAAACTTTTAGTAAATTATAATTTATTTTCTGCTAGAAATTAAAGTCAAGAGATCCTATTTTTACAAAAAGTCATAAAATACAAGGAAGAACTTTTTATAACCTTAAGAACAATGCTAATAATAAAGATATTCAACTGGTGAAAAATTCTAAAGAACCAACTTTTCATACATCAGTACCCTGGTGAATTGTAAATGTCACTCAAATACCACAAGGTCAGATTCTTAGATCAATTCCTGCATTAATACTTCTTGTATAACCTGCCAACCTTCAAGTACTATATACTCTAGTCAGCCTGGAATGTTGTATTATAATAACTTAAAAATTAAATATCAGGATAGTCTATTCTTTTCCCAAAGCTTCAAAGTGAGGAGCCCAAAATGGGAAGACTGATTCCTTAAGAGAGATTTCTCCAAAGATGAGAAAGATTTGCCTGAGTCAAATAGGAAGTCACTTGGTCAAACCCATTTATTATTACAATCTAATTATGTTTTACAGCTGCTCATGAGATGTCTAGGAAATTACATTTGCAACTTTAGTCAAAGGACCAATATTAATGCTTATTTAATAATCAGTTCTTTGGGTATCTCTATTATTGAGATAAATATGATTGAGACATGATAGGAAGTGGTCATTTCTCTCATAAACTTATTCTGACCTTCAACGTTGGTGTATAATTGCACATTTATACAAATGTATGTCATTTATAATTGCACATATGTATGTAGAACAGTGAACTTTGGCTGGTGGGAAAATTCAGAGTGAAGATTTTGAAGATTTTCTTGGTTTCATGACTAATCATCCTTATCCACAAGAACAGAGAGTGCTATATGCAGCCTTTCGGAAAATGCCTGTCCTTTCAGCTACACACCACATTAGGACAGAAGCTGGAATCCAGCCTGAATTGACACAGGACTGGGCAATAGGAAGATAAAACATTCTAACTCTTCGTTTGGTTCTCATTAGAGCTAACAGTGAATCCAGATCTAGAGACACTGCTATTATAACACAAAATTTGCGAGCAAATCACCCAAAATAAAAAAAAAATCTATATACAATTTTTAAAACTTCTCTTAGATTTAGAGTCCTAAAACAATTGTTAATTTTGCAGATTCTTCAGATTCTCCTGAATGGAGGTATCACATCTCCACTCACTTAAAAAAAAAAATCTAAATCCACTGTGTCCAAATATTTAAATATGGAGCAAGTTTTATGTATAAGTATTACTCTACTGATCCCTGCTACATACTACTTCGACTCACTATAGAAATGGCTAAGAACAACTAAGAACTTTTTTCCAGCATTTACAGGTGGTCCATCATTTCTCTAAAGAAAAAAAAAACACTAAATAAAGATCTTATTAAAACTCCCATCTCAATTGCAAGTAAAATTAATATTTTAATTGTAAATTATGCATCCTATCCTCTATGTTTCATGCCTATAACTGATTAACTTTAAATGGCTTATGGAAAAAGGTTTGGATCCTCTGTCAATCAACCATATTTGTTGATGAAATAATTTTATCATCATAAATTAAGAGCATTTTATCCAGTAGTTGAATGTGTTACCTAGTTATTATTCAACTAATAAACATGGTAAAAAGTATGCTAGATTTTTTTAATTTTTACATTCTTTTATATATTGGCTGAACATACTTACTATGGGCTGGATACTATATTAGATACTGTGGAGAATACAGGTGAAGCTGACATGGACCTTGGCCTCATACAGCTCACAGCCTAATAGTATGAATTCACTATGAAATACCAAATGATTAGTTCCATTTAATATAATGAACACTTAAAGATTATCATTGTGCCATACAGTATTCTAGACCCAAGAAATAAAAAGCAAACAAGTCACAAATTGATAATATTCCACTTGGTTTCAAACATAAGAGAGAACATCTGTATTGTTGTGGATTCTTATAGAACATCTCTATTTTTATAGATTATTTAAGTATCATCACTCTAATATATAATTAGATGTCAGTAGACCTGGACTTTGTTATCTTGGCTTCCTGAAAAACAAAATACTGGATTAAAAAAAATGTTATGCCATCTATTTTTACAAAACTTTTAGAGATGAAAATGTCTATTTGAAAAGATTATACCTTTTCTTGCAGGATTATCTTGTATAAAGAATCAGTAAAATAAATCCCTTCTACACTTTAGAGCCAAAAAACAATTTCCCACGTTAACTGGACAATGGAAACTATACAATTTAATGTGCACAAATTTTTATCTTCTTTTAAAGCCCCTGTGGTCAAAATTTCCTTTATATTGCTATGAGCATAGTGGACATTGAATAAATAGGTTAGATGAATAATGAACACCAAACCAAATATTTCACTTTAGACACACTTTCTTGTGCTCAAGTTGATACAAAATTGGTTAGTAGCTGATAAGGTTTGGCTGTGTCCCTACCCAAATCTTATCTTGAATTGTAGTTCCCATAATCCCCATGTGTTAAGGGAGGAACCTGGTAGGAGGTAATCGAATCATGTGGGTGGTTACCCCCATGCTATTGTTCTCATGATAGTGAGTTCTCACAAGATCTGATGGTTTTAAACGGGACTTTTCCCCCTCTTGCTGGGCACTTCTTGCTGCAAGAAGGAGAATTGGGCACGTCTCCTTGCTTCTGTGAATAAGGACATGTTTGCTTCCCCTTCCCCCATGATTGTAAGTTTCCTGGGGCTTCCCCAGCCATGCTGAACTGTGAGTCAATTATACCTCTTTCCTTTATAAATTACCCAGTCTCAGGTATGTCTTTATTAGCAGCATGAGAATAGACTAATACACTAGCAGTTTCTTCGAAAATCTTCACATTTGAAACCATTATCTAACGATAACCTTCTTCTCTTTATGTTAAACATTCTCAAGTCATGTCCTCACAAACACCCATGTTTAACACCTTAAATCATCTCACTTATTCTTACATCATGCTTCTAGTTTCTCCAGGGCCTTTTAAAAGTGTTAATAACATGAGATCCAATTAGTTATTATCTCTCAAATGTCAACTTCTCCTAATAATTCTCAAGAGCATGTTAACTTTTTGTATTACAGTAGAAGCTTACACTTAGACTAAAGTCAATCTGTGATTCCTGAATTTTAACTTTGCTTTAAATAAATGAAGTGTAGAGTGAGGTACATTTCCTTTGGGTTGGTCTTGATACAGGATGATATTCAGATCAGAAATCCCCATGCTTTTGGCCACGTGTACTGTTGAGTCAACAACATTTTTGTTGGTGCCAAGTCAATGGCAGGTGTTATATAGGCTACAAAGAGAAGGGATTCAGGAACCTTCAAGTTGGGTGAGAGGGAAAGGCATTCACTCATGCAGCAGTGAGCGAATAAAAGAAGGGCTAGCCCAGGAGTCTAGCATGTGACCTTTAGAGTATAATGCCTTCCATTCCAAAGCCTGGCTTTTGCATTTACTAGTTGTATGACCTTGAACAAGCTTTTTAAATACCCAATATTTCCATTTCTTCTTTGGTAAAATAGGAATAAGAGTATCTTCCTCATAGATTTGATGATTACACATAAAATAATGTATGTAGAGAGGTTAACACCACGCTTTTAAGCCTTCAGTAGCTGCTATGTGTGCACGAATGCACGTGTGTATATACTTTGTGCCAGGTACTCTGCTGGGTACATAAATAACTATGATGCAAGGCAGAATGAAAGAGAGAAACTGAAGAGCAAGAATAGGACTTGAGAATGAGCCAACCATTTCTTGATATGTGGGGTGTGTGTGTGTGTGTGTGTGTGTGTGTTTCTTACCTCAGGGCCAGAACTAATTTCAGATGATGGGAAATTCTGACCCTATAGGTAAATGCAAAATAAATTTCCTTGTTCAAGGATGCCGAGAGCAAGAAAAGTGCCATCCAAGACATATTACGTAAAAATTAAGTCTCATTCTCTGCATTCCTGTGCATGATTTCCTCCTTCCCAAAACATGCAAGCCTGCCTAGGTAAGATCAACTCTGAGTTATAACTCAGTCTATACAGAGATTATCACCAAGAAAAATCAGCAAGTATAAAAGATTTTTAATAAATTAGAACCTGTAAAACTTTATGAGAAGCAGGTGTCTGAGTCCCATTTTATAAACCATGAGCCTAACAGAGTTATATGAACTACTGTGAGGTTGTTCTGTCTGTGAGCAACGATGGGAATGTAATCACATGCCCCACAAACTGGACTATGATAAGCATCCTTTTGTTAGGGTAATACCATTTATACATTTATTTATAATTTTATATTCCTCCCTTTCATTTCATTCTTTGTTGAAAGCAAATGTATTGCAACTCATTGGCAGGCAATTTATTTCAGGGCGAAAAGTAATCTAAATACAAAATAATAAAATATGTGAATGTGAAAAAAATCCCAAAGATATAAGCAGATTTATTATACATAGCTGGAAAATATCTCGTATATGAAGCCATTCATAAAGTGAGTTAACTTCTCTGTGCAGAAGTTCTTTGGGAATATGCTTGTACAGAGTAATTTACTTTCAGTGTTAGAAATTACCTGGAAAGAGGTGAAAATTACTCATTCAAGTCAAGAAGTATTTACATGCCACCAAATAACTAAGGTGAAATAAAACCTTATAGGAGAAATAGAAGAACAGAATGAAAAAAAAGGGAGGGGCAGGGTGAGATAAATAAATAAAAAGCTAAAGAAAAAGTTAAAATCCACCCAGTATTTACACAATGATTGAATAATAGGACAACTTTTATCTTGACTTCATTTAAATGTTTTCAGTAGGAAAGCTTGACAAAAGTGACATTCAGTCATTAGTAATATTGCTAAAAAAGTGAAATTCAGTCATCAGTAATGACTGAAAGTGGCATTCAGTCATTAGTAATATGTCATTAGTAATATTGCTGTATAAACTAGAAATTGTTCTTTTGAATCTTTAAATGGTGAAAACAGTCAATAGTGTTTTCTTTTTTAAATTGTTGCTTCTTGATAGAATCACAGTTTCTCTTTTATTGCATCATTTAATCTCAATGCCAAGTTTTGAAGGTGGTGCCAAAGTTCACTATCTGTCTGGGTAGCAGATGACCAAAACGCCCCTCCACAGTAAGGGTGCGTGAGTACTCTGGTTCCAGCGTATGCTCCACACATCCCACCACTGCAGGGCGCATCCAGGTGTGCTGTCATGGTCAGTTTGAATGCCTTTATCAGTGACTGTGCCATGCCACATATATAAAGATGGAAAGTCAAGTCCATGACCTCCAGGAATACATATTCTGACTTTGCACTGATAACCTCATTTAGTCCACAAAACACAGATATGACGTAGTTAATGTTATTATTCCTGTTTCAGAAACGAGGAAACTGGCTAAAATACTTTATGTGACTTTCAGCAGGGTCACACACCTAAAAAGTGATGGCACTCGACTCAAACATTGCAGTGATATATGTCCACTTGGCTAGGTTATATGTCCACTTGGCTAGGTTACAGCCTGCAGTTATTCAATCAAACACTAATCTAGGTATTGACGTGAAGGTATTTTGTAAATGTTATTAAAATCCATAATCACTTGACTTTAAATAAAGGAGATTGTGCTACATAATCTGGGTGGAAAGGCCTTAAAGCATAACTGAGGCGTCTCTGAAAAAGAATAAATTCTGCCTGTGGACAGCATCTTCAACCTTGCCTGAGAGTTTCAGGATGCCCTTCCTAATGGTCTCCCCTGCAGATTTCAGATTTACCTAGTCAGCCCTCACAATCAAATCAGGCTTTTGCTTGCAAGAAGTCTCTTATTATGTATCTCCTACTGGCTCTACTTTCTGGTTGAACTCCGACTGAGGCAATTACTCCTGTCCTCTTACGTGGTAAAGGGTTGTGGTTATTCTAGTCAGTTCATCGGGCTCTACTCAAGAAACACACAGGGTCTGGAAGCAATATAAAACTTAGCACCAACTGGGACTTCCTACAAGCTTTCTAACGAAAAACAATTTTAAAAATTACAAGACATAAATATGTGGATTTTTAATAAAGACCCTCTTAGTCATCTTTACATACTTAATAGGTGCTTGACAAACGCCTAACAAGTGAATGAATGAGGGAATGAATGACTAACTTGGTTTGGCTGGAGTCCTCTTGTGCTTTATCTCTCAGATTCATCACTGCAATGATCGGGACGCACAGCATAGAAATATATACATATATATATTTATTTAATTCCTCCAAACTCTATGAGATGTCATGCCAGAGATTATCAATTCTGAGATGCATTCATTTCCTCATTTTAATATTTCTGAAATAGAGATGCATTGTACAAAACATAGAATATCATAACTTATTTGGCATTGGTTTGCCTTTCTTGGTAGTTCATAAAATGAAGGTATACTTTATGATTGACAGCATTTTATTTTAATTGAAATATAGTATTATCACCATGTTCATTTTTCAGATGAGTTCTTCAGGCACAAAGGCTAAGTACCTTTCCCAAGGTCACAAAATTAGTAAATGGCAAGTCAGGGTTTGAACCCAGGCTGTCTGGCACTAAAGCAGGAGTTTCCGCAAATTGGCACCATTAACATTTTGGACTAGATAACTCTTTGTTGTGGGGGCTGTCCCATGCAGTGTAGCATGTTTAACAATATCCCTGGTCTCTACCCACGAGATGCCAGTAGCATCCACCCCCAAGTTGTGACAACTAAAAATGTTTCCAGACTCTGCCAAATGCCTCCTGGGAGGTCAAATCTCTCCTAATTGAGAACCACTATTCTAGGGTATGTTTAATCACTATGCAATATATATTTTTCCCTAAAAATGGAAACACGCCCAGGGTGACTTCTACTGCAGCCAGAAGCAAGTTGGGTCCACCCCAGAAAGCAGGAATACTTTTCCCTGAAGATGGTCCTTTTCCCCAATTTCTTCCTTGACTCTTACTCTTCTCTTACTGCCCTCTCCTCTTTTTCAACTTTGCACAGTTCTTCAGGCAGTATTCTTTCCAACTGCTTGCCAGGTCCCACATCTGTTCATTTTGTTGGCACTTAATTTGGGACTGCTCTGGAGGTGCTGACAGCATTAGTACTCCTGTTCCTCCAACTGCTGAACAATCTTAATTGAGCTGTCCCTGTCTCCTTGGTGCTGTCTTGTACCAGCTCCACCCCATACTCCAGAAGACGGGTGACAGGCACTATCTACTTGCTCCAGCTTTGACCAAATAAAGAAACCAAGAAGAGACTTTTCAAAAGCTAGTAGCACAGTGAAACTCAGGAAACTAATGAACATGATTTGACTGTAATAGGTTCTTATTCAAGAATACATCTGTTCTCACGAGCCTGTAAGTTAAGAGGCCATGTATGTGGTGGATGAGTCCATGGCCTCTAAAGCCAAATGGCCTGGGTTTCAATCCCAGCTCTGCCTGCTTCTCAGTAACTGTGTGAGCTTGAGCTACTCAATTTTTCTCTGCCTCAGTTTCCTCCTCTGTCAAGGGGGAAAATAGCAGCTTTATCTAATGTAGTTGGTGTGAGGAGTAAGTTTATAATGCATTTAAGAGGGCCTGGCCCACGTAAACACCAGAAGAGTGTTTGCAATTATTAGTGGCTCAACTTCAAAACAATTGTGGTGCACTTTTGGCTTAATTCGATAGGCTGGATTTGAATTTTTAGGTTCATTTTTTAAAACGGAATACTCATGTTGAAATACTGAACCTAAAACTAGCAAAAATATGTAAGTCAATTGCTTACATATATTCAGAACAGGATATCATTTTAGATTTAGTTTATACACACACATACATGCAAACTAGTAAATTCCAGTGATGGTAAAATTATTAGTGTTTTAACAACAATCACTCCTGACTATCTGATATACTATATGATGGTACATATTGGTTATTATAACATATAGCTATAGATATAAAACAATGATCTCAAATCCTGAAGTTCTATCTGAATCAACAAAATTAAATAATAACTAGGATGTTTTAATATTAATATTAATATGCTTGATTAGATTTTAATCCTTTGAAAATTGAGAGAGGCCTATATGATATTTGTGGTGCTACTTGTGGCCTTTCTACCTGATGTGTAACTTCCAGGAAAAGGACAATCTGAAGGGGCTCAGTACTGAAGTAACCTCTGAGCTTTTCCTACACGGCCCCTCCTCACATTTACTACAGCATTCTGTATTAGCCACCAAAACTGAGCAAACCTCATTCCGTTAGCTAGTCTCCAAAGAAGGTAGCACCTGTTACTAATCCCCCTGCTAATCTCCCCAGCACACCCTGGATCTTCACTTCTGCCCATCACATGAGATGTGCAGCCTGGGAGGCTTCCCTTTGGGTCCCTCTAGAATTAGAAGTCATTCCCATTTACTATAAGCCAGGTGTGCATCATTTCACTGAAAACTGTCACCACCATCCTATGAGCCAGATGCTTTCATTATGTCCATTTTACAAATGGAAAAACTGAGGCTGAGAGAAGGTAAATAAATTTCCCCCAAGTCAGTTAGAAAATCTGTGCAAATACCCTATTGCCTGTATCTCAACCAGCCACTGAGATTCCTTGTTTACTTCTTTGAAAGTGTGCTGCCTGTTGTCCATACCTCCTAAGGAAGCAAAATTGAGTTCACTCTCCCATTGCCCATTGGAGAATCACCACCCCATAGCTTTCTATCCAAAGCATTACAGGAGCTTTCATATTCTCTGTTGTGCTGCTTCAGGCAGGTGGTATTTTCAGTGTGTTAATTTTTTAAATCATAAGTTAAATCCATTGGTTCGAGGGCAAAAAGGGTTACTCTACAGAGGCAGAAGTGATGTTAACAGACCAAATTATATATATGTACAGGTCACCATGATCAGTAAGGAGGAGAAAAGTCAATGAAACCTATTAGTTCTGAAACAATAGATAAGAAGAGAGAATTCTACTTCAAATCAAGTTAACCTTACAATCTCACAGTTTTATTGTCATATAGTTATTACCATAAATATTCAGAATATTTTGACTTAACATACAGATGTCTTTTCATTTGCTCAAAACCATGCTTCTGAAATGAGATTGACTTTGGGAGAGGAAGTACTATTTTTATATCATGGTGTATTAAAACATAGATAAAAGGCCGGGTGTGGTGGCTCATGCCTATAATCCCAGTACTTTGGGAGGCCGAGACAGGTGGAATCCTTGAGCCCAGGTGTTTGAGATCAGCCTGGACACCAAGGTGAAATCCCACCTATAGAAAAAATACAAAAAATGAGCCAGGTGTGGTGGTGCACAGCTGTAGTCCTAACTACTTCAGAGGCTGAGGTGGGAGGATCACCTGAGCCAGGGAGGTTGACGCTGCAGTGAGCTATGATCATGCCACTGCACTCTAGCCTGGGTGACAAAGTGAGACCTTGTCTCAAAAAATATATATATATAAAATAAAAAATTATTTTGGCTTGTGGCATGGGGAATTAGTTCCCTGTAATTCAGCAAGATGCATCCAAGAGGGCTGTTTTCTTTAAAAAAGACAACAGAGTTAGCTGGCTAGAAATTATTTGGAAAATAGATTTTTTTTTTGGACACAGAAATGTATTTCAAAGACAATAAATGAAGATTATTTTATTTCATATATTAGTACTCAATGTTTGCCCACATAGTTGAACTAATTTTTGTCTTCTTGACCTTAAATGTCTGGCTAGACCAAGCACTTTTTCATATTTTAACCTATAGTAATATTTCATATTTTAACCTGTAGTTTTGGTGATCAAGAGACACTAGAGCTCAGAAACAGATGTCTTCCAAGCTCTGTTGATTCACCATATCAGTCTGAGGACTCCAGCATCCTGAACCTCAGCTTGCATCCCTGAAATGGAGTGGTGGTACAGGTTCATTATCATCACAAAGAAAGGATGCTAGCCTTTAAGGCTACACTTTCTTCCATGTTATTTACAACTCAAAGGGCCTGTTTCAAGTTCCATTTTAGCTCCCTGTGTAGTACACTGCCAAGCACATGAATTTTCAATGAAAATGTTGGAATGAAATTTCAGCATTTCTTAACAGAGAAGTAATCACCAAGATACGAGTTAATGCTTTACGGAGGTTATGTCTGGCTCCATTCTATTACAGAATGAATCAAGGTGAAAAAAAAAACATAAATAATGAATTGTGTCCTATTTGGGTCATGTAGGAAGGGAGGTTATTGGTAGCAATCAACACTGGGTCAGAAAGACAAAGCCAGAACCTGGAGCCAGAAGGGCAGGCAGCAGGTGTGAAATTAGAGATGTGATGATGGAAAAACTTAGAAACAGCAGACAAAAGACACAAAAATCTGAATAAGACAAGTGGTGGGGTGATTTCATCATTTAAGGCAACTCAAGTGATCAAGTCTGAGAGCTGTGGTCTGGGACTAAGACAAGAGCAGTCTAGAGAAATTTAAAGAGATGCTGTGTCATCCCCTTTGAAGGACCAAGTGCAAACTTATATTTGTCCTTAAACAGAGTTCTCCAATCCCAGCCTCACAAAACCGGTTCAGCTATAGCTACTGAACGGCATCTGTGTGCTGGCTTTCCATCTCTGCTCTTGAGCACAAAGAACAAAGTTTTTCAAAAGGAACTTGCACAGTCCACTTCATAAATCTCCCTTCAGCTTGCTACCTTCCGCCCACATCTCAGGGTTGTATGCCAGCTAGATCTACAGCAGTTATATTTTTAAACCAGCAATTATCCTCATTCCTGCTCACTGACATGCCATACAGTTAATCTGGTTTAGGTCCAAGGTAAAAAAAGGGAAAATATATAAATTCACATAAACATAATTCACATTGGCTCAAAATTACTCAAATGGTTTTCAAGCAACTCCAATCTGAATTACAGGTCAGTTTCAAAGTCAATTTTATATCAAACATGCATCAATTACAAAATTTTTCCAAAACAACTGTAAAAGAAGTCAAAGTCCAAGATCTTAATTAAAATATAGTTTACTTTAGAGAAGGTAAAGATTATCATGGGAAAACTCTATCACATCAAGACAAATATAATAGCTTGAATTACATGTATAAAATTAACAGACTGGAAGGGAAAGCTTTATGACAAGAAGTTCCGAGAAGAACTTAGTGATTCTACATCCAACTTTATTCATCTATATCCAAATGTTAACATATACCTTGATTTTTCTCTTTGTTAATTAAATATGAATGCTTACCCCAGCTATAATAAGAGGAATCTAGTGAAAGCAAATAGCAGACCTAACATAATCCCTTTCCCTTTAGCTATAGTCAACTCACTCTAAGTGTTTCCAAGGCAAGGATATGTAGATTAGGTAAATTGATTCCTTTTTTCCTATTATCAGTTGTCTTCTTCAGTTATCACAAAGGTTGAACATTAAGCTACCAAATATATAAGACATTGCCTCAAGAACAACTTGGGTAAAAGATACCCATGCCACACAGACAATTATAACATGATTATCTTGAATTTTTTCTTCTATTTTAAATGCTGCCTTGTACCATTTATAATAGCAAAAATTGCTGTCCAATTAAAAAGTGTTTGGAAGAGAAGACTCCAGTTTAATTATGAAGGGCATCATTACTATAAAGCAATGACAGGGTATGCTCAGGAATGAATCCATTATCACAGAAGGACCACTTATGCGACAATGATGTTTTCTCATCTGCCCCCAATATCTCCATTTCGTCTAGTTCCTCCTACTTATCCTCACCACAAGGTAAGGTATCTGAAAGTGCTGAACACACCGCCTGATGTAAAGCAGGTATGCAATGATATTCATTCATTTATTTCAAATATTCACTCATCCCATCATCCCTCTGGAACCAATCCATTTGCTACCCAGGATAGAATTTAAGGTACTTTAAGTATCTAATCGCAAGTAAGCCTTACTGCTGTCCACTCTGGTCTGTGGGCCATGAGTCTGTATCCTTTAATAAATTCCTGCTTCACACAGTAAGAACTGTGCTTTCCTATCCCAATCTCTGCCTAATAGCCCAACCTAAATGCGTTCCAGCAGCCCCAGCCCCATGCCTGGCCTCCAGTATTTCCAACACTCAAGGCTCAGCTTATGCATCACAGTCCTTCAACCTGGGTCTTGTCAAGATGTGGCTGTATCTTCCTAAAAATCCCTGCCTAGCCAGGAGGGTGGCAGCCTGCCACCAAATAACCTCACTGTGAAAATCTGCCCAAATGCCAGTGTTAATATTGACAAAATTGGCCTAGACTGATGCTACTTAAGCATTTTTCTGTATTAATGATATATGCATGTACTTTGTATTTCACTGAATCCAGAGAATTTTTATCTGGGTTTAGTTAGCCTTAAACAGCTACACTAACTTCTCTGTGTCTTGGTTTTCTAACCCGTGAAAGGCAATAATATTAGGATCCACCACAGAGGTTACTGTGATAATTTTTATATATTAGCAACTTAGAGAACTGTCTGGTAGATAACACATGCTTATGTAAATGTTATTGTTTGTATTTGTGGGGGAAAAGGAAAGATTAACAAGAGGAAAGCATACACATTTATTTAACATAAGTTTTATGTGACATGAGGGCCTTTGAAAATGAAAACCCAAAGATACAAGTAGACTTGTATTTTTTTATGATTAGGTTTGACGAAGAATGAACAGTTGTGCAGAAGTATATTGGGGGACAAAAAGGTATGATCTAATAGTAATAAACGGGGAAAACTTAGCAAGGCCTGTCTGTTCAGATTTTCTCTGTGCTCCATGTCTTCAGAGATAAGGAAGTTACTTTCTGCCAGGTATGGGGGGGGCACCTCTCAAATGAGGGTCTCATGACCTGCCTCAGAGGAGAAGTGTGAGGGAAAGCCAGAGAGCAACCTTCCTATGTTTGCCATTTTCTCAAATGCCAAGGTACCAGATTTGGGGGGGTATCATGTACTGAACCTTGTTATATTATTAATACTATTACTATTGACTTCCTCTAGTGAGTAAGCTACCAGATGCATGAAGATAAAAACTGTCTGTTTCATTCTTAAAACCCCTCAAACCTACATGGTGATTTGCACATCTCAGGCTGTAAGTGATTGTCAAATAAAATTGAATTACTGAGTACTTTAAAAAGATATCTGGAAATATCATGATAACTATGATATAGCTGTAGAAAGTAAGACCACAGAAACCAAACTGTCTTCTTAAGAACAGAAAATCACTAAAAGAGCCAGGAATGCAAGTCAGTCATAAGCCCATGCTGCTGGTTCATGGACAATCTTCATATGACACCATTTTCCTGGTGTGAGAACAGATGCATTTATTCTGACCTTACGTCATGCAAATTTACTTATCCCTGGGCAAGGACAGGTTACGGGGTAGCTTTGGCATTGCTCATTCATTCCTGTATTTATCAGGTAACCCTGCACCAGGTCCTGCTTTAGGTGTCAGGAGACTACAGTAAATCAAACAAACCGCATTGGCTCAAAAACTGACATTTGGGAGAGCTAGACAAAACAAAATACTAGTTTATATTAAATTATGATAAGTGTGAAGCATAATATTGAGGGGCTGCTCCATCAGATCACCTATCATGACAGTATCAGTTCCTGGCACATTTATTGGCACCCCTTTCTGGAGGCAATGGACTGGAGGTCCCCACCACTTGGTCAATGAAGTGAAATGTATGGATTTGATGCTGAGAGGGGTTTGACATTGCTATTCTTCTATCAATCCTGGTGTAAAAAATATACACTGTATTCCATAGCCCATCTAGGGAAGAATCCTACTACCAGGCATGGACAGAAACTTAAGTGGCTCAAGAAGACCCAGCAGCTCAAAATGAGGCAGTACCCCTGGATGGGAAAGGTATACCTCCTATCCAGCCACAGGTAGAGAGACACCCGCCTATAGGTAAATGGTCCCAATCCTGACTCCATCCCAAATATCACCACAAGATAAACAGAGTTAATTACGGTAGGGTTAAATTTCTTTTCGCAGATAGAAGATAGGTTACATTAGATGATGTGCTCTAAATTCCCAGAGATTATTTTACAGGAAAAGAAAATTTTTACAGCTATCAACTTCACTTTAAGGTTTTCGAGGGCCCTTCAAGATTTTATGTCCTCTCACAAATGCCACAAGCACAAATAAATATTGCTCTTTAAAACAAATTAATGTCAACCTGAGTATAAATGAGTCAGACCTATGAGTCTCCAAGCATTATGTTTCATTACCCTGCCAAAACCAAGCCTTTCTAGACTAGTCTTAAGGCTCTGGTTCTGTGAATAGGCCTGCTGAAGAAATATTTCACCTAATAACATCAACTGTCTTAAGATTCACTTTGGATAAATTGCTTTTTCTTATAGCAACTGAATGAAAAAAAAAACTGAACTAACAAGAGAAACACGAAAAACCACAGAATCAATCAATAATGCTTCCCTGTCCCCAATTATTACATTAAACTGCATTAAGAGCCTGGCCAGCTATTGGTCCATGCTTCATAATCCTTCATGTTTCTTCCAAATAATCACACTCTTCAAAGTAAGATATTCCTATATAATCATGATGCTTGATCAACTTGCCTTATCAAATGACTTGCAAAAAATATCTATACCTCTGCTCTGGGAAAGCCCCTGTGAGAAATAACATATTGAATAGTTTAGATTCAAATCACTGCCCTGATTTAAGCCCTATGGAAAAAATAACACTAGAGTAAATAATATTGAGTGCTACCCACAACCCCATATATCAAAGACTGTCAAGGACATTTAGTATTGAAGGCCATTCCAGTACTAAGCCCCAGGAGATTTACAAGAGGTCGGGGTGATTAGGTCTCCTTAATTAGAATGTAAATTTATTTATTGATTTATTGTATCAGACAGATCAATTAGTAGCTACCAATTTTTTTAACATGTTCATTTTCTATTTCAATGATAGATATCAATTAAATATTAATCAGAATCTCCCACCTCACCTGTAGTTTCAATGTTCTGAGCTCAAGTTAAGCATGACAGGGACATTCTATGTTCCAATTTTATTCCATCCTGGCTTCAAAGTTTTGGAAACAGAATACCTCACACTACACGAATAAAATTTGCAACAAACTGCTAACTGAGGCAAAATAGTATTCATTTGTGTGTAGGTATATGTCACGCATGTACCCTCAGGCCAGCTCTGTAACCCCACGAAGACCCAAGTGATTTCTCCTTCATCCCAGAGCAAAGAGGGAGAAAGAGCTGCTTAGCTGTGCACGTTGAGGAGGTGATCTGGAAATCTGCTTGTTCCTCTGAAGACTATGAACCATTCGTTCAGAGCTTCCTCAGGCCTCCAGCTCCTGAGTCTTTCTGCTGTTCTGCAGCACAAATGAGCTTCCCTCTTGCTGCATTCCTTCTCTGTAGGCTTTCTGCTTTTATAGTCTGCTAAGTCAGTTACTAGTCCATATCATTTCCAGCTTTCAATTTTTTGTTGACATCTATTTTCTTCTGTCATTTCTGCTTCCCTTTTGTTCTTGTGCATTTATACCTTCGTCATTGCCTTGCTGTCACATAAAACGGTTTCATGAAAGAGTAGAGGAAAATCCATGTATTTAATCTGCCCTGCGTAGCCAGAAGCCTCTACTATACTATGTGATACCACTCCACTCCAAGCTAAATCTATCTGAGCCAAGATGGCTAAGTTCCCTGGTGGGACAGACTAATGTAAAACAAACTGAATGGCATTGCTTTTCTTCTTTCCTGTTTCTTCATTGCCATGGATCAGGTTACGTGCAAATAATAATAATAATCAGCAATGCTATAAATAAATCATATTAAGGCAGGGCTTACAGATAAATCCCAAAGTTCAAATGTAAGTATCTTGCCAATTGTTTACTAACTTGTCAAGATATTAAAAATAGAAAACTAACACTCAAGACAACAGAAATAGTTGAGCCATGGTGCCAGGGCATAACCCAAGAACTCGGACTAGACAGTACAAGCATATCAAATAAATATTTAGCTTAGGTATCAGAGCACTGTCATTAAGAGCACAGGGCCAGGAACCAGGCTGCCTGGGTTCAAATACCACCTCTGCCACTGACGAGATGCATAACTTTAGACAAGTTACTTAACCTCGATGTGTCTCAGTTACTGTATCTGAAAATGGGAGTGATAATAATAAGAAAGCCTCATATGGTGGTATGAGGAGTAAACAAATTAAAACTTGTTAAGTACTTAGAATACCCTCTGACACATAGTAACTACTACACAAGTATTGAGAAAGGTAGTTGAGGAAATGAATAAGTGAAAATAATATGGATTCTTCTGGTCAAGAGAGAAAAAAAAGACCCTAACCTCAAGCCACCATTTTAAACTAGAACTTAACCTGTATTACCCTTAAAAAAACGAGGGCAAACCAACACGTAAAAAGAAACCAAAAAAGCAAGATCTTCACTTTTGAGCTTCCAGGAAATCAGGCCTCAAGATTTATAAACACTGTGTCTTAATGGGAATTTTTCAGCTGCACCAGGCTTTACCTTAAATGCTTGCCTAGGGGAAAATCCAGTCCACCTGTTAGAGGCTGGCCCTGCAAGGGTAAGTGTTGAAACCCCAGGTTGCTTGGTGACATCTGGGCATCCACGCCTGTGGTGCTCCCAACCTACCCTCCACTTGGCAGGTGTAGGTTGCGTTTTCTGGCTCCTCTGAGCAGCCTCATTGCCTGGGAGCCAGGCTGTGCTGCACTCTCCCTGCCTGTCTTAAGGAAGATTCCTGTGAAGCCCCTAAATCTGCACTCATGCTCATCCTCTCCACTATTCCTCTTTCCTTTTCTACCCCTATTTCTTAGGTGGAATCTGCCTGAAAAGCCCAAAGCCTGACCTGGAGATCAACCAATCTTCTGGGCATCCATTCAGACAAGGGCTAGGGTTGGCAGCCTGTGGGCTCAACGTCCTACCCATACACTGAGTCCCTGCTTCCCTTTAACTCCCTGGTACTAGTACTGTCTCCTGTTTGCTACCAGTATACCATAGGACAGGAGTCAATCCTAACCATCTGGACACACAGATATCTCCAGGATGCTCCCCAAAAGTTTCCTTGACATCTTGTCTCTTTTTCCCCTCCCCCTAAATCTACACTATTCTGGACATCCATTCTGCTCCTGTCTCTCCAGCAAAGCCACCCTCCTCAGAACCAGCTGCTCCCTGCAACCTCCAATCCCTGGGCAGAGGAGACATATGCTCTTCATGGGGTGAGGTTGGGGTGGCCTGGGGAGAACTCTCCTGAGATAGTAAAAGACAGAAAAAGCCAAAGGAGACTGATCTCAGGGTATAGCCACCTTGTTAAGTCTTTTTTTTATCACCATTTTTATTAAGAAATATTTTACACATATAATATGAAGATCTATGGAGTTGTAAAAAATAATAAAATTATCACATGTTCCTACAAGCCAGCTTAAGAAATAGGATACACAAATAATTAATTAAAAGATCCTTTCCCAATTGTATACTCCCCTGGCTCCCTCGAAGTTGATCACTGTCCTTGATTAGCTCTTATTGAGCCCAACGTGAGGAAAACAGCATGGCCTCTCCAGAAAATGTGGTATGACTATTTTCTGATTCCAGCTATTCATCCTATTTTCCTTTACATCCTGTCCACCAGAAAACTCGTAGTCAAGTCTCCATCCTAACAGTTTAACCCTTCTAATATGCCTGATTTCTTACCACCATTCATTCTATTAACCCTTATGTGCATGTATATCCATGACTGAGTTTTCAGTAGAAGAGGGAATCACTCAAGGAATCAAAGCCATTCAGAAATGCTCCCTCAAAGCCTAAAGCAAACTCAGGCTACTGAAAAATCAATGTCCAAATGATAAGGTAGGTTGACTCTCATCTGGCACCTACTCTAACCCTTGTCTGGTGCATCTTTAGGATGGCACAGGCTAGAAAACATAAAGTACACTTTCTATCCATTCTTGAAACTAGAGTTCTAGATGTGACTTAGTTTCCTCCAAGCAGTCATTATTGCATAATACTTGAATTCAAAACTGAGTTAAGAGGAGATAGAACAGGTCTCATGCAGATTGTTTGGGAGTGAGAGAGATGGGCATGAACACAGCGGACACTGTGCATTCTTGTAGTTAGCGATTCTGAAAGGAGTTTCTAGTCTGTAGAGAGTAAGTAAATGATGCGATCCTAAGGTCAGAAGTTGGGACACTGGCTCCCCAATTTCTCACCTTCCAGGATGCGGCAGGGGGAGACATTCCCTTAATGGTCAGTTCTATATGGTGTTATTTCAGGATTCATTCCTGGAAACCAAGTCAAGAACCTTCTCCTCCAGTTCTTCCAGTGATTTTGTAAACATTTAACTCCTCATATCAAATCATCTCCTGCTGAAAATAACCAAAGGGTTTACTGCTGTTGGCAATTTAATTCTGGCTAATATGTGGAATAGAGAGAGAGAAGTTGACAGAGTAAAGCTTGATAATAAAAAAACACCAGCTCATGCTTTTATCAAGAAAATAAGGCATAACCAGATATCTATTTTTAAATAAAATTGCTTACTTTTAATTTTATATAATGCTTTTACTGTTATTAATAACTTTTTTTAGCATGGCCATGTTATCAATTATCAATAATAATAAAACATAATTATTTGCAGAACATTGATGTTGTATCAAGCACTACATAAGTATTTTATACACTTAGCTCATTTAAGCTTTACAAGTCTATGAGATACGTATTTGTATCCATTCTATAGGTGAGAAAATTAGAGTTAAGAGAGGTTAATTAGTAATTTTCCAAGGTCAAACAGCTGATAGGTGGTAGAGATAAAATCCGAAACCTGTCAGCCTCCAAAACTCACCTCTTAAACTCTTTATTATACTATCTCTGTAAGCTTATGAAATTCACGGCATGAAGAATGAAAAAGGAGTCTGCCTTGATAATATCCGACTCTTCTTTAAGTATCCTCTTGTGTGATATCCTTGGCCCCTCTTACAAATTCTTCAGATTGTTTTGTGTAGACTCTATTTAACAATCTTCAGGAAATACTTTGGAAACACTAATGGAATTGAACTGTTAAAATATAAAATCTCATTGCCCCTAGCAAGAATTCTCTCTAAAATTAGAGCCAGGTTTTGCTTATAATTTAACAGTCTTTTCCCCATCATTTGCATAGTGATAGAGCTTTTATAGTTTTAATTCTGAATTTATATTCCAGAAATGTCAATCTGGAGGCTGTAATCCTACTAACTTTTCTGCATGCCTATTTTTCTGAATATGTATAAATGTTTATTTTCTTTAAGCAGCACATTTCAGAGGTAAAATGTATTTGGAAGACTTTAATCTATGCACAAGCCATCATTAAACTTCCCTGGCATATCTTTCTCTTACAGTTAACCAAATTACATTTGGGTATTTGAAGCAAATGAGGATATAACAAAGTGATTTGGGTGGACAAAATGTATGAACTGCATCCTGTTTATGCAACATTTTTACAATTGTATAAGCTGACAGCTATGCTTAGAGAAACAGTGGAAGAAACAAAATCGTTCACTCAGTGGTTTATAAGAAAAAGAAAAAAATGTCAATTTTCAAGATAAAAGTGTGGAGTCAAGAATGAGTTTTATTTTTTTTAAAAATTCTCATTACAAAGTCCTTGAAAGAATGTCAAGAACAACACAGTTTATGACTATTGGGAAAGTGGATCTCCTCTTAGAATTGGAAGCCTCTATCCTTTCTTTCTGCGTCTCTCTATATAAAGATGTTTCTGTCAGCTTGGGTGCATTTTCATCAAATTTGGAGTATGCATTTGGGAAGCTAGGACTAAACATAGAGCAGTGACATATGTTGAATCAACTTGGGCAGGGAGAGCTGGGGGGACTCCGAGTGGCTGATGCTGAAACACTGCAGGGAGGCCTCTAACCAGAGAAAACATACAGAGGTCTTCATTGAGGGCTCCAGAATCAATCATTCCAATGGCAGATACTCTAAACTGCTCTTCTGATTTTGGACTGAGTTGCTTCTCACCTGGACCACACAACATAACTCAGATGCACTGATTTTCAACCCCAGCTGCATGTTAGAATCACTTGGAGAACTTTTAAAGACTGTGGGTGCCCAGGTCCCAGCCAGACTAGATCAACTGGAACCTGGGGGTGGGAGGTGGGAGGAGGACAGGACAAGTGGCCCCAAGACACCTGCATTTTTAAAAGCTCCCCAGGTGAGTCTAAGGTATAGCCAGAGTTGAAAACCACTGGTTCAGGGTGAATAGCAGCTGGAATTTATATAATCATGGTTAATGATTCTCTTATGAGTAACATGGAGGAGGCCAGCTAGTATTATACAAAGTTAAAATGACATTTTGCTTAGGAATAATTGGAAATATTTTTTGTCAAGTGTTTATGTCTGTGTCTGACAACACACTTACAAGAAAGCTTAGACACTGAAAAGTTAGAAGCCTATGGGAGCTCAGAAGTGAGATTTGGGTTGTGCACCGTGGCTCATGCCTATAATCCCATGTTGGAGAGGCAGACATGGGAGGATTGCCTGAGCCCAGGAGTTTGAGACCACCCTGGGCAACAAAGTGAGACCTGATTTCTAAATTAAATAATAATAATAAATTTTTAACATAATAAAAGAAGTGGGATTTGCTCTCAGCAGAGCCAAGCTCAGCTATATCCAAGTCCTCTGCTTATACAAAGATATCCTCTAGACATAGGTGTTATAATTTCTACTTCCTAAGATGAACTTTTTTTCTATTCAGCTTTTTTCTATTCAAGATCTCATTCCTGTGTAGCTCTGGTTTGAAACCAATAGAAACTTGAGTTTTAAAATCCTGATGTGAGGTTTCTATCATTTTGGCTAGCACTGTTCATTTAGAGTAACTTAACTTCAGTAGAGGAGGATAAATTAGGATCTCCCAAAAAACTTTAAAGGGACCTGCTCTTTTTTTAAGAGTTTTTCCTAAGCATCCTGTATGGATTTCCTTCATTCTCTTTAAGACTGAATGGAATTTTACTGTATATATGATCTAGTGTCTTCCCTCATACCTCACACAGGACAGACAATCAATATTTGTTGACTTAACAAATTAAATATTTAACTATTCTCCCAAATGATGGGTAGGGGCATCTGGTTGACAATAACAGACATATTCAAGGAAATAATTTGTAGCAAAGCTGAGTAGAAGATTCCTCTGAGCTGACAAGCATTTCCCATGTCTCCCATGCAATCAGCTTTGAATTCCAACTTCAGGGACAGAAGGCACTTGCTTGTTGCCTTATAGGCATCATGACTGGCACAAATAAATCTCTTCCTTGCAGCATTTTAGACAAGTGTGATCAACCAATCAATGAAAGCTACAGGCACCTCGAAAGAGCCTTTTCTTTCCAATGTCATTTCCTCCAGCAGCTGCTCCTTCCTTTTGGGAACCCCCGAGTTTATATATAAGCAGGGTTCAGAAGGAAGACAACGTTTTACTCGATGCCTCTCTCATTCAAGTAAATGGGCACTGGCCCATGCTCTGTTCTGCTGCTGGAACCAACTGGAGAGTCCAAAGCATCACATTTTTCCCAGAGGGAAAACTGATGGAAAAAAAAGATGGAACTTCAATGTTCAATCAATCCCAACCAATCAAGAAGCTTTCAATGCTGCTTCATTTACATAAAAGTAGAGCTAACAGCCAAAAAGCAGTCTTTAATTCAGGTATCAATGTATAATTCTCAAATATATGGCTCAATCTCAAATATATGGCTCAACCTGCCAGAGTTATAGAAATGACCTGGTAGAAAATGTATTCCTATCCTTGAAGGAGCTAAAAGTAGACATTTCTGTGTGTGTGTGTGTGTGTGTGTGTGTGTGTGTGTGTGTGTGTGTGTGTGTGCATGCGCATGAGTGTGTGTGAGAGAGAGATGAGAGAGACAGATTCATCACTATCAAGATAAGAGCTGAAGAATTTCTTTAAACAGAGCCCCCACTGTTAAGTGGACTCCAAAGGATAAAGGTTTCTCTCACTGACTTGAACCTCATTATTAATTATATTTATTATTAGTTCCTTTCCTTGAATATGTCTGTTATCATCAGCCAGATGCCCCTACCCATCAGTGGGGAGAATAGTTAAATATTTAATTTGTTAAGTCAACAAATATTGATTGTCTGTCATATGTGAGGCACTAGGGAAGACAGTGGTTCACACATACAATAAAGTTCCATTCAGTCTTTAAAGAGAATGAAGGAAATTGATACAGGATGCTTAGGAAAAACTCTTAAAAAAAAGAAAAGATGTCCAATGTGTATAGTATCTTGCATTTGTGTTTTAAAAAGTATTTACATTTATATTTATATGTTCACATAATTACATCGAAATCTTTTGGTGCTATACACAAGAAACCACTGACAAACTCTGAAGACTAGGGTGTCTCTAGGGTGGAAGGGAGACAATTTGCATCATAATGTTTGCCATTTTTTACATGTACATTTGTTATTTTAATAAAAAATAAAATGTCTAAGTCATGAGCAGTATTTTCTAGAGTAGAAAGATTATTTACACTGAGAATGAAGAGTGATTTCAAAGAATCATGAATTTTCCTAATTTTCCCCAATTTTAAATCTTAAAACTATGAATTTTCCAATAAAATTAGTATTCATAAAATAATTAGGGGTTTGGCAAATATGCAAGTTGTGTCTGTCAGCATAGTCCACTCACCCCGATTTCCATGTATGCATATGTGCACACTCCATGTCCCGTTTTTAATCCCTTTCTCTTCCTGCCCACCCCAACCCAGCCCCACACAATCTCAAACAGTCTATGCTGTAGGACACAGGTATACCTGTGATCATACATTACAGTTTGTAAACAGAATATTATGCTTTATATTCACAATGGATGGATAGGATATATTCTATTTACCCTACACACGTCTGTACATACACACACACACACACAATTATACACACACGCATATTGCCTGGTATTCATGTATTTTTCAACTGTGTGTCCTGAAACGATTTTTCTTTTTCAGTGAGTCATTCATTGGCCTGTGAAATAAAATGTTTTCCTACTCAGAGATTTGTAATGCCAATGTTCAAACCTACATAGTGTACTGTCATGAGAATTAAATAAACTGAAGCATGTGACAGTTCCTCACCCAGATCCTAGCACAAAGCAGTCACTCAATAAATGTTTGTGGAATATAAGTGCATTAAATATGTGTTGAATGTGAACGCAAACCTATGAATATTTTAGCAAATAACCTCTAACAGATAGAACCATGTTAGAAAACTACCAGTTGGATGGCCAAATAGGAACAGCTCCGGTCTGCAGCTCCCAGCAAGACCAAGGCAGAAGGTGGGTGATTCCTGCATTTCCAGCTGAGGTACCTGGCTTATCTCACCGGGACTGGTTAGACAGCGGGTGCAGCCCATAGTGGGCCAGCAGAAGCAGGGTGGGGCATCGCCTCACCTGGGAAAGTGCAAGGAGTCAGGGAACTCCCTCCTCTAGCCAAGGGAAGCTGCTAGGGACTGTGCTGTGAGGGACTGTGCTCTCCAGCCCAGATGCTATGCTTTTCCCATGGCTTTTGCAACGGCAGACCAGGAGATTCCTGGTCTCATGTGCCTACACCACCAGGACCCTGGATTTCAAGCACAAAACTATGTGGTCATTTGGGCAGACACCAAGCTAGCTGCAGGAGTTTTTTTGTTTTGTTTTGTTTTGTTTTGTACCCCAGTGGCGCCTAGAACACCAGCAAGACAGAACCGTTCACTCCCCTGGAAAGGGGGTTGAAGCTAGGGAGCCAAGTGTTCTCACTCAGTGGGTTCCACTTCCATGAAGCCCAGCAAGCTAAGAACCAGTGGCTTGAAATTCTCACTGCCAGCACAGCAATCTGAAGTTGACCTGGGACGATTGAGCTTGGTGTGGGGAGGTGCATCTGCCATTACTGAGACCTGAGTAGGTGGTTAAACCCCTCACAGTGTTAACTCTGACTGTGTGGAACTCACCGCAGTGTGGCAAAGGTCCTGGGGCTGGACTGCCTCTCTAAATCCTACTCACTTGGCAGGACATCTCTGAAAGAAAGGCGGCAGCCTCAGTCAGGGGCTTATAGATAAAACTCCCATCTCCCTGGGACAGAGCACTTGGGGGTAGGGGCAGTTGTGGGTGCGGCTTTTAGTGGACTTAATGTTCCTGCCTGCCGGCTCTGAAGAGAGCAGTGGATTTACCAGCACAGCCCTAGAGCTCTGCTAAGGGACAGACTGCCTCCTCAAGTGGGTCCCTGACACCCATGCCTCCTGACTGGGAGATACCTCCCAGCAGGGGTCAACAGACACCTCATACAGGAAAGCTCCAGCTGGTATCAGACAGGTGTCCCTCTGGGACAAAGCTTCCAGAGGAAGAAGCAGGCAGCAATCTTTGCTTTTCTGCAGCCTCCGCTGGTGATACCCAGGCAAACAGGGTCTGGAGTGGACCTCCAGCAAACTCCAGCAGACCTGCAGAAGAGAGTCCTGTTAGAACTAACAAACAGAAAGCAATAACATCAACATCCACAAAAAGGACACCCACAGAAAAACCCCATCCAAAGGCCATCAGCATCAAAGATCAAAGGTATATAAATCCACGAAGATGAGGAAAAACCAGTGCAAAAATGCTGAAAATTCCAAAAACCAGAATACCTCATCTCCTCCAAATGATTGCAATTCCTCTCCAACAAGGGCACACAACTGGATGGAGAATGAGTTTGACGAATTAACAGAAGTAGGCTTCAGAAGGTGGGTAATAACAAGCTCCACTGAGCTAAAGGAGCATGTTCTAACCCAATGCAAGGAAGCTAAGAACCTTGATAAAAGGTTACAGGAACTGCTAACTAGAATAACCAGTTTAGGGAAGAACATAAATGACCTGATGGAGCTGAAAAACACAGCACGAGAACTTCATGAAGCATACACAATATCAATGGCTGAATTGATCAAGCGGAAGAAAGGATATCAGAGATTGAATATCAACTTAATGAAATGAAGAGTGAAGACAAGATTAGAGAAAAAAGAATGAAAAGGAACAAATAAAGCCTCCAAGAAATATGGGACTATGTGAAAAGACCAAAGCTATGATTGTACCTGAAAGTGACAGGGAGAATGGAACCAAGTTGGAAAACACACTTTAGGATGTTATCCAGGAGAATTTCCCCAACCTAGCAAGACAGCCAAACATTCAACTTCAGGAAATACAGAGAACACCACTAAGATACTCCTTAAGAAGAGTAACCCCAAGAAACATAACCATCAGATTCTCCAAGGTTGAAACAAAGGAAAAAATGTTAAGGGCAGCCAGACAGAAAGGTCAGGTTACTTACAAAGGGATGCCCATCTAACTAACAGTGGATCTCTCAGAAGAAACCCTACAACCCAGAAGAGAGTGGGGGCCAATATTCAACATTCTTAAAGAAAAGAATTTTCAACCCAGAATTTTATATCCAGCCAAAAACTAAGCTTCATAAGCAAAGGAGAAATAAAATCCTTTACAGACAAGCAAATGCTAAGGGATTTTATCACCACCAGCCTGCCTCACAAGAGCTCCTGAAGGAAGCACTAAATATGGAAAGGAAAAACTGGTACCAGCCACTGCAAAAACATACCAAATTATAAAGACCAATGACACTATGAAGAAACTGCATCAACTAATGTGCAAAATGATCAGCTAGCATCATGATGACAGGATCAAATTCACACACAACAATATTAACCTTAAATGTAAATGGGCTAAATACCCCAATTAAGAGACACAGACTGGCAAATTGGATAAAGAGTCAAGACCCATTGGTGTGCTGTATTCAGGAGACCCATCTCATGTGCAAAGACACATATAGGCTCAAAATAAAGGGATGGAGGAATATTTACCAAGCAAATGGAAAGCAAAAAAAAAAAGCAGGGGTTGCAATCCTAGTCTCTGATAAAACAGACTTTAAACCAACAAGGATCAAAAAAGACAAAAAAGGGCATTACATAATGGTAAAGGGATCAATGCAACAAGAAGAGCTAACTATCCTAAATATATATGCACCTAATACAGGAGCTCCCAGATTCATAAAGCAAGTTCTTAGAGACCTACAAAGAGACTTAGACTCCCACACAATAATAGTGGGAGACTTTAACACCCCACTGTCAATATCAGACAGATCGATGAGACAGAAAATTAACAAGGATATTCAGGACTTGAACTCAGCTCTGGACCAAGCAGACCTAATAGACATCTACAAAACTCTCCACCACAAATCAACAGAATATACATTCTTCTTAGCACCACATAGCAATTATCCTAAAATCGACCATATATTTGGAAGTAAAACACTCCTCAGCAAATGCAAAAGAATGGAAAACATAACAGTCTCTCAGACAACAGTGCAATCAAATTAGAACTCAGGATTAAGAAACTCACTCAAAACCACACAACTACATGGAAATGGAACAAACCTGCTCCTGAATAACTACTGAGTAAATAACGAAATTAAGGCAGAAATAAATAAGTTCTTTGAAACCAATGAGAACCAAGACACAACGTATCAGAATCTCTGGCACACGGCTAAAGCAATGTTTAGAGGAAAATTTATAGCACTAAATGCCCACAACAGAAAGTGGGAAAGATTTAATATCACAATTAAAAGAACTAGAGAAGCAAGAGCAAACAAATTCAAAAGCTAGCAGAAGACAAAAATAACTAAGATCAGAGCAGAACTGAAGGAGACACAGACATGAAAAACTCTTCCAAAAATCAAGGAATCCAGGAGCTGTTTTTTTGAAAAGATTAACAAAATAGACCACTAGCCAGACTAATAAAGAAGAGAGAAGAATCAAATAGACACAATAAAAAATGATAAAGGGGATATCACCACTGATCCCACAGAAATACAAACTACCATTAGAGAATACTATAAACACCTCTACACAAATCAACTAGAAAAATCTAGAAGAAATGGATAAATTCCTGGACACATACACCCTCCCAGGACTAAAACAGGAGGAAGTCCCTGAATAGACCAATAACAAGTTCTGAAATTGAGGCAGTAATTAATAGACTACCAACCAAAAAGAAGTCCAGGACCAGATGAATTCACAGCCAAATTCCACCAGAGGTACAAAGAGGAGCTGGTATTATTCCTTCTGAAACTATTCCAAACAATAGAAAAAGAGGGACTCCTCCCTAACTCATTTTATAAGGCCAGCATCATCCTGATACCAAAACCTGGCAGAGACACAACAAAAAATGAAAATTTCAGGCCAATATTTCTGATGAACATTGATGCAAAAATCCTCAATAAAATACTGGCAAACTGAAACCAGCAGCATATCAAAAAGCTTATCCAGGCCAGGCGTGGTGGCTCACGCCTGTAATCCCAGCACCTTGGAAGGCCAAGGCAGGCGGATCACGAGGTCAGGAGATCGAGACCATCCTGGCTAACACAGTGAAACCTCATCTCTACTAAAAATACAAAATAATAATAATAATAGCCAGGCATGGTGGTACACACCTGTAGTCCCAGCTACTTGGGAGGCTGAGGCAGGAGAATCACTTGAACCTGGGAGGCGGAGGCTGTAGTGAGCCGAGATCATGCCACTGCAGTCCAGCCTGGGCAACAGAGCAAGACTCTGTCTCAAAAAAAAAAAAAAAAAAAAAAAAAAAAGCTTATCCACCACTATCAAGTTGGCTTCATCCCTGGGATGGAAGGCTTGTTCAACATATGAAAATCAATAAACGTAATCCATCACATAAACAGAACCAATGACAATAAACCACATGATTATCTCAATAGACGCAGAAAAGGCCTTCAGTAAAATTCAACATCCCTTCATGCTAAAAGCACTCAACAAACTAGGTATTGATGGAATGTATCTCAAAATAATAAGAGTTATTTATGACAAAGCCATAGCCGATATCATACTGACTGGGTAAAAGCTGGAAGCATTCCCTTTGAAAACTGGCACAAGACAAGGATGCCCTCTCTCACCACTCCTTTTCAACATAGTATTGGAAGGTCTGGTCAGGGCAATCAAGCAAGAGAAAGAAAGAAAGTGTATTCAAATAGGAAGACAGAAGGTCAAATTGTCTCTGTTTGCAGATGACATGATTGTATATTTAGAAAACTGCATTGTCTCAGCCCAAAAACTCCTTAAGCTGATAAGCCACTTCAGCAAAGTCTCAGGAAACAACATCAATGTGCAAAAATCATAAGCAATCCTATACACCAATAGCAGACAAACAGAGAGCCAAATCATGAGTGAACTCCCATTCACAATTGCTACAAAGAAAATAAAATACCTAGGAATACAACTTACAAACGAAGTGAAGGACCTCTTCAAGGAGAACTACAAACCACTGTTCAAGGAAATAAGAGAGCACACAAACAAATGGAAAAACATTCCATGCTCATGGATAGGAAGAATCAATATCGTGAAAATGGCCATACTGCCCAAAGTAATTTATAGATTCAATGCTATTCCCATTAAGCTAACATTGACTTTCTCCACAGAACCAGGAAAAAATACTTTAAATTTCATATGGAACCAAAAGAGAGCCCATATAGCCAAGACAATCCAAAGGAAAATGAACAAACCTGAAGGCATCACACTACCTGACTTCAAACTATACTACAAGGCTACAGTAACCAAAACAGATACATAGACCAATGGAACAGAACGGAGGTCTCACAAATAACACCACACACCTACAACCATCTGATCTTTGAGAAACCTGACAAAAACAAGCTATGGGGAAAGGATTCCCTATTTAATAAATGGTGCTGGGCAAACTGGCTAGTCATATGCAGAAAACTGAAACTGGACCCCTTCATTACACCTTATACAAAAATTAACTCAAGATGGATTAAAGACTAAAATGTAAAACCTAAAACAATAAAAACCCTAGAAGAAAACCTAGGCAATACCATTCAGGACATAGGCATGGGCAAAGACTTCATGACTAAAACAACGAAAGCAATGGCAACAGAAGCCAAAATTGACAAATAGGATCTAATTAAACTAAAGAGCTTCTGCACAGCAAAAGAAACTATCATCAGAGTGAACAGACAACCTACAGAATGGGAGAAAATTTTTGCAATCTATCCATCTGACAAAGATCTAATATCCAGAATCTACAAGGAACTTAAACAAATTTACAAGAAAAAAGAAAACGACCCCATCAAAAAGTGGGTGAAGGATATGAGCAGACGTTTCTCAAAAGAAGACATTTATGTGGCCAAAAAACATGAAAAAAGCTCACCATCAGTGGTCATTAGAGAAATGAAAATTAAAACCACAATGAGATACCATCTCATACCAGTTAGAATGGTGATCATTAAAAAGTCAGCAAACAACAGATGCGGGTGAGGATGTGGAGAAATAGGAATGCTTTTATACTGTTGGTGGGAATGTAAATTAGTTCAACCAGTGTGGAAGACAGTGTGGCAATTCCTCAAGGATCTAGAATCAGAAATACCATTTGATCCAGCAATCCCATTACTGGGTATATGCCCAAAGGATTATAAGTCATTCTACCATAAAGACACATGCGCACATATGTTTACTGCAGTGCTATTCACAATAGCAAAGACTTGGAACCAACCTAAATGCCCATCAGTGATAGACTAGATAAAGAAAATGTGGCACATATACACCATGGAATACTATGCAGCCATAAAGAAGAATGAGTTCATGTTCTTTGCAAGGACGTGGATGAAACTGGAAACCATCTTTCTCAGCAAACTAACACAGGAACAGAAAACCAAACACCACATGTTCCCACTCATAAGTGGGAGTTGAATAATGAGAATGAACGGGCACAGGGAAGGGAACATCACACACTGGGATCTGTCAGGGGTTAAGGGGCAAGCAGAGGGAAAGCATTAGGACAAATACCTAATGCATACAGGGCTTAAAACCTAGATGATGGGTTGATGGGTGCAGCAAGCCACCATGGTACATGTATACCTATGTAACAAACCTGCATGTTCTGCACATGTAACCCAGAACTTAAAGTTTAATTTAAAAAAAAAGAAAACTACTAGATGTTTTTCTCTTTAATTAGAGAAAACAATAAATATATCAATATGTCAATATAGTATTTTCAATTCATTGCAACATGACCAGGGTAAACACCTAAGTATTTATTTCTGGAAGTGATGCTACAGTAAACATTGAAATTGAAGAATAATGTCTAATACAATTTTCCAGAATAGAGGAGCCTTTTGTTTTTCAACACCAATTATTGTATTGGAAGAAACTTTCTATTTAAATAACAGGTTTTTACACCAACCACAGCTAATAGGGCCCATTGCATAAACAAGTGCATTGTGTAACAGTTTTAGGATGACACTTGATATACAGTCTGGATACTCGTCCCTGCCCAGCTCTCATGTTGAATTGTAATCCTCAGTATTGGAGGTGGGGACTGGTGGGAGGTGTTTGGGTCATGGGGGCAGATACCTTATGAATGACTTGGGCCAACCCCATTGGTGATAGTGAGCTCTCACTCTAAGCTCATGAGAGATCTGTTGGTTTAAAAGTGTGTGGCACCTCCCCACTGCCTTGCTCATGCTTCTGCCATGGGACATGCAAGCTCCCACTTCTTCTGCCTTGAATGAAAGTTTTCTGAGGCTTCACCAGAAGCTATGTTTCCCACACAACCTGCAGAACCATGAGCCAATTAAACCTCTTTTCTTTATAAATTACCCAGTCTCAGGTTTTTCTTTATAGCAATGTGAGAATGGCCTAATACACTTAAGAAAATAATACCCTAAAAATGAATTTCACTTTTTCAAGGCATTTGAACATGCGCTATTCCACTTCATGCTTTTCCACAATTATATGAATTCAAGATGGTATGAAAAGAAACAGGGAATTGTCTTGAATAGTTAAGTGCTTCATCCAAGTCTCTGCCAAGAGACTTCATATCCTTGTACCTTCTGGTGGCCACGATTGCTAAGACACCATCAAATGAATGTAGGACTCCTCTCACTTAAGAATAGCTTTTCAGAGTAAGAAAAGAGATGCTATATTTGATGTACATCTCTGCTCTGATAAGTACACTGATTCAAAAAATGATTCAGTTTTTTAAAATGTGCCCACTAGAATTCAAACTTTATGACATAGCTAAGGTTCTTAGCCTTAGTTTATTAATGACATTTTTGTTCATAAGTGTAATTCAGACAATAACACGATATTAATGTAATCCTTGTCATTCATTCCAGTGGCAACTTTCTCTGTGTAACATGCTTTGCACTGAAACTAGTTTATGCTCCTGGCACAGCATCTTTAAAGTAGAAAATTTATTACATAAACATTTCCAGCAAATTCAATTAGCACCACCAATACAAAAAAAAAAAAAATCACACTAGCTTACGTGAGTTGATACTGGTCTGATTTATACGGCAAAACTGTCTGACTCTTGCCTCATAATCTAAAATTTCATAGTAGGAACACTGTAAAGTTATCTGATTTGTGGTACGTTTGAGGAAGGGTAATCTCCTCTTATGCCATCATTCTCCTAAATGCCCAGAAATTTTACTCAAGGTCAGTTGGAGCACTGAATGCTCTGTGAGTCACTGATGCTCAGGCTTGCCTGCCGTTCTTTTATAGGATCTCTGTGGGCCAGAAAATCATGAAAATATAGTTCTACAAAAAAATAAATTCCTCCAACACTGAATTCTCTTTCCAATATTACAATTTCATGGGGAGAAAATGGAAGAAAATGAGTGATTATGTTCCAATTTCATTTTAAAACTACAGTGATAGTGCTACATTGTTAAACTAATCTCATTTCTAGAACATACATGTAAGGACAAAAATATCAAGTTAACAAATTGTTTTTATCTTATAACCTTCCATTATGACAAAAGCAACAAAAACTCGAATGCCTTCTCTAGTAAGAGAACATGGATAGTGCTAGCGTTGATACAGGGGTCTATCCATTCTAAAATGTCAAGACACAGAAATAGTGAAGAGAAGGCAGCCTGAGTAGATGAAAACGATAAAAACTTTCTCATATTGACACAACATTCCTTTGTTCAACTGAAATCAGTGCTTTTGAAAACCCACTTGGCTGACAGCCCTGAGCCTGGGGCATTCTCCATTTCCTTTACAAATTAAGTCAGTTATTTCAACTCTGCCCCTTGCCCCAGGCCTGCACTTCCCTTTTACAGAACCTCCCTCCTATTGACTTCAGGGCACAAGTTCATCCTTCTCTAACTCTTGCTTTTCACACTAAAGTTCATACACCTGAAAGGAAAACCTATAAATAAGCTCTCAGGACAAATAAAAATCCATCAATGCGAAGGTCAGGGAGAGCTTTCAATGATACAAGCGCACATTCATTCAATTATTCATTCATTCATTTGCCAGCACCCACTCTGCAGCAGGCCCAATGCTAGGCCTGGAGACACGCATAATAATAAAATAAGACTCAGTCCCTTGTCTCAGAGGTGTTTACAATCCGGTCAGCGTAACTAACATAAATTAAAGTTAGGATGCATGTGCTAAGAGTAGTATAAATAAAATGCTATGGGGGACCGAAGAATGACCCTTGCACTAAAGTCTCTTTGCCTCTGGGTCCTCTTATTTATCAGGGTCTAACGTCACCAAGCAGCAGCTGAAAGGAAAGGAAGACAATGCTAGCAGTAGCAGCAGCCTCAGCAGTGCTCCTGACACTGAGTGGGAACTGGGGAGGGGTGGAGCTCACAAGACTTATTACCCAGCTTCTTACATTTTGATAAAGGGAGGAAACTTCCCTCCACTTCCCACAGGGGAACATAGGAGGGAATGCCGTCTGTAAGATATTCACAGCAACCTCTATCAAAGTTTCAGCCATTTCCCACTTTTACTCCAAAAGTGACCATATTCTGCAATCCAAAAATTGGGACATGGGATCTGACAAATAAGTTTTTTTCCAATCAAAAAGTATATTTTTATAAAGATCTAAAGACGGAATCACACATGGCTATATACTCAACATTTGTTGAGTCATTATTAAGCAGGGAATGGTCCATAAAACCTATCATGTGGGTTGGGATAGACAGTAACATGTATCCATGTCTTTGCTTCTACCACACCCAAACTGCATTGATGCTGATGCTACAAAAAGCCAATGGAAAGGATTGTTTTTTCCCAATTCCTGAGAAAACAAACTCAACAATATGCCCTTACAACACACACCTGTGGTATTCTAAGCTCATTCCTTCCAGGGAGAAGAAAAAAAAAAAAAACTCTAAAAAGTTATAACACCTCATTTATCCCAAACTTACAGGCATCAGACACACATCTATGAGCAAGCATGCGAGCAGGACGTGCCAATAGCATCCCCCACTAAGGACATGTACTAAACCTTATGAACATGATGATATCAAACAGGACATTTAGAACTTCAAGGATCCTATTAATTCTTATTTTGCATACAAGTGTAGTCACTTTGCTTTTCTGGTTTAATGACTCATCACAGATTAGAAACCAGGAATTTTAAAGGGGTAGAGAGAAGAAGTATTGAAGTTAGGCATACAAAGAGTTCTGGCACACTATAAATATTTGTTCTATAAACCAAAAAGGATCTGAGGCATGTCTCAATCAGTTTAGAGGTTTATTTTGCCAAGGTTAAGAGCCAGCCCACGACAGAGCCTCAGGAGGTCCTGAGAATATGTGCACAAGGTGTGGTTGAGTTACAGCTTGCTTTTATACATTTTAGGGAGACAGAAGTTACAGGTAAAGACATACGTCAACACACGTAAGCTATCACTGGTTTGCCCATCTCCAAATGGGCAGGTTGGGAGGGGTGCTTCCAGGTCATAGGTAAATTCAAAGATTTATTGACTGGCAATTGTAGAAACAGTTGAAGTCAGCCTGAGTTAAGATAGGGGGGATTGTGGAAGCCAAGGTTCTTGTTATGTAGACAAAGCCTCCCTGTAGAAGGCTTCAGAGAGAATAGATGGTGACTGTCTCTTATCAGACCTTAAAAGACATCAGACTCTGGAAAAAAACTAGTAATGGAAGGAGAGTCTCTATAGAACGCAAATTCCCCCGACAAGAAACAGCTTTGCAGGACCATTTCAAAATATGTCAAAGAAATATATTGTGGGGTAAAATACTTTTATTTCTTTCAGGACCTGCTGTGTTATGTGGTACTATACCAGAGTCAGGTTGGAATTTGGTATCTTACTGCTACAAAAAGTCTGTTTTGTCAGTCATAAGAGTTCTGTTTTCATGTTAATGCTGATCAATTGTGTCTAAACTCCAAAGAGAGGAGAGTATAAACAGGCATGTCCTGGTGCTCCCTTCCCATCATGGCTGGAACTAGTTCTTCAGGTTTCTTTGGGATCCCTTTGGCCAAGAGGAAGATCCATTCTTTTGGCTAGGGGTGCCTAGAATTTTATTTTGGGTTTACAGTTCCACGAATGAAGGAATGAGAAAACAAGTCACATCAAATAGACTTGCAATAAAAAGACAATGTTTTAAAGTCTGTTCAAAAGACATCCAGGACTATTCATTGCCTTTAAAATTTTCTATACAGATCAGTTATGCTTACTACTATTTGCCAATTCTAATGATACTCACCATTAAGAAACTCACATTTTATTCAGCATATTATGCTGAAGGAGCCATAAACATGAAAACTACACATTCAAGGTTTTTCACTACAAAATAGTTTCCACAAAAAGCTTCTGAAGTGGCGAGCTTCAGTTTTTGTAAAATTTGTTAACATGGGCACTCCATTCCCAAACAATGCAAGATAAATAGAGTGTTTACTTTGCCTTGAAAAGTACATTATTTATAGAGGTATGTTATACTCATTTAAAATAAACCCACTTAAGATGAAGAGAAAGCCCTTGTCTTTAATCATCCAGACTGAGATCTATACTGATTGAGCTTTCTGTATAATTACTCACATGTACATTTCACACTGTGTAGATACAATCTAGGGCCTACTGTAGGAATTGCAAGCAATTTGGGGATTTTGCAATAATGTCATTTTGGAAGATGGATGCATTTCTGATTCAACAATGGTTATTAATCTAGTAGCCTAGGAAAAAATTAACAGGCATCTAAAAATTTCTAAAATTGGTTTGCAAAGGTCTAGAATATGCAGTTTCCCAAACCATTCACATATTTGGGTAATTCCAAATAATTTATCTGCAGCTTTTATCTTGTAAAGTATCTCAAAAGAGAGCAGGCAAACCAGATAAGCTGGAAGGGGTGGGGGGCTGGGAGGGAGGAGTCAGACCAAATTGTTTAAAGTCATATTCAATATTATTGGTAGAAAGTTCTTTTTACCTGATATTTACTCTTAGAATACTTTCCTTTTAATCATGTATGCAATACTATAAGTATCTACCTCTATTCAAAAACGATAAAAACATTGATCAAAGTTTACTGTGAAACTTTACAAAAATTTATGTTGAATCATCTTTATTCATAATAGCTCCTAGCACATAAAACTATTCAATAATTCACAAATTTTTGTTGAATGAATAACTGAATGACACACAGCTCCTAGCACATAAAACTATTCAATAATTCACAAATTTTTGTTGAATGAATAACTGAATGACACATAGCTCCTAGCACATAAAACTACTCAATAATTCACAAATTTTTGTTGAATGAATAACTGACACTTGCATGTCTCAATGACACAATGGCAAATTGTATCTTTTTAACCTTAATTATAGCTACAGTGCACTAATGACACAGCATCATTGTCAAGAGCTCAGCACCCTCACCACCTCCAGCACCAAAGCACTTTTAGCTCCCAGTGGCATGTTCTAGGTATTGCACAGGACAATTCAGAAGCATAATCCAAGTCCTTCAGGAAGTCCAAATTTAAAAAGCTCAAGCGCTGGCAAAAATTTTAATTTAAAATTATTACTCTAGCAGTGCGAGGACAAAACTAGGTGGTTGGTCTAATTTGTATTTTTTCAAGTCAGTTGCTATGGTTTTAAAAATTCATGTAGAAGAATCTCTCTGTTAAACACACAGAGAGAGAGACAGAAGAAGAAGAAGGAGGAGGAGGAGGAGAAGGAGGAGAAAGAGGAGGAGCAGCAAAATCATTTACATGGTTATTCAGTTCAGTGTAACTGACTTGGGTGAGCAATGAATAGACCACACCGCTGAGTCTTCAAGGTTGTATCCAAATGCTCTCATTTGACAAGAGTTAAAAGGAACACACGAGTTTAAGATAAACCCTGCCTTTGTTTTTAATATTTAGTGATATGATTTTGGTTGAAGTCTGGGAGGGTCACTATATCATCAGAAAACACAGAAGGGATATTGACAAGCATCTTATGAGACAAATAAGAAGTTAATCTGAGAGTTGAGAAAAATATAAATGAAAACAAAGGATTTTTAAGGAGAAGAAATTGATAAGAGATGAGGAATATAAATAAATATTTTAAAAGCAGCTTCAGAACATCCAAGAACAGTTCTCACTTTACTTGACTCATCAAGACCTGCTTAGGAAAGAAGATAGTCACTAACTCTTCTTTACCAAAAAGACCAATGAATTATGATAGAAACTGATCAAGATAATACAAAGAAAGGAAGGGATAAAACTCAAGAGAGCATGTAACAAAGGTCAATACACAATGAAGTCATCTAGAAAGATAAAGAATATTGGCAACTCCCAAAAAGCAGTACAGTCAGGGCCAACTGAGAGTCTTAGAAAAAGGAGGCATGTTTGGCTGCCCACAGCCTGGAGAAAGAGTGAGTATCCACCATCACAGAGAGATGTGCAGTGCAGAATCTGGGAAACTAGGAAATCTCCCCAAACTAGAGCAAAATGTCAGATTAATGGCATCCAGCTCTGGCTGCACATTAGAATCACCGGGGGAAGTTTTTAGAAATCGCAAATGCTCAAGCCCCACCTGGAGAGACTGATTCATTTTATTTAGGTTGGATCTGGGTTTAGAAACTATTTTAAAGTAGTAATTAGCAGAGACAGAATTTGAACTCATATCTATCTGACTCCAAATCCCAGGCTTTTCCTATTGTGCCACAATGTCTCCTTCTAGCCCTACCCAACCAAGCGGTATTGGAGGGGTGGAGTTGCCTGTGCTGTAGTTTCTCCTCTGACATACTCTCAGGTGCTCAGGCTTAGCTGTCTGAGATGAAAGCAGAGGCAGTAGCTGTAAAAGCAGATGGTCAAGACTTGAGTCTGTTTTCTCCCTGAATGATTTTCCAGTTTTTCTCTGCAAGGTAGAGTTCATGATTCATCCTCTTTTAGGCTAGAAGAAAACTACAGAAGCCTGAAGTCCAAAGAATGGAGCCCCAGAATACAAACAGGCCAGTGTTGCTGGCCCAGGGAAGGGAGGAAGATGCACAGGGCAGGAGAAGTAAAAGGGACAAAGGAGTCTGGGGACCTCCCAGAACCCATAGGGATGGGTGCCCTGAGGCATTTAGAAGAGTGATTATGAGGCAGAGCTTCCCTGAAGGGCAACAAGCCCCCTGTGTCTGAACAGAAACCCATCTATGTGCAGATTGGTTCATCATTGGTCCTCATGCACTGATAATTAATTCTGGTAAGGAATAATGAATGGCAAGATGAATGAAACCCAGCCACGCTCTGTGAGCAGGTGGATCCAGTTTCACTCTGAGCATCCTGACTGGGCCTCCTCCCTCCACACACACAGACCCTTCAAGTCATTGCCATCCTTGCCCCATCTCCAGGTCCCTTTGCTCTGCCCACCTCAGCCCTTACAAGAACAGACCAAGTGTACACCTTCCAACTCACACCTCCACACACAAATAGGAAATCTATCCCAGTTAAGCCTCATTTCTGCACATGACAGATTAAAATAAACAAAACACCAGTCTTCTAAGTGGAAACATGGATATTTCAAAACACCAAGCAGCTAGCTACCTAAGCTGTTCACCCAAAGCACAAGGTAAATATCCCACAGTAAAGCAAAAGTGATCTGAGCTCTGGCTACCCTAAAGCTTTGGAAACAAGGTCCTAACAAACACACTCTTTGAGCAAAACACCAAAGACAATAATGGTGAGCAAGCAGAGATGGCAGCAAGAGGGAAGCCCCTGACTGGAGGGACCTGTTCACCAACACTGTCTTCACCCTAGGGTCAAGTCCATCAGCCCTAGAACCAGCTAATCTTCCTGCAGAAGATATAAGCACAAACTCCAATGGTGCGAGACCCTCAGAAGTTGTACTAGATGATGACAGAAATCTTTTTGCCAAAGCCACAGAAGTTTCTGTGGACAGTCTAGAAAGGGAACCTACCCTCTCCTTGTAACCTTCTCCTGCAATCACCCTATCACCCCTACTACAGTTATTGCTGCCAGAATTGAATCAAAGAGTGTGTCTGCTCCTGTGTTCTTTGACAGATCCAGGAAGGGGGTACAGAATAATGTTTGTACTCTAAATTAATATGGCAATAACAAGTATTTAGTTATCCTCCCAACATCCACTTCCCGTTATTCCTAATTGAGTCCTTTCAGACATTTTAGGAACTGAACATTGGACTAAAGGAGTCAGGGAATCTGGCTTCTAATTTTATCTCTACTGTTCTTTAATCCAGTGGCCTGGGCACATCCCTTACCTTCTTAAGACAAAGAGTTTGTCACTTGTGATATTATGACAAGAATGTGAGCCCCTCAGGGTTCCTATGCTGGTCAAACAAGATAACGTATGAAAGTCTTTTGAAAACTGTTAATCCTAACAAAGTGGCATTTTGAGTCACTTTATTTGATTCAATTATACAATAAATACTGTAGGGATATTTTTAAGCAAAAGATGCACAAAACAAAGGATAATACTTCTAACAACACCATAAATGAGATATCATTCTGTGAAACAGGTACCTACTCACATGAATATATGGAGGAAGGGAGGAAATCTTTCTTTCTGGGTTTTCTTTTTTCATTCGCCTCTAAAGACAGTCACTAAATGTCTTCCTAAGAGCAGCATGGGGAAACCTCAGGAATAAGGGCTGTGTGCTCCATAAGTTCCGGAGTTTGTGGAGGCCTTGTTTCAAAGCTCAGGGCAGAAATCAAAAGCTGTATGAAGTACCCTGTTTTGTGTCCATCTGAATCATGAATTCTTCTAAAGCTCTCCAGGAAAAGTATCAGTTTCAGGGTCACTAGCTCCCATATTATGCCCCTAAACTGCCTTTTATCATCACTCAGCTACTTCATGCTGCCCTTAGTTACCCCAAAGAAGGGTGGATTTTAAAACTTAGGACCCTCAGTAATCTATGAACCTGGCAGGATGTTGTTGAAGCTATTTGAATTCCCAGAAGAAATATACCCTAGAGATGACATGAATTTAAACTAATCCAAGGAGTATTAAAATGGTTGTGTGCTGCCCTTTGTCTCACAGGTTATAACTGATGCAGTACAAGCAAGTGGGAATGAAAAACATGAGAAAAATCTAAGACAGTAACTGCAGACCATTCTTCTTGGAAGTTATTCATTTCAAGAAGCAGGTGATAATTACTTTCTAGAGACAGTAATAAGAAAATATAGTCTTGTCTGGATTAAATCTATCTTGATGGTTGATTGCTATCCTTGGGACACGTTCCAATGAGAAAAGCAAACAAAATCTGTATTGTCTTCATATAAATTTCATCCAGTTGAGCCGATTCACATATATGAAAACAAGATTTCTTCATTCACTGAGGGAAATATTTTTCTGCTGATAAGTCAAAGAATCTTGTTTCTATCACTAAGATCCTTTTTAAAAATAGTACCACATGGGCTACTAGAGAAGCAGGTGTCAATAACACTTAAAAATATAGATGGCTATGACTAGTGGAGTGTGAATGGCTATAGCTGCTGAGGTGAGCCCAGCCCAGGACCCCAGGAGAAAGGAACCCTGGAAATTTTCTATGCTGGATAGCATGCAAATTCCCCATACTAGGGGTACCTCCTGGTTAGGCCATCCCCCAAAAAGACCTTGTCCTTTGGCAGTTTGGAAACCTTTGAGCTTCAGGGTACAGGTTGCATGTGTAAGAGCTATAAATGCAGAACAAGTGCCACAGGATTAGTTCATGTAAGGTGATAATTAAGAGCCATATGCCTATCACATAGGACCAACTTCAAAAGGATATGTGAGGTATAGCCCAGGGAGGCTCAGAACACATGAGATTGGCCCTTGTCCTGCAGTCACTGCTCACCAGACACCTGGGGGCCACTAGCCTGGCATGGCCACTCCAGAGAATTGGTTCTACTGGAAGTTTTGTTCAATAAAAAGATATCCTGATTGTTGATCCATATTCTATTTTTTTATGCAATAATCAAGCAGATTTATTTTGTATTGCCCATGGTAGTATACCTAGAGGTTTTAGAGTCCTCATTTTCTTCCAACCTAACATTGTTACTCAAAGATTAAGGTGGAAGCAAGTTCACCAACAGTAGTCCTATAAATATCAATGACCAGGAGTATAAACCCATGAACAATGACTAATTCTTCAAAGGTATCTAATTCATTCTCCCCAAATTTCTGTATACTAAGGGATCTTCTTTTCAGAGGCATGTGAGTGAGGATCTCCTGCCAAGGAATCTAAAACTCTGCATTTTATTGGATTCAGATCAGAATTTCAGATACTGGGATCAAAACCAATTAGAGGAATTTGTTGAATCCCCACCAATGAAAAAACGGCCAGTTCAGAACTATGGCAGAATCTTTAAAATATAATTTCTTAAACATATTAATAGCTAGATGTTAAAAAATAAAGAATCTCATCAGGCAAAACCAAGTAAGACAAAATTCATATTTGTTGACGCCCCTAGTCTTCACAAGTGACTTCAATCCCAGTCTAACTGTAGGCAAGCAGAGCTCTCCAGCAGAAGCTGCCAACACCATTCTCAGTACAATTATCTGCCCTCCTGGCCCAAGACCAACAGCCTCCCCTCGACTAAAATGAACTCCTTTTCACCTTGTCATTAAAACTTCACTTAGCCCAAACCCCACTTTTCAAATCCCCAGCACAAGACACACCCTCGACCACACATGAGTTCTTTCAGGGTCGTCCTCATCCTACTATGCTCTGTCTGGTTTTCCCTCCCGGTTACATTCGCACTAGAGCACTCACCTGGGCCAAGCTTAATAAATATACTGCATGTGGTTGAACACCCGCAATCCTGAGCACAGAACAGACATTGTCCACCATTCTGGACTCTTCCTCAAAGAGCCTGGATGATACTTCAAGGTCCTTCTCCCCCAGGCTGCCATTCAAGGCAGCTCTCCTGAGGGTGGGCAGGTGAGAGGGATGATCGGTTAGTAATTGGCCCACCAGTGGATCTTGCACCTCACCTAACCAACAACTGCCATTCTCCACCCTTCTCTGGCACAAAATGCAATTCAACATAAGCCTGATGGGTGTTCTGTTCCCACATGGGTTAAATACAGGCCGACAGCCTTATAACTTTTTGCTCTTACAAACTGAAAGAATTTTAAAACACCATATATCCCCTTAAATTTATGAAGTTGAAATCTATATTCTTACTTTGCATAAGTTTGAATAGTTTTAAGAACATATATTTCCAGCATCTTGTAAACATCGACAACTAAAAATTACATTTTTAGTTTAACCAGTGAAGTCTAAATACCACAATGTATCCATGATATCTAAAAACCGTAATGATTAAATAATCACCATCATCTACTTAAAAAATACAGGAACAAGCTCCTTAACGTTTTTGAAGAAACTTTTAATTTTAGAATAATTTTAGATTTACAGAAAAATTGCAAAGAAAATACAGAGTTCTTTCCCCTGCTCTTTTCCTGTTGTTTTTCTTCCTTGTCTGGTTTTAACTAGGGATTTTATATAATCTCATTTTACTTTATCATTTTGATTATACATCTTTTTAAAAATTTTCGTGGTGTCCCTAGAATGTAGTCCATCTAAATTGAAATCTATTTCAAATAACATTCCACTCACATCACATGTGCTCCAAGGACCTTATAACAGAGTATTCCCAATAAGCTGCTCTCATCCCATAGGACATTGCTGTCATTCATTTCACTTATTCATATGCTATGATAACCCAAAACATTGATATCATTATTGCTTTAAAAAGTTCTTTTGAATCAATTAAAAAATAAGAAAAAAAGATTTTATTTTATACTCATTTATTTCTTCTCTGATGTTCTTTCTTCTTTAAATAGATCTGAGTCTCCAACCTGTATCATTGTTCTCCTGGCTTTTAACATCTCTTGAAGAAAAAGTCTTCTAGAGGTGGATTCCCTCAGTTTTTCTTTGTCTGAAGAAGCCTTTATTTCTCCTTCATTTATGAAGGATAATTTCACTAAATAAAAATTCTAGATGGGTAATTTCTTTTTCTTTCAATACTTCAAGTATTTCATTCTACTCTTCTCACTCACATGGCTTCTGAGGAGAAGTCTGATGTAATTCTTATCCATGTTCCTCTAAGAGGAAGATTGAATATGATAAGCCTAAATGGTGGTGGATTTTTTGGCATTTATCCTACTTGGCACTCTCTGAGCTTCCCAGATCTATAGTTTCATATATGTCATTAGTTTTAAAACGTTCTCAGCTATTATTACTTCAAATATTTCTTCTACTCCATTCTCTTTCCTCTCCTTCAGAATTCCAATATTGCTTATGTTACATCTTTTGAAATAGTCTCACAGTTCTAGGGTGTTTTGTTCCATTTTTTTCCATTCTTTTTCTTTTTCCTTTGCATTTCAGTTTGAGAAGATTCTATTGACCCATTTTAAGTTTACTGATTCTTTCCTTGGATAGTTGATTTCACTTTGAACTCCAAAGACATTCTTCATTTCTCTTACTGTATTCTTTATTTCTAGCATCTCCTTTTGATTCTTTCTCATTTCCATCTCTCTGCTTACATTGCCCATCTATTATTGCATGTTGTCTACTTTTTCCACTAGAGCTCTTCATATATCAATCATAGTTATTTTTTTACTCCCTATCTGAAGATCCCAACATCTGTGTAATATTTGAGTTTGGGTCTAATGATTGTTTTGTTTCTTTATGTTGGGGAAAAGCTGAGTTTTGGGAAAAAAGCTGAGGCAGGGCTTGCATCTCTGACATAATGTAAAAGAGTCTTGGAACATGTCGGGGGTCCAGGGTCTGAAACCCCTCATGGTCTTTGGAACAACAAGCTCTGTGCCAAAGGGTGGAAGGCTGCCCTGCCACACCATAATCTAAGCCCAGGGCATAAAACCCCTCGTGGCTTGGATGGAATCCAGGGCTCAGGGCATAAAACCCCTCATGGCCTCTGGAATGTGTCTAGACTTACTGGCTCCTTGCTTCTAGCATTCCCAGGCTTATAAAATGATTGTATCTTAAACTAGAAGAACATGTTCCCCATTATCTCAAGTACCAGAATATGTTCCATATGCTTCAAAGGAAATGCTAAACCATCACAGCTATAGCTTATGCACTTGATGCACCACTTCCTTTCAACCCTCATATCCTCACCACCTGCTTCTTTGTTGGATTACCAATAAATAGCATGGGCTCCCAGAGCTCGGAGCCTTCACAACCTCCACACTAGTGTTGGCCCCCTGGTCCCACTTTATGCACTCTTAAACTTGTCTTTTCTCATTCTTTTGACTCCACCGGACTTTGTCGCCCCCATGGCCTGGTGTTGGGTCCAGCTGCCCCAACATCTCTAAAGTGTGTGTGTGATTTTTTTCCTTGCTATTTGGCATGTCCTATCATTTTCTGTTGAAGGCAGAACACACTGTATCAGGCAGGAGGAACTGAAGTAAACGAGCCTTCATTGTGTGTGAGGATTTATATTAATCTGGCTAGGAGTTGAGCTATATAATTGTTGCGTAGTTACAGATGCCAGAGGTCTGAAAATTCCTCTGGTGGTCTTTGTTTTTGTCTCACTTCTTGACTTTGGGCTTCCTTAAGTATCTCCTCTTCAGACATGGCCTGTGTCTTTCAGCAATTTCAGCCATAATCCACTGTTATAATAATGGAGCCGTGTTGGTGTGATAATAAGGTGTGCAGGAGGTGGAGTATTCTATATTCTCCCAATCAAAGAATGGATTGGGTACAAAGACTGAATATGAGACCCATCTGTAGCTTGGAGAGTAATCCACTTTACTCAAAGTCTACTGACTTAAATGTTAATCTCATCTAAAAATACCTTCATGGCAACATCTAAATAATGTTTGACCAAATGTCTGGGTACTCTAGCCTAGACAAGTTTACAAATAAAATTAAACATCATAGCATGTGTTCATGTTATATTTGACTGAGTCATGATTTATCTCTATAAAATTAATACTTAAAAGCCAGCAGGCCTTTGGGGCCAAGTTAGGCTGGGTCCTTTTTATTTCCAAAGGCTGGCTATGCCCTTCCAAAGTCAGCCAGGCCTTCCCTATAGGAGCAGCCCCCATCATTCACTGCTGCTAAGCAAAGAACCCCAAGTATTATTTTACAGAGTAGCATCGTGAACTTCATGTATGTACAGTCACCAACAGCAAATATTTTCATAGTTCCTGTACCAAAGAAGCTTTTACAAAGTTAATTCAGCAGTCACTCAAAATATTGATTGAACATCTATTGGACTCAAGTCATTGTAGGAGACACAAGGTCATAAATACCTCAAGGAGCTTAAAACTAGTTGCAGAAACAAGATACAGTGCATCAGTTCAACATAGATTTTTAAGGAGAGGAGTTCAAGTTCTGATACTAGGCAGATTTACCTAGAAAAGTCCACTCTAGCTATATTACTAAAGAAAATGCAGTAAGATGTGCAGGTGATGGTGGTAAAATCTGACAGATGGCAAGAGATTTACCTCTATTTTTAGGATTACAACAAATTTCGAAAGACTAAACCCAATTCTAACCAGGTCAGCCATGAGGTCCTGTTAGATGGTGCTGGTTATTCCCCTTGTACAGCACCTACAACACTGCTAGTCCTCGATCACAGCTTCTCTCTGGAACTTTTAAGCAACTCTGCTCACCAAGCAACAACTTGACATCTTTTCAAACACTCACATTATAAAAATGCATTCCAATTTCTCTAGAGATGGCCATTACAGTGACTCATGTGAGAGTTCTTGCCTTAGCAATAGAGTTATGTGTACTTTGGACTTGACTAACAGAAACTCTCTTATGTGGTAAACATAGATATCTTAGCTGGTTGGCAACCAGGAAAAGGAGCTGTAAATGATAAATTGCACAGGTATATAGTTCAGCTTCCCTTTAACACAACAGTTTACACATTGGCTGAAGAAAGTATTATCTGAAGCTTAAAAAACAGTTATTTTATAGTTGAAATTCATTTTATTGATCTCATTTGGAAATGATTCACATTTTTATACTCACTTAGCTTCATGAAGGTTACGAATCAGTAGAGTACCAAGAGAAGGTATTCAAAATGACCACTTTTTGATATCTTCTCCGGGCCCTTTTCTTCCTCCCAACTTTCTTAATTGTCCCTGTCATTGATGTTTCCATCTTACTTATCTTTTTGCGGAGATGGGAGTTGTTTTCTAGGGGGAAAGATTTTTGGTGTTGGTTTTGGGTGTTTTTTGTTCCATCATCCTAATACCTAGTACTCTTTCCCCATTATCAAGATGACAGATGTTTTGTTAAAGTGATAGATTATAGTTTAACAGTAATCACAAATCTGGCAACCAAGATCCACAACAAGCCCCAAACTGGGGCACAGCAAAAAGAAAGCTTTCTAAAGGCAGTGAACTAAAAGTTGTGCAGTTTGCTGGAAAGTCCCTAATCTTACAGTAATCCTAACTTTATATAACAGACTGATTTACCACTCCTGAGCATATTAGAAATGGCAAACTTTAGGGGTGGGGGTGAGGCTGACACACTGTCTCCAGTGAGAGATTATATTGGCCAGGGGAAAATCTACAATGAGCAAACAAATTTTCTCCACAAATGATGCCTGGGGTCTTTTAGACTGATGAAAATATGCAACACTTTTTTAGTCCAATATGTTATCTAGTTGGGGCTAAAAAAACATGACTACCAGCTGGGCACAGTGTCTCATGCCTGTAATCCCAACACTTTGGGAGGCCAAGGTGGGCAGATCACCTGAGGTCAGGAGTTCAAGATCAGCCTGGCTAACATGGTGAAACCTCATTTCTACTAAAAATGCAAAAAATTAGCCAGACATGGTGGCACACACCTGTAATCCCAGCTGCTCGGGAGGCTGAGGCAGGAGAATCACTTGAACCTGGGAGGTGAAGGTTGCAGTGAGCCAAGATCCTGCCATTGCACTCCAGTTTGGGCAACAAGAGTGAAACTCCGTCTCACAAAAAAATAAATAAATAAAAAAATAAATGACTGCCACTTTTCCTCTGTTCTTAGATATATGTTTTCACTTTTTATTTCTAAAATTGAAGTCAATCAGAATTGATGTGTTCCTTTCATGTAATAGTGTGTCTTAAGGAAATCAGTAATGGTAGATTTTATAATCAAATAGAAGAAATGAAGTAATTAATATGCAGAAATAGATTGAATTAGATTCACTGTCCTCTGGATTGAGAGCTTTTGAATGTTTTACATAAAATTTCACCCAAAATAAAGCATTTTTATTTATGAGTTTGACTTAATAGGGTAATCTGGAAAATTAGTTATGTAGAGTGCTACATTCCCTGAAGATGCCTGATAAATGAACTAGATACTTAGGCAGATGGAGCTCCCGAAAAAAGAAGCCAACTGTTATCATAAACAGTTGCTAGTTTACTTTCTTCGTAGATTTTCTTTTTTTCTGATTAGCTGGTTTTCTTATTTTCCTGCTTCTTCAAAGACCTGCTACAGTGAAGTTTAGAGACTTTAGATACTTGCAAGTATAATTTTTCAGCTTTCACAGAAGAAGTACATATCCTTCTATTCTTACTTAATAAAGAAAAGTTATAGGCTTGAGCAGACAGTGTTTTTGGCCATTTCTCTTGCTTTATTTTGGTAACAGTTAATTAGCATAGTCCTCAAGCTATCCCTCCACAAGTTAAAAAATTAAAACTCCCATTTGAATATTTATCAAAACTCTTTACGTGGCAGGCACTGTGCTCAGTGGGCACTGTGTGTAAAGATAAAGAAGATGCAAGCTCTACTCCCAATGGGCTTATGAGGGTGTTGACATGAAAAGCAGAAGTCTTAGGAAGGACTCACCAACAAGCAATATAATCCTGTGAAACACACTCTTACAGCCCACCCCAATATCAACCAAATGAGCACACCTCCAAAGACCATCTCGATTTCAATAAACTGAAGCATACATACTCTCATGGCACCCCAATTTCCAAGACATCCTCAAAAGTATGCAGAGTAGGACAGAACTAAAATAGTTACTGCCACAACGCTAACCACTTATCAGATACAGGATCTCTGACAGAGGTTTTCAGTATGTGTGAGTGTGAGTTTAAGTGTATGTTCTTTCTTGACTCCACTTCCTTTCTCTTAGTCATTATATGTCTGAAGGAGAGTTACAGCAATAAACTTGAATCCACTCATTAATTTAAGTAAACCGTTCACAATCTTTATTTTTTTAGTAGTAAAAAATGACTTGTGACATCTCACAAGACCAATCCACAGTGAACATTACCCAGAGAATTTAGCATAAATTCTACATATAAAATCAAACTAAGATTTTAGCTTGAAATTCTATTAGAGAAGGTTAAATTTTCAATGTCTTCATTCACTAGGTACAGCATATCCTGAGTGTACGATATGTTTGTCTGCTGGGGCTGCCATGATAAAATACCATAGACTGGGTGGCTTAAACAACAGAACTCAATTTTCTCATAGTTCTGGAGGCGGAAAGTCCAACATCAAGGCATTTCTGGGTTGAGTTTCTCCTGATGCCTCTCTTCTTGGCTTGTAGATGGCCACCTTCTCACGGTGTCCTCAAATGGCCTTTTCTCTTGCGTGTACATATCCATTCCCAGTGTCTCTTCCTCTTCTTAAAAAGACACCAGTCCCATTCGATGAGGATCCTACTCTCATGACCTCATTTAACCTTAATTACTTATTTAAAGGCCTTATCTTCAAACATAGTCACATTGGGTGTTAGGGCTTCAACATGTAAATTTTGTCCATATTTTTCATTTCAGTCTCTAATACACGGTAACCTCCAGGAGTTTATCTATTATTCCTTTAAAATGAGAATCATCTGACCCAGAAATTATCTACAAATAGACTCAAAGAAGAGTAGGTTCCAAACCTATCACGGCATGCCTGGTAGTTCAGCCACTGGCTCCTGGCTTCGGCCCTCAGTGAAGCTGTCTTCCCCTCATCAAGGGGATTTCAAACTATCTACAGTTTGCTGTCAGCAGTTCTTGGTAGCTAAGTAGGTCTGAGCAATCAGGCAAAAGAGAGATGGTGAAGCTAGTTCTTGATTTGCAACAGTACAATTGCCAGGTTAACTTCCTGGCTGTGGGCATCCCTTAGTGGTCTGGGATTTCTCCCTCAGAGACAACCACACATTGTCAGGGGCTTCCTTTATCCGGCATTCTCTAATGCATCTTCTCCATGGCGAAGACTTTTTGTTTTACTTAACATAACACTGATCCCAAAGACAGCTACATCTCCCCTCAGTCTTGAAAGTCACCCCTGGGTAAACCCGGTGTGTGGGAGAACTGGGTTTCCCCACTTCCTGAACACAGAACCTCAGCCTCTGTCCCTCTGCCTGCTGGAAAGGTTGGTGTGGATTTCAACTCTTACACCCCCTTCCCTCTTCCACAAGGAGATACCAGCTTACAGTTCCACTTGCCCCACCACTGTTATGAATTCCATAACAAATTTAGAATATTAAAATAAAAGCTACAAATTTGTGAGTGCTTACTATGTACCAGGAACTGTACTAAGTACTTTCCTTACATTACTTCATAAATCCTCTCAATATATGCCTGTAATTACAGAGGGGAAAATTGAGACTCAGTAATGTTAACATTACTCCCCCAGTATCATACATGTAGTAAGTGGCAGGGTTAATATTCTAATTTCCAATGCTCAAGTTTTATCTAATAGTCTATTCCCACTTGCCTAAGTATAAATTCCCTACCCTTCTTAAGGTAGAAGAATGTACCTATATTAGAGAACTACCTTTTTTTTTTCCTTTTGACAGAGTCTTGCTCTGTTATTTGGGCTGGCATGTAGTGGCGTAATCTCGACTCACTGCAACCTCTGTCTCCTGGGTTCAAGCAATTCTCCTTCCTCAGCCTCCCAAGAAGCTAGGATTACAGGCATAAGCTACCATGCCCAGCTAATTTTTGTATTTTTAGTAGAGACAGGATTTCACCATGTTGCCCAGGCTGGTCTCGAACTCCTGGCCTCAAGCAATTCACCAGCCTCGGCCTCCCAAAGTACTGGTATTACAGGCGTGAGCCACTGCACCCAGTGAGAGTTACCCATTTTTAGCAAAACGTTACTCTATGAGGAGGAAGAGAGGTTTTGGATGCTGCTTAGTCCTGAATTGTGCACACTAGGTATTCCCAGTGGGCTACAGCCATGCCTCTCTCTGCTTCAAGTTCCACATCTGGAAAATGGACTAATGATACCTGCTTGTCACATTGCAAGGGCCACAAAAATAGAAATGAGATGCCGCATGTGAATGGAGCTTGAGGAAAATCAATACAAATATAAATAAACTTATTTATATGAGTCATACTTCAAAAAAGAATACCATCATACTGTCCTTCATGGTATCACCCTTAACAAGACAATGCCAACCATCTAAGTTCCCTCGCCCCATCAGACTCCTTTAATACACTACATCTAGTATTGTTTAATTTTCTACATGCATCCATCTAGAAACATGGATGAGCCTGTAAGTACCTTGATTTGGGAGATTATGTTCATTATTCTTAATATTTCCTGTAGTGCCCTGCATGCTTTTCCACAGTAGGTGTTCAAAAAATATCATGTTGTTGGGTTGATAATAATTATATATGGCCAGAGAGCTGGCATTAACTGGTAGCCATTTAAAATAAGAGATTAAAGTTATTTCATAATTAACTGAATGTTTACTAATTGTATCTTTAACCAAACTACTTGAACGTGTTTGGGCCTACAAGGACACAGGTTTGCGACGGTGCTGATTCAATTAGTAACCCCAGCAGGTTCTACCCATAACTTGGCTTAATGGACTCCACCATTTATATCCTACTCATGCTCCACTCTGAAGGCAGAGGGGAAATCTTGGGAGAGAGGAGGGAGGCTTTGGATTCTTCAATCTCAAAGTAAATACAAAATATTTGCCTCCCTATGTAATTTGTCATGGACAAATCCTCAGCAAAATTACTGAAATTACAGGGAGCCACAAGTAGAAATTGATAACTGTCAGGGTGCTTGACAGCTCTATACAGGAACACCTTCGCTAGGAAGACTCTGCTTGCTGGATTTCCTCTATAAAATCAGATTTTGTTTTCACTTCAAATCATTCTCTCCAGAGAAAATATCTATTCATCCCACCAGGCACTTTGACACAGGAGCCCCATTCTGAGAGAAATGCATGTTGACAGCAGAATTGCAGTAGAAGCTGTCTCATAGGATCCCATCAAAGAGGCTCTTGGCAAGCCTCTGTTTTGAGATCCACATTAACTCAAGGCCTGTTCCATGGTCTCTTACGTGAAAAAGTAAACCAGAAAAAGAAAGGAAAAAAGACAATAAGTCTTGTCCTGAGTTAGTAAAATATTAAGAAAAAAAAACCAGTATGAGTAGAGCTGGAGAAATAGAGTATCTTGGTTCCTTGATCCATAATATTTTGATAGGAATAATTTAAACCGTGATGATTGGAAACTTTGCCATTTGAAATTAAGCACCACTCTGCTCCTTTCACCACATATATCCTCCAATTCAATCTTCTGCTGTAAGTAAGCAAAACTCATGAATATGAGGTCCATAAGGCTAAAAAGATCCTATTTGTGTAGCCAAGTGGCTAATGATCTACCAAAGGTTCATGCTCCCTCTTCCATAGTGGGGACTTGTTGCTGGGAATTGGCTGCCCAAATGGGGGCTACATTCCCAACCCCTTTGCATTGAGGTGAGGGCATGGGACTAATTCTTGAGTGGAAGTGATGTGTGTCACTTCGGGACCAAGAACCTTATCTCTCTCTTCCATCCCATTCCCCGGCAGAAGGCAGGGGCTTCGGAGGCTGTAGCAGAAGGCAGTGCCACAAAACAGAAAGAGCCTGAGTACCCAAATCACCAGCTGGAAGGCCACCCACCAGGAACATGAGAGCAAGAAGTAAACATCAATAATGCTAAGCCACTGGTGTCTGGTGTTTGCTAAGGTAGCTTGCATTACCCTAGCTAACCCAATTTGCTTTCATGGTTTCCTTTCCATTTTACAGCTTTTAATTTTGATGTGCTTTTTAATGGATCTATTCCTCTATAACTAACAATTAATTATCTGATCTATTCCTGGATTTTATGTACTGTGAAGATTGCCAAGGATCTGTCCCTCTGGCTTACTGGAATAGTTATCTATCTATTCTTTTCTCCACTTATCTGTAACAGCTTGGTTTATCACACAAAACCACCATAGGTTGGTGCAAAAGTGATTGCGGTTTTTGCCATTACTCTTCATGCAGAATAGCAGTAGAGGCTGTCTCATATGATGCCACCAAAAAGGTTTTTGCTATTAAAAGTAATGACAAAAACCGCAATCATTTTTCACCAACCTAATACTATTTGATGGAAGTGATTAGAATAGAGTTGTAGTGTAGTACACAGATGTAAGTTTGAATGTTGATTCTGGGTAACTGGACAAGTTACTTGCTTTCGTCAAGGCTCGGTTTTCTCATTTGTAAAAGGACAATAACATTTTACCTCTGCTTTGATGTTTCACTCTCTAGTCTCAAAATGTGAATAAATAACTTTTCGCTCAGTCCCAAACAATTTTATATATGTCTCTCTCTTTGTACTTTGAATCACCGCCCCAACAGACCTGGCAATAATTCCAGTACTACAGATATTATTTTGCATAGAAGATAAGCAGTTCATCCAGAAGCAGCCACAGTGTGATCGGATGTAGGGCTGTTTATCTTGACAATCCTCCCTGCCCCCGCTTGGATTACATTATGCACAATTCAATGTGGCTTCTGGTTTGTCACGTATGATTAATCACACTGATATCTACTATGCCCATTTCATTAAATCCTTCCCACTGAAGCAGGATGCCCATATATACCCAAAGTGTGTTTTCCTCTGCCTTATTCTGGCAGATAGGGAAATAAGGTTAAGGTTTTACCTTCATTGGTAAAGTTACCCTCAAATCAAAACAAAATGCTGAAACCATCAGTTAAATATGAGCTAATCTTATAAAGAACTTAAAAAGTTTAGTCTTCAGGAGGCAATTTCCAGAGAGTAGGTTCAATAATAGGAATTTCCTTGTGCCCAAAATGGGGTGGGGCAGTATAAAGTATACTGATTAATTGTCTTAAAATTTAAAAATTCCAACTCCTAGTAACTAGTTGCAGCACTCCAGGTTGAACATTTAACTCATGGAAGTACCTAGAGAATATTGCCAGGTCCAGATAGCATCCTACCCAACTATCTCATTTGAAACGTAAAAAAATTGAGGGTCCGGGAAATTAAATGATTTGCTCAGGTCACTGAAGGAATATACTGATTTACCATGTGGCTCCCACAAGAGTCCCGCCTGCCAGTGCTACGTCACTCTGGTATCCAAAGTTCACTGTCTAAGCTGCTCTTCTCTTCTGTCTGCACTGTCTTCCTTCAGAGGCAACACAGCTTATGCTTAAGAGTGTTAGGGACATGAAGCTCTGATTTGAGCTGAATGACCTGGAGGTTTTCGGTGACCCTCTCTGAAGTTCCATGTCCTCACAAGTAAAATGGGATTAACAACAGCACCTGAGTCAAAGGGCGATGGTGAGGACCAGCAGAGCTTCTGTCCTGGCACTTCATGTGGCCTCAGCAAGGGTCTACTTTTTCTCCCCGCTTTTTTTTTTGAGACAGAGTCGCCCAGGCTGGAGTGCAGTGGTGCGATCTCGGCTCACTGCAACTTCCGCCTCCCAGGTTCAAGTGATTCTCCTGCCTCAGCCTCCCAAGTAGCTGGGACTACAGGCGTGCACCACCACGCCCAGCTAATTTTCGTATTTTTAGTAGAGATGGGGTTTCACCATGTTGGCCAGGATGGTCTTGATCTCTTGACCTCGTGATCTGCCTGCCAGGGCCTCCCAAAGTGCTGGGATTACAGGTGTGAGCCACTGCACCCAGCCCCTTTTTCTCCCTTTATGGCATCCAGGCAGACAGTCTGTAACAGTGGGGCAAGCTCCTTCTGACTCATCTATTTCTTTGATCATTATTGTTCGTTTTGTTTTTTTTTTTAATGCTACAACTCAGATATATCTGGAAGCATTCCTAAGCAAACAGGCAGACGAGCCCTGTTCACAGTAAGAAAAAAGCCTTCTTTAGATAGGTTACACAGAAGCAAATTTCAGGACAGCCTGAAATTATCCATGTCTCCTGCAGCCACCAAGGGCAACAACAAAAACAAAAAAAAAACCAGAATGAGTCAATCAGCAAAAACTCAAATTAAAATCTAGCTCACTTGTTTTCCAAAAATAAAATACTCAACACAAACTAAAATTCCTAACTTTTACCACAACTGTAAGTCTTTCAAAGTATTCATAGACATAGAATTGAACACAAATTGGTTAAAATCATGGGCAGAGAAACAGGAGGACCAATTTATATTTGTACAGGTCTCAGCTACCTGTTTATAAATTGGGATGCTTCCGTATGCAGAAGAGATTTTTCATCTTGAGTATATAAATATTCTTCCTAATAAGGCTGCCTCATTTCTCTACAAAAAGACTATAATCTAAACATATGCAAACACCAGGGGTGAAATTGACTGACAATGAGCAATAAAAATAGGAAAATTCATTAATTACTCTTTTTAAAGAGGTAAAAATAATTGCTCTGTATTAAAACCACTGTGGTATTCAAACAGAAATTTAAAAATACATATGATTTCCTCCAGTCTTACATTTCATACTAGATAGCCAAGTCAATTAAACTGATATAAATGTAAAGAAGGTTTATGCAACCCCACGTTGACATTTCAAGCATAAGAATAATGCATCAGTTTTCCACTGGTTCCTCCTACTGTGGGCATTAGCCAGCTTGTAGCTATCAGGCACAAATATAAACCCTTTCGCTGTAACCCTGGCATCACCCAATTCCCTCATTCAACAGTTTCCATGTAGTCCTTGAAAACAGCTGCAGATGAGACCCCAGTAGAGTCTGGATTATCTATCACCTGTAGAGGATGGAACAAACCTCCTCACCCTCACTGATGCCTTGGGTTCTTACAGTCAAAATACACAGCAAGGGACAATAGGAAGTGACTCAGCATTTGAAAACTGTGTCATCACTGGCAAACTTAGTTTGCTTCTCTGTAGGATATAACAAGATAATTCTTTCTTTTTTTTATATATCAACAGTGTCATTTTTTAAAAATGGGAAACACTGGGCCATATTAGCACAGTTTTTGTGCAGCATTGCATACACTGGTGTTCTCTTCCTGAGTAGCTTAGCAGAAATGCATTTTCTCAGCAATTTCTTTCCAGATGTGGCGTTGGTATTGCTGGGTGGAATGGGGTCGGGAGGGTGTTAAAAGACAAGCAGGTAGAAAATATCATCTGTTGTGAAGCCACTAAGTAGCAACCAGGATCTGATTTGCTTTATATTTTTTAACAAGTTACCATCCAAAGGCTAAATGACCCTGAAAATCAACTGGGTTTTATTCAAAACACAGTTTCCAGCCACAAATCTCCAGTATGACACATATGGAATGTTGAATGTACCAGTGAGCAGTTGGTTTTCCACTCGCTAGGAGTTCTAAACCTTAAATATACTGAAGTGATTAAATGAAATGCTTCTTCTGGCTTAAAAATTATTTTACAGCTAACATTACATAAAAAATGTTTTTTCATCCAAACATCTGCAGAGTAAATTACCTTTCATTCATGCTAGTGCCAAGTTAAGTGACACAGACAGAAAGGTTTGACCTCAGTTTCCGCTTCCAAGCATGTGCCGTTTTCCAGGGCTCGTCAATTGACCCTAATGAGCCTCCAACCAACACCCATAATGGTCTTCTTTAAAGATTACAATCATATTTAGACATGTTTCTGCCTTTATAAACACTTGCTTCAAGCACAGAGGTGCATCTGACATTATGTGGTCAAAATATTCCTAAGCAACTCTCTGTAAACTGATTATTTTTGTAAATTGAGCAATTCAAATTGCAGTTGAGAGTACTCTATTTACAGACACTCTATGACTAATTCTTTTGCAAAGCTGCCTTTTGCAATCTGAATATCCAGCCTTGATTTATCTGTCTTGTAATTTCCAATCTTCACATATCAAGCATACCTAAAAACTGCCTACCACAGTGCCTGTCGAACAGTAGTCATTCAATAAATGTTCTGGTTTAATGATCTTGCTGCAGTTTCAGGAAATCTGCAAAATAATTTATTATATATCATAGTGCACCCAGACACAATTCAAAAAACTAGGTGCTATATACACATTTATTACTTTGGAATGATTTAGGCATATTAGATGACTTTCCAAGGAATTTTGGAATTCTAGAGAAGTCTCTGGATTGGTTAATCAGCAAAGAAATCTTCCCCTGGATCCCCCTCATATCCTGGAGCTCTGAAAGGATACTCTGAAGTGTATACTATACAGATAATTGTAAGGAATACATTTCCAGACCTTGACTTCTATACGTAGATTTTCTCAGAACTTTCTACAGCTTTCTACTTTCTAGAGCTGAGGCTTCCTGACACTTCTTCCTATCACCCCTTTCCCCAGTACAAAAATCTCAGGAGTGATGAATGAAAACCAACAGAAAATAAGAGTCCCCAAAGCCTAATCAAAGAGCCATAATCATCATCTCCCTCCATTTTATTATGAGATGTATTGCTAGTTTTATGATTTATATGTAATAATTGTTTACAAAAAAATATAATTCATTCACATAATTTTGGTCAATTTGTTTTTTGTTTTTTGTTTTGTTGTTTGTTTGTTTGTTTGTTTGTTTTTTGAGACACAGTCTCACTCTGTTGCCCAGGCTGGAATGCAGTGGCTCAATCTCGGCTCACTGCAGCCTCTGCCTCTCAGGTTCAAGTGATTCTCCTGCCTCAGCCCCCACCAAGTAGCTAGGATTATAAGTGTGCACAACTACGCCCAGCTAATTTTTGTAGTTTTTAGTAGAGAAAAGGCTTCACTATGATGGCCAGGCTGGTCTTAAACTCCTGGCCTCAAGTGATCCACCCTCTTCGGGCTCCCAAAGTGCTGGAATTACAGGCGTGAGCCACTGCATCAGTCCTAATTTTGGTCAATTGGATGCTAACAATAATTATAAAGATAATCCAATCCAGAAGAAAAGAAATTAATACTAAGACTATGGTGACAGGAAATTGATAGAGTTTGATTAATATTCATATTGTTTGAGGATATCATGATAGGGTGATCAATAAGAGATTTTCAAACATAGACTAGAATGAAAATAAAGTTTCCAATTGTTTAAAGAACTCTGTCCCTATTATGCTTCTTAAGGAGGAGAATAGGTGCCAAATCAAATAAAATATTCCATTGCATACACTTTAAGGAATGATGTAAAAGTTCCATTTTAAATTATCAATATGTAGAATGCACTAGAAACAATGTAATTTTCGACTTGCTAATTTTTTTTTTTTGAGACAGAGTCTCACTCTGTCACCCAGGCTGGAGTGCAATGGCATGATCTTGGCTCACTGCAACCTCTGCCTCCCGGGTTCAAGCAATGCTCCTGCCTCAGCCTCCTATATAGCTGGGATTACAAGCGCCCACCATCACGCACAGCTATTTTTTTTTTGTATTGTTAGTAGAGACAAACCCCATCTTTGCCATGTTGGCCAGCCTGGTCTTGAATCCTTGACCTCAGGTGATCCACCCACCTTGACCTCCCAAAGTGCTGGGATGACAGGTGTGAGCCACCGCGCCCGGCCTCAACTTGCTAAAATTAAAATTGTGACTTTACAATGAAGAAAACTGAAGCGCACTATTTTAACCCAGTGATCAAAGTGAAAAGCCCAACAACGGGACAACTGACATCCTGTGCCTCCCTGTGTGTTAGACAGAGAAAGACACAACATCATTTCTGTGATGTTCCTGCCAAAGATGCAGAGTCTGAATTTAATCATGAGGCAATTTCTGACAAACCAAAGTTGAGGGATATTCTACAAAATAACTAGTCTTGACCCTTCAAATTACCAAGGTCATGAAAGCAAAGAAAGGTGAAAAGGAGAAGGGAGGATACTGTGTATAAAGACAAGTGGTGGAATTTTAATACAAACTGTAAAGTAGATAACAGTATTTTATCATTGTACAGTGATTATGTTAAGAAATGCATATTGAAATATTTAAGAGTAAGAGAGTACTGCTTATCTCAAATGGTTCAGGAAAAAATAGATAATGATGAAGCAAAACTGGTAAAATATGAACGATTAATAAATCTGGGTGAAGAGTGTATAGGAGTTCTTTTTTCTACTCTTGCAATTCTTCATGAGTTTGCAATGATTTCAAAATAAAAAGTAAGTAAAATAAATAAAATCTAAATGTCTAATAAGATATGGGAGTGACTACATAATTTTCCAAAATCTAACAGGTGTATCAGTCAAAATGATGCAAATTCTGGATTGTTTCTCTTATTCTCTCCAGGATCTTTGTCAGTCATGCAGTTTCTACTCTCCTGAGTGCCTCCTGTTCATGCATTTCCCAGCAGCAAGATCTGTGTGTTCAATTTCATCATCTCCTCTCTCAATTTGGCCTAACAAATTGACACGTTCTGTCTGCCACCCTCTAAAGAAATAGTAAAGAAAGTGTCACTTTCTGTTTGATAAGCATGAACTGCTTTGCCTGGAGAAGCAATGAATTAATTAAGTTTAAAGATGAATGAGCTACAATTAATCTAGCTTAGTTTATATTGTCAGCATATGGAGAAAAAAGAAAAATCTTCCAGTAGAAAACAAACAAAATGTATCTACTATTAAATCACTCGTACATGTATATGTATATGTATATATATATATATATACACACACACAGGCTATTATACATTATATACAGTATGCACACATATATTTACACACATATATACATATACAAGATTGAGTTCAGAGTATATTGATAAAGTTATTCTGAATATATCTGGTAAAATATATAAAGTATAATTGAAATTTCTCTTTAAAAGGAATGAAGTGAGTCTAAATGCATATTTCATATTTATTTTATATGTAGTATCAGAGTGTGTGAGATACACTCTCTCATTTATTCCTACTCTGTTCCTCTGAGGAAAAGAGGAAATGATCCCATTTGACAGATAAGAACACTGGGGCAACATGAGACACAGGTAAGGAGACGGGTTGATTAGACTGAGAAATTAGCCTGCCCAGTTGCCTGTCTATAGTTCCATACTGGATCATGCTGGGATCTGCTAGAATTTTCCCCTTCCCCCACACACTTAGATGTCTACAAACATACATACGTATGTATAACATTCCATACTATACATTGTGTTACATGAACATACATACATAAATATATAAACACATATCATTTCACCCAAACTAAGGCAAAAACCAACACCAATAAAAATATCTCCAGAAACCATTTTCTTTATGTCCTTATCAATGAGAGGAGTTAATGGATTGAACAGAGGAAAGTTGTTATTAGCAAAAATAAATCCTGACTCAGATTGCTGAGATGATCCTTAAGCCAGAGAGTTCAAATTTCCAGCCTCAAGACAAAACTTATAGCTAGTGATCTCTGTAAAATCTAGAGTAAATGGCAAAAGAAAACTGATGGTATACTGTTATCTATCTATAATGTCCAGAGTTTCATAACTAAAAATAAAACTCTGGCTTCTAAATATTCAAGAAACTTCCAGTATCTTTTCTCCAATAGTACAAAAATGAAGAAATACTTTGTTCCCACTGATCTCTTGGGCCTCTTTCTGAAAGCAAACCAGTACCAATGAGAGAAACCCAGAGAGCATTTCAAAGTATTGCTACTGTTAAGACCTCTTTACCTTAGAAGCACCTAAGTGCTAACATCTTCCAAAACAAGTTCACTATGACTGTTCAGTGCCAGCCCTGGAGTCTGCACAGAAAAGTGAGTCCTTTAGTGCTACTTGCAACAGTTAAAAACCAGTTTGGTATATGTCAGACCATCAGGACAGAAAACAGAGTCTGCAATGAACATGCTTATGGCCCACACTTTCCAGTCAAAGAGAAGTGAGTCATTTCTGCTTCAACTGCTATCCCTACAGGCCTAGAAAAATGGAAGGACTGGGCAGGAGGGGTCAGAGAAAGGATAGAAGAAGCATAGAATTGGAACTAAAACTGTGTAGCCTTAAAGTGCTCTGGCCTGAAAATCTAGAGAAGGCTTCAGCAGGAGAAAGCAGGAGAGGACATGGTTATTTTCAGTAAGTCATAGAAGGGAAGATGGCTAACAGAAATGAAATGGACACAGAACATCACCAAAGTAGCATGAAGGTATCAGATCCCCTGAGATAGGTCTTAGCCAAATAATTCCACTCCTGCACATTAGAGTTTGACATCTAAGGCCCCTCCATCTTTTTTCCAGTCAAGACCTACACAAATGGGTGAGGGCTTGCTACATGAGAAGTAAGCAGGAACAATACGAGAACCAAGACAAGCTACAAGCAGGACATGAACACATCAAAAGGCTTCTGAAAAGACACGTCTACCTAGCCTGTGACCAGGTCAACTCCCTCATTAAGTTTAGCCCCTTTAAAAAATATATCTTGTTTATGGTGCCTTTGGTTTCTCCCTTTTCCTTCTAATTAAAAGCAATTTTTGTTAACTTCTTAATACAAAAGCAATGCTTTAGAAAAATTAGAAAATACACATTTTTTTAAAAGCCAGATGGTCAACATAAACATCATTAATAAAAATAAAAGAACTGCCTATATTTATTGACCAATTATCATATGCCAGGCACTCTACTAAGTATTTTACATATATTATCTTATTCAATCCTCACAGTAAGTCTTATTTAAAAAAAAGGTGGGAAATTCATTGTACGATGTTTAACACCAAACGTTATGCTGAAACACTAGATTATTTTGCTCAGCAAATATCTGCTTGTTTGTTTATATACTTAAACATTTATTTAGGGATGAAATGATTTTCATCTTAAAAAATGAAGTCTTCCCACTCAGAAGCATGGACTATTTCCCAGTTTATTCAGTCTTTATGTCCCACAGTAAAGGACTACAATGTTCTTCATATAACTTCTGTCCATATCTTGCTGAGTTACTCTTAGAACTATATTTGTGATGCAATTATGACTGGTATTCTTTTTCTCCCAATCATATTATTGCTTGTATATTTATTCTGAATTTCCTGTAATTTTTGAGAGTAATCTGTTACATTTTAGAAGAAAACCAAAAAAGATTTTCTTATAAGGATTAAAAGTTGAGGGTAGAGGGAGGAACAACTAGAAGTGAATTTGAATTGGTTTCCTTGCAAGAGACAGAAATAAACACAGAGTGCAGTAAACATCAATCAGCACCTACTTATTAACTCAGTCTGGCATTGAATTAGGCTAGAGAGGGTTATGAAAGAATTTTATAACCACTGACCTTGACCTGAAAGAGTTTTACAAAATGGTTGGGAGGCTGGGAGTCAATGTATGAAAATCTGTTAGCACTTATGGAGTTAGTAAATACTAAATCATGAAGCATGACTTTATCTGTGTTAGGTGTTAAGAAAAAAGTGGGGTGGAGGCAAGGTGGCCAAATAGGAACAGCTGGGAGCTATCTACAGCTCCCAGTGTGAGCGATAAAGAAGACGGGTGATTTCTGCATTTCCAACTGAGGTAGCGGGTTCATCTCACTGGGGAGTGCCAGAAAGTGGGGCAAGACAGTGGGTGCAGCGCACCGTGCGTGAGCCAAAGCACGGCAAAGCATCACCTCACCCGGGAAGTGCAAGTGGTCAAGGAATTCCCTTTCCTAGTCAAAGAAAGGGATGACAGATGGCACCTGGAAAATGGGGTCACTCCCACCCTAATACTGCGCTTTTCCAATGGGCTTAACAAACGGCACACCAGGAGATTATACCCCACACCTGGCTTGGAGGGTCCTATGCCCACGGAGCCTCGCTCACTGCTAGCACAGCAATCTGAGATCAAACTGCAAGGCAGCAGTGAGGCTGGGGGAGGGGCGCCTGCCATTGCTGAGGCTTGAGTAGGTAAACAAAGCAGCTGGGAAGCTCAAACTGGGTGGAGACCACCACAGCTCAAGGAGGCCTGCCTGCCTCTGTAGGCTCCACCTTTGAGGGCAGGGCACAGACAAACAAAAGGCAGAAGTAACCTCTGCAGACTTGAATGTCCCTGTCTGTCAGCTTTGAAGAGAGTAGTGGTTCTCCCAGCACGCAGCTGGAGATCTGAGAACGGGCAGACTGCCTCCTCAAGTGGTTCCCTGACCCCCGAGTAGCCTAACTGGGAGGCAACCCCCCAATAGGGGTGGACTGACACCTCAAACGGCCAGGTACTCCTCTGAGACAAAACTTCTAGAGGAACGATCAGGCAGCAGCATTTACAGTTCACCAATATATGCTGTTCCGCAGCCACCGTTGCTGATACCCAGGCAAACAGGGTCTGGAGTGGACCTCCGGCAAACTCCAACAGACCTACAGCTGAGGGTCCTGACTGTTAGAAGGAAAACTAACAAACAGAAAGGACATCCACACCAAAAACCCATCTGTACATCACCATCATCAAAGACCAAAGGTAGATAAAACCACAAAGATGGGGAAAAAAACAGAGCAGAAAAACTGGAAACTCTAAAAATCAGAGTGCCTCTCCTCCTCCAAAGGAACGCAGCTCCTCACCAGCAACGGAACAATGCTGGACGGAGAATGACTTTGACGAGTTGAGAGAAGAAGGCTTCAGAAGATCAAACTACTCCGAGCTAAAGGAGGAAGTTCGAACCAATGGCAAAGAAGTTAAAAACCTTGAAAAAAAATTAGATGAATGGCTAACTAGAATAACCAATGCAGAGAAGTCCTTAAAGGACCTGATGGAGCTGAAAACTATGGCACGAGAACTATGTGACGAACGCACAAGCCTCAGTAGCCGATGCGATCAACTGGAAGAAAGGGTATCAGTGATGGAAGACGAAATGAATGAAATGTAGTGAGAAGAGAAGTTTAGAGAAAAAAGAACAAAAAGAAACAAACAAAGCCTCCAAGAAATATGGGACTATGTGAAAAGACCAAATCTACATCTGATTGGTGTACCTGAAAGTGACTGGGAGAATGGAACCAAGTTAGGAAACACTCTGCAGGATATTATCCAGGAGAACTTCCCCAATCTAGCAAGGCAGGCCAACATCCAAATTCAGGAAATACAGAGAAGGCCACAAAGATACTCCTCGAGAAGAGCAATTCCAAGACACATAATTGTCAGATTCACCAAAGATGAAATGAAAGAAAAAATGTTAAGGGCAGCCAGAGAGAAAGGTCGGGTTACCCACAAAGGGAAGCCCATCAGACTAACAGCTGATCTCTTGGCATAAACTCTACAAGCCAGAAGAGAGTGGGGGCAAATATGCAACATTCTTAAAGAAAATAATTTCCAACCCAGAATTTCATATCCAGCCAAACTAAGCTTCATAAGTGAAGGAGAAATAAAATACTTTACAGACAAGCAAATGCTGAGAGATTTGGTCACCACCAGGCCTGCCCTAAAAGAGCTCCTGAAGGAAGCACTAAACATGGAAAGGAACGACCAGTACCAGCCACTGCAAAAACATGCCAAATTGTAAAGATCATCAAGGCTAGGAAGAAACTGCATCAACTAACGAGCAAAATGACCAGCTAACATCATAATGACAGGATCAAATTCACACGTAAGAATACTAACCTTAAATGTAAATGGGCTAAATATTCCAATTAAAAGGCACAGACTGGCAAACTGGATAAAGAGTCAAGACCCATCAGTGTGCTGTATTCAGGAAACCCATCTCACGTGCAGAGACACACATAGGCTCAAAATAAAGGGATGGAGGAAGATCTACCAAGCAAATGGAAAACAAAAAAAGGCAAGGGTTGCAATCCTAGTCTCAGATAAAACAGACTTTAAACCAACAAAGATCAAAAGAGACAAAGAAGGCCATTACATAATGGTAAAGGGATCAATTCAACAAGAAGAACTAACTATCCTAAATATATATGCACCCAACACAGGAGCACCCAGATTCATAAAGCAAGTCCTTAGTGACCTACAAAGAGACTTAGACTCCCACACAATAATAATGGGAGACTTTAACACCCCACTGTCAACATTAGACAGATCAATGAGACAGAACATTAACAAGGATACCCAGGAATTGAACTCAGCTCTGCACCAAGCAGACCTAATAGACATCTACAGAACTCTCTACCCTAAATCAACAGAGTATACATTCTTTTCAGCATCACAACACACCTATTCCAAAATTGACCACATAGTTGGAAGTAAAGCACTCCTCAGCAAATGTGAAAGAACAGAAATTATAACAGACTGTCTCTCAGACCACAGTGCAATCAAACTAGAACTCAGGATTAAGAAACACACTCAAAACCACTCAACTACATGGAAACTGAACAACCTGCTCCTGAATGACTACTGGGTACATAATGAAATGAAGGCAGAAATAAAGATGTTCTTTGAAACCAATGAGAACAAAGACACAACATACCAGAATCTCTGGGACACATTCAAAGCAGTGTGTAGAGGGAAATTTATAGCACTAAATGCCCACAAGAGAAAGCAGGAACGATCCAAAATTGACACCCTAACATCAAAATTAAAAGAACTAGAGAAGCAAGAGCAAACATATTCAAAAGCTAGCAGAAGGCAAGAATTAACTAAGATCAGAGCAGAACTGAAGGAAATAGAGACACAAAAAACCCTTCAAAAAATCAATGAATCCAGGAGCTGCTTTTTTGAAACGATCAACAAAATTGATAGACCGCTAGCAAGACTAATAAAGAAGAAAAGAGAGAAGAATCAAACAGACGCAATAAAAAGTGATAAAGGGGATATCACCACCAATCCCACAGAAATACAAACTACTATCAGAGAATACCATAAACACCTCTACACAAATAAACTAGAAAATCTAGAAGAAATGGATAAATTCCTTGACACATACACTCTCCCAAGACTAAACCAGGAAGAAGTTGAATCTCTGAATAGATCAATAACAGGAGCTGAAATTGAGGCAATAATTAATAGCTCACCAACCAAAGAAAGTCCACGACCAGATGGATTCACAGCCAAATTCTACCAGAGGTACAAGGAGGAACTGGTACCATTCCTTCTAAAACTATTCCAATCAATAAATAAAGAGGGAATCCTCCCTAACTCTTTTTATGAGGCCAGCATCATCCTGATACCAAAGCCTGGCAGAGACACAACAAACAAGAGAATTTTAGACCAATATCCTTGATGAACATTGATGAAAATTCCTCAATAAAACACTGGCAAACCAAATCCAGCAGCACATCAAAAAGCTTATCCACCATGATCAAGTGGGCTTCATCCCTGGGATGCAAGGCTGGTTCAACATACGCAAATCAATAAACGTAATCCAGCATATAAATAGAACCAAAGACAAAAACCACATTATTATCTCAATAGATGCAGAAAAGGCCTTTGACAAAATTCAACAATGCTTCATGCTAAAAACTCTCCATAAATTAGGTATTGATGGCACGTATCTCAAAATAATAAGAGCTGTCTATGACAAACCCACAGCCAATATCATACTGAATGGACAAAGACTGGAAGCATTCCCTTTGAAAACTGGCACAAGACAGGGATGCCCTCTCTCACCACTCCTATTCAACATAGTGTTGGAAGTTCTGGCCAGGGCAATCAGGCAGGAGAAGGAAATAAAGGGCATTCAATTAGGAAAAGAGGAAGTCAAATTGTCCCTGTTTGCAGATGACATGACTGTATATCTAGAAAACCCCATCGTCTCAGCCCAAAATCTCCTTAAGCTAATAAGCAACTTCAGCTAAGTCTCAGGATACAAAATCAATGTGCAAAAATCACAAGCATTCTTACACACCAATAACAGACAAACAGAGAGCCAAATCATGAGTGAACTCCCATTCACAACTGCTTCAAAGAGAATAAAATACCTAGGAATCCAACTTACAAGGGATGTGAAGGACCTCTTCAAGGAGAACTACAAACCACTGCTCAATGAAATAAAAGAGGATACAAACAAATGGAAGAACATTCCATGCTCATGGGTAGGAAGAATCAGTATCATGAAAATGGCCATACTGCCCAAGGTAATTTATAGATTCAATGCCATCCCCATCAAGCTACCAATGACTTTCTTCACAGAATTGGAAAAAACTACTTTAAAGTTCATATGGAACCAAAAAAGAGCCCGCATCGCCAGGTCAATCCTAAGCCAAAAGAACAAAGCTGGAGGCATCATGCTACCTGACTTCAAACTATACTACAAGGCTACAGTAACCAAAACAGCATGGTACTGGTACTGAAACAGCATGGTATGGTACCAAAACAGAGATATAGACAAATGGAACAGAACAGAGCCCTCAGAAATAATGCTGCTTATCTACAACTATCTGATCTTTGACAAACCTGACAAAAACAAGCAATGGGGAAAGGATTCCCTATTTAATAAATCATTCTGGGAAAACTGGCCAGCCATATGTAGAAAGCTGAAACTGGATCCCTTCCTTACACCTTATACAAAAATTAATTCAAGATGGATTGAAGACTTAAATGATAGACCTAAAACCATAAAAACCTTAGAAGAAAACCTAGGCAATACCATTCAGGATATAGGCATGGGCAAGGATTCCAGGTCTAAAACACCAAAAGCAATGGCAACAAAAGCCAAAGTTGACAAATGGGATCTGATTATACTAAAGAGCTTTGCTGTGCTTCTGCACAGCAAAATAAACTACCATCAGAGTGAACAGGCAACCTACAGAATGGGAGAAAATGTTTGCAACCTACTCATCTGACAAAGGGCTAATATCCAGAATCTACAATGAACTCAAACAAATTTACAAGAAAAAAACAAACAACCCTATCAAAAAATGGGTGAAGGATATGAACAGACACTTCTCAAAAGAAGACATTTATGTGGCCAAAAAACACATGAAAAAATGCTCATCATCACTGGCCATCAGAGAAATGCAAATCAAAACCACAACGAGATACCATCACACACCAGTTAGAATGGTGATCATTAAAAAGTCAGGAAACAACAGGTGCTGGAGAGGATGTGGAGAAATAGGAACATTTTTACACTGTTGGGAGGACTGTAAACTAGTTCAACCATTGTGGAAGTCAGTGTGGCGATTCCTCAGGGATCTGGAACTAGAAATACCATTTGACCCAGCCATCCCATTACTGGTTATATACCCAAAGGATTATAAATCATGCTGCTATAAAGACACATGCACACATATGTTTATTGCAGTGCTGTTCTCAATAGCAAAGACTTGGAACCAACCCAAATGCCCATCAATGATAGACTGGATTAAGAAAATGTGGCACATATACACCATGGAATACTATGCAGCCATAAGAAATGATGAGTTCATGTCCTTTGTAGGGACATCGATGAAGCTGGAAACCATCATTCTCAGCAAACTATCGCAAGGACAAAAAACCAAACACCGCATGTTCTCACTCATAGGTGGGAATTGAACAATGAGAACTCATGGACACAGGAAGGGGAACATCAGATTCTGGGGACTGTTGTGGGGTTGGGGGAGTGGGGAGGGATAGCATTAGGAGATATACCTAATGCTAAATGACAAGTTAATGGGTGCAGCACACCAACATGGCACAGGTATACATATGTAACAAACCTGCACGTTGTGCACATGTACCCTAAAACTCAAAGTATAATAATAATAAAATTTTTTTAAAAAAGAAAAAAGTGTCTAGAGAATGGAAGTGGTGGAAAAATATCCCACCAAAACAAACGAGCTGACATATCATTGAGTCAGTGGACAGTTTGCAGATAAGAAGCCAATATAAACACAGATGCTTTAATATGAAACCAGAAGGATATCTTTATGTCGAGCCCCAATATCTACTAAATTCTAATACTTTAACTTCTCAAATAGTGAAAACAACCAACAATACAGAAAAGTCTCGGGCGGAGGGAGGAAAAGTGACAACACACCTGTGAAATGGCTTCTCAAAGTTTCAATAGCATGTGTTTCTAAGATATGGGAAAGCCAAAAAACGCATGGGCAGCCTTCTTCCTTTAGAAGTATTCAATTGTTCTAGATAGAAATCTCCTTTCTTTGGTTAAGAATTTATTGTAGTTTCACCTTTCCTTAGAAATGAAAACTGTGATTGTTGAGTAAACAACTTGTAAAACTATTTTCACTGACACTTATTAAGTATCTTGGCTCCCTGCATTGAATTTCTATTTAGTCACTTCCCTCAACATGTAGATCAAACTGATGCCTCAATTATAATCCTTGAAGAACATGGGGGAAAGACTGTTTAAAGCATTCCCTCTCTGCTAAGGAGGAAAATATCCCAGTCACATGAGCTGTGTAGCATAATGTTTGTTTTCCATGTTGATCTGCAAAAGAGAGAGATGACAGAAAGAGTGTTGGGTGTGGTGGCTCATGCCTGTAATCCCAGCACTTTGGGAAGCTGAGGTGGGAGGATCACCTGAAGTCAGGAGTTTGAGACCAGCCTGACCAACATGATGAAACCCTGTCTCTACTAAAAATACAAAATTAGCCAGGTGTGGTAGCACATGCCTGTAATCCCAGCTACTCCAGGGGCTGAGGTAGGAGAATCGCTTGAACCTGGGAAGCAGAGGTTGCAGTGAGCCAAGATCGCGCTACTGCACTCCAGCCCTGGGCAACAAGAGCAAAACTCTGTTTCAATACATAAAAAATAAAAATAGAGAAAGATGACAGAAAGCAGAATCAGAGGAAATGTATCACTGTTGAACATTTCCTACATGTATTGCACTGAGCTCAACACTTTGCAGGGTCTCCCTTACAGTGACCTTCTGTGGTAGGTATATTACCCTTATTTTATAACTTGAAAACTGAGGCTTAGGGGTATATACACAGACCTGGGAACTGAAAGCTACAGTTCCAATACCACCAGCTTTGCTGCTTGCTAGCCATGTGATCTTGAGTGAGTTATTTAGTCATGCTGCAGCTCAGTTTCCTCATCAATCAAATGATGGGAGTCTCTGACGATCACGCTAGGGATGATGCATATAAAGCGCTTAGTGCTTGGCTTGTAGCAAGAATCCAACAGATGACAGCCCTCACTATTACGGCCTACACTGATTCTTCAGTCTGCATCTACACCCACTGTGGGTCATCCTGCCACCTGCCCTGCCCTGCTGTATGACCTGAGGCTTCCTCCTAAAGAGGCATTGCCAGAGCTTCCTCATAGGCAGGCTTCTGGGTGAACCCAGTCATTGGGAAGCACTAACAACAAGAGATCAGAGCTCAGGAGGAGAGGAGCTGAGGTATTTCTTCCCCACTCCCTTCTTCCTCCAAGGTATGTTTTCTGACAGTGACTGTCCCTCCGTGTCTCCAGCTTCCAACAGGAGATCCCTCTCTCATAGCTCCTTTACCCACTGGTTTCCTGTAGTGCTAATTCCTCTCCTTGCACCTCCAGGACTAAGGATGGTAATAACCGCCCACTGTAACTAGTCTTGGGTGTCCAACACCCTTTGGTAATTGTGTTACCTGCTCCCATATTTGTAAGCAGTCCTTTCATCAAAATCTCTTGGACCATCTGAATTGGAGTCTGCTTCTTGCCTAACCCTGGCTGATATCCAAACTCAAAAATCATACACTCGTAAATGAAGGACCCAGCAACCTCTATGGTCTATGGCCAATGCTTTACAAATCACTTATTTGCCAATGATAATTTAAACTGTACTGGTAGTATACAACCACGTATTATTAAATAACCATTCTTAAAAGGGAATAGAACATTGTTAAAATATAGTTTGCAATTGCTGAGAAATACATTTGGTGATTTATTCAGATGATATCTAAAATGTTCAATATCTCATTCCAAAGGCCGCACCCCAATTACACAGGTTGCAAACCCTATCCTGCAAGTAGCACCAACTACAGTCCCACTTTCTCTCTGAGAAATGTCAACCTGACTTTATCCTGAGAAAACAGAAGATCAAAACTCTTCATAGAATCTTAGAGAAAGTCTCTAAGCAAGAGCCAAAATGTAAAATTTGAGGTAATTCTTATTGTCATTGTCATGTGCAGAAGTGCAGCTACAATTCTGAGGGCTCGGTTCCAGAATATTTTAGAAAAAGTAATGAGCTTCTCTAGTTTTGGACAAGACGGCATAGACTCTTTTCCCTGCTAAGTATGACCCCAAACCCTGGATATAACACAACAAACAATCATAAGAACATTCTGAAAGGTGAAAGAAGAACACAGACTGGCTGGGGACCTCAAAAGTCAAGGAGCAGCACAGCAACCTAAAATCTCCTAACCACCCATCCGGAGGCAGAAGATGTCCCAGGTAGGTGCTTCTTCCCCTGTAGGAGGCACCAGGAAAGACTAAGCAGAAGCACAGCCAGCACCAGGCAGCCCGAGGAAGCACTCTCTGCCCCCCATGAGCCTGGCATCTTCTGCCTCCAAATTTGGTGATGCCAGGCCAACCCATAGAAGCACTTTTCACCCTCACAGGTAGCACAAGCAGGAACTGAGTGACAACCCCATCAGCACTGGGCAGCCCAAGCCAGAGAAAATAGTTTCTGCTCCTGCAGGCTTGGCATCTCTCATCCTCTACCCAGTGGTACTAGATATAAAGAAGAACCAAATGGAAATTATGAGACTTAAAACTTCAATAACTGAAATAAATAAAAAAATTCACTAGAAGGGCTCAATAGGCAAATATATGTGACAGAGGAAAAAAAATAAGTGAACTTGAAGATAGAACAATAGAAAGAGACACCTGTGGGGCAGAAACAAAAGACTCAACAGTCATATCATTGGAATCTTAGATGGAGAAAAGAAAGAGTAGAGCTGAAAACATATTCATAAAAATAACTAAAAACTTCCCATATTTGCTAAAAAACAAACCTGCAGATTTAAGAAGCTACGAGAATACCAAGTAAGATAAACCCAAAGAAAGCCACACTAAAACACATCATAAGTAAAATTCTGAAAACTGAAGACAAAAATAAGAATGGAATTCATATGGGAAAAAGTCAAAGTTTGATGTTATTTTTCACTGAGAAAACTTTGCATAACAACAGCTCTGACAAGCTGATATACAAATGGATAGAATTATAACACAATATAATGTTTATAATGTGTTAGATACAAGCCCTTTGACAAATATTAATATTAAATTCTTAAAAAATTCCTATGAAGTAGTTATTATTATTCTTATTTTACAGTTGGACAGAGACCCAGAGAGGCTAAATAACAAACTGAGACCCAGAAAGGCTAAATAACTTGCCCAAGGTCACACAGCTAGTAAGTGACAGAACCCAGAATTCAAACTCAGACACTCTGGTTACGGGGTCTACATTCTTGACTATGATGCCTGGAAGTGGTCTAGTATAGTAGTATGGAATCATGTACATATAGTTTAGTAGTATAGAATCAACAACCAAAATTGACAAGGTCCTTATAAACTAGATAAAGAGACAAGGAATAATCCAGGATTTAGTTCCAGATGTTTTTGTTTATTTTTGTTTTATTAAGATTTTCTTTAAAATGTATTAGAGCTGGACAGTATGGCTCCTGTAGGCTTGGATATTAGTAACTCTCATTGTTCAGAATTAAGCTTATACTAAAGTTGTACTTGGTGTGGGCAATGTTTTTTTCTGCCAGAATCATATAGTAAAAGACATCTGTGATTGTTTTTTTAAAGTTGAAGTTAAGCAGTTAGTCTCCTTGGCTTACTACTTTTATTAAATATCAATGCTGATGTCATTTTCTCCACAAACCAACATCCTAAATGATTTTTATCAGGACAGATAAACTCTCAAATACAGAAAGCAGGTCTTTTCATTATCCTATTGATTAAAAGCAAAATACAAAAAAATTAGCTACATGATACAGGCACACAACAAAAATCTTTGTCAAATTTTAACATGGCACAGGTTTCAAAATAAAATTATCCCTTTTAGAACTGGCAGGTCAATATTATCTTTTTGTTCTAATATGGGACCATTTGCAGAAATGTGGTTTCCTGTGAACTAAGAGAAAGCTGAAGTGTTTTGACACACTAAACTGTACTAACAACACCCACTGAAATGATGGCACTGTCTTTGAATGACGTTTACCCTGAGACTGGAGGGAGCCACTGGGACATACTGGTACAAACTGAGTGTTGAACACATATAACCTTAATGGATAAAAGGCAGGGAGGGAGGGAGGGCTAGCCAAGCCTCTGGCCTATGTCCCTTAAGTCTCTTCACCTCACTCCTAGGGTTCTTGAATAAAATGTAAAACTAAGGCCTTAAAAAACCTGTAGTGTGGGAATTGACTGCAAATGGAAATCAGAGAACTCTGGGGGATGATGGAAATTTTCGAAAACTGCTGTGGTGATGGTTGTACAACTCTGTAAATTAATTTTAAAAATACAGAGGTATACAGTTCTCACAGATTAATTTTATAATGTGTACAGTACAGCTCAATAAAACTATTTGGAAAAATATCCTGCAGGTTCTCCCCATTGCCTTCTGAACAAAGGCCGAGTTCATGAAAACATACAAAATCCTTTATGATACAGCCCTTGCTTAACTCACTTCTTGTCTTTTTTTGCCACCTGTGTTCCCCCAGCCCTCTGATCCACCACTCCACCTATATTCTATTTACTGAGCAACCAGCAGTTTTCAGAAAATCTAAAGTGGCTGCATACTACAGTCCTATGCCTCTCACCCTGTTCTCTCTGCCTTCTGCCTAGAAGTCTTCCTCCCCACAGCTTCCTGACCAACACCAAATGGGGGGTTCAAGACACAGCTCAACCTGACTACTATATTCTAGGATGCTTTTCTGACTTTCTGGGTAGAATTGGCCATTTCTTTTTGTGTTCCTCCAGAGTACTTAGTCATTCAATGTCTATAAATACTTTTTCCTTACAGGTGACAAAAGCATCTGCAATTCTATCAAAATGTCCGTGTAGCACCAATCCCTTCCTCTCAGACCTATAAAGATAATAAGCAAGAGTGTATTGAGACTAACAAGAAGGTGACACACCAAGGATGGGAGTAACACTGAGGGAGTCTCTCACATGGACAATTCTAGCAGCTTTATAACCAGTCTCCTTACAGCAGTCAGAGTGAACCCTTTAAAACATATCTAATTTTATATATATATATATGAAAAAGAATGTAAGTTTTAGTCAGAGAAACCGACAGAGAATTTAAAGCCTGCTCCACCACTTACTATATATATGACTATACAAGTCGCCCCAACAGTGAGCACATAATTTCCTCATCTGTAAAGTGGAGGTATAACTACCTTACAGACTTTTGCAAAGAATCTTCAAGATTAGCCACGTAAAGTTGTGCCACTTAGATATGATTTCACTTTCACTTCCTTACTTAGGTTGTTGGTTCGATAATTGATATTACTGAATACCAGACAGGCTAAGAACCACATCACTGATTTACACTCTCCTCCACATTTAACCGAAAAGTGACCAATCAAAAAGTATCACAACTCAGGTTGATGTGCATTCAGTCTATCCCATGGTATCTTTGTCTCTTTTCAAATCACAATACTGATGTTCCAATAAATGATGTTTATTATCAGGCCATGAGCCATCAAGAAAATACTAAACTCTGCTTAGAACACTGTTTAAGAAGGTTGGAAAATATATATCAACTATAGACAGTTTTCTTAGAAGGAAAATCAACATGTTAGCACATAACAAATTAACATACAATCTGGGTAACTGAATAATATATAACGGCATGCTTCCATAATAGATGAAGAATTATGGAATCTCTGTTTGCAATCCAATGTGGGTAAGAAGAAATGTATTCATTCAACAACTATTCAAACATTTGTTGAACAAATGATATATGAAAGGATAAAAGAACCAGTCTAGAAGAGGAAACTTGTGATCTTCAGGTGAAATGCATGTTACAAAGCATAAGAGGACTGTTATTGTGTTCTTAATTTCAGAAAGTTAACAAAAGACTCAGGGTCAGGGATAATTAAATTCATAAGTATGTGAAAGAATGACTAGTTCCAAAACAATCTAAGATGAACATCTCTTAACTGATATATGGTTTCTATTAAATAGGTGACATGAGTTAAGTCATCATTAACTAGTACTTTTTCCTCTTGCTATATCAAAACTATCAACAAACATTGGAAAGCCTACCTCCAAAATGCATGCTGAATCTGTGCAGCCCACTGCCACCACTCTGGTCTACACCACTAGTCTCTCATATGGACAATTCCAGCAGCTTTATACCCAGTCTCCCCACAGCAATCAGAGTGAGCCCTTTAAAACATATATCGAATTATATCATGTGCCAAATCAACATGTTTCAAAGGTTTCCCATTGTACTTAGAATAAAAAGCAAACGCCATGGACCCCATGATGCTTACACCCTGGCCCTTGTCTGCCCCTTTATCCTCATTATCTGCCACTGACCAATTCATATGCTCAAGCCAGTGGTTCTCAAAGGGTGGTCCCAGGACAAGAAGCATCATTACCTAGGACCTTTTTAGAAATGCAGACTTTCAGGACCCATCCCAGACCTACTGAATCAGAGAGTCTGGGTTTAAGGCTCAACAAGCTGTGTTTTAACAAGCCTTTCAATGATTCAGAAACACTAAATTTAAGAATTATTACTCTAGATATCTGCTATAGTTTAAATCTGTCTCACAAACTTCATATGTTGGAACAATCCTCAAATTCATATGTTGATGGCATTTGGAGGTGGGGCCTTTGGGAGGTAATTAGGATTGGGTAAAGTCATTAGGGTGGAGTCCCCATGAAGGGACTAAGAAGAGGAAGAGAGACCTGAGCTGACATGCCCTCTCAGCATTTGATGCCCTCCAACATATGATGATGCAGCAAGAAGGTCCTCGCCAGATGCCAGTGTCATGGCCTTGGACTTCCCAGCCTCCAGAATCGTGAGCTAAATAAACTTCTTTTCTTTATAGATTACCCATTCTGTGTAATTCTGTTATAGCAATAGAAAACAGACTAAGACAATACATTAGGCTTCTTTATATAGCTAGAAAATACCAAGCTCTTTTCCATCTCAGCACCTTTGAATTTACTATAGTTCTGCCTAGAATGTATCCCTCACCTCCACCCCATGTCACCACCTTGATTGCCCCTTCTCCATCAACTGTAAAAATTCTACCTGACCCAAATTACTTTGTATCATGCTACACTAATCACTACTATCATAACACTTAGTACAACCTGATTTTATTTACTTGTGTGTTCATCTTGTTTGTACACTAAAACATGTGCTCCTTTAGAACAAGGATCTTATCTTTATCAACCACCCAGTGAGTTACAAACAGTAGTTGCTCAACAACTATTAAATAAATTAATGAATAAGCCCAGTATAAATCCATTTAACATAAGGTTAGAATAACAAAGTTAGAATAGTGAAAAAAGCCACCACTGACTTATAATAAAAGTATCCAAATTGCCTGCTTACTATGGGCCAGTCCTTGGGCTAAATCTTTTCTTGTGTTTTTCTCTTTAAATTCTCCCTAGAACTCAATGAGGTAGAACTACAATCATCCTCACTTTAAGATGAAGACGCTAAGATATAAATAAGTGAAATAAATTACTTGAGGCTACCAAGCTGATCATTCGCAGAGCCAGGGTTCAAATCCAGGCTGTCCAACTCCAAAGTTCATACACTGCACCCCCACCCACTACTACCTCTTCTGAAAAAGGTATCTGACCAGATATTTTCAACATAGATTTCGGCAGACTACAGGGATAACCTGGTGAGGAAGTAGTCTCTCCAATTCAGATCTCCTACAGATAAAACCTTGGCAAAGGGGTACTCAATTCTGTCAACTGAGTCTCACAAAATTATAATGTTAACTGATGGGTGTTTAGAGGATGTACATTTTAGAAGACTCTTAAATTGAGTACAGATGTTTAGAAAATCAGTGTCAAATTAGAAAGCATTAAGCAGACATTAAGGCAGACCAAATTGGTCTTTTCAGAAAGCTGGGTCAGGATGGGAGAAATGTGTGCTTGCTAAGTAGGCCAGGTTACTCAGAAGTGGGTCTTCTAACTCAGAAATTAGTGAAGGCAGCCCAGCTTTGCCAGAGAATCAGACAGAGTAAGAAGCCTAAACATGGAGCTGAAGGATTGACCTACAGGTTTTCAGGTGGAGTGGAAGGAAGCAGATTCTCTTGCCAAGACCTTCACAGCAACCTGTAGATGCAGCACTGGAACCCAGGACTCTGGCGTGTTTTTTAACCATTAACCTGATGCCAGGGATGTTGGAACTGTCTTGGAACTCCACTTTTCAACAGAAATTTCTGGAAGAGATTAAGGAGATCCTATGCCTTAAAAGAGGACCAGGACATGTTCACATCATCCATCTGCGGGTTTCTGGAGGTGGGGGGAGCCAATGGTCTCAGACTTTTGGAACCACTTTATTTTCATTTCATAGTTTCATCACATTCGGAAAGGTTTGGTATATTTCCTCATCATAAAAATCTCATTCTCAAAATTCCTCTTGAAATATATGTGTTGGTCTCCAAATGATGCCACACTTGTTTATAGGACTAGATGACAAACACTCAGGTAAAGGCATTTTACTGTGTGCAGCAAAATATACAGAACATTCACTTTCACAACTCAAGCATTTATGGCTGATATCATTAATAAAACATAGCCTTAGAATCCCTCTTAATCCATCAATCAGAATCACCACTCAAACATTATGTGCCTCCCATATCATGGGTAATTGTATGGAAATAAAGAAGTATATGAGGCAGTATAGATTGACAATTAAGAGTTTCACCCTGGAGTTACACAGACACAAGTTCTTATCTTGGTGTTGTTACTTACCAACCATGAGAATTGGACCAGTTATCCATGCCATGGTTTCTATCTCTAAAATGGAATAAAAATCACCCGTAACTCATTATATGGAGGTTATAAGAATTAAATAATTCAAGTAAATACATAGTCATTATTTTACTAAAATGTGCTACGTACTACTCTAGGTGTTTTTCACATATTAATTCATCTCACCCTCAAACAATCTTATGAGATAGAAAATATCATTATGCCCCTTTTGAGGAAACAGCCACAGGGAGGGGTAAAGGAACTTGCCCAAGGTCACACAGCCAGTAAATGGCAGAGCCAGGATTCAAACCCACGCAGTCTGGCTCCAGAGCCCACATATGTAAGCACTATACTATTAAGAAGACAACAATTCCTATACTTACTAGCTTCATGAAAGTAAAAACATTTGCAGGTTTTGCTTTGAAAGATCCAAGTGAATGCTACTAGAAAAATACAAAGAATAATGTACTTTTTTTATCTTAAGCACTAGCCAAGGAAACAAAGAAGGAGCAGAATTCACTGTACCCAAGTACTGTGTGGTTATTTTGATACAAGTCAACAACTACAGCAGATGCTGGTATCCATCTTCCTGACAGGTGACAGGTAGTACCAACACTCTTCAGATCATGAGACCTCAAAATACTCATTTTATCCTGACAGCAGGGGTGAGAAATAACATGTAAATCATCATGGGGAGATGGAGGCCTAAGTAAATATTCCAGGAAAAGGGCTCCTTTAGCATAAAGTAGCCTTTTTCACACTTGTGCAGACTCCAGAAAGGAGGTGCCCCATGGCTGTCAGCTCTGGTGTGCTCTGCAGATGACTGGTCTTCCAGCCAAACTGTTGGCTGGCTTTTTTCTAGCAATTCAATCTAGCATTCTGCTAGTACATACCCCAGCACAAAGCGGGCCAGGTCCACTTTATTACAAGGTTACAGGCAAGCCATAGATAAAAAGTGAGTCCTTAAATATCAGGGATTAATAATTCAGGAAGTAATTATTTTTAGAATAATATTTAATTTCAGGAAATATGGAAGTTAAAGCTTTATCCTGTGCAGAATGATTTAAATTCCAGCTTAATTTCCATCTACTAACATAATTGTGGTGACTAATTTTGATAAAAGTACTTTGGATTTGCCTAACACCTCTGAGTGTTGAATTCCAAGGGCTTCAGTAAATCCTGGGTCACAAGATTGCTATTTTTTCCACATTTCATAAGACTTTTTGGTTAATACTCTAGGAAATGATCACAAGCAGGTTCTCACTCTCCTGATCAAAGACATAGTTCCACCTGTGACCAACTTGCTTCCTGACTATGTCAGTTTCCTGTTGCTGCCTTAACAAATACCACACCTTAGTGGCTTAAAACAACACAAATTTCTTCTCTTAGTTCTGGAGGTCAGAAGTCTAAAATGGGTCTCACAGGGCTACAATCAAGATGTCTACAGGGCAGCATTCCTTCTGGAGGCTCTAGGAGAGAATCAGTTTCCTTGCCTTTTCAATCTTCTGGAGACCACCCACCTTCCTGGGCTTGTGGCCCCTTCTTCCATTCTAAAGCCAGTCAGTAGGGCATCTTCAAATCTCTCTTGGTCTCTGGCTCTCCTGCCTCTCACTTATAAGCAGCCCTGCGATGATGGTGGGCCCACCCAGATGATCCAGGATGACCTTCCTATCTCAAGACCCTTAACTCAATCACACATGCAAAGTCCCTTCTGCCACATCAGGCAGCATTTATAGATTTCAGGGATTAGGATGTGGACAACTGTGGAGAGCCATCATTTCACTTACCATATTGACTCTTAAGGCTATGACTCTTAAAGTCTTTTCTCCTAATCTATAAACCCATCAAGAATATTTAAGTTATTCTTGTAACTACACACTACCTTGTTAACTCAATCTTATTATAATAAGCTATGTCAGGCTATAGTCAAGAATATTACCATTATAATATTACCTATATAAATCTGGGGATGTGAAGCATAGAAAAGAATTTTTAAATCTCAAGTTTTGCATTTGTGTACTTATATACCTACCAATTTATAGAGTTTGAAATTTTATAGAATTTGAGGTTTGGTAGATAAGGTCGTAAATAAAGTTTGACGATTTATATCACATCTTCACTTAACATATCACTTCATATATTTTAATTATTAAAATGTGTGTTAATGAAATTTCAACTGTAATTAATCTCCTTTCTACTGAAATGGTTCAATAGATCCATGAGCCTAAACAAATCTCCCTGGATTTTCATCATTAATATTTTTACTCTTTAAGAATAAAGAATTTATGAATTATGATCTACAGTTTATCCCACTATTTCAAATGACAAAATCTTGTCACTGCTTTAGCTTTAAAAGTATGTCTTCCCACTTTTAAAGCACTTTTTCTAGACAGCCATACCTACTTTCTTCACTTAAGTAGTTGACACTTATATAACACTACACACATATAGTTGTATGTGTCAACACACATGAAAGAGGAAATAACAGAGAAAGTGTTAATCTGCCTATATCTTTGAATATTATCAAAGCAATTTAGAAAGCTTTATAACTGAAAGTTAAATATGAGAAAGAAAAAAGACAGTTTCATATCTTACAGACGAAGTTAAATAGAACATTCTCTGAGCATGGTTTACATGTGAGACTTTGTTCTAGGTGCTGTATGCCAACACTATTCCCAAATATATATTTTTTCAGTGCCTTCAAAAGAGGCTGTTATGCTACCTTAGATAACCCCCCTTCTAATCTGCATGATGCAATTCACTGCTATCTGCATGATATTCCACTTGAAGTGCACAGTAGAGCACTGTGCTTTCCATCAGCAAATATCTAGAGTTATGTGGGCATGAAATGTCTCCTCCAAGGAGTCAACAGCGACCCAGGAATCGTTCTCAACTGCACCCCTGAGCTGGCAGCCATCCAGTCGAGGTTCCCTAGACAGGCAGTGTTGTCACTGATGTTACACCAAGGGGCCTGTGTTTCAGATGTTTCTCTTTCTCAACAAGCACATCGGTGTGAACTCGAAAGAATGAAAAATAGTTCCATGTGATATTCATCCAGTTGTTTTGTTCTGTAAGTAGCAATGGTTAAGTTACAAACCATGAATTTAATGCCAAACTCCTGTGCTCAGGTAGGCATGACAGTAAACTCTCAATAGCCTATAAAAAGGAAGATGAAAGGATAAAGGTAAATCCAATTTACACAAGAATCAATACTGTCATCAACAACACTAATAGGGAAGGTTCTATGATTTTTTTAATTTCCTCTTTTTTTTTAGCATAAAAACAGAAGTTAATGGGTCCCTCTCAGTTTGGGAAAATCTGAGTGACAAGCCAAAACCAATAGGTTTTGAAAGGGGCCTGTGAATAAAACGCAAAAAGTGCCTAATTGGAGTCAAGAACCAACTCACTATAACAATTGTAGAATCTAGATGGCAAGTGTAGGTGTTCATTATACTAATCTTTTGAACTTGCCCACATGTTTGAAAAAAAATCAAAATCAAAAGTTGGAAATAAAAAAGTAAAATAGAAAAAGAAACAATTCATAAGATATTGTTGAACCCCATGGGCTTTGAGAAATTTGCATAAACTTGAGGCATATTCAGGCTGACCAGTTAGCTCCTCTCTCCATATACAGCTCCATGCCAAAAAAATTATATAAAATCTACTATCTGAGAAAATGGGAATCCACATTGCTTCATAGCTCTTCTGAATGAACAAAATGCAACTGGTACAGACTTAAAATCGTTAGGGAAATTTCCTTTTGCAGATCATGTCATACTGACATGTACTAGAATAGCAATTAAAATATTCTAAACCCATCCCCCTCTCCATGTAACTATCCTTGTCATACTCTCTTGAAGTCAGAGTACAAATTGCTCCAGGGCTAAGTGATGACAGAAACATCTCCCAATTACTCCTGGTTACACAGACTCAAAGATGGGAACAATGAAGTTCTAATGCCTACACACTCCTTAGTGAACTCAAATTTCCTAAGACAATGAATGATCAAAGTAGAGTCTTATGAAAGCTTCTACATAAAAGACAGGAAATGAGACCCAAATCAGGAGAGTTGGGGAAGCTCAGGAGGAGGGAGATACATATCCAGCCCTCATTTAAGATCAATTCATGGATGACTCCCTAAAACACCACAGAAAATCTGACACAATAGCAAATGCACTGAATGATGCATGCCATTCACTATCACAACTGAGAACTCCAAACATTTCGTTGATATTAGAAAGTGAAACAAATGTTCCTGCAAAAGTCAAATGAGAATCAAAAGCACCATGTTTGCACTGCAGCCTGGGTGACAGAGCAAGACCCTGCCTCTAAAAAAAATAATAATTTTTTTTAAAAAATCACCATGGTTTACAGGGAAGGATACTGCCGTGGCTGCACAGACCTTTAGTGTCTCAAAGCATTGTGCAAATACCTGTGTATTTCTTTCATGCAACATGAGCATTAACTTGCAAATTTTAAAACCCTCTGATTTATCATTCCACCACTTCACTTATTTGTAAAACCAACTAAAAAAGTATTAAGAATTTCAAGACGGCAACATGAGAGCATCAGATCACATGCAGGGGCTCTTCTGAGCTCGGGCTGTTGAATCCAGGCCTGACCATATGAACTGGCAGAGTGAAGGAGAGATGTGGGGTGGAGTAGGTCAAAGATGCTGCAGGCTGCCCAAATGAAGGAATGTGGGAGGAGAAAGGGAGCAAAAGGGCTGGAAAATAAAGGGGTGTGAGGCACGTTCAAAAGAGCAGGAGGAGGAAGAGTACCTGAAGGCGGTATGATAGAGGTGGAGAGGAAAGGGCTAGATCAGGGGTCCGCAAACCCAAGGCCACAGACTGGTAGCAGTCAATGGCCTGTTAGGAACCAGACAGCAGGAGGTGAGCAGCTGGCAAGCGAGCAAGACAGCCTGTGCTCTGGCTCCTGTCAGATCAACTGAGGCATTAGATTCTCATAGTAGCACGAACCCTACTGTGAATTGTGCACATGAGGGATCTAGATTGCACACTCCTTATGAGATTCTAATGCCTGATGATCTGAGGTAGGACAGTTTCATCCTAAAACCATCCCCCTGCCATCCGTGGCAAAATTGTCTTCCACAAAATGGGTCCCTGGTGCCAAAAAGTTGGAGACTGCTGGGCTAGATCATCTGGATGCAGTTCACCACCCACAGTGCCTCAAAGTCGCTCCTTGTTTTCTCTTTCCCTGGGATCCTCTCACCACACGCCCAACAAAGGTATCACTCTTTCATGCTTGAAGGGCCATGGTCCCCTTTTTATGTTTTTTGAACAAGGAGACCCAAATTTTCACTGCGTGCACACTGGGCTCTGCAAATTACATAAGTGGTTTTGCCTAGAAGATTTAGAAGATCACCAGTCTAGATAGAGAATTCTAGAAAATAATTCCTGAGGAAGGTCCCCTTTGATGGAGTAATCTTTTAAAAATTTATTCTGTTTGCAGATTGTCTGTTACCTCAGTTAACAAAAACATTGACTGTTAAATTAAATGTTGACACAAATGATCTTGCCATGTGGAACCATAACCTCCTTTTCCTCTGTAAGAATTCCAGCAAACTAACAAATTGGAATCTGAAAGCCCCAGGTTGGAAATCTAGGAAGATGACAGAAAACATCGTCCTTCAGAGTAGCAATTCCTGAAACCTCCTACCCTAGGTCCATGCCTTAGCTACTCTGAAGGAAACACGACCTTTCCTCAAAGTAAAAGAGAGCAAAATGTAAGGAAATAATTATAAAAATTGACGCCTAAAGAACAAACCCTGGGAATCTGCTATCCAGACACCATCAAGCCATGAGTGAGTGCATACCATGAAAGGTTTATCAGCGCACGGACAAGGGCCAAGAGTAGACTAGTAAGCAGTACCATAGCAGTCATGAAATAAGACCAGATCATCATAGGGAAGGCATGGAGTTTTCTTACAATTCTTTGCTCAGAGCTCTATAAAAGCACTAAAGGGGTCTACATTTTTTTAAATAGTAGGGCTATTTATATAATCTGTTAAATTATATTTATGATTGGCCCCCAAAAAGTGGCTTTCCAGGAACCTTGAGAAATCTTTTTATCTCCAAGAAAAAAGAGAATTGAACTTTAATACGTTTTTTATTATTTATTTATTTTGTTATTATACTTTAAGTTCTAGGGAACATGTGCACAACATGCAGGTTTGATACATAGCTATACATGTGCCATGTTGGTTTCCTGCACCCATCAACTCGTCATTTACATTAGGTATTTCTCCTAATGCTATCCCTCCCCCAACCCCCAGCCCCCGACAGGTCCCAGTGTGTGATGTTCCCCGCCCTGTGTCTAAGTGTTCTTATTGTTCAGTTCCCACCTATGAGTGAGAACATGTGGTGGTTGGTTTTCTGTCCTTGTGATAGTTTGCCGAGAATGATGGTTTCCAGCTTCATCTATGTCCCTGCAAAGGACATGAATTCATCTTTTTTATGGCTGCATAGTATTCCATGGTGTATGTGTGTCACATTTTCTTAATCCAGTCTATCATTGATGGACATTTGGGTTGGTTCCAAGTCTTTGCTATTGTGAATAGTGCCACAATAATGTTTTTTAAAAGTGAAATCAGTTTCCTGCTCTGCCCCTTCCCCTAGCACCTTGCTCCTCATTTGCATAACAGGTAGAATGACATTGGCCAACTCCCCTCACAGTTAGGGTGAAGTGGATTGACTAGTATACCACCAAAATTCACATCTACCTGGAAAACTTAAGAGTGATTGAATTATTTTCTCAGGACTGCCATAACAAATTAACACAAATTTAGTGGTTTACAACAACAGAAATTTATTCTTGCACAGTTCTGGGAACTAGACGTCCAAAATCAAGGTGTTTATGGGACACCTTCTCTGAAGGCTGTTGAGAAGAATCCTTCCTTGCCTCCTCCTAGCTTCTGGTGGTTTCTGACAATTCTTCATGTTCCATGCCTTGTAGCTGTCTGACTCCAATTTCTTCCTCCTACTTCACATGGCTTTCTTCTCCCTATGGCCTCTTCCGATCTTGTAAAGACACCAGTCATTGGATTTGGGACCCACTCTAATCCAGGATGACCTCATGTTGACTAGTTATATCTGCAAAGACTGTATTCCCAAATAAAGTCACATTCTGAGGTTCTGGGTTGATATGAATTTTGGTGGGGACATTTTTTTAACCCAGTACAGTGACCTTATTTGGAAGCTGGATTTTTGCATATATAATTAATTAAGGATCCAGATGAGCTCATATTGGATTAGGATGCCCTAAATCCAATAACTGATATCCTAATAAGAAGTGGGGAGGGCACAGAGAGAAGGCCATGTGAAGCAGGAGGAAGAGACCTGAGTGATGAGACCAGAAGCCAAGGAATATCAAGATTGCCAGGAGCCACCAGATGCTGGGAAGAGGCAAGGAAGGTTCTTCCCCAGGGTCGATGGAAGGAGCATGGTCCCACTAACCCCCTTGATTTTGGACTTCTGGCCTCCAGAACTGTGAGGGAAAAAATTTGTTTTAAGCCACCTGGTTTGTGATAATTTGCTGCAACAACATTAGGAAACTAACCAGGAGAGGGGAAGGTTTTTAGCTGAAAATAGTCTATAACACTTATAGAGTTTTCATTGAACACGAACACACACACACACACACACACACACATACACACACAAAACTAGGAAGAAACGCTTCTGTTTTAAGACAAACTCCAAACATATGGTCAATGCTGATTAAATTAAATGAGCATGAGTCAGAACTACTTGAATTCTATTGAATCTATGCCTTTAGTCAGCTGTGTGGAAGAAAACATGTTTGCATGGACTAGGATTAACCTACTAGATATTTCCTTTATTTATTCATTGCTGTATTTGTTTATTTAGTGGAGCGGTGTTTTTAAAAAAGAAGGCTCTTTACATTGTTTATTCAGGAAATCTTTGCTAAAGAAACAACCAGCTCTCGACAAACAAACGATTCTTGAGGAAATTAAGAAATGTAAACAGAGAGATGCAAATGTGATGTGCAATTTAAAGGATTTACTCCCAGCAGTGCTTAGGAATCAGGACAGGATGAGGGCCCACCCAGCTGAGCTCATCATCCTGCCTCAGCCTCCATTTTCCAGAAAGTCTGGTCACCTCAGGAGCAGTGGAGACCCAGAACTTCTAAAATGGCTTATAAAGGAAACCACCCACAAGCCTAAAGAGAAAAGAATGAACTTAGAAAGTAAGAAAAAGTCTCCAGCTGCAGTCTCCTCACAGAGCTTTGTTCTCTGAGTCCTAGCTCTGAAAAGCACCCAGGTGAAATGAAAGGCCAGGGTCTTGGATAATAAAATATCCCCTTCCCTAATAAAACCAACTTATTTAGCATCACTATGTGTTTTTTGTTTTTCTTAGAGAACAGTGTTATATCGTTAGAAGCACACAAAGTAGGACTTAAAAGAAGTTATTTCTGGTACTGTCAGTAATAAAATCCCTCTGAATGATATCCAATACAGAGCTGTCTTTTGCTGAATTCTCTGGTGCGGAAAACTGTAATGAACTTTCAGTATAAGGCTGGAATTGGTAGAAAGTGCTATGTGTCTGTGTTGGTTATTCTCAGCTACCCTGGATCTGTTCTCCACCCTTCTCTGTGCCTGGGGGTGACTGTGGATGGGCCATCGCTGGCTCTCTGGCCCTCTGGCTTCCTGTTGAGTTTCTGTTGGAGGCATCAGCAGATCAGAAAGTAGAAAGGGAAGGAAGTTAGGGTAGATGAGGCACTTGTGGACCATAGGAAGCTCACACTGGGGCTGACAGTGACAGGTGGGATGGCTTGTCTCATAAGCAATATCTTGCCTCCAGCCCTGCCCGTCCCACTGTGGCTTCACCCTCTGCCCTGCTGGGTCAGGCCCCCCAGTGGTGGCAACAACCCCCTGCTGTTGCCAGTCTCTGGGGGCCTTACAAGGCTTTGGATTCTGTCCACTCTGCCCAGACGCCTACAGTAAAGAGCACCTTCATCAATAGCCCTAAGTTAAACCCTTGGGCCTGCCTTGGTTTCCAGCCAGAGCCATGACCAAAGGTAATAATGCCAACATGTATAAGTCACTTTTAAAGGTTTCTATGTTATTTACAAATCCTAACCACTCAAAAGATGACTTTACCTTACCTGCCTCCTCTATTCCACCTTTACCTGTTGAAATTCTGCCTTATCCTTCAAGAATCATCTTTAACATATTTTTAACTGCATATAGTTTCTCAAACATTTGGGCCTCTATAATTTTTTTTAATTTGATTATTTTGGACCTTACTGCCTGGTGTAGTGGCATGTGCCTGTAGTCCAGCTACTTGGGAGACTGAAGCAAGAGAATCAGGCTTGAGCCCAGGAGTTCCAGTTCAGCCTGGGGACAACAGAGTGAGACCCTGTCTCTTATAAAAACAAATAAATACAGGCTTGGCACAGTGGCTTACGCCTGTAATCCCAGCACTTGGGGAGGGTGAGACGGGCGGATCATGAGGTCAGGAGATTGAGACCATCCTGGCGCACATGGTGAAACCCTGTCTCTACTAAAAATACAAAAATTAGCTGGGCGTAGTGGCACATGCCTGTAATCCCAGCTACTCGGGAGGCTGAGGCAGGAGAATCACTTGAACCCAGGAAGCAGAGGTTGTGGTGAGCTAAGATTAAACCATTGCACTCCAGCCTGGGCAACAAGAGTGAAACTTCTTCTCAAAAAAAAAAAAAAAAAAAAAAAGAGAGAGAGAGAAAGAGAGAAAGGAAAGAAAGAGAAAAAATAGAGAAGAAAGAAAGAGAGAGAGAAAGAAACAAAGAAAGAAAGAAAGAGAAAGAGAAAGAAAGAGGAAAAGAAAAGAAAGAAGACAAACACAAATAAATAATACAAAATAATAATGATATTTTGGACTTTACTTATATTTCCCTCACTTTGCTTTATTTTCATTTGTGTTAAGGTCATATCCTCCTTCTCTGGCTAAAGTCTCCTTAAGATCAATGACAGAATGGCTCTAATTTCTGTATCTCCTCCCAGCCCAGTAAGTAGTTCAGTCCCAGTATACATACTCAGTAAATGTCTGCTGTTACTGCCAGCTACTTGTTTTCAATGATTTTTCCACCATCAAACCCAGAACATTTCCATAAATATGCATATCAGGTTTTATACATTACATACATACATGATATATTATATATCTACATACACACCCTAACCTGAAACTTTTATCTAATTTTTCTTCTTCCATTTGGCGTATATATATGCACAACAATGAGGTTTTTGCCTTCAGTCAAGTGGTTTCTCAAACACTTTCTACATTCTTACACTTGGGTGTCTCTGCTAACCCAGAAAGAATTCAGTGTCTTCCTTGTTCTCTTTTCCCTTTTATGAGACCCCATAACGTCACTCATTAGAGCTATAGTTAGCCTCCGATTGGTTAACTGTCTTTTGCTCTCCCTGGCTACGATAACTGCGGTGACTAGCTGTGTCTATGTCTCAGCTTTCTCCTGGGCAGGCACTTTATCTTGCCTGTGTTGTCATTTACTACTTACACAATCATAAGCAAGTTACCTATCTTATCCAAAACTCACATTTCATCCCTCAACTAGAAAAACAAGGGAATAACTTAGCCATTCACCAATTCAATTATTCATTAACTACTTATTGAGGACTAGGCACTGTGCCGGGCACAGGGAAGGGAGTGAATCCAAAGCAGTCCTTCCCTCCTGAAAGGAACTTGCAGTCCAGTGGGGGATGTGGATGAACAGAAAAGCAGCTACAGTCACATGTGCTATGGGAGACATGGGCATTAGTGCAGGGCCCCTGGGGAGCAAACAGGAAGGCCCCTAAACTGGTGGGTTGATGGGTGATATGGTTGGCTCTGTATCCCCATCCAAATCTCACTTTGAATTGTAATAATTCTGATGTGTCATGGGAGGGACCTGGTGGGAGGTAATTGAATCATGGGGACGGGTCTTTCCCATGCTGTTCTTGTGGTAGTGAATAAGTCTTATGAGATCTGATGGTTTTATAAATGGGAGTTCCCCCACATAAGCTTTCTTTCCTGCTGCCATGTAAGACATGACTTCGCTCTTCATTCGCCTTCCGCCATGATTGTTAGGCCTCCCCAGCCATGTGGAACTGTGAGTCCATTAAACCTCTTTTTCTTTATAAATTACCCAGTTTTGGGTATGTCTTTATGAGCAGCATGAGACTAGACTAATACAATAGGAATGGGCTAGGTTAGACTTCCCAGAAGAAGGATGGCTAACCCACACTCTCAATTCTAAGCTGGGGTTCGATTTAAAAAAACAAAAAAACATAAAAACCTCAATATTTGTTTGATTTTGAGAATCATTAAAATAATGTCAGTCACAGTTGCAACAGCAGAGAGATACTTTTCACAACCAAAATTAATACAAATTTGCTTGAATTCTGCTCTATGTAAAGAGAAATTATCTGCTTTGGTAAGGGTTACTATGAAACTTAATTCAGCTTCAAGATTAAATTATCCTCTGCTGGAGATTCACATAGAGCAGCAAGATACAGGAAAAAAATGAATTTAAATTATAATTGTACTTAAAAATTCAATAGATCATTGTGATCTTACAATATTTATTTCATGCTTAAACTACCACATTTTTTCCTCACACAGAGGAACTTTTACCAGCAACTCCAAGCTGGATAGCAAATGTGGATAGCAAATAAGGTTTCTAGCTCCTCAGTCCTCTTACTTGACTAATAAAGACAGGAACACTAATGGAAACATTTTTATTTTTAATAAATTTAACTATTTTAATGCTATAAATATCCAACTTACAAATTTTCAAAGGTTATTACATATATGTCATATGCATTTGAATGTGTTACATACTCAATTTGTAAGCCACTTAATTGGAATGTGACATATATCTTCCTATAGAAATGAGAGTTAATAGTGCCTACATTCTCAGGCTAGCCCTCAAAAGCCTATTAAACATCTCTTTGAGGAAACACTGGGCAATGGTCAAATTCAGAGCTCTGGTTCTGATGATGTAAAACGAGGTTAGGCCCTCTGAGGCAAAGATTGGAAATGAGGTGGTAGGGACAGAGTCAAGCAATGTCTCTGAGGCTCTCGTGCTATACAAAGGAAAGAGCTAGGGCTTTGAACTCAAACAGACTAGGGTCATGTCAGATTTACCAGTTACTAGCTCTGCAGTCATCAAGAAATTATGTTCTCTTTGCCTTCACATAGTTACCTGCAGAAGGGGAATGGCTTGGGAGCACTGTGAGGATGAAGTAAAACAGCATATGCAATGCACCTCCGTAAAGCCTGGGACCGAGCAGGTGCTCAGTAAATAATGGCTCCCTTCCATTCCTCCATTGGCTTTCTGCACCTGTTACCTATCTTGGCCTATGGAAAAAATGACCTCTGTTGTAGGGTTGAAGAATTAAATAAAGTATGTGTATGTCTGTGTATATGCGTATGTGTGTGGTATGTATAAAGCCAGTAAGTAGTAAATACATGGCCTAGTGAATAGGAAGAACTCAATAAACAGTGGTTTGTTTTATTTTTCTACTAGTAGCATACTTAACAACCTGCTTCCTTTTCCCTGGACACAGCCTGCAAAAATTCTGGCACACCAATTCTGCAGTGTGAATCATTGTGTTTATCCTAACAGACGCAAAGCTATTGTTTTTAGCTGGTAATATGTTAGCGGGTTCCTATTGGTTCCAGACCTATCTGGGTTAATCTGGAAAAGGGAGAGGGAGGCTTCTGTTTCCGTGAGCTGATCAGCATGGCCTGAAAAAGGACTTGGTTGCAGGGATGAGCATAAAGAGAATGACTTGTTCCCCAGTGGGATCCCATGCACCAGGCCCAAGCCCAGTAGGGAGAAGAGCAGTACTGAGGCTGTGGTTTCACAAGGATATCCTGGGTATGAGCAAGCATAGGAGTGAAACACTTCCTGTGTGTGCACAAAACACACATGGCTCCAGCTCAGTGACACCCAAGGGACCACACCAGGAGTCCATATCTAGCCAAGGAAGCAATGTTCCTAAAGAGGATACCAGCCATGGTGGCAACAATGAAGGAGGCACCAGTACCTGGTGTTTCCAAGTGCCTTGGACATCAGGGAAAGGTGGGTTCAAAGAGGAAAACTATGATTTGTGATCACATATGAGACACTCCTGGGACTTCCCAAACAAATGAGGAAAGGCTTTGTTGGAGGGCAGGGATGTGATGCTGAGACCTCAGTGGGATGTAAGCCAGGGAAATGTGAATTCCCTTGATGTGGTTCATGTTGCATCCATAGGCTGGTGAGGTCTGAAGGAGGGTACATATGGGAGGGTACCTCCAACAAATAAGTACAGCAACCCTAAGTCAAGCAAATGCAGTCATTGGGCAGAGCTCAGTTTCAATGGCTTGATAGCAGAACAGAATAAATGGTTACATTATAGCTGCATAATAATATAGTTTCCAAATATTATGCTATCAATATTAATAAGCATGACTCTTTTTTAAACAAACACATGCTGAACCCTTATTGTTCATTGCCACACAGAGAACATAATGATAGCTTACTAGCACTTGTCAGGATCTTGGGTGGAAGACACTGCATAAATATCAATATAGTTAGTTGAAGTGTTATTGTTTTCCATTCTGCACTGGCATTTTATATGGAACATAATGAAGTTTTTATCTCTAATCCTCATATCAAACGATCGGCACCTACTTGGGGTATTGTCTAGAATAATTATATTCTGATTAGTTTACAGTAGTTGCTCTAAAAACATTTCTTATGGATGCTTTTCATAGTCAATAATTACTTTTGTGATGTCTTTCTTCCAATACATCCCAACATGTACTGTTAAGATTTAAGTGGTTTCACACTAAGATAATATAAACCAATGTTGTGAATATATCTCAGCTTTCTCTCAGAGAATAGCTGTGACTTTCCTCCCTATTTGATCATAACGCTACCATTCCTGATCATTCAGTATGAATGTTTAGCTCAATAGATAATTGCTGTTTTCTGGCTAACATTTGAGTAGGTTGGCTTAAAGATGTTTGGAACAAAGCATTCTGGGATAAGCAAAGGATCAAAGTCCAAGCTTGACTGGAATAAGGAGGGCAGACAGGGAGCCTAGAAGGGTATGGCTGCAGTTACAGGGAATTGTAAGTTAGAAGGGAACAAGAAAGAGAGGCACAGAGATGGAGGGCATATCACAAGTCTCCTAAGTGATCAATTAGAAAGCAAGCGGATGGATGAATAGCCTCTATAAGTCTAATTTTTCTTATTGCAAAATATAAAAGTTATAGATATAAAAGGCTTGGGTGTGGAAAATTAAGGAAAGAAATTTTGAACTGGGGAGTCTCATAAAATCTTGCAGAAGCACAGAAAACATTAGTAAAAAACAAATAGCTTGAATTCCAACATAAACAAAAGATTAAATACAGTAAAAAATGAATGAAACAAAATCAGAAGGCCTAAGCTCTGCTAAAACTTATCCTCACTTTGTGATATTGACACGTCTTTTAATCTTTCTCAGTTTCTTCCTCATCAGTAAAAAGAAAATGATGAACTAAAGTGATCCCTTAACAACAACAAAAGTTTTTATAACTGGCGATATGCAATAGCCCTGGGTTTTCCCTTTTTCGGCAGTATGTGCTTTAAAAAGCAAACAACCCATATGTCTTCCCAATTTCCCTGTGTAGAAGATAGAATAAATAACCTCCAATGAAGGGCAACTAGAAAGTGGAAATTCCATGTTGCTACTGAATCAGTGTTGGAGTCTAATATATAAGTCCCATTTTCCTGTATTTCCTGAGAGTCACCAAAGCAGTAGCAAGTGCACCAAGCCCAAGGAGAGCTGCATACAGAGGCAAAGCAACAATCACAATGTGTGGTAGAAAGGGTCACCAATTCCCTGATATGCTATATCTAATTTTATTTTATGGTCTTGAGTAAGCCCCCAAATTTCCTTATGTCTTAGTTTTCTCACCTGGATGTGTAATTCATATTCTCAAAACTACCTTTTTGTAAAAAGATACCAAAACTTTTTTAAATACTAAAAATTGAGGCATTTCAAAATAAAAAGTACCAATTTTAAGAGGTCATGTGCTTCATGGGAATAGCATTGAACTTGGAATAAGAAATAAAACTGGGTTTAAAAGTAGGTTTGCTATCTATGAGCCGGATGACCCTATGACCTCTCAGTTTTCTTATTTGATAAGTGCAAGATTTTAAATATGCCCTGCCCACCCCAAGATTGCCAAATTTAAGTGAGATTATAGAAGGCATGGCTTTCCTTGAACTATATATAGCAGGCTATGCAAAGTGAGTTCTTCGTAGCCTCACCATAATCATAATTGCAAGGAACCTAATTACTTTCCACTCTCCCTCAGTCATTAAGTTTCACAGGCCCAAAAACTGTGAATCAGGAACCTTCACAAGTTCCCCGGAAGGTGAAAAAAATATCTGCAAAAGAAGTGAATCCAGCCCAAGTTTCATAACCTTAGGCAAATCCAGGAAGAGTGACGGCACAATTACAAAGAGTAACTGCATAGAATATCTGTTCAGTTACCACTCTTACCTGGCTTGTAAAACAACAGCAGAAGGTGTTAACAAATGCTTGTTTACCAATAAGTCCATACTGCAGCAAAATTCCTGGCCCTACTGAAAATGTAGTAAAAGCCTTTCTACAACAACTTGGGTCCTTAACCATGGAACAAAAAAAACCCATGTGGTCAGGACTGACCATGATAATACTAATTAGAAATGTTTTCAGTCTTGTATACCAAACAGGTCTGTCCTGGAGACAAGCATCTTTGCTAGTTTCATAAAAATGTTTGTTTCCAGATGCTATTTTGGACATTTCTTCTCTTCCATATTTTTATTCAGAAAGGCAGTTTTTTGTTTCCCCTGAGTACTTCCTGTATTCCCTTTAACTATAGGTGTAGCTACTGCCCAAAGGGTTCCTAAAATTACAGTGAGAAGAGAAGAGGAAGGGAGAGAGCCACTGCAGCCCCTCTTGGTCAGAGGTCTATTTTGTGAACTGCTTGATGGACAAGAGAGTCCATTACGCAATTTTTGTTTTGAAGACCCAAAACACAAACTTGCACGCCTACCTGCAATGATTCATCCTCCACCAAACCTGCTATGCCCAGAAGCCCTGTTTTACAGCAGAGAATATTTCTTCAACATTTTTCCAACTCTACATCTAAATCCATTTAACACTAAACCATTTTTAAAATTATGTTTAAAATTACAACATAATTATCATATTATGTTCCTATTTTTGCATCAAGTTTTTTATTGTTGTGCTTTGTTTGTTTTAGTCTCATTGCCTCTAGATTTTGGCTTTGGCAAAATTTATTGAATTGCTAGTTCCTCGTGGGCAAGAATAGATTTTCTACTCAACTTTGAAATTCCCCAAAGAACCTAGAAGAGTTTTACAGCTACACAGAGTGAATGCTGCTGAGAGCTGACGGGCCAACTGGTCTCCTAGCAAAGGGCACCAAATCTTAGGTCCAAAACAAACAAAAAGCATCAATTCTGAACTTTTATCACCATTCAGGCCAAAAAAATGCCTTTGTATTTGTTGATGGTTTCTGGCTGGCCCACATTCCCTCCATCTACTTGAAGTTCAGGCTGCCTATTTAGAGAGTAGAACGACCCTTGGCAATGGGTGCAGGAGCCAAAAAGCATAGGTTTCTTGGGCAGCCTGCATTACTCCGAGAGGGACATCTGTTTAGCAGGAAGCTTCCACTCTGTGCCAGCCTTCAGAACCATCTGTCTCTTTACGCTTCCGGACACACACACACACACACACACACACACACACACACACACTTCCATGCATTCACTGGGTGTAAAAACCAAGTTGAGAGAGAGAGAAGCTGGCAACATAGGTCTCCCTTGCAACAGAGCTTGGAGGGGCACACGAGGAAGAAACATCGTGATTACTCTATGGACTTTGCATCCCTGGATGGAGCAAAGTTTTCCCACCCCGCCCATACCCCTCCAGCCCAGCCCCAAGCTAGAACAGTAACTTACAGGCCTGAAAGACTTAATAAAGATCACCCACAATGATCTTCAAAACTAAATTTCAAGGCAGCAGCTCTGATATAAAGTCTTTACACACTCAGAAAAATGCCTCTCTTAAAACTGCTTTCATAAGAGGAAACTAGAGAGGCAAAAGGGAAAGTGTCTTTTGGATGGGTGACCTATTAATTACAAGGATTGGTTGGTCTGATGAGGCGATTATAGAATAAAGTCAGTGAGACTAAGGTCACACAAGACAGACACATGGAAGCCATGGGCTGGGAGCCTCAAGGGGCTTGTCCTACTAATGTCTGTGTGTGTGCACATGTAAGTGTCTGTACACACCTGTGAATGGAAGGACAGGACATAGAAACTATTGCTTAAATGGATCCAACATCTCTCTGCTGCTGCACATTGTAAAACTGACATCCAACATGAAAAATCTGTTTAACTGTTTGAAAAATGTTATAGTGATTTTATAATTTATACCTTATTTTAAGAAATATTTGAAAACTCAAGAAGTAGTTTAAAAAAGAGAAAAGACAGCAATAAGAAATTCTAAAAAGAAAGAGGGAGGTGATAGTACCAGATATCAGAGATGAGAATTACTGCAATTGAGCACTCAATCTGGCTCTGCAGTCAAGCAAAAAGAGAATAATGAGAAGTGACATAGTCCTCACCATCAAAGAAAAAGGAACATTATCAGTGCACAGAAAGATAGGTCTCTCTGGACTGAATTTTAGGAAAAATTTATTGCATAGAAATATACAGATAGACTAATAGGTGGGCAAATATTGACAAAACATTAAATAACAACAAACAGTGCTTCATGAAGCAAGTTAGTACAGAAGTTTTGGATATGGGCTTTTTAGTAGACAGGACTGGGTTCAGATTAGGAACTACAACATTGGACAAATTACTTAAGCACCTCAAGCTTTTAATTTCTTACCTCTAAAATGGAGGTGATGGTACACACCTCTCAAGGTTATCATGAGGATTAAATGAGATGGCACAGGTAAAGGATCTTACACAGTATCTGGCTAGTAGATGCTTAAGAAATGTTGGTTCCACTCCCATCCCTCACCCCCACTCACAATGGTTGGATTCAGGTCTTTTTGTGGACAGAACAAAAATCAGAGCCCTAATGCCCTTGAAGCATTTCCACAGAAAGCGTAGATACTACAATGGTCTGAATAAATTGCCAGTTAGAGGCAACAATAGAGCTTGGAGAACCTGGGGGGATGGTAGCTGGCCTGTCTCTTATACTGACAATGGTGTCAACACAATGAGGGAGTTGCTGAAGGGGTGTCAAGACTCAGCTATCTGGTAAGTACCTAAAAGGTAGATGCTGTCTGTTGCTCATCAAAGATAACTTGATATTTGAGACACCCATTGTCAAGCAGTGGGATTACCATTATTTGAGTGTTTCACCCAGATAGTGGACCATCCCACCTACACAGAGAGGGTTGGCTGAAGGCATGATTGTAGATAAAGCCATTTCTTTGTCTCAAAGAAAACGTACATGTGACCCTCTCAAATGCTTAGACAACGATGAATTGGGATTCCAAAACTCTGCATCATAGAGCACGGGAGCATAATTTGAACTTGGAATATATGAGAATAAATGTCCCTTACTTTAAAAACTACCAAAAAGTAAAATGCCTCTATGTGGCTGTTAGAAACATCTTATTTTTATTTTATTTTATTTTATTTTTATTTATTTATTTATTTATTTTTTTGAGACGGAGTCTCACTCTGTTGCCCAGGCTGGAATGCAGTGGCGCAATCTTGGCTCACTGCAATCTCTGCCTCCTGTGTTCACACCATTCTCCTGTCTCAGCCTCCCGAGTAGCTGGGACTACAGGTGCCTGCCACTATGCCCAGCTAATTTTTTGTATTTTTAGTAGAGACAGGGTTTCACCATGTTAGCCAGGATGGTCTCGATCTCCTGACCTCGTGATTCTCCCGCCTTGGCCTCCCAAAGTGCTGGGATTACAAGTGTGAGCCACCACACCCAGCCAGAAACGTCTTATTTTTAATAGCATTGTCACCAGATGGAAAAATGAATGCATGCATTATTGGATGCATTAGTAAATACATACCAATCTTTTACCATATGTATGACTCTATGGTAGGCCTCTGTGCATTTATTATGTCAATTAATTCCTGCAAAGGAAACCAAAGGTAATATACCGAATGATCATTGTCAACTATACTTGTACACATCTAGGTACAACTATAAGTTTATATTAGTGATCCATAAAAGAACTGTTAAACTAAATAATCCTTCATAATCAGGTATATGGTCTATAACACAGTTAAAGGGACAGAAGCAGAAAATGACCATTAGAAGAAAAATTATGGTAATTTAGTCATCATATACATCATGATTTGAACATAACTAACAATTTCATTAACACAAAAATTCTAATACTAAAAGTTCTTTAGCTAAATAATTAACCAAAATTTATTTCCACAGCCAAATCCCAGCCCCTGGCAAGTTTTATAATATCTGCACATTTTCTCAAATGATGAAAGCAAATCAACAGCATTAAGCCAAATCAACAGTTTAATTACAGCTACTCTCTATGCAAAATCCACTGCAACCAAGCAGGTCACAGCTGAGGTTGCTGTGTCACCTCCTAAAGACTGGGCTGCCAGAAAAACCTCAGATCATTTGCAAGTACTGAAACATGAAGGAAATTTGGGGCTCAGTAACAGAAGAACTGATATACTTGGAACATTTTCAGAAACTCTTTCCTATGCCGACCCTTACTCATCTTCCTGAAGACACAACCACTCATTCATTCAGTACTTCTGGCTTGCTCACTGTGTACCGGGCACTGTGCTAGGCATGTGGGGAGGGGACAGTTGGGGGCAGAGTCATATCAGACACAGGCACAGCCCCTCTAGAACTCACAGACATTCTCAGACCTAAGCATAAATTCAGGGCACAGTCCTATGGAAGTAAAGGGCTTAGAATCAAAATGCAGATACATTAATATGCAAATGTGCTTTTCATAAGAACATATCACAGGTTGCACACGCTCAAATTACACTTGGGAAAATGATCCAACATAACTGACACACACTATTACAACTCCGTTCAAACACCTATCCCAGGGTCCCACAGCCAGGGTAAGGGCAGGGGAACTGTGCAAAACCATGCTCAGTAGAGCCCAACAGAGCCTGGAAAAAGCACCAGGAATCTGCAAGACCCAGCTCTCTGACCCTGAAGCCACTTCACACTCAGCTTCAAGATAAGCCTCATATGACATTGATAAATTATTAAATCTGTTGATTGCATGGCAGATCAGGAGCCATAGAGTAAAAGGCACTCTACATGGATATAAAAACACCTTTAGGCAAGAGACAGATGAACTCAAGGTGAGATATCAACATTAACACACCACATGTTTTTACACTTTACCATATACAATTTCAAAACATTTACAATGAGACATGCCTTAAAGTTTTGGTAATTAAGGAACCCTCACACACAGAGCAGTCATGAGAGAGATTAATCATTCAGCAATTATTTACTGAGTTCAACAGCTGAGCATGGCTGTTGCTGGGGGAGAAAAGGAGACCCCAGGAGTGGTGGGAAGAACAGGCACAAGTGCTCCTAATACAGATTTCCATGCAGAGGCAGGGAGTTAGGGGGAGAGTTGAGAGAATCAGATTACAAAAACAGTTCTGCCACTACCTATGGCACAAATTTGGCAAGCTGCTCAGCCCCTCTGAGCTCCCATGTTCTCATCTGTGAAAAGGGAGATACCCACACCTACCTCACGGTCACTGTGAGGATTAAATGACAGCAGTTATGGTGACGTCCGGCAGTATAACTAGACTGTACTAATGTAAACTGGGCTTCACCGCTCAGGAAAGGGGGGAGCCTTTCTGTGCCTCAGATTTCCTCATCTGTAAAATGGTGATAACAGTCTCTTAAAAGGTGGGGTAAGGATTAAATGAGTAAATTCATGCAACGAGCTCAGAATGGTTGGTGGCATCTGGCGCATAGTGAGAACTCAAGACAAGTAGGCTCCTATCACTGCTATATTCCTGATGCTATAAGAGGGAAACAAGATGGTTGGGGGAAGGTTTGGAAAGAAGAACAGGATTTCACCAGGAAAGGCTGGTGGGGTAGAAGGCATAGGCGTGGAGCAAAGGGAGAAATCACAGAAGAGGCAGGAGAGTGGTATGGGAGACCTGAGCCCATGATGGCAGCCACACCCCTCATTATCTGTTTCTGCTTCACTCAGTTCCTGAGCTACTCACAAACATCGCAGAACCCTCTCACCAGCTCAAACACAGCCAGAGGAGTGGAAATCGGAGCTTTCATCATGGGGCAGGTGCCCAAGATGAGCCCTGGACACGCTCATGTCCCATGGGACTCTTCATATCCCCAGCCTTGCCCATTACCACCTCCAGCCTCCATTCTCTGCCGGGGATGTCTGGTACCCTGGAACCAGAGCCCTTTTCTGATGCCATTTAGTTCAAGCTCCAATACAGCCCCCACACCATTTCATATGGAATATATTTACTTTTTTGAATATATTTTTGCTTTTACAGAATATTTTCACAGGACATAATTTTTTAAACTCATCCCTGAAAAGGACTACTATTTGCTATCAAAAATAAAAAGGTCGAGATTGATCTCTCCACGTTTGTATACATGTGCCTGTGTGTGTATACGTGTGTGTGTGTGTGTGTGTGTGTATGTATGGGGAGGGTGGAGACAGCAAAAACACCAAGTGAAAAAACAAGGCATAGAATTGTACATAATACAATCACACTCTGTAAAAGAATGGATAGGCATATATGCCAGCATGTGAATAAGCATTCTTAAAGAATACAGAAGAAAATGTTTATGGTGATTTTTCTTTGGAGAATAGGACTGAGAAATCTACAGTGGAAAAAATACCAACTTTTCACTTACTGCACTTTTGTATGCCTTAAGTTTTTACTATGCATGTATACTATTTTAAAAGCTGTTTTTTAAGTGAGTTTTAAAAATAAACAAAAGATCCCATATCAGGAGTTGATTCTGATGCCTAAATAAAAGTACGTATTTCTGATACATAGCAAGCTACTGATAAGTGGCAGCTGCCTATGGCTCCTGTTATTATTTGTATTATTATCATGTATTACGGTTATTTATGTGCATGAGATCTTCCCTGTGAGGCTGTGAGCTCCATGAGCACAACTCCCATCAGGGCTGGCCCTGGAGTAACAGCGTACACACCAGCTCCCATAAAGGAGTTCATCACTGCAGACTTACTAAACCAACACCCACAGGAATGAATGACCTGACCAGCGACCCCATCATTGAGGGAGTAAATGCATCCTTATCTCCATTTTGCAGATGACGAAAAAGGTGTCATGTAAAAAAGTAAAAAAAAAATTAGGGGAGGAGCTCAATCAAAATCAAAATCCCAAGGCTCCAAGGCAGAACTTCCCATCAGCAAGCATTAAAACACAATAGGTCTGGCTGGGCACACCTGTAATCCCAGCACTTTGGGAGGCCAAGGCAGGTGGATTGCTTGAGGTCAGGAGTTTGAGACCAGTCTGGCCAACACAGCAAAACCCCACCTCTACTAAAATACAAAAATTAGCTGAGCGTTGTGGCAGGTTCCTGTAATCCCAGCTACTCAGGAAGCTGAGGCAGGAGAATCACTTGAACCCAGGAGGTGGAGGTTGCAGTGAGCTGAGATCGTGCCACTACACTCCAGCCTGGGTGACAGAGCAAGACTCTGTCTCAAAACAACAAAAAACCGCAATAGATCTGACTTAGTGCTGAAGACTAAGAGAGACCCCAGTAAAAACTGCAGTGGGAACTACTAAGATGTGAGCTTTCTAAAACAGGTCAACAACACTATTTCATTGTACACATATGTATGTAAGTTTCTCCCCTGACACTAATGAAGTCACCCTAGAGGCACACACACATGTTCATGGATTACAAACATGAAGCGAGTAAAAAAAAGAAACACATTCATAAATATCTACAGGGAGCACACGCAGGAGAGTCCTGCTACCCAGCCAAAGCAGGAGGCACCATGGAGCTGGCGGGCTGATGGCTGACAAGATATCACCTAGTTGAAGGTAGTCTCCTCCACATGACCTTGGGCAAGTTATTGATCCTCTTTGAGCCTCAGTTTCCTCATCTGTGAAAATGGGGTGATCCAGGTACCTGTGATCCACAGAGTCCACTTCGGGGATTAAATGAGAGTATAGGTGAAAAAGTAATTAGAACAGCGCCTGACATAAAAAGCACTTAACAAATGTTAGTTGTGTGGTTTTTGTTTCCAGTATTATTAAACAAAAACCATAGCCAGAGAATAAACACAACACACACACACCACCCCCATCCCAATAAGAATTATGTGCCACCTCTTATGAAATTTTGCACAGATTTCTATCATACTATTTATAATATATATTAAAATCACTGGTGTACAGATCTGTCCCTCTTCCTTTGAACTGGGTATTTCCTGAAACCAAAACAGGTTCTTAGTACCTGGAAAGTGCTCATATGTGTTTGTTTAAAATGTCAACATGGAATGAAAAAGTTTAAATCATTTGGACTAACAGAGTGATAACTACAAGCAATATTCTGAAAATTGAAATTCAGTTTCTTTTTCTTGATATCCTTTTAGATAGTTCACCACAAAAGTAGTATCTATAAATAAAGCTAACTTATGCTCTGAGGTCTACTAATATACTAAACCATCAGCACTATAGCTTCTCTTGATGGTCATTCAATTTCATTTCTGCAAAGTTTAAGCCTGCACATTTGAGTAAATGAATTCAATTCATCAAGGAGCCCAGCCTACGACAGAGCTACTCAGAGATCCAATCAACAGCTTCTCTCTGGAATAAGGAAATGTAGACTCCCTTTAATGAGTTCACTTGCTGGAATCAGTTCTTTTTCTCACAGATTAGGGCAATGGAGCACCCATAAAGGAATTGACAAGGGAAACTCTAGCTCATTTCCAGGAACTATGATAGAATTCTGTGAGTGAAGTAACTACTACTTCAATATCTCTGCGAATAGATGGTGAGATTGTGAGCTCCAAGAGTGCATTAATCACAAACCTTATTCTGTTTCTGTATAGTGCAATCACATTTGTCCTCAGATGCAACTGTGTGGTTCAAGATAAAACACTGTATAGTACAATGCTTATTGTCTTTAAATATAAGTTCCATCCATCATGGAAGCCAGACTCATTCCTCACCTAAAGCCAGTAATATGTCTTTTGGATAAAGTACAAACTTAGGGAGTTAATTACTTCATTACATTGCATGGCCCATCCATTATAACAACATAGCTATGACTGGATTCAGCTATGGTAGTCATTCAATCCAACCTCATTTACAAAACACAGTTTGTACCTACTGCCTCTACAGAGACTGTAGAAAAATGGTTTTAGAAGCCATTCATTCATGTTCTAGGAACTGTGTAATGAGTGCCTACCATATGTCACACACTGTTTCAGATGCTGTGGCTACTGAAGGAAAGAAGATAGAAAAACATTTTTACTCTTATGGGGTTTAATACTCATATGGAGTTAGTGAGAGTAGACAAAAAACAAATAAACAACTAATTTCAGATAACAATGTTTTATTAAGAAGAGTGAGGAAGACCTTTCTAACAAGGTGAAATGTGAATGATGAGAAAGGGGCATCTGTGAAGACTTCCCACTGTATGGAATGTAACGTGGCTGCTCTGTACGTGTTCATGTGGAGCTCTGTGGAAGCCATATTGATCAGTTTGCCACAAAGCCACAGCCAAGACAGGTAATGAGGACTCGAACTCAGTTCCTGGCACCCAAATCCCTGCATCCCAAGATCACTAGAAAGATCTTGTCAGACTTTTGGGTGCAGTTTAGATACCTGGGGAAAACCTCTGTTGTTTTACTGCCTATGAACACAAAATGGCCCCCAAAAAACCTGAAAAAAAAACCAATATAACAAATTAGACTATTTGGACCTCTCGTGATCTTATTAAAAATAATATCACTTCTCTAAATTTTACCTGAGGAGGAGTGAGCTACAAAGGCCTGGAAAAGGTAACCAAGGGGTCCATAGATGGAGTGGACTCTTACTGCATACAGGCCACCTGGCGTCCACTCCTCCTTTCCTCTGGCAGTAGAATACTCTTCAGGAACTGTTAAGGGATAAGCATCTGTCCCAAGCTCCGCTAGTCCAAGTGAGTCCTGGGGGTTGTGCAAGAGTTACTAGAGACTTTTTTTCCTGCTGGATTTGAACCTGGGGTCTTGTGAGGCCTAGCTGCAACAGATAAGCCTGGCAGAGAGCAGAGCCTCTTTAGAGCAGGGATGTAGGAAGATGGAGTAAGACACCTGGTCTCTATGCCTTCATCTGAGCTCCCAGATCAACCCAAACCTAAATCCAATATGCTCTCAGATTCTCCAATTCCTTTGTTAATAAATTGTGCTTTTATTTCTTATAATAATTTAAGATGGATTTTCTATCACATACCACAGAAATAGTTCAAGTACACATATTAGGTACATTTTCCTTAATACTAAATTATTGAGAACAGAATACACTTTTTAACATATTTGAAGAGCCACTTGTGAAGAAATCTAGATTGTTAGAGAAAACTGAGGTCTCTTCTGATTTCCATGAGGTAATTTATTTGATACATATTATGTGTTCATATTGGTGCTAGCTCCTATGGAGGATGAAATGGATAAAACATTGCCTCCTTGGACTCAAAGTGCATATCCTACAACCTAGCACCGTCACCAATGTTTTACTGATCCATAGCACTTTATTGGTTATAGAGCACCTTTAAAACATTGAACTTCAGGTCCGTAGAATTAGACTGAATTGATCAAAACCCCTGGCCATGAACTCTCATCATTACTCCATGAATGGCCCCTTTTTATCAAGTGCCCACTCACATCATCTCATTTCACATTCACAACTGGATAAAAATATTGAGATTCTGGCCGGGTGCGGTGGTTCATGCCAGTAATCCCAGCATTTTGGGAGGCCGAGGCAGGCAGATCATGATGTCAGGAGATCGAGACCATCCTGGCTAACACGGTGAAATCCTGTCTCTACTAAAAATACAAAAAATTAGCTGGGTGTTGTGGTGGGTGCCTGTAGTCCCAGCTACTCAGGAGGCTGAGGCAGGAGAATGGTGTGAACCCAGGAGGCGGAGCTTGCAGTGAGCCGAGATCGCACCACTGCACTCCAGCCTGGGCGACAGAGCGAGACTCCATTTCAAAAAAAAAAAAAAAAAAAAAAAAAAGAATTGTGATCTGAGAAATCACACAAACCTCACCAGATCCAGAATTTTAACTGTGTAAAAGAAGGGGTGTATGAGTGTATATTAGTATAAAAGAAGGGGTTCCTCCAATCACACTAGAAGGAACCACACCCAAATGGCTGGTGTGTTTGAAGAGTAGAACTAGAATAGACACTTCAACACTAAGCATACATCCACAGTCCTGGGGGTTGTTTCTGGTCTACTGCTAATTTGGCATTTTTGGATGTGCGCATTTTAAACAGGTTTTGTACAGATTCAGAATCTGCATTTGCTACCTTTTTTTTCTGCACGTACTGTTACTTACAGACACACTTACATGTTCAAGCCAGACTTAAATCAAATTTTTCCAGTACTATAAAAGATATCTTAAAGTATTCATGAAAAATATTTTTTTCAAGAGTCACTTCTTTAAAATGTCATTATTGCCTTTCTTTAGGGGCCTTTTCTTTTTGCAGATCAATAATAAGTCTATTGTTCCTTTCTTGGTTCCATTAGTTCTGACTGAAAAGTCAAACAGGTAAGAAAAGACACAGGAGTTTTATTTGTTTAATCTGGAAATAAAATCACCTAAAATAAATACCGTTGAAATTTTTTCAGGTAATTGATTTCTACTTCTTTGCCTGAAACAGCTCTCCTCTTGTTTTTTTGGCATGTTAATTTGGTGGAGTAGTTTCACTTTATAGGAACAATGCTCTCCAAAAGAATTAATGTTCTCTGGCATTGGCTGATCAATTTGAAAAAAAATTGTCTTATTTATCTTAAAATAGAAAATCCTCCCCCACACTATACAATACAGGGGTAGAGGATATAAGATGTCTTTTTACAGGAACGAAATGTTTCTACAGTGGTGAATGTTCACAGGGGAAATAAGCCATGGTTTGGGTGTCAGATCCTTCAGACACCACCAGTAGAACTGGGTCAGAGGCCCTGTGTCCAAGGAGGGCTCCATTGCCAGGCCCATCACTTACAGCTGGTACTAGCAGTACAAGATGCAGTGATGCCATTTCCCTTAGAAGGATAAGAGCTCAATGTTGGAATGTTTTTCTTCTACTCATAGGCACAGCAGGAAACAAAACCGTGATGAAATTCCATAAACAGGCAAGCTGGGTATGGAAGAAACGTGGTTGATGCTGGCAAAGAGCTGCACTTATGGCCAACAAAGGTGAAAAACAGAGAGAAATTGTGGCCCATGAAGCCACCAAAGACAGTAAAAAAGAAGAGTGCCATGATGCAAAGTGCTCCATCTATGGAGTCACCCAAGGCAGGTCTAAATCTTGGCTCTGCCACCCTCCAGCTACAGTGCTCTTAAGCAAGACAAAAGTACCAAAAGCCCAGCATCTGGCATATCAATACTTCAGTGGTAGAGGACTCCCTACCTCCCCCGTTACATTCACTTTCTGTGATGCTCTTTGGTGTAATCATAGTCCTATGTCTTCCAAGATTTATCTTAATTTTTATGACATTTAAGTACATGCACCATGACTAAATAAGTGAGTATGAAATTTGGAATTCCATCAGCAACCTATTTTTTATCAAATTAGTTTAACTAACTCTATTAGGACCCAAATAGATCTTAAAGACAAATTTATCTGGCTGTGTCAGAGTCCATTGCTTGCCATTTTCTGTTCAGTACCACTGTCTGTACATAGGCCATGTGTCCTAAAAAATAAGCTGGACCCTCAAAAATGTCGCACTAACTCTTTTCCCCCAAAGAGCCACCTCAGCACGTCTACCACACTGGCCTCCTAGCTCTACTTTTTTTCTAGCAAAGCTTCAGCCCACTGACTTTTAAGATATTGTAAATCAGATCAGTTTTACAATCCTGCTCTTGTGGCTGGGATCAGGAATATGAGCAAAGGAGGCCACGAGAAGGAATCACATGTGTAAAAGGTGGCTTGAATTATTATTTTTTAAAATATCATGGAGGCTTATTATGAGACAAATCATCAAGATAGCTGACAATAGATATAATGTTCAGCCACTTCAGGTCTTTGCCTTTTCTGTCCACACTATATTTATTTGCACACAAATACCACCAATGCCACTACCACTGTCACTAGTCCCAATTAGCCTTATTGTTCTCCATAGCATTGAGCACAACTAGTCATTCCACGTATTTTACCTTTTTATTTTCTTTATCTTATGCCTCATTCTACCAGCATGGAAACTCAAATAAATCATTGATTTGTTTATTTTTCATTTGTGCACCCTCAATACCTAAAACAGTACGTGGCACAGGGCAGGGATTCAAAAAGTGTTTGTTGACTGAATGGTCAGATCTATTATTTTTTGAGACATTCTCTCTAGAAAGACTATCATGGGGAGTAGAAGCTAATATAATAGGAATTTTAGAACAAAGCATTTCAGAGAACTTTTAAGATAAGTGGTAAAAATGTTTATCTACAAACAAAATATCCAGATATCAATTCAAGCATGGTTTTTGGTATTGTTTTCCACCATTCCTTCAATGAATACTTACAGCAAAAACTCCTATACAGCTGTCTTCTATAACCCTGTGGCTATTCAGACCCAATCTACCCATGAGCTACATGCCAGATATAAAAGCAGCTATGGATGATCTAGTGGCATTTGCATCAAGCCCCATGCCACTACCTCACTGGCTTAGCTTCCAAACCACTGGTATTTTATTCCATGTCCACCTAGTTTCTGCCTCTTGACTGCCTCCCATTTTCATCACAGCTTGCATCCTCTGAATTTGTTGACTTGATGCTACTTCTAGGCTTGACCTTCACTGTTCATCAAGGTTTCTAGGTTAGGCACGTTCCATTAAGGATCCTTTCCACACATGTCTTCCTTGGGTAGACAAAGGAACTCGAGGTCCAGTCTCTGATGAACTACACTCGAGTACAAGTGCACCTGCCAGGTCCACCTTGGTCCCTACTACTGGGTTCAGGGATTTAAACCACAACACTATTTCATAGGTCACCAACTTGAAGACACATGAAAATCTGGTTCAAATTAACCATGAACTGAAGGACACCTCCAGTCAATATGTCACACATAAAAATCCTATAGGCTAGTGATTTCCAGCCTGGGCTGCAAGAACATCTGGGGAACCTCAGCGATTATTGCAAAGGAGTTTGTGAATTCATACGCACATCTGCACTGTTAGTGAACTGAAAAAAAAAGACATGACTATATAACAACATATGCTTTGCCATGTTTCAGCATCAAATAGATGCTACCATGTTTTATCAAATACAAGCATATTGAAATGTATTGATTAAGTTACAAAAGTTTGTTTACCTTACGTGTAAATCAATAGATATTAAAGGTCCAAATGAAGGGTTCAAAAATATTTTGATATCATAAGACAAAAAAAAGGCTATAGATTCCTCCAAGTTAGATAATGATGACTAGACTCTTAACCAAGATACAGAATAATGCAAGATTATGGGGGAAAATATGGCAGATTCTGCCCAAAATGAAGAATCAGTGACTAGATTTATCCTCCCATAAGAAACAATCTAAAAACATACAAATACATAAAACAATGGCTTTCAAAACACTGGACATCAGGCCACAAGGAACAGGCAATGAAGGTTTGCATTGGAGATATGCGAAACAAAGACAGGGAGCCCTGTGGTTGCCATAGCTTACTGCCTTGGGAAGGTTTCCAGGGCTCAGTCCAACACAAGTAACCCAGGTGGAGCCCAGTGAACTCTCTGAGTCAGGAGATGGAGTTGGGGTTCCAGGAAGACCAAGGAAGTTAGAATTCACAGGACAGCATACCAGAGAAAAAAAGAGCTACATAAAGAGAGCTAAATAGAGAGATCTGCAAAGAATCCCACTTGAGTATCCAGCTAAGTAAGGATGAACGCATGCATATGAGAAAGACATGGCTGCTTTTGTACTACAACATCTGAGTGAGTAGTTATAATGGAGACCCTGTGGTCCTCAAGCCAAAAATTTACTACCTTGTACTTTTCAGAGAAAAGGTGCCAACCTGATCAACATCATACTTAAAGGTAAAAGACTGAATGCTTTCCTTATAAGATCAGCAATGAGACAAGGATGTCTCCTCTTACTGCTAATATTCAACATTATTATGAAGGTTGCATCCAGTGCATTAAGGCAATGAAAAGAAAGAAAACGTATGCAGACTGGAAAAGAAGAAGTAAAACTGTCTTTATTTACAAACAACATGACATTTTATGTAGAAAACCTCATGGAATCTGCCAAAAAGCTATTAGAACTGATCAATCAGTTTAATAAGCCTTTAGGATATGAGATCATTATATAAAACTCAACTATATTTCTGGATACTATAAATGAACAATCAGAAGTTGAAATTTAAAAATACCATCTATAGTCATATAAAAAATCTGAAATGCTAATAAATCTAACAAGAGATTGTCAAGACCTGTATAATGAAAACTACAAAACATCGCTGAAACTAAACAACATCTAAAATAATGTTGAGATACACCTATGTTTATAGGTCAGAAGACGTGATATTGTTAAGATATTATCTCCTCAAATCTATCTATGATTCAGTACAATCCAGCTATAACAACTGACAAACTGATTCTAAAATTCATATGGAAATGCCAAAGGCCTAAAATAGCCAAATCAATTTTTAAAAAGAACAAAGGGGAACTAAAACAATCTGATATGAAGTCTTATTATAAAGCTAAAGTAAAGAAGGCAGATTGGTATTAGCATCAAGATAGACAAATAGGTCAATGGAGCAGAATAGAGGGTCTTGAAACATACACACATGAATAGAAAACTAATTTTTAACAGAGGTAAAATAGCAATTCAATGGAGAAAGATAATCTTTTCAACAAATGAGGCTGAAACTACCGGATTTCCATGTGTAAATTTCCATATTGAGTTTCAAACCATACTTGCCACCACATAAAAAAATCAACTCAAAATGAATCATAGACCTAAATGGAAATCCTAAAACTATAAAAGTTCCAAAAGAAAATGTAGGAGAAAATCTCTGTGACACTACATTAGTGTGCAATGTCTGCCATAGAAAAGTATCACAAACCAGGTCACTATAAAATCAGAAATTTATTGTCTTACAATTATGGAGGCTAGAAGTCCAAAATCAAGGTGTCAGCAAGGTTAGTTCCTTCTGAGGGCAGTGAAGGAAGGACGTGTTCCAGGCCTCTCTCCTTGGCTTGGAGATGGCTCTCTTTTCCCTGGGTCTTCACATCAGTCTTCCCTCTGCACTTGTGTCTAAATTCCTCCTTTTTATAAGGACACCAGTCATATTGGATTAGAGCCCATCATAATGACTTCATTTTAATTTGGTTACCTCTGTAAAGACTCCATCTTCAAATAAGGTTACATTCTGCAGAACAAGGGGTTAGGATGCCAACATCTTTTTTAGGTGGACACAATTAACCCATAACAGACATCAAAAGCACAATCCATACAAAAAAAGAAACTAATAAGCTGGACTTTATTAAAATTAAGAATGTTATACTCTTCAAAAGACAGGGTTAAGAAAATAAGAAACAAGCCACAGACCACAAGAAAATATTTTCAAATCACAAATCTGATAAAGGACTTGTATCTGAAATATACAAAGACTTAAAATTCAGTTTTAAATAAATTAACAATTTTTTTTTTTTTTGAGAAGAAGTCTCGCTCTGTTGCCCAGGCTGGAGTGCAGTGGTGCAATCTCAGTTCACTGCAAGTTCCACCTCCCGGGTTCACGCCATTCTCCTGCCTCAGCCTCCCAAGTAGCTGGGACTACAGGTGCCCACCACTATGCCTGGCTAATTTTTTGTATTTTTAGTAGAGACAGGGTTTTGCCGTGTTAGCCAGGATGGTCTCGATCTCCTGACCTCGTGATCCACCCACCTCAGCCTCCCAAAGTGCTGGGATTACAGGCATGAGCCACCACACCCAGCCAAATTAACAAATTTTAAATGAGCAAAGGATTTAAACAGATATTTGACCAAAGAAGATAAAAAGGTAATAAGTAAGCACATGGAAATACCCTCAACATCATTAGATGTTGCAGAAATACAATTATTAAGTCACAATGAGAAACTTTTCTCTATTAGAATGGCTAAAATTAAAAAGGCTGATTGTGCCAAGTGTTGACAAGGATATGGAGCGACTAGAACTCTCATATCCTGCTGATGGGAATGTAAAATGGTACAACTTTGGAAAAAAGTTTGACAGTTTCTTAAACCATTAAACATGCAGCTACTATATGATGTAGCCATTCCACTTTTAGGTATCTCTTCTAGAGAAGAGAAAGCCTATATCCATACAAAATCTTGCATATGAATGTTCTTAGCAACTATATTCATAACAGCCCCAAACTGAAAACAACCCAAATGCCAGCCAACAGTGAATAAATTAGAATATTGTGATATATAAGCCATATAATGAACTAGTATTCCACAATATAAGGAATGAACCATTGATATATGCAACAACATGGATGACTGTCAAAGTAGTCAAACTAAGTGAAAGAAGTAAGCTGCAAAAGAGCACACTATATGAATGTTAATTTCACATAACTATAAAGAAATACCTGAGGCTAGGTAATTCCTAAAGAAAAGAGGTTTAGCTGGCTCATGGTTCTGCAGGCTGTACAGGAAGCATGACACCAACACTGGCTTGGCCTCTAGTGAGGGCCTCTAGTGAGGAAGTTTACAATCATGGCAGAAGGTGAAGGAAGAAGTCATTGTATCACGTGGTGGCAAGAGTGGGAGCCAGAGTCAGGGGTGGAGATACCAGACTGTTTTAAACAACCCAATCATATGTGAACTCACTGAGTGAGAACTCACTCATCACCAAGTGGATGTAGGAACTAGGCCATTCATGAGGGATCCACCCTCATGACCCAACCACCTCCCACCAGGCCCCACCTCCAACACTAGGGATTACATTTCAACATGAGATTTGGAAGGGACAAACATCCAAACCCATATCAGAATCTGTGTATGTAAAATTCTAGAAAATGCAAAATAATTGACAGTGCTGGAAAGCAGATAATTCGTTGCCTGGGGATAGGCATATGGGGGAGAGGGAGGCATTAAAAAGGGTCATGAGGAAAATTTTGGAAGTGATGGATATGATCTTTATCCTGAATATAGTGATTGCTTTGGTGTATGCATATGTCAAAACTTATTATACACTTTAAATATGTGCTATTTATTGTATATGTAATCAATAAAGCTGATTTTAAAATATGCATTCCACAGTCAAATGACCTACTATTTCAAGTCCTGGCTCTACCTCTAACTTTGTTATCTTAAGCAAGTTATCTTTGAGCCTCTCATTTTCCAGCTGTAAAATGATCATTCATAACATACATTTCACAGGATTATTGTGGATATCAACTGATAACTAATTCAATCCCTGAAAATAAAAGATAATCAACTGTAGCTATTAATCATAACAACAATAAAGTCCCTTGTTCTTAGTTTCTAATGTCCTGTAAAAGCAAATTTGAAAGCCAAGATGTACAACTCATATTTTTAGAACCTGAAAAGCTGAGTCTTCCCCACTTTCTCATTCAGTGTTTCAGATAGTGTTAATATACACGAGCTCTGATAAGGTAAAGAGTGCACTGGAAGAAACTCAAAAGTAAGTTTTTTAATTATCTAAAATCAAATTTTCAAATATGAGTCATGATCTCCCCTACTAGAAACACAAACAGTTTAGACAATAATGAAGTACCAGCAAAATAACACTCCTTATGCACGTGTGTTTGAAATGCTTGTTCCCTGGTGCCATAAAGAAATAGTACTTGAACATAAATTTTCTCAGCAAGGCCATTTTTACTTTCTGCAGAAAGGTACACTTGCCAGCAGTTTTGCCACAAGAATACACTGAAGAAAGGAGACAGGGTTATTTATAACTTGACACATCCACCCTACTGCTGTGTCTGGTTTCCATTGGCTGGAATGGGACCTCACATTCTGTATTTGTCCTGATTGGCTAGCAACTTAGAACTTTTTAAAAGAGGCAAAGGCAGAGGAGAATAAAGGAAGGACGAAGTAACTTGTGGAATGCTGAGAAAGGTAAAAACATCTCCAAATAAGGAAAGGAACAGGCTATGACCTAATGCTTGCTTGGACTGGTATAAGCACGCCAGGGCAAATATTTTGGCTAAATTGTGGGAGCTAAGGACACAAAGTACATTGATTTATTTATTGTGGCTAGCAGATACCTAAGAATGTTAGCACAGGTCTTTGAATACATTTTGCTTCTAAGAGAAGTTATTATTTATTCTTAATTAGATGGGAGGAAAGTCTCTTTGAAGAGGAACCTCTACTTTACTTTTTACATGTGGGCCTTCCTCAACTGCAGTTGGTAAAACTGCATTTCCAGTTTTAAAAAATACACACACCTCTCAAAAGAATTTCAACTTAAAGCTCTTTTACATATGTGCTGCTTAGCTTAGACCCTCAAGAAAGAAGACAAAGAAAGCCCTAATGAGTTATCCCTGTCCCATAGACCACGTGGGTGGCCCTGTGGGGTTATGCAAAGAGACTGGTCGGGATAGCACCTTCACAATATGTAGCTGAAAGACCAGACCCAGAAAAAAGTGCAATGCACTGCAATAATTGGTAAACAGGCAAGACACACAAGTATTTTCCTGAGACTCTGGAAAACGAAATAAGGAAAACTCACATGCCAAAGGTATTAAATGTCAAGTCAGTAAGAAGATAGTCTGAAAACATTTAAAAGCTATAACGTCAAAAAAAAAAATTCTGGTACAATGTGATTCAAAAGATCACCCTATCACAGCAGTAGTTTCTGAAAAAGTAACATTGTTTTAACGCCCACAAATCTAGTTTGTGTAGAAGCATACACTCTCAAGAACTTTTATTTACTGTGTCTTGAAGAAATATATGTCTTTTTTTTTATTTATTTTAAGTTCTGGGATACATGTGCAGAACATGCAGGTTTGTTACACAGGTATACATGTGCCATGGTGGTTTGCCGCACCTATCAACCTGTCATCTAGGTTTTCAGCCCCGCATGCATTAGGGGCTCTCCCTCCCCTTGCCCTCCACCTTCCGACAGGCCCCAGTATGTGTTGTTCCCCTCCCTGTGTCCATGTGTTCTCATTGTTCAACTCCCACTTATGAGTGAGAACATGCAGTGTTTGGTTTTCTGTTCCTGTGTCAGTTGGCTGAGAATGATGGCTTCCAGTTTCATCCATGTCTTTTTAACGCTAATTGGATAATGTGTGATTTTTCTAACCAATGGTGCTACAAAAGTCCCTATGATCTCATACACATTAAGTCATTTGTATGTGATATGGTTAGGCTTTGTGCCCCCACCCAAATCTCATCTTGATTTATAATCCCATTATCCCCATAATCTTCACGTGTCAAGGGAGAGACCAGGTGGAGGTAATTGAATCATGGGGGCAGTTTCCCCCATGCTGTTCTCATGTTCTCAGTTCTCACAAGATCTGATGGTTTCACAAAGGGCTCTTCCCACTTTGTTTGGCACTTCTCCTTCCTGCTGCCCTGCCTTCCTGCCTTGCCCTCCTTCCTGCCTTACTTCCCTGTCACCTTCCACCATGATTGTAAGTTTCCTGAAGCCTCTCCAGTCATGCTGAACTGTCAGTCAATTAAACCTCTTCCCTTTATAAATTACCCAGTCTCAGGAAGTTCTTTACAGCAGTATGAAAATGGACTAATATATCATGTATTCATGCTAGGAGCAAATTCAAATGAGTTTAAAAAAAAAAAACCACAGGGAGGAAAATATTGCTGAAAACCATACAACTGGGAGGAGACACTAATTCTCCACCCCAGGTGGCCTCACTACTGACATTGTTAACGCCAAATGGTTAAGCTGATGCTTTATTTCCCTGTCAGTTAAGGGACTACAAGTAATCAATGTTTAAGATAAAACATGCAGCGGAAATAAAAAGGACAATTTATATGATTCCTCATATTTCTGCCTGCCCCCCACCCCACCCACCACCAACGTCTAGCTCATGGAAGACAAGAGCTAGAAACAATTTTTTGACCTTTGATTTTCAAACACAAAGATGCCATAAAGAAAAAGATGTATATTTTTTGCTGATAAATTTTGCCACTTGGAAATTTAAATCTTCTATACATCAAAAAATTCCCAAAAATTTTAAAGAAAAATGACAAACTAGAGGAAAACACCAAAAAAAAGATACATGGTTAATATTTTAGTATACAAGGAGCTTTTTCATGGAAATATGGGTAAAAATATGAATAGGTAATTCACACAAGAAAGATTATAATAATCATTGATACATGTTCAATCTCACTGAGAATCAATGAGATTCACACTAAAGTGATAAGAGGCAGGACTAGACTCCAGAGGCAGGGCTCAGACACTGGACCAAATTGAGGACTAGCTAAAATAGGGACAAGGCGGAAACGGCTTTCCATAAGACACCCATCAGTATGCCATGTCAGTTTACTATTGTTATGGCAACACCCAGAAGTTACCACCCTTTCTCTAGGAATTTCTGCAGACTGCTCCTTAATTTGTATATAGTTAAAGGTGGGAATAAATATGACTACAGAACTGTCCTGAGCTGCTACTTCTCAGCATACTCCCTATGGGGTAGCCCTGCTCTGCAGGAGAAGTCACGGAGCCATAACACTGCTGGACCTATAACACTGCCAGACCTATAACACTGCCGCTTTAATAAAGCTGTTTTCTTTATTAGAGAAGGAAAGAATTCAAAGGCTCACCCTTGAATTTTTTCCTTGGCAAAGCCAAGAACCTTCCCAGCTAAGCCCCAGTGGGAGCTTGCCTACCCTGAATCAGTATCAGAGTAACCTATCAATTATAAAACATTAATTGTAAATAAGTAGAAACTTCCTAGAGAACAATTTTTCAAAATGCATTAAAAACTTTAAATGTTTTTCCATACTCTTTACATTTCTTCTAGAGGAATTTTTTCTTATCTTAAAGAAAACAATGGAAAGAATATAAATAGAAGTATGTGCAAAGATACATACATCAGAACATTGTTTATAAATGAAAAACTCAGAAGCAACCTGACTGCCCAATAACAGTGGAATGGTTAAATCAGTAATGGTGCAGACATGAGGTAGAATATTATGTAGCCATTAAGAATAATGCTTTAGATATAGAAGGAAGGAAAGTTAGTAATGATACATCAATAAAGTGAATAAAATCAAGAATGTATATGTAGTCTAATCCCATTATTATAACATTTTTTGTACAGAACAAAGTTTGGAAAGCTATACATGAAAATTTTGACAATACTTCTCTGGATAACAGAATTTGGGCTGTTTTAAAATTTTCCTCCTCCTATAAACAAGACACAGTCAGGCACAGCATGATGTCTAAAAACAGAGATTCTATAGTCAGGTTGCCTGAGTTCGAAGCCTGCGTCCAACATTTACTACCTGTATGACCTTTGCCAAGTTAATCTTTCCATGCCTCTTCATCCTTAAGAGAAAAATGAGGATAATAGCAGTACTTATTTCATAGTTACTGGGAATGCTAAATGGAGATCTTCTAGAATGGTGCCTAACACCTAACTGAGACTCAATAAAGCTAATCATTATTTGTTAACCTGTGTTACTCATATGGCAAACAATAATTATGAGAATAATTATGACAAAAATGCCTTGACATTGACAAGAGTGCCAAGATAATTCAATGAGAAAATAATGGTCTTTTCAAGAAATGGTACTGGCTGGGACAAGCGAACATCTGTACACAAAAGAATGAAGCTGGATCACAACTTTACATCATATGCAAAAATAAACTCAAAATGGATCATAGATCTAAATGTAAGAGTTAAAACTATAAAACTCTTAGAAGAAAGCATAAGAATAAATCTACATGACCTTAGATTAGGCATTAGTTTCTTAGATATGACACCAAAAGCACAAGCCACAAAAGAAAAACTTGATAAACGGGTCTATATCAAAATTAAAACATTTTGTGCTTTAAATGATACCATCAAGAAAGTAAAAAGAAAAAGCACACAGAATGGGAGATAACATTTGCAATCCCTATATTTAATGAGGGACTAGTATCTAGAATACATAAAGAACTCCTAAAAATTATTAAAACGACAAACAACCCAAATAAAAAATGAATAAAGGATCTGAATAGACATTCCTTCAAGGAAAATACACAAATGGTTAATAAGCATGTGAAAAGATGCTCAACATCATTACCCCTGAAGGAAATACAAATCAAAACCACAATGAGACCAGGCATGGTAGCTCACACCTGTAATCCCAGCACTTTGGGAGGCTGAGGATGGTGGATTGCTTGAGTCCAAGAGTTTGAAACCAGCCTGGGCAACATGGTGAAACCCTGTCTCTACAAAAAATAAGAAAAATTAGCTGGGTATGGTGGTGCATGCCTGTGGTCCCTGCTACTTGGGAGGCTGAGGTAGGAGGATTGCTTGAGCCCGGGAAGTGGAGGTTGCAGTAAACCAAGATTCCACCACTGCATTCCAGATTCCACCCTGGGTGACAAAGTGAGACCCTGTCTAAAAAAAAAAGAAAAACACAATGAGATACAACTTCACATCATCTAGGATGGCAATAATCCAAAAACAGATAATAACAAGCGTTGGTGATTATGCTGAGAAATTGGAACCCTCATACACTATTGATGGGAATGTAATATGTATGGTGCAGCTGCTTTGAAAAATGACTTGGCAGCACCTCAAAATGTTAAACAGAGTTACCACATGACCCAGTAATTTCACACTTAAGGATATACTCAAGAGAAATGAAAACTAAAAACATACGTCTACCCAAAAACTTACATAAGAATGTTCACAGCAACATTATTCATAATAACCAAAATATGGAAACAACCACAATGTCCATCAATTGATAAATGGGTAAAGTCTGGCAAACTCACAGAATGGAATATTATTTGGTGGTAAAAAGGAGTAAAGAACTGATATGTACTACAACATGGATGAATCTTGAAATCTTTCTAAGTGAAAGAAGCCAAACGCAAAAGATCAGAAATTGTATTGTCCCATTTATATGAAATGTCCAGAATAGGTGAATCTACACAGACAGACAGTAGATTAGTGGTTGTGTAGAGTTATGGGAGAGTAGGAGGGGAAAATAGGGAATGAGTACTAATAAGTACAGGATTTCTCTTTTGAGTGATAAAAATATTTTAAACTTAAACTTTGAGAATGGTTGCACAATTCTGAATATATGAAACACTGAACTGTATGCTTTAAATGGGTGACTTTTATAGTATTGAATTGTATCTCATTAAGATGCTTAAAAAATGTTTTTCTAATCCCTTGACAACTCTGAGCTTTATTTCCTAAGAATGCCCTTTGAAGAGCCAGCAGTTTATAGTGGTAGTAGAACAACAGCTTGAAAAGATCTCCTACTGTACCATGGAGGATACAGTCATGTTGCTATATTCACACCCCCACCCCATGCCCTGACTGATACATTAACTCCTTATTCAGTACCTATGATAAACCAGGCATAGTGCTAGGTAAGGGGCCCAAAGGTAATCAAACCCTAGTCAAGTTTATCCTTGAGTAGAGGGGCACCACAAGACACATTATGTTGTTTTAAAAAAAAAAAAAAAAAAAAAGCAAACATGACAAAGTCCAAGGTCCCTGGAAGCACAAGGCTGCGTGGTAAGAGAAACATCCTGGAAGCAGCAATGTGTAAGTAAAGAACTAAAACATGATTAGAGTTAGTGAGAAAATGTGCTGAAAGAAGGAATCAATTGTGTTCTGGGCAGAAGGAATGTGCAAGGGACTGGAGGTGCACATATTGTTTGAGAAGTTAAAACACATACAATATGGTTGGTGCACACAGTGTTCACTGTGGTGAGGAAAGGCAAGTGAGTTTCCTTATAAAGGCCAGGCATACCATGCTAGCGAGCTCAGACTTTAGTTTGAAAACAATGCAGAACCATTAAACTGAAAAATTACCTGATAACATTCATGTTTTAGAAAGATTATTCTGGCTTCAGTACAGCTACATATGACTTGAAGGAAATACAAATGGAAGCAAATACCTAAATTAAGAGGCCACTGGGAAAGAAATGATAGTTTGAACCATGCTATTAATGGTGTGGGTGTAGGGAGGCAGCTAGATTCAAGAACTATTTTACATGTTGAACGGACACAACTTTGTGATTGACTGTATATAGGATAGGGAAACAAGGGGAGGGAAGGGTGACTCCCGGGTTTGTGGCATTAGCAACTGGATGATGGTGCCCTTCACTGAAGTAGGGAACATACAAGAGCAGCAAACCTGGAATAAAAAGTTTTAAATACATTCCATTTGGATTTACTAAATTGAAGTGTCTATGAAACTTCTAAGGGTGGATATATAGGTCTGAAGTTCAGGGAAAAGAGCAAGCTGGAGGATGTAGCTTTGAGAATTAAGAGTCTGCAGAGATGAGATGAAGCTCTGAGGGTAGCTGAGGTGTCAGAGAAGGGAATAAAGAGGAACAGGGCAGACCCTATGGAACATGGGAAACTCAGGCCATGGAGAGCCCATGCCGGGATCCCTCAGGCTCTCAAGTGGTCTCTCTTCTACCTTCAGTGGTCAGCTTGGTGGGCCCCAGGATAAACACTGAAGAAAGTGGTTTTTCATTCTTGGCCTCAGGACATCCTAACCCTTTTGTGCACCTTCAATAAGCATTTGTTCCAAGAATATTGAGGAAAGGCTATATGTCAAGGACTTTCCTGGGCACTGGGATATGAAGAAGTCAACAAATCCCCTGCCCTAAAAAACTCTGGTTGGTCAAGGGACCAAAAATAGACATATAGAAATTCTTCATATTTTTTCTCCTTTTTGGTGAGAAAAAAAAATTTTTTTAAGGGAAATTAATTTTATAAATTCTAAATTTATTTTTTTCTGAAATAATAAGCACACAAAGCGACACAAGGACCTGAAAAATACCAAAGTTTCATAATGTTCTTTCAAAGTTGGCCACTTAAACCAAATTTCATACATAAGAAACACAGCTACTTGACAATCAAAACAGAAAGAAAACACAGATACTTATTTTTAGGGAGTAAAAACATTTAGTGTAAAATTGCAGTTACATTTTTCTGAAAAGCACACTAGAGCCTCAAATCCTGGTAAGTTGCACAATGAGATAAACTGTATTCAAACAAGGCCCAAAAGAGTTCAGTCAGTGTCAAAAAAATTTTACACAAATCTAAATTTTACTCTGGGGAGCAAATCAAAATCTTCCCAACAACATGAGGATCATATAGTATTTGTTTTCATTGTGATTGCCAGGAACATGAAATTCAAAGCCATGTTTTGCATTGCAGAAATTTCTAGACCCTCAGTCTGGTAACACTCTTTTGACCTGTGACATAGTTGGGGCAGCCATATTTCTCTGCTGCCAGATGCTTTGCTACAGAAACAAACAAGACACAGGAGAGAAATGCCACAGTGCTAGCATATGAGGTAGCTACATAAGTGACTTTTAGAAAGAGCTCCCCAGGTCACTCGTCTGTCTCCTTTCTAATTTGAGTGTGATCCAGCCGTACTGGGGCCATCCATAGAACTGGTTTGCCCCTCCTGATAGTGGTTCTATCCCCAGTGAAGCTGGCCACTAAAGACTGCCGAGCTCCTGTGATCTCTGAGCCCTTTCTGCCTGGATTTTCCCACATCCATAGTTGCAGATGCCTTGATGTTTCCCAAAGATTTTGTTGTGTGGAAATGAACTCTTGCAGACTCTACATTTATTCCCTAAAATCCAGGGCATTGAACTTCTGACAGCTTTGTAAACTTTTATCTACAAACCCCACTTCACTGACCCCTCTCTAAACAAATTACACTTAGTGGATGTTCCTAGCTTTGAGTATGTTCTTTCCACAATAACTTTCTGAGAAGAGAGAAAGGTAGAGAAGAGTTAGAGGATGGCATTCTTGTTTATCATTTATCAAACTCCTCAGTCATAGAACAATTTACAAAATTAGATACCCACACAGGAAGTAAAAACAAACGAAATACTTATTCTGTAGTTCCACTTGCCTTTTAAAATAGTTTTTTTATAATTCAGAGCTGTATTCCTTGGCTGAAGAATTTTGTGTACCAATAAAAATTATTTCAATACATTATTTGAATTCCAGTCACATCTCCCTCTAGCATTTTCAGTTTATATCATCAGCTGACATCTAGTTGATGTCTATCCACAGGTAGACAATAATTTTCCTTGGAACACAATAATTTTCCTTAGGTTCACAGAATCCTGGATCTGAAACTGAAGTGAGTCCTATTGCCATTTAGGAACTCTACATTTACATGCTCCTCTCTCAAGAAAAAAAATAGTTGCCTTTCACTTAAAATTTCTCTAAAATTTTTGTAAAATTCCTCTAAAAGAGGAATATCCAATACCTTCTGTCTTAGGATGTTCTTAGTATCTCAATCTAACAATCAGGAATTTTTTTTAATTCCTCATGTTTAACTTAAGTACATAATTAGGTTGCCTTAGGAACCTACAATGGCTCTTAATTCTTTCTACTCAAAGCCCCTATTACAGTGTTTGGTATATAGTAGGTGTTCAGCATATATTTAATGAGAGAAAAAAATGAACAGAGGGAGGAAAGGAAGAAAGTGAGAGGAAGGAAAAAAGAAAAGAAGGGAGGGAAGGAGAGAACAAATAAACACTAAAAGGAATCAAACATGAATCCACTACTAAGGAAATTAACAACAGAGTAGCAAGAATGTTAAATGGACATAAATAACTACAATATAAAGTAGAAAGTATTAAAGGGCCACAGACACAATGTTGGAGGAAATCCGAAGAGAGGTATGAAATTTCTAGCTAGGAGAAATCAGAAGCAAGTCAACAGAGGAGGTAAGACTTGAGGTGGGATTTGAAGAACAGGTAGATTTCAGACAAGTGATCAGAGGGGATAAGTGTCCCAAGGAGAAGTCATGAATGTGGAAAATCATGGGGTGATGGGGAATGAAGTGGTTTAAGGGGAGCACAGAAGGTGGTATCGGGCCCCTTTAGTATCTAGGCTTATAAGCAGAAATATTAATAATTATTCAGAATATCATTTGAATGAATGAATAAATGAACAAACAAATGAATAAACAAACAAATTAACTTAGGCCTGGAACTTTAAAGATAAAGCAGAATATGAATGTTGTTTCTATAATTATTCCTATTGCAAATTACACCTCTATCTCTGAAAAGGACCTCCTGGGAAAGCCTTCTGCCATCAAATTAGATCTACTTGAAAAAAAAAATTAACGACAGAATTTTAATTATTTCACAGTGTTTGCATGTCACTTTATTTTAATCCCAGGGATATGGGAAATCAATATAAAATAGTTTGTTACTTTCCTATTACCAACACAATAATCCATCCAGTGTAATTTTGCTTTCTTTACCTTCTATTTCTTTTTTTTTTTTTTAACATTTAAAAGCAAACCGGAAGAGGCTTTGCTCCCACTCTTCCTCTTTCCTATTTGCTCCCAACGATTTAATGCACATACACAAGACTGGCCAACCAATTTGTCAGTGAAGTACTCTCCTGCTGGCTTTTATGGCTGAGTTATTGCCTTTAAAGAACTAAGAAATAGGACATACTGCTACACAACTGGTCCTGGCAGAAACGTTAACTCTAGAATAAGACGGATAGAACAAAATCAGTATAAAAGCCAGTGGGATTAGTGAAGGCTTTAACATACAGCTTGCAATGGTTGAAATCTCTTATGACCCATGATGTTGGTTAAAGATCATACTTGCTGAAAAACAACCTTAGCCACTGTTACTAAGTTCTAATTGGGTTTTCTCTCTATAGCTGTCAAACTCCCTCTACAATCTGATGACTTTTTTTCATACTTAAGCGCAAATGAATTTTAAGACATACATCACGAGAACTTAATCTCTTTTTAACACAGGAACTTGTACACAAATGTTCATAGCAGCCTTATTAACAGCCTCAAATTGGAAACTCCCCAAACATCCTTCAGGGCATGAATCGTAAGACAAAATTTTGGCACATCCGTACCGTGGATGACTATTTAGCATTAAAAAGGATCAGAATACTGGTATCTACAGTTTATGCTGCGTGAGAAAAAAAAAAGCCAGTCTTTAAAGAATACATGCCATATGATTCCATTTAAAAAACATCTGTGAAATTACAAAATTATAGAGATAAAGAACAGAGTAACAGTTGTCAAGGCTTAGGGATGGAGGAGAGGGGATGGGTGTGGCCATAAAATAGAAGTGTTACCATGATGGCACAGTAGAGAGGCTGTTGATTGTGGAGGTAATTACACAGGGCTACACATGTGACAAAATTGTCACAAATGCAAATGATGTGTGCACAACTGGGGAAATCTGAAAAAGCTCTATGGATAATATCAATGTTAATTCCTTGGTTTTGAGATTGTACCATAATCAAGTAAGATGTGAACCCTGAGGGAGCTGGAAGGTGAATACATGGCATTTCCCCATACATTTCTTTGTGAGCCTCTATGCATCTATCATTATTTCAAAATAAAAACTTTAAAATATATGTAGTCAATTTATATCAGGATGTGTCATGAGGTTTCTCTCTCCTGAGTTGAACAATATCTAACATAAAGCTGAGTGATAGTAAGGTCCAAAATAAACACTGTCCAAAGAAAAGAAGGGAGGAAACAGGGAGGAAGGTGTATAACCATCCCTGGTCAATCTAAAATTGATGAAAACCTGATTTGGGGGGAAATTTATAAAATGTCTGAAGTTTTCAATATACCTTTTTACAATAAGGACATTAAAATCAACATTATAAGGCAATTGTGAAAATTAAAGGTATATACAGATATGTAGATTTCTCAATATACATATGTGTGTGTGTGTGTGTGTGTATGTATAAGAGAGCTCATTTTAGTAAGAGCCTGGGACTCAAGAAGTATTCATTCTCTTCCAATAAGCAAAAAAAAAAGAAAAAAGAAAAATAAAATCATCATTATATTCTTAATTCCTCACTCTCTTACTCTTTCTTATTGCATAACCTCACATCTTGGTGAAATTATTTTCTCCTCCTTCAACAACTAAGAGAGAGCAAAGATTAAACACAAAATCAGAGCTCTTTTCATCTAGGCCCATCTGCCTAGGTAGGCCTAAGTTGAATCACTGAACCACTGACACACAGTTCTGTGAGCTCTCGGAAGCTCAGAATCCCACATACAGTTTGGCCACAGGGCTGAAATGTTGTAGCATTTTATCAACAACCATGTTTTGAACAATTTAACACCCAAGCTCTCTCATTCCTGTCTCCTTCCCAAGGCAACTGCAGATTCCTCTTCCCTCAGGGAATATAACCCCACTACCTTTCCTCATTTTAGGGAACTGTAATGACCTGGACAGATGGTAAAAGAACACTGGAAAAGTGATGTCTTCAAGTACCAGCCCAATGAGGGTATCTACTCGGGGGGCTTAAAATGGAACACTCAAGCACGCCAATGACCAGCAAAGCAGGAAATGGTCCCAGAATCACTGACAGAAGAGGCAAATTTCCCAGAATACAATCCCTTCATGCCGACCCCCAGGGTCAAAGCACACAGAGCAGAATCTGGGCCACAAGCTTGGAATCATCCTCATGTAGAGTTATCCTCTTTTCAGAAGATGCTTCCCCATCTCAAACTGGGCTTTTATGGCTGAGTAAAATTTACCTTGTGTATATAATTTACATTAATTTGTTTGGCAGGCTCCAAAAAGGCAGTACAAGCGAGAGGTCCAACAGAGAGGTCAGACACAAGTAACAGCTTGAAACCCAAGGCCAGGGTCCAGATGGGTGTAGAGACGAGCTGGAGTGGGAGTTGAGGGTAGGGGGATTAGCAGAAACCAGTGGGGCATGCAGACTATAATTAGGAGCATGTATGTATTTGGGGCTTGAAGACATTGCTAAACAGCTGAAGGACACTGCTCAGGAACATGAGAAGCTGATCCCAGCAAGGCTGGTTGACGTTTCCAAGACTGGACAGAAAACCTGAGGAGGCTGGGAGGAGTGGGCAGTGCCAGAAAAAGTGAGAGCAGCAGCTCTGAGCAAGCAAGTCCTACCAGCATCATAAATGAGACGAAGAGCTAGGTTTGCCATGGTCAGGATTTTGCCACAGCAGGGAGAGGATGTTAAGATCAGTTACTGGCTGGCTCAAACTGACATGCCCATAATTACTTACTGAGCGTCCATGTCATGAATGGAGTGCTCTATCTGTACATACAGCCAGAGGTCATACAGTGAAGATAGTGTCCCTGCTCCACTTCTCTGTTCACAGGGGAGCATCTTCTCTCTTTGATCATAAGGAAGAGGAGCAGAGCACCTACCTAGCTGTGCCTTTTCAGGCCAACCACGTGCTGGCAGCGTCTGTTCCTTGTAAGACCTTCCCAGGAATCTGCTCTGCTAATGAGGCCCCTCTACCTGACAGCTGGTTACACAAGCTGCTATCAGAAAACAAAAGCTGCCTGTTGAGGTAACCAATATTTCCACACCTCACACACAAGCGTGTGCATGCACACACATACACACATACACACACACGCGTGCACTCTCCCCAGTAAAATTCAGAAACCATGCTCGGAATGAATCAACCACCAAATGGAACAAAGGCTGCCTCCAAGATAATTAGAGTTTGGACTGAACTGAATTTTTTCTGGCTTAGACTCAGCATTCCCACTTCTTTGGTTGCCAGCCCCACAGCCTACACAATAGGCACATGGGGCAAAGCTGGCTGCAGCTTATAGTTTTAGATGAAATGCTGGTAATCCATCCTCTGGTCTGCCATCTTCTCTTATCCCTCAGTAGCAACCACAGAAGACATTCACTGTCGATCTCAGAACATCAAGAACATACCTCGGTCCATTCTGCTGAGACAAGAGAATTCCAACTGAACCACTGATTTGGCCATATTAAGACAGTCTTCACCATTGCACACCTATTACAACGGCCAAAATACAAAACCCTGGCAACACCAAATGCTGTAGAGGATGTGGAGCAATAGGAACTCTCCCTCATTGCTGGTAGGAATGCAAAATGGTACAGCCACTTTAAAAGACAGTTTGGCAGATTCCTTCAAAACTAAACACACTCTTAACATCAGATCTGGGAATCATATATTCCTTGGAATTTACTCAGATAAAATGAAAACTCAGGTCCACAAAAAATGGCAGCTTTATTCATAATTGCCAAAACTTGGAAGCAACCAAGATGTCCTTTTATAGGTGAATGGTTAAACAAACTGTGGTACATCTAGACAGTGGAAAATAATCCAGCACTAAAAATTAAAAAAAAGAGAACATCAAGCTATGAAAAGACATAGAGAAAACATGAATACATATTGCTGAGTGGAAGAACCAAATCTGAAAAGGCTATATGCTGTATGATTCCAACTATATGACATTCTGGAAAGTATAACACTATGGAGACAGTAAAAGGATTAGTAATTGCCAGGGGTTTGGAGGAGGAAAAGTTGAATAGGCAGAGCACAGAGAGTTTTCAGGGCAGTGAAATTGCTTTGTATAACACAACGATAATAGATACATTTCATTATAAATTTTTCCAAACCTGTAGAATGTACATGACCCAAAGTGAATCATAATACATACTCTGAACTTCGGGCGAGAATGATCTGTCAATGTAGGTTCATTGATTGTAACAAATGCTCCACCCTGGTGGGCGATGCTGACAGTGGGGGAAGCTGCACATGTGGGGATGGGGGTTATTATGGAAAAATATCTGTACCTTCCTCTCACTTTTGCTGTAAACCTAAAACTGCTCTACAAAATAAAGCCTATTGATTAAAACAAAAATCTTCAGAGACTGACAAAAGTCAAATCAAAAATATGTTGACATGCAAACTTAATGGTGTATTGTGTGGGTTTCTGTTTGTTTGTGCTTATATGTGTGTTTAAATAGATACCAAGTTATAGCATTCTAGAAGAATGCTAAATTTACCAACATGGAAAAACATAAGATTCCAAATTCACCACAAATGGAATGCCACTGCTTCAATTTTCTTTGCAAAGGCAGAAAAAAAAAAAACTATCAAAAATGGTAAAAAAAAAAAAAAAAAAAAAAAAAAAAAAAAAAAAAAGACTAATGGGAAGAAATTTTTATCAATCAAAAATCACCACTCTGATCCTCTACCAAGATGAGCCTGACTGTTATGAGCTGCGTTACAAATGACTGCAAAAAAAAAAACTTTTAAAAAAATCTGCTGTCTATTAGGCTAATCTAGTGATTGCCATTTTCCTCAAATTCTTCATTTGATGTTTCCAAAGCAACAACAACAAAAAAATCTGATGTAGCAAGCCTTACACTGAAATCATATTAAATCTTCAAAAACCAATCAGAAAAAAAGCATAGGCAAGTCTTCTTGGGATTCAGACTTAATCACCTTTAGGTACTAAAGGTGGGATTAGAACTTAAGTATGTCTCTAATAAACAGGATGATGCAAAATCAATCCTGGCTCACTGCCAGTCTTCCTCCTGATTGACAGCTAGAGCAGGGCTGTCCAACAGCAAGACACCCTGAATTGCAGACATAATTTAAAATTTTCTAAGTAGTCATGTTTTATAAAATAAACAACTGAAATTAAGAGCATATTGTATTTAACTAATAGACTCAATTATTTATCATTTTAACATGTGACCATGGTAGCCACATTCCAAGGGCTCAAGAGCCACATGTGGCTAGTGGTTACCATATTGAACAGCAGATCTAGACTTCCAGTGTAAATCTAACAGGTCCCAAGCTTCTCCCTTTCAAATATGTATTTATTCATTCAAACACACAAAGTCTCTTCATATGCTTCATTATTCCTACTACTGGAGGTTCACCAGAGTCAGCAGTAACAGTGCTTGAGTCACACCTTCAATCTATGCAAACCATAAGAAAGATTAAGCTCTATGCCAATGTGAAAACCAGCTCAACTTCAGTTTCTTATTGTTATTATTATTATTACTAATTTATTTCCAGTATATATCCTTCCCATTTCTTTATCTTAATTTTTATTACATATTGACTATTTGTAATTATATATATTTATGGGGTACAAAGTGATGTTATAATTTATGAAAACAATGTGGAATAATTAAATCAAGCTAGTTAACATATCCATCACCTTAAATACTTAATTTTTTTTGTGGTAAGAACGTTAGAAATTTACCCTCTTAGCAATTTTGAAATGTACAATATTATTAACTATATTCACTACACTGTGCAATCGATTTCAAAAAAATTCCTCCTGTGTAACTGAGATTTTGTAACCTCTAACCATCAATTCCCCATTCCTTCCCTTCCCCCCAGCCTCTGTAGCCACCATTCTATTATCTGCTTCTATGAGCTTCGTTGTTTTAGATTCCACATCTAAGTGGAAACAATTAACAAGGTACGGAGACAATCTACAGACTTGGAGAAAACATTTGCAAGCCATACATCAGATAAGGTATTAATATCCAAAATATATAAGGAGCTCAAACAATTCAATAGCAAAAAAACAAAAAGCCTAATTTAAAAATGGGCAAGGGACCTAAATAGATATTTCTCCAATGAAGACATACAAGTGACCAACAAATACATGCAAAAACAAATTCACATTGTTAATTATTAGGGAAATGCAAAATAAAACCACAATGAGATATCATCTCAGATGGAGAAAAAAGGAAATCCTTATACATTGTTGGCAGGAATGTAAATTAGTACAGTACAGCCATTATGGAAAACTATACAGAGGTTCCTCAAAAAACTAAAAATACAACTACCATATGATCCAGCAATCCTACTTCCTAGTATTTATCCAAAGGATTTGAAATCATCTTGTCAAAGAAATACCTGCACTCCCATGTTCAATGCAGCTCTATTCACAATAGCCAAGTTACGGAATCAACCTTTTCACACTGTTTGGAAAAACAAAGAATTTCTCAACTAAAGTTTATCTTTGTGATAGAATAAATCAAGAAATAATAGGTGCAAAGCCATCTAGGGTCTGCAACAAGAGTGGAGGTAAGTGTAGTGAGGGGTGGGAGGAGAGGAAAGAAGGCAGAGAGGAAAGAAAGAAGGGAGGGGAAAATATCACAGCAGGTCATAGAAATTACCTCAAGGCATCGAGTTTAAGAGCAGGATTCCCACATTCAATGACTTTCACCCAAACAGGTAATGCAACCTAGGTTTAAAAAATTGTGTAAATGTTGTAAAAGGGATTTTCAAGGCAATGAACATTGATTACATGCACCAATACATCTGAAAGAGATAGAAAGCAGAGTTTAGCCAATACATTTGTGCATTTTAAAGACTGTCCCTTAATAAACACAATAATGAGCCTTCTTATATTGCTGCAACATTATTTATCACAGTAAAGAACTCGAAACAACTTAAGTGCCTATCATTAAGAGAACATCCCAATTAACCGTGATTTAGCCATACTGTAAACTTTTTAAAAAGAGGTACATTTCTATGAGCTGACATAGAAAAATATCCAAGCTACGGGTGAGTGAAAAAGCAAGTTGCTGAAAAATGCATATTATAACACACACACACACACACACACACACACACACACACACACACACACAAAGTGACAATAGCTATAATCTCTCAGGAGGAACCTGGGATAAGTTGGTTGTGGGGATAGAGGAGGAATCAAAGAAGACTGGACACTTTGGTCTTCTCAGTAGTATTTTTTTAATAAAGAAAATGTATTCAGATTTTACTTAGAGAAAAAGAATGATTTTAAAACAATAGTACACACCCTCAAATGTGTTTATCCCAAATCAAAATTTAATATATTGAAACCCACCAAACTCATGCTTATGCTTACCTAAGAATGGAGTTTCTCTCACCATGTCTATGAATATATTTGAACACGTGGATATATCCTTGAATACAGAGAAAGTGTTTTCTTGAATTGGTTATTTTTTAAAAAATTAGATCGCTGAAAATCTTCTCATGAAAAACTGAAGACATCAGTAGGCTTCTACGTACATGTTGATGGGGTTTCAGACACATTACCGCCAAAATAAGTTACCTGGGCATATTGAATATTTTAAGCTGAAGGAATTGAGAAACAGCATGTACAGGAAGGACTTTCTGATCTTCCCCTGAAGCAGGGCATAAAACTTAGGAAGGACTTTCTGGTCAACTTCATAATAAACCTATTTAGAAACTTATAATAAACCTGATTAAAAATTTATAAACTAAATGCAAACTGTGGTAGATGCTATTACTATCTGTGAATAAAGACCTCCTTCTCTCCTCAAGGAAGGACTATGCTCCTCCACTCCATTTTGGACTTCACCAGGAGATTTGCCTTGATATATACAACCACCAAGAAAAATATTTAAAGGTGACCAAGTGGTCTAAGTTTCTCTTGTCACTGTCCTCTGCAACAAGAGGCATATCCCATAGAGCCTTTGATCTATTTTACAACTACATGAATTGTGGATAACTGATAACAACATGAAACAATTCCTGTCCACTGACATGCAAATATTACTTTCTGTCTCGTGAAGATTCAGTGAGCTTCCCTTCTCCACTATGGAATGTGTTTTGTCCTTCATTTGCACATTCCAATCTATGAATGTGGCTATTCTTTGGATTGTCATTTGAACATCATTGGTAGTCATAACATCCTACCAGTTCCCTCATTAATAATGAGTTAAATAAAATCTCTAACACATGTTCATTTTATATCCAAAAGAGAGTATAATTTTACCTTTCTTTGAAAATTATCCTGGGTGCTTAAAATGTTAGATAATTTTACTATACACTGATTCCCCCTAACAACCCTATCTTTTACTAATGAGAAAAAGGAGCCCCAGAAAGATTAAGTAACTTGCTTAAAGCCACACACTGATTAGTAGCAGAGCTGGAATCTAAACTCCAGGTCTAGATGACACCTCTACACTGCTTCAAGGGCAACCCTTCAGAGAAAGGAGAGAATAGGGTGGAATCAGGGTATTGTGAAATCACAGAAGTGTTAACAGCCAGTTCCTTTTTTGATCATATGAGGGAATGAAGGCACAAAAGTATAAAGATCTTGGCCACGTTGCATAGCTTATTATAGGCAGGGATCAGAACCCAAGGTTCCTTACAACCAGCCTGATGATCTTGCGTTCAAGGAGGAAGTCAAATTAGACTAGGGCCTTGATGGATAAATAGAATCAACAGACTGGCAAGATGCAGGAAACAGAGGCTGGACACATGTGAATGTGAGGTATGGAAAGTAGGAGAGGCCCCTCTACCACAAGGGTTCTAGGAAATTTACACAGTGGGGAGCCTGGAAGTGGGAAGAGATGGGGCAAGGAGACTGTGTCCAGACGTTGTCAGAGGGGGCCACAGGTTTGTACCGCAGGAGAAGTACTGCTTGGGGGAGAAATTCCTGGAGGCTGTAAAATGAGTTATTTGCTTTCCCAGTAGTCAGAGACTAGATGCTTGGCCACCTGACTTTGTGCACAACCCTTTGCCATCTGAGCTTCTGCTTCACCTGAGGCTGAAAAAGATGACATCCAAGATTCCTTCTAGGGCCAAAAACTACAATAAAGTCAAAAGAGTAGACATACTTCCTCATAAGTTGATCATGGTGGCATACTCTGTTATAATCACATGTGTTCTAGAAACCCAGGATGCCACATGGGGCAGAAAAGCCAGAAAAGCCCACATGGGGTCCTGGAGAGAAGAGGCTGCCTCAAAGGTTATTTTGGAGGAGGAGGTGGAGACCTCATGTTCTAAAGAGGAAAACAAACCTACTTGCCCTTGCCTGACTGTCAGGCTGTGTCCCAGACCAGCAGGGACTTCACAGCAAGGCCAGGCTTCCTATTCTGTGAGTTCCTCACACCCGTAGAGTGTCCCCATCTCTCTGCCACTGGGGCATACCCTGCTCCTCACAACTCCGAGGCAAGAATCAAGTTCACAGGGCATCTGTTCACTGCTACGAGTGTGTGGAGACAGCCACTGACAGGAACACTGATTCCCAAAAGGCACATGTAAATACAAGATGAATGCAAAGAGAAAAGTGACTGGACTAGAGAGAAAATATCAGCTCTACCAAGAAGGAATCGTGATTCCTGCTTCTATTATTATAGATAAAAACCTACCATCTTATGGTCACATGCCGGGTCTTATGAAAATGAGGGCTGTGCACACAGACAGTGCCCTCTCCACACCTATGCACCAACCTGTGGAGCCTCCCTCCCCAAAGAATGGCCAAGAACCAGGGCATCAGTAACCGTTAGACATGCAGAATCTCAGGCCCCATCCCAGCTCTGCGGGATCAGAATCCACGTTTTAAAAACATCCCCAGATGATCACATTAAACTTTTTGAGAAGTGCTGTTTGTAAGGTTCCTGTGAGTAATGCAGCAGCAAAGCTCGGGTACACAAGGAAAGACTAACAAGTGAGCAGAGAGCTGGAGATGGGGAAAGACCAGACCATGAACTGGAGATCACAAGCTCTCTTACCAACACAATAATTCAGAAGGTGACTTCTCAAAACTAATCTTCAGCTGAGATCAGCTGACGGAGTAAGACCTTCCCAGGATGAAAGGAGGGCTGAATCCCCAGGCAGGGCAAGGCAGAAGGGAAGGGGCAGACTCTCTCTTGATGGCATCCTAGCAGAATCAATTGTTAGTTCCCAAAGCTGTCCTAGAGGCGTGATGCTCTGTGGTGCATTTGCTATCTCTTTGTGACTCATCCACAGATGAATGGGCTCAAAGAAAAGGGAGAAGCGAGCCATGAAATATAGTAAATTACAGCTTAATCTTCCTCACCCTGGAATTCATTCAGTAGTTTTAATGAACTTACAGTCTGGAAAGCATGTTGAAGAATGTATATGGAATATATTTCATGCCACTCTGAGCATCAAAGGAGCGCAATTCCCTTTGTTATTAAGGGGATAAATGTCCTTCCTTCAGTCAGTACCTTGGCAAAAAAACAAAAAACAAAAAAACCTGTTTTCCATTATTGCTGTTATCTACTGCAAAACTCTAAAGAATACAGATTTTCAAGAAGTGGTTCCCGAGCACAGTCAGCTTCCTGACCTTGTATCTTCACCCTGAACCACTGAGACAAATAGGGGACCCTGAACTGTCACCTTGAAACTCCACCAGGTTCTCTCTCTGTTGGCTACCTCCTTTGACTTGACCCACAGACCCAAGAGAGAAATTGTCATGGCTTGCTTCTAATTCAGGTTGGAGGAAAACCCAAAGACCCCTGGAAGGATATTGAGTTATCTCCAGAAAACAAAAACAGTACCCTGATTTATTAACGTACTTATATGCATTAATATATGTCCAGATTAGACCTGGACATTTAAATTCATCCCCAAAAGGATATAGCTTATGCTCTGATACTCTACTCCCACCAACCATTATCAGTAATTTTCAAATTATGGACTGCTCTCTATCAGTAGATAATAAAATCAGCTTACTGGGTTATAGCCAACAATTTTATGTTAATAAAATAGAATAGGAAAATTAGACTTAATCAGTGGTAGTAAGATGAGAGACTGTGTGTGTGTGTGTGTGTGTGTGTGTGTGTTTGCACGCATAATGTAAAGTGTATTTTTTTACTGTGTGTCACAGTCAAACCAGCATACAGCACCTGGATATCAACCCCTTACTGGAAAGAGCAGAGAGACAACATGAGCAAAGAACTGGAAAAACAGGTTTCCTTCATGAACTTCTAAAAGCAAAATGAGGAAGAAATTAAGCCCTCTTGTGGCCCAACAGATGGGCTGGAGCTTCTGGTTACCCTCTCCCCTACTCACATCCCCCACTCCCCCTACCCATTATGGCTCAATCAGAAGCCACATCCCATAAATCTCACAAGAATGAAGAAAAGCTGATTTGTGCTGCACAGATTTGTGCCTCGGACAAAGATGCCAATCTGGTGGATGGATTCCCCTTAGCAGTGAAAAAAGAGGCTGAGCGATTTGGAGATCCTATTCCTTGGCACAGTTTTCACTGAGGTCCCCATTCTCTACAAAAATTATTTTCCTTTTCTCCCCAAGGTGTGTTCATGGTAGCTCCCAGTCATGCTTGGCTTCAAATGCACAAAAAATCTAAACAGGAATTAACCAAACCTCCAAACAGTACTGATGTGAACTTTAATGTAAACACTAAGTCATAATCCCACCTTTGTCACTATATCCCAATACCTCCAAAGTTAAATACAGAGGCAAGGTAGCATAAGAGTTAAGAGATTGGGGCCAAAAGTCAAATTGACCTCAATTGAACCAAGCCCCATCATTTCCTGACCTTGGAAAGTTACTTATGATTATCTAAGACTCAGTTTTCTCACCCATAAAATGGAGGCAATAATATTATAGCACCTATCCCAGAGGAGTTAATAAAAATTAAATAAGTGTGTAAAGCATTTATCTCAGTGCCAAGGACATGATTATCATGCATCTTCAAGTAATATTATGGCTATTTTTATTATTACAATCATACTCTATTATTTAAAGGCAAAGTTTAGTTTCTCCTCAGCCTAGTGACAGAGCAGGAGCATTGCCCTCTTGGAAAAGCACCAACATTTTAAAGTTCCCCTTGATCAAAAGCCACCGAAATCCAACCCAAAGGACATCAGCCTAATGGCTAATGTCAGCATGACCATAAACTACAAATGACATCTCCAACCAGAAGCATTCCAACCCTAAGACAAACGCCTCCACAACCAGAGACATGCCTGCCCCAAGATAAACTCCCCTACAACCAGAGACATTCCAACCCCACAATAAACTTCTCCTCCACACAGAAACATTCCGAGCCTGTGATAAACTCTCTCACTCTGAACCCCTAAATACTCTTAGTCTGTAAGAGAGAGTGCTCCTGACCAAATTGGCCAGAAGCCCCTCTCAGGTTTATTCTCCAAAATAAACCTGTCTTTGACTATTGAGCTGCTTTTCACGTTTCTTTCCTCTTTCTTTAACTCTTACACCTAGCTTGTTTGTTTGGTTGTTGTTTGTTTTGCAATCAATACCAATGGTATAAATTTAAAAGGAAGAGAATAAAGAAATTATATTTTCTGATCAACGTTTGTTGTAAATGATTTATACAGTGATGGGTCCCAAACTAAATTTCCCAGGGAATTCCCTATTTCCTTGCGGGGGTAAAGAGCATCCGAATTATTTGCTCATTAAATGAGTTGCCAAAAGCCAGAAAATCTATGCATCTGAGAGTTTTCATCTCAAGAGACCCAGGAGCTCGAAATCCTAGCAGTATGAATCATCTCTGTCCAAGTGTATAGAGTCTATTAGCAGAGGGCAGCTCTTGCTTCTGATGGCAATGGATGCCAGCTGCTGCTGAGAAAACAGGAAAGGTAATCCCATGTTTCAGCTTTAACGTGCCTGGTCAATTGTGAAAACTGACTTGAAGGGAGAGAAATTTCATCTTGACCCCCTTGGATAATGAACAAGAAGGACAGCCTGGCCTGTGAAGGAAACACCAGAGTGGGGCAAGCTCAGAGAAAATTCAGCCAACATAGCAGTGGAATCATGCTCTTTAAGTGTCAGGCCAGCCTCACAGGTACCACACTTTTTCTAAACACAGGTTTCTCCATTCACAAATTGTTTACTTCAGAAATGACTTTTTCTCCTATAAATGGAATTCCTTTGTCTGAGAACCACATACGCAAGAAACAAGGATGAAGGAAGAGCCATCTAAACTACCAGGTCAGCTACATTCATTCATTCATTCACCTGCCCCAGCATATCCATCCTACGGGTTTACTAGGTAACAATAGGGGTATGGATGAGGCAACAGGGATGTACAGAGAAAGAAAGTGCTTAGAGTGAGTTGTATAGCTTAAATGCTCATATTAGAAAAGATGGAAGGTTTAAAATCAATGCCCTACGTTTCACCTTAAGAAGTTAGAAAATGAAGAGCAAATTAAACCCAAAGTAAGTAGAAGAAAGGAAATAATAAACAAAAAGCAGAGCACAATAAAACATAACACAATCAACAGAAAAAGTTAACAAGGACAGAAGATTTTTAAAAACATTAATAAAAGTAATAAACAAGTAGCAAGCTTGATCAAGAAATAAGAGAAGGCACAAATTACTAATGTCCCGAATGAAAAAGAGATATTGCAGATCTTACAGATATTAAAAAGATGGCAAGCAACATTATGTCAATGAGTTTCACTACTTAGATGAAATGAACAAATTCCTTGAAAAACCACAACTTAACCAAGAATGACTCAACAAGAAATAGAAACTCTGAATATCCCTATACCTATTAAGGCAGAGGTTATCCACATGTAGCTCCAGCAGAAAGGCAGCATCAGCAACACCTGCAAACTTTTTGAAATGTAAATCCACAGCTCTCACTCGGACCTACCAAATCAGAACTTTAGAGTGGGTGGGGTGGGGGTCACAGCAATTTGTGTTTTAACAGACCTTGCTGGTAATTCTGATACCATTTGAGAACTGTTTCAATACTATCTTCCTACAAAGACAGACAGATCTAGATGGTTTCACTGATGCATTCTATCAATTACGTAAGAAAGAAATCATACCAGCCTTACAAAAGCTGAGAAAATTTAAAAAGGGGGGATCACATCTCATCATTTACTGTCAATCTCTACTCTTTTATGGAAGTTGTAGGAGTCTTTATTTTCCCTGATTCTTATTTTAAAGTGATTCCTGGTTTCTTTGAAATGGGCCATTCTGACAGACAAGTGGTCCACATAGCCCAAATGGCCACACTGCATGTTCTCAAGTAGAGAAAGGTCTTTATTAGGTGTTTTCTGTCTTTTGCTTGCAGCCCTTAGGGGAGTGATAATCTAGTTCACGATAAGGTAATTAAGGCAGGGAGTTGCCCCTCACCCACAAGGATACCCACAGCATAGCAATCCTTCCCTTCTCTTGCATACAAACCTCACTCAAGCCAGAGCAGGGACTGGGACTCAGATAACAAAAGCGGTGATAAAAATGAACTATCTGCTCATAGTATTCCTTCTAAATAAAACACCCATACCACCTTTCCACATCTGGCTGTTTTTCTTACTCATCCTTAAGCCTCAGGTGTCATCTACAGAAAGACTTTTCTGAACCCCCAAACTAAGCAGATGTAACTAAATCTTTACATCTTTATCCAAGAACTTAATATTGAAATTCTCTATGACTTTGTACCTTTGTCAAATAACTTATATTGAAATTACCTGTCTGGGTCCTATATCTCTCCAATTATGTCATTAGCTCCTTGAGGGCAGAAACCACATTTCATTTTTTGTTTTGGTTTTGGTTTAATGTCTCACAGTGCTTGACTACTAATTGCATAGTTCCACTCAGTAAACCTGTAGTGAAATGAAGAGTCTGAGAGTGGAGTCAGGTCAAAATTTACCTCCATAAATAAAATACACTCAACTCAAAACATTCAGTATGACTTATTTTTAAAATAAGTACTTTCAATTTGTTCAATCTCTCAGTAGTATTATTAATGCAAACCACATGGACTGACTTTCATTTTGCAAATCTCACCTACCCTTTTTAAATATATGGTGGAAACATAAGGTCCCTGCCCACAGATCTATGCATTGCAGAGCCTACTAGAAGATAAATACAGGGATCAAAAGAATAACAGTAGTAGGTGACACCTAGAATCTTAGGATAAAAGGGTTGGATTTCTTCTTTTAGCCTCTTTATGCAGACCTGCAAGTTTTGCCTTCACAGCCTTGAGGATCATCCTGAAGCATGAGACACAGATTCTCCCACCTCCGCCTATTGCAGACCCCATTCCAACAAATCCTCCAATAAATGAGATCCTGAAGAATTAATCTCCCGCACAAGCAGAATAAGTGCCTGAGGGAGGCCAAGTTTTGCAGAGAGTTAATTATGATGAAGGAAGACATTCTGTGGCCATTAATTTTTATTGGGAGGGCAGGCATTATATTAACAGCTAGTATATATATCTAGAATTGGGCCATATAGCATACACGCATTGTCTCATTTACTTATCACAACCCTTTGAATTAGGTACCATTAGTAAGCCCCACCCTGAGAATAAGCTTAACTGGCCGAAAAATCACAAAGTTTAAGTGGTGGAAAATGGATTTAAATTTACATCTCTCAGACCCCAAAATCCATGCTCTGAATGCTAGTGATATATTGCCTTTTTACAGTCTTCTGGTATAATTATGCTCCTACAATGTTCCACCCAAGCCAGTGGCAAAAGTAAGTCACTGATATCAAAGAGGGGGGATCATCTACCCTATGAATCTGAAGACAAAAAGCACCCTTTAAACATGATTCATCTTCGACACAAGAGACTAATTTAAGAAACATTTCTTTCTATTCAAAATAATGATGCTAAATGGGAAGCGATTTAAGCTTTACAATGGCTTCATCAGAATCTCATCTGTCAGATCTCAAAATCATGCTCCCAGAACATGTTTCTCAATAGAATGAATCAGCAGGAAAGAAAAGCAGATGTAAAGCAAACAGGTGAAAGTATGAAGTTAGCAATAACTGTGCTCATGGGCCACCACCACCATCAGCACCACCATCATCATCCTCATCACCAGTATTATATTGTTATTATTAAGTACCTTCATTCCCAAATAGTAGCATTATGTCCTCTGAAGGAATGGGGCTTCTGTTTACCCAGCAAACAGGCACTGTTTGCATTACCTTAAGGGTTAACCTACTTTCTTGATAATGGGTCATGAGTGAGTAGGGGTGATCAGTAAAGATAGTACTATTACAAACAACAGAGCACACTTGTAGTTACTAAAATTATCCAAAAAATCATGGCAAAATTATCAAAGATGTAGGATTATGAATTTGGTATGACAGCAGAAGGATGATTGCACATCTCACAGTCCATATTGCTCACATCGGGTTCTCACATGCTTTAATTGCAGTGCTAATTCTGAGAATTCTTGATTATGATCTAATGGTGGAACACATCTGAAAGATTAAAGAACTGATTGTAGAAAAGTCAACACAAAGTCCTCCATTTATGTACATACCAGAGTGCAGGACAACGGGGACGACCCTGTCCCCTGGTGGCAGAGCTCCGCGATTCAGAACCTCGCAGCAGGAAGGAACTTGCCTGTGACTCCACATTCAGCCATGCTTTCAGAAGCACTGGACTTTTATCAATTTCTAGGGATATTTGTGTTGTCAGGGTATACTAAGTAGGAATCTATTCCCATTTATATTGTGATTTGCTTTGTACCTACTAATTTTCACTGAAATCACTATTATAATTTACTGTCTCTACCCCCACAAGTAAGGGATGGAACTTCATTTCCCAGTAAATATATTTTGTTTTATTGCCTCCTAGGTAACAATGTGCAACAATACCAAAGTGTTTCATTTAAGACCTGTGATTTTGTGCTTTTCAGGACTAGTAAAATACAATAGCATGTGGAACTTATGATTTCTAATTTGTTTCAGAACGTAGTATACTGTGTTTATATAAGCCACACAATATTAACCCTTCAAGACAACTTTAAAATCTCTTTCAAAGCATGATTAAAAGTACGTCTAAAAATTTTCCTTGTGAAATGTAAATGTATCTAATACACCTATAAAATCTTGTCAGCTACATTTATGAAACATAAGTCATAAATTTACTACATAAACAACAATAAGTCAAAATAGTAACATTGATAACAATTGCTAAAATGTTCTTTACACTTACTAAAAGCCAGGATATACACTTAACACTTTTAATCTTTATCTCTTTTAACCCTTACAACAAACCCACAAGGTAAGTATGTTATTCTCTTTTTAAAGAAGAAGGTACAGCTTAGAACTATGTACCTCAACATTGGCACTCTAACATTTTGGATAATCCTTTGTTGTGGTGGAAATGTTCCATGTACTATAGGCTATTTAGCAGTATCCATGGTCTCTATTCACTTGATACCAGTAATATACCCCATATCCAGAAGTGACAACCAAAAACTGTCTGTAGACATTGCCAAATACCCTCGTAGGGCCAAATCAGCCAAATCACCCCCAGTCGAGAACCACTGGCTTAGAGAAATAAAGTAACTTACTAAAGGTCATATGCTTAGAATATAATTGAACAGAAGCCAGGCATTCTGACACAAGAATGTATACTCTCAATCAATGAAATACAGTGTTGTTTACTCTGTGATAGTTTAAAGAACATAAATTTTCCTCAAAATAGAAAACTAAAAATGAAGACAAACTGTAAATGCCTTCCCGTAGAAAGATATTCTATGGCCACAAGAGACTGTGCCCTTCCAAAATTTTCCTTTCCTAATTAAGGTCCATGTCCCAATGCCTATTGCCCTTACGTAGCTTGATCTCCTGCCCCACCTACCCCAATCTTCTTTAAGTCCTATTCCATGTGCCCCAAAAGACAGTCACCAATCCCTTGTTAAGGCTGATTCCATGCTTTAGTAAATAAGATCCAGACTCTGCCTCACAGAGCCCCTGAAGAACAAGACCTGTCTGCTTCCTACCTGTTCCCTTAGATGACCCAAGACTTCCACCTGTATCATCTCAAAGTGTAAGCCTTCTGCATAGTGGTCACTGAATTCCGGTACTGAAGTCCCAAGACTTCAGTGACTAAGGACTTTCCACACACCAAAGTCTTCCTATGTGCCTCACATAGACTATTTCATTCCAGGCTCACAAGAACCCTAGGAAGCAAATACTATTTCCATTTACCAAAAGAAACAGATTCCAGTAGGCAGGGGAAACCCACACAAGCATTTCACCAGGTTCACGACAGGACTCAGATTTTAACCCAAGTATGGACAACTCCAAACCCCTGCTCTGTATTCCAACCCTATACTCTTCCAATTTCATGGCAGGGCAAAGACTACAGACACACCCTTCCAAAGCATGTTCTCATCTTGCCATACTCCCTCCAGCTTGCTTAGAAGTTCATCATTCCAGCCCCCTCTCCTCGACATCCCAAATTTATGAGAATAAACAAAGCAGAGCTGAGTGTGACTTCACTTGTGGAATAGAAAAGGGAAAAATTCAGGCAGTGACCTCACGAACTTTGAAAAGGCAGTATCGTATTAAATCAGAGGATAGAAAAATACAGAACATGTTTTCTCTTATCCGATTCTATTTTTGTTATTTACTTTTTTTATGCATAAAGAGTTATGTATTCATGTATGACTGATCACATCGCTTCAAAGCACTTTAGCTGTTAAGTACGAAAATAGACAATTTTGAAAAAAGAACCTGGTGGTGGAGGTGAGGATTTTTCCCTTTCAATCACATTACTTAAATATAGCTTGTTGTTTTTTTGTTAAGTCTTCATTAAACTTTCCTGAGAGCTTCAACTTTTAGGTTAAGGCCAAATACGAAAACTTTCAAACATAAAATGTCTGAAGAGAAAAGAACAATTGGCAGAGTAGAGAAATGAACTACCAAAGGCAGATCTTTTTGACGTTGATTTATTCAGCTTTAAGCTGCTTCATTTGGGGAAGAAAAAAAAAGGAGGGGCTCCACAGCTGTAAAAATCTATAAAGCCAGGCTGAGCACAGTGGCTCATGCCTATGATCCCAGCACTTTGAAAGGCCAAGGCGGGTGGATCACTTGAGGTCAGGAGTTTGAGACCAGCCTGGCCAACATAGTAAAACCCCGTCTCTATTAAAAATACAAGAAGTAGCTGGGCATGATGGCATGCACCTGTAATCTCAGCTACTCAGGAAGCTGAGACAGGAGAATCGCTTGAACTGGGGAGGCAGAGGTTGCAGTGAGCTGAGATCTTGCCTCTGCACTCCAGCCTGGGCAATGGAGAAAGACTCCATTAAAAACAAAAACAAAAACAGAAAACAGACAAAAAAAACTATAAAGCCAAAGGGATAGAAAGAACTCAAGAAACTTTCAGTGTCTGAAAGGCCTGCCTTTAAACCCTGGCCCGACCATTTGTCTGCTCATTTGAGTTACCTCAGATGAGTTACCTCTTTTCCATGACTTCCTTTTCTGTAAAACAGGATCATTGTGAAGATCAAATGAGAAAATGCATGTAAAGCACCTGGCACACTGTAGACACACAATAGATTTCAATCAGTAGGGGGCCCTCTGGACATACCTATGTGCTTGCCAAAGTTTGTGCTTTAGCAATACTTTTAATGTCCCATGATTACTTCTCATTAATTAAGTGAATTTAGAAGTATTGTAAACCAAGGATAATCTGGCTAGGGGCTAAAGGACAATATATATGGGGTACAGACTATGTCACCTGCCCAGTGATCTCTGTGCTAACTGGCAGCTTTGTTCTTTTCTGGTGATTCAGTTAAACAGCAGAGAGTGCCCACCATCACTGCAGATGTTGTTCAGTGACCTAGACTTCCTCCTGGAAGGACCTCAGTAACTGGAACCAGAGAATACTGTTTTTGAGCCAAAGACCACATTCGTTCTCAGATTGAATCTCATCTCTTTACAGACAAGGACACTGAACCAGAGAGGAGCAATTCGGCACAGCTAAATGTGACAGAACACAAACACGATTCTTAATCTTACCTCTTTACCAGTGGTTCTCAACTAGAGGTGATTTTGACATACACGGGACATTTTTGGTTGCCACAGCTAGGGGAAGATGAGATGTTACTGGCATCTAGTGGGCAGAGGCCAGGGATACTGCCAAACATCCTACAATGCACAGGACAGCCCCTACAGCAAAAGCATCAATAGTGCCATGGTTAAGAAATGCTCACCTACTCCATTGGACCAGTGTCTCCAGGGAGTCTGAAATCTGCCTTTAAAGCTGCTGCTGCTGGAAGTTGAACTTGGCCCCAGCATGGCGGCCCTCACTAATGACTGATTCAACCCTGTCAATTGTGCCTCTTAGCATTGAAAGCCACCAGGTTTGGGAAGGATTTAGAGATTTGCCTCCTCAGGTAACTTAAAGTCTGGACATAACTTTTGAAGCACCCTGATATGCCTGGGCATAAGTGCTATTGACAGTCCTGAAAATGCACTTCGGTCTTATTAGGCAATCTAAGAAACTTACTCTCAAAACCATTTTGGCAAAACACCGCCAAACAGCCAAATGATGCACAACCACACAGATACCTGAATATCAAATATTCAGAATGATCCACCCTGAGCAAATACATCTGATACTGTACTAAGCACCTCCAGGATTAATGGCTTGAGTAGAGGAAACACAGAGATTGAAGCACTGATTAAAGCTAAAATACTCTCAGTGTTTCCACCCAAAGCTTGAGTTCCATGTTGCAGGGACTAAAAAAAGAAAAGAAAGGCAGAGTCAATGATTTAAGCAATTATGTACTTACTGATTCTTGCCATGCATGCCATCTGTCTTGCTGACCTCACAGGCCTCTACACCGGCCAGTGTGAGGGTCAAATGAGAGTCTACGTGTGGGAGTATGCAGTGAACTGCAAAGCCATTTGAAAGTATGAGTCACAATCCAAACTTATTTACCCAGAGTTCCACCTAGTAACTATGACGTTAGTTCTGACCCATGATAGAAATATATGAAGGATCCCAATCTGATTTATTCATAAAATCAATGCACATTTAATAAAGATCTGTCATGCCCAATGCTTTTGGGGAGCATATTCCCCACTTAAAAAAATCAGTGATGCCACAAGGAATGACATGCACCCCACTAACTCTTATACAGAATTAGAGAAGCAGGAACTCTTTTAGGTGGAAATACCTAAGAAGTTTCCATTGAAAGGGATGGTCTTTGAATTGGATCTTGAAGAAAAGATGGGATTTCAACAGATAAAAATGAGAACATTTAGAGTACTGGAAAGAATATGAAAGAAGAAAGGATCATAAAAAAATCAGGCAAATATGACAGTCAGTAAGGAGTTCAGCTTGACTGGAACTTAGGGTGAATGGAACAAGGTAACAGACAAAGCAGCAAAGTTTAGGTGGAAGCAAGTGTAGGCAGCCTTAAAATCCAAGACAAGAAGATAGGCATTTAATGGCCAACAGGAAGCCAATGGAGATTTGTTGCTATTTTTCAAACATAGAAGGCACAATCAGAGGAGCTGTGGAGAAAGTAATCAGACATAGGTATGCAGCATGGAGAAGATGAAGAAACCAGAGTAATGAAAGAGATTAAAGAGGCCACCCAATACTCTAAGAGACAGGTGATGAGACTGGACCAAGATCATGGGAGGGAAAGTAATGTGAAGGAAAAGCCCACAATCCGTTAGGGACCCATTGATCATGGGCAAAGAGGAAGAATAAAAAGTTAAAGTTGAAGGAACACCCAACAGAAGATCATACAAAGGGGCTCAGAAGTTTTGATCCTGGATAAATGGAAGAATGGTAGTAATTATCAGACATAAGGAAGATGGAAGAGAAAAGACGAATGAATTGTGCCTAGATGATCCTCTTGACTCAGAAAATGACAGCTCAATGCCAAGGTCACTCCTGCTACTGGTGTCTAGATACACTACCCAGACGAAGTGCCTGAGCTATTATACTTACTACATCTCAGCACCCTCTCATCCCATGCCTAGTTCCCAGGTGAAAGCCTCTAAATAGCCTTTCTGGGCCTAGATCCCTACACCTGTGCCCTGCCCCCCTCCCACCCCCTCCCTTCCCCCCACCGACTCCTGCTGATACATTAGCAAGGGTAAGTGAGTGAATGACTAAGTAGTGAATGAGTGATGGCTGCCTGTACTCTGAACTCTGATCAAAACTATATAGACTCTCCATCACTCCCCTTCCCCCACCCCCAGCCATGTTTTACCTGAAATTGTAGTGCTTTTTGGCCCTTTCTCACATTAACTGCCCCAGGACTTGCACTTGCAGGCTAAGTCTCAGCATCCATCTGTGACTGGGGCTCTAACCAGACCACTGTGGCTGCTATAAAGGCACCCTGATTCAGGTGGCAATCTTGGAATGTAAACTGGACACATTCTCATGGCTGATGCACTTGTTCTTACTACTTTGAGACTGTATTATTAGTCATCACAAATGTAGGAAAATATTTGTAAAGGGATTTATCTCTTGGAAGATCCTCTTGTCCCTGATGTTACCACTTAGGCTCTGAAAATCAATACTACTAAGTAAGCAGTAGAATGCAGGATTGGTTGTGCATTAAGTTTGCAAAAATGTATGATTTGATTTATCCAGTGTCACCCCTGTTAATTTTCCCAACAAGTTACTTAGCTGCCACTTTTAATTGCAAAGGTAGGGGACAACAGTCTACCAATTCTATTTCAAAGGTGCTGAAAGAACTTCGGAATTAACCAATGGGCCTTAATATATCCTGGGAAGGAAACGGGCAGAGTTCAGCAGAAGATGTACCACATCCCATCCTAGGATACAACTGCTTAGCAGGCAGCCTCCCACAGGGTGATAACCACTCGCCTTCCCTCCCTTCACATGTGACAATCTATTATTACCAGCAAAGGTGGCTGTTGATGATGACTTATTAGCTATGTCAATTCATGAAGGCTGAACATGGGCAGGCCTGACTAAGGGAATCATTTGCTGGATTTAATCAATTACTGGGTTCATCAAGTGTGATTACTGAGCCACGTCAAAATCCAAGTGAAATAACACATTAGACATTCATGGAAAAACATAACTCCTTGCTTTGCCTTGCCACAGATAGAGGCCACACTATTATCTATATGTACAATATCCAGGTTATCAATTATCTGCACATGTCTGTATCCTGGGCTGTCTTCTTCCTAATGTCTAGAATATTTTTGAGCCATTTGCCTTTTTTTTAAAAAAAAAAAAGAAAGCCTAAAAATCAGCAAAACATACATTTTTAAAATAACTGAAAACATGAAGAAAACAAGAAGGAAAGATTCTGGGCTATCCTATTAGACTTCAGTATGCCCATACTTTCAAGCACCACGAATAATAAACAATACTGGAGGCTCACTTTATAATCTAGCGAGAGAAGAGTATATGATAATGTAAGTATCCTCCCAACAGATCTGATTGTTCCCAATGACCTTCAATACTTATATCTATTATAGCACTTACCACATTTTATTATAATCCCTTTGTTCACCTGTATCTCACCTACAAGCCTCTGTACCTATTAACAGAGGCAATTGTACATATCTTGTTATTTCCAGTATTTACTGAACTATATAGCAATATACTATAGTAAGTATTAAATAAACTTTTGTTAAATGGAAGATTTTTGTAAAGTACTGTGCATGTGACTATCAGTATAATATGATTATCAAAAACATGAGGGACACCTTTGTCTAAAGTTAATTACTCACAGAAATATGTCTAGATTTAGAAAATGAATAAATCAGACACAGTAAGAGCTAGAACTTCTACCTAAACTATCTAAACAGTGCTATGATTAATAACAAATAAACAAAAATGTTCATGCTAATGAGGTTGTTCATTACCTGGTATGGCTTTTTTAAGCCACAACTCCAACTCCTAAACATTCTGACCAAAGTATTTCCATAATCCAGACACATGAAAATTGAACGTGTGTCTGTAGAACTCCCTCAGGTTTGTGGATAGGTCTTTAATTTGTGCCTCTATTTCTTAATCCCCTATCATACTGAAATAGGGGTGTGTGTGTGTGTGTGTGTGCGAGACAGAGTGTGTGTGTGTGTGTGTGTGTGTGTGTGTTGGAAGCACCTCTATCATAGATTCAGCTTGCAACATCAGCTCTGATAGCAATTCCTTTCTTCAAGGGCAGCTCATAAGTATTTGGTTATTTCTAAGTATTTCTCAAAGGTATAAACTTCTGCAAGCCAGACCTGATAACTTGAAGGTGAAACTCTATTAAAAGAAACCGGATGAGACATTTATGAGTAAGCAGGTTTACAGCGTAATCCTCTCTAGCCGTCAAATTACCATTTCACCACTTCTGCAAATCTCTTGGAATGATTGACCCTCATGAACAAGATTCATTCACAAGCAAAAGGATAGTTCCCCTTAAATATGTGGATTTAAAACCCAATCCAATAAGGTTTTCTGTGCAAGGAGAGGCTTACCTACTACCTATTGATTCCCTTGCTAACCCGATAAAGAGGACTTATGAAATCACTCTTTCTACTGAAATTTGGTCTTGGAAGAGATTAGTATACTCTCCTTAATGCTAGGAGTGAGACTCAGTAAAATCACTATCATCAAAACATTCCCTTGGGCTACCAAAATATGCCTCGTACTTGGTGAAATACTTAAAGAAAGATAACTGCCTCAATTGTGTTGTAGTAGGATGACAATTACTTTGAAAGCTGTGGGTTTTTTTTTTCTTTAACAAGGTTTTGATAGGTAAACAAATACATAAGTGAAATAAAATGAAAGTTAGCAAGAAAAGCGTAAACAAATGTAGATTATTTTTGTATCCTGGGCTGTCTTCCCTTTGATGTCCAAATCAAACCTTTTAATATAACATTTATATCACTTAGTTTTCCTATATTAAGCCACCTACTTTATTTGACTAATTATTAACTCCAGCCAAATAACTGCAGTTAGAATTAAACTCACCAGTTAAGTCCACATTGCTGTGTTTATTCCTACCATGAGAAAGGAATCACAGCTATTCCCAGTCCAAATAAACCATCAAGTAGGCAAGCAAACATTCAAACAGACCATTACTTGACTGGGAGTGTCAAGATATATTTAAAATTGTCTACCATTCATCAAATGAGGAATCCACCTACTCCAAATCTACAGATCCCCAGAGAAGGTCTCAAGCAAGATTATTCTGAAAAAGGCTGAAGGTTTGCTCTATAGATTAAACAAGGCTGGAAATTTTTTAAAACACTTCTTTTATCAAGAGATTTAGTCTATGGTCCATTCTCTTGAATGGGTGGGTTCAGTGATAGCTTGACCAATAAGACACAGCAGAAGTGATGCTGTGCTCACTTCTGGACCCAGGCCATAATTAAGAGACTAGCAGCTTTTAATTCCTGTCTCTTAGAACATTTGACCTAAGAAACCAGACAAGTGCAATTGCCCTGAGCCCACCATGTAGTAAGAAGCCCAAGCCAGATGGAAGCACCCTGGAGGACAAAAGCCATGTGAGGAGAGAGGGAGAGAGAGAAAAAAAATAGAGAGGGAGAGAGCAAGAAACAAAAAGCACCAAGACTCCTAACGTGAGCAAAGATACTATCTTGGAAGTGGAGTCTCCATCCCCAGCAGCCCCAGTTGACACCAGGTGGATCAGATTCAAACCAGCCAGCCAAGTCCTTCCTGAATTCCTGACCTGCAAAATTATGAGCAGAATAAAAGTTATTTTAAGCCACTAAGTTGAGGATGGCTTGTAATTCAATGATGGATCAGAAGCACATGGATCTACTTCATATAAAAAATGTATTTCATTAAAAATAGAAGAGCTCAAACTGATCCTCTATTAATTCACACTTTAAATGACTTCAATAAAGCTTGTTCAACATAATTGGTTTATTTTTCATTACAGTGACAAAATAAAAAAAGGCAACAGCATTCACGTCAGATATGCAAAAAACACACTTTCAAAACAAAATTGACATTGTAATTTGAACCTTGACAGGTTTGAGCAGCTCTCTTGTAAAACTTCCTCTCACTGTCTAAGTATCTCTCCTTAAAATAAAATTGAGGCAACTTTGAAGCACCTCATACTCCAGGTTAACTACATGTGAAAATGATAAATTACTTTTTACTACTCAAGACTACTGTGCCCTCTAATCTGAGTGATTAATTTACATCCTGCTCAGTGGTTCACATGCAATTACTACCGTGAGTCCAACGAACCTGAACAAGACAGAATTGTTTAGCCATCTGTACAAGCTCTCACTATATTTAGAAAAGTACAGCAATCTCCAGGAAGCTTTCAAGTTTTAGTTCATTTTCCTCTCAATGACTCGTGCACTCTATGCTGCATATCAAATTATAATACCACTCCCTTGGACCCAAGTTTGCTCAACCCACTTTATTTTGTTGTTGTTGTTGTTTTGTTTTGTTTTGTTTTAGGCTTTTAGCAGCCTGAAGCCATGATTTTTAGTTTCTGTCTATAGTGATAAGAATAAAAGAGGGATGAGGAAGGGGCTTTACTGGCCCAAATAGAAACAGAAACTAAGAACTCATGACTGTATTCTCTCCACTGGACACCCCTGGAGGAGACCATGCAACACAGGAATCTCTACTGTGAGATGACGCTCATTAGAAAAGGCGAGACTAAAGCAGTGATCTAAAAAATGCCATTGTTGAAACCTACTGGCAAATTTTAATTGCATTAATGATTTTTTTAATCTGCATGTAATCTGTTTAATTCCATAACACCCAAGTCAAGTACAATGAAAGCAGATACAGGCCGTCTAGATTGAATTGTGGGCTTCAAATGCTTGGTCAGCAAAAGGTCTAAGTAACTTTATTTCCTAACTCTTCTCAATAAAAAGAATAAATATTACAGAATATAACAATGGAGTCACCTTATAATAAATGTGTCCTTAGGCAATATTGACATTGTGTGAAAATCATTAAGTGTACTTACACAAACCTAGATGGTATAGCCTACTACATGCCTAGGCTGTTGGTATAGCCTATTGCTCCTAGGCTACAAACTTGTACAGCATAATACTGTACTTGGTAATGTGGGCAACTGTAACACAATGGTAAGTATGTGGGTATCTAAACATATCTAAACATAGAAAAGCTAATGCATTGTACTACAATGTTACTGCAGCTACTATGTCACTAAGCAATAGGAATTTTTTAGCACCATTATAATCTTATGGGACCACCTAACTCAAGAAAAGCCTCCTAACATACATGAGGTCTACACCTCTAGATAAGCCTAAGATAATATGCTTACTAAAAGTTTATGAAAGCTCTTCCTAAGAAAGCATCCATGATCAGCTGGACCTTTAGAATCCCAACTTTGATGGAGAGTCATAGCTAAGTTTAAAGAATAAAGATGGAGGTTGGAAGTAGCAAGAAATGACGCTGGAGAAATAAAAGAGGTCATGGGAGACCGTCTGTGCCATTATTGTCCAATGAAATTTGTGAAAACAAATCATTGTAAAAAACAGAAAGCAGTGTATACAAGATGAACCAATGAATGAACAACGTGAGGTGATGAATATGTTAATTTGCTTGACTGTAATGATTTCACTATGTGTATGTATATATATATATACACATATGAAAAAATATCATACACTTTAGATATATATATAATTTTTAAAAGATGAACAAATGAATAAATTCCACGAGGAAGTACATGACATTTCCTAAGCTCATTTCATTATTCTATCATTAGAGAACCCACTCACCCTCTCCATAGTCACAACCTGTATGCATGCTCAAATACACATGCTGCTCCACCAAGTCAGCAAACTACATCTGTCAACGGGTCCTGTAATGGGGAATGAAAATCGCATATGCACTGAAAAATGGGCTTCCCATTGGACTTCGGAGGCCATGCACTCAAAAACCTGGTGAGTTATTTTTGAACTATAAATACAGAAGATTTAAGTCCAACATTTAATAGCCACATAGGTTAGGGCCAGTGACCACCTGATCCCTCATGGCTCCTTATGCCAAAGAGTGCAAAGCACAGCCCAGAGGCAGGCTGGGCACATGAGGGATGATGACAGATGTCATTCTAGTTAAAATTACCCTTTCCACAGTCAAATCGAAAGACTGCCACTGCCCTTAAAGGAATCTGTGCCTGTGCTTTGAGCTCAACAGCATTTTGTCAGCAAATCAGGCAAAGGATATTCTGAGACAAAGGAGAATTCAGACACTAAACATGTTATATAAAGACCGCTTTGTGCTCCCCATCCATAAACCTTCAGCCCCCGCCAGCCTAATCACTCTCTGGTCAAGGTTTTAGGAAAATCACTAGACAGCATGGCAGTAACAAGCTTTTGAGCCCACAGGATCTACTCTCTTGTGAAGGCATCCACCTACTGTGCCTCACTAGATGCCTGCAATCAATTTTTAATTACAGCAGCAGTCACGATCGGAGATAAAGCACGCAACATGCTGAGAAAGAACCAAAAGCCTGTTTATTACAGTTCCAGTCCACCATGAGCCAGACTTGTGAAGAGCTGGGCCACAAATGAATCAACCAGTTGCAGCTCAGAAAGACGTTCTTACCTCTGGGACGTTTTCTTATATTTCCTCCTGTAAGAAAAGGCATAAACATATATCAGAAAAGGGTTGTGGCAGGCAGTGGGTAAGAAAGGGATTACTTCAGTGGGGATGGGCATGGGGGTCAACACTTCTTAGGGGGGTTTCTCTGTGAAGCTTATGGGTTTCAAAGCTTAGTTAAAAGTTTGGGAATGCTGTGTTATATTGTAGTCAGAAGTACAGAACCTAAGCCTTTAGTAAAAAATAGCATCCCAAGAGCTCAGTGGCTCTGCTCCCATGTTCTTCCCTTTTCCTTTTGAAGGTTCCATGGCATTTTAGTTGAGGTCAGGCTTTAAAGACCACAAAATCTAGGTTCAAACCTCAGTCCTTCCTTTACCAGGTTCATGAGGTTCTTACAGAGTAAATGGACACAAGCTTACAAAACACTTCTTTTATCTGGCACATATTAAATGGGTTAAATGGTGAATAATGATCAGTTATTTATGTTGTCACTATCGTTACTATTATCCCCAACATCTAGCACTGAGGTCCCTTTAAGGATGTGCCTTTTTAAATGTAAATGTGCAATCATGCAGCTAAACTATGAGATGAGACATAAGGTCTTCAAAAAAAGAAGAAGTGAGGAAGGGGACAATGAGAAAGTCTAGAAGCAAATGTTGAGAACCAGCATTAGGAACCATCCCCAGGAAGCAGAAGAGACCCAGTTCCAGCCCACGTCTGTTATTTACAGTCATTTAGCCTTGGGCAAATCTTGTGCATCAGGCTTCTTAATCTATCACATGAAGCTAGTAACATCTGCTCTGACCATCTCACCTAGGTCAGAGTGGCAGACAAGGAGAAAATGGCCATAAAATGTATGTTGTCCCAATATCCCAAAGTTCTTCATATGTGTGTCAATTTTTGTAGACTCTGAAGACCCTTAAAAGAGTTTCAATAGGCTCAGCACTGGAGGGGATTAGAGGAGAGGAAGTGTTAAGGAAAGAAAATCCATCTCCTTGTAGCATATCCGGGAAGTACAATGTTTCCCAGTTGACCTTAGTTCCACACCAGCATTTCCATTACAGTCACTGTACCCAGGAAGCAAACCACTGGTTTGCTAATGGAGAGCTGTGTACCATATTTCTTTGTAAACTAAAGAGGTTTCAAATTGAGAATCACTAGGACCTGTTACATCTCTGTTAAAATGAAATCACACAGGGCAGTGTCAGGTGTGTAAAGCAGCAAGTAACACAGAACCTACAGTGTGGTCTTGACTAGATATGTAGTGATATCTATTTACCTGAAAGGAGACACACCAGAATGACAACCATGACTCCAGGGTAGTAGGATGACAAATCACTCCTTTTTAGTTTTATGAATTTTCCAAATTTTCTTTAAAGAGTGAGCATTATAACAGAAAAAAATATTAAAATATGGATACACCTAGTTACATATAAAGGTATATACAAATATAGGACTATATAGAGATATTTCCATGTTTATATTATATCACATATAATAGGGAGGAAAGTTGACTAACAGTAGATTAAGGCTTGGCCTTTGAAGCAAACTATCTATGTTCCAGTCTTGGCTCTAGCACTTAGCTTTACAATGCTGGACTAGTTATTAAATCCCCCTGAACCTCAGTTTCTTTGCATATAAAGTGGGAAGAATCAGAGCCCCTCTTCTGAGACCTTGTTATGAGAAATAAATGAGATAATTCACCTGAACATCAGCTCCCCAAGGGCAAGTTCTTTGTGTGGTTTACCTCATACTCTCCCCAAAAGCTATGATGCATGTGCACTGATCAATCACTCTCTCGCACCTGGACCCTGTCACCAATGACAGCTCACACTTTCCAGGCAGCAGCCAAGGGCAGAGGCTTCACCTTCAGCCATGGAGCATAGTGAGCTGTGGGTGTGACCTGTGCCCTTGGACTCATTAGCACAGCAGTCTAACAAACTGATCTAAGGTACAACTGGCAAGACGAAAAAATAACCCATTGAGCGTATACAGGGACCAAAGGCAAGGAGGCAGTTGGAAAAGAAGAATGCCCCTAGCCTCTACTCAGAAGCCCAACTAATCCTATCAGCAGACAGCATCTTCAGAGGTCAGAAGAAGACAGCCCTTGCTATTGGTTTCCACAGAATTCTCCCAATACTTGCCAAAGAAATCTATAAAGGCACTGCTGGGAGTTCTGAAAGAATCAAAGATGAACAAAAATAAGAAAAGCTTCATTTTCAGCACCTACTAGCAATAAGCACTTAATATACTTTGCTAATCCTCATAACTCTGTAGGATCCCCTCTCTGAAAGAGCGCAAATTCTAAAAAGGAAGTTAAGACATGCACCTAAAGTGTTATTTTAACAACAAATACAAGGGATGCTTTGTGAAAGAGGTAGTCTTGATTGCTGGGTGAAATGTCAGCAGGAAGAAATATGGAAGTATACAGCAAGCAGAAACAGAGGGCATGCCTCATGGTCTCAAACCAGTCCAGCAAGCAGGGACTATAAAGTGAGGTAGCAGGAAATAAGGCTGGCAAGTGCTAAGGACAGAGTTAAGTGGGAAGAGTAATAAAATTTATATTTTAGAAAAGATGATACCCAGGGGGAGTGTCACCTCTTGTGGGAAGCCGCATTACACACCCTCTTCTGTGCTCCCACAGCATGCTGAAACCTCTCTGACACCGTTCTCCGTGGCATTGCATTGTCTCATGTCTGATTTTGTGGAAAGGCAACAGGGCTCTGGAGTGTGATAGACCTGGCTCAAAACCTAACTTCACCCACACTAGCTATGAGACCTCAGGCAAGCTCTGTGCTAAATCAAGCTTTCATTTCTGCATCTGTGAAATGGATGAGATGATCTCAAATGAGATAGTGTATTAAATTTGTCATGTAGTGTGCCTGCCATGTAAGAGGCATTCTAAGATTTTTAGGCCCCTTGGTCCCTAGTTCTGAGCTTCTTGAGGTCAGAGGTCTGTCATATGCATCTCTATATCTATCCCAAGGGCATGCACGTTAACTGGCACATGGTTGGCTAAATAAATGAACTATTTGCAACTGTCACCCATACACATCAAAAGATGGGTTGTGCATCTGGTAGACCCAAAGAAAGACAGACCAGAAGTCTGATTTTCAGTCCAACTCACCTTCCTGACACGCCCCTCGTTCATAGATATATTCTTAGCTTCAGATATTGTAAAGTTTCCCCCTTCAATCTTCTCCCATTTAGACACAGCCCTAAAATCAACCCAAATGGTATCATCTTACAATGGAGTTTGGAGGTCAGCTCTTAAAGCACAAGAGAAAATGCAACTCATAAAAATTACTCAAGATCCAACTCTCAGATTATTTTGAATGGGCAAGATTGGTGAGGCCTGACTGAGCCCTACTCATCCTTCAGTTCTCAACTGAAACATCACTTCCAAAGACCTTCTAGGGCCCCCCAAACTGGGTAACACTCCTTCTGTGTGTCCCATAGTGGCCAGAGCTTACCCACCACATTGCACTTATGACTGCTCATGGTCATGATCTGTTATTCTTATGGAAAGAATGATGGCTTACCTGACATCTGCTAGTGTTTCTTCCTTGTCATGGCAACTGCTCAATATGTTGTTATTGAATTCATGAATGCATTTACCCAAAAATTGATCAAAAATGCTTTCTTTTTATTCTTTTTCCTTCTACTAAGCAATGATTTATAATGAGCAGTGAGGACATCCACCACAGCTGTGGTTTCCTACACACAGAGGGAAAGCAATGAGAAGGCTGGGGAGCTCACATTTGTTGAGCACCTCCTCTGTTCCATTCCTCTTACACAAGTTAACTCACTTACAACTCCTGCAAACCCTGAGAGGTTCTACCTACTTTCGACTTGACAGAAGTGAGTCTCAGAGAGGTTAAGTAACTTGCCTAAGGATACAGAACCTTAAAGTGGCTGAGACAGAAGGCAAATTCTGAAGCCTTCAAAGAAAATTAAGGAATGTATACAAAGAAGGCAAAAGATTCCACCAAGAAACTTAGACACTAGATAAAACCAAAATAAAATTAATAACAATAAAACATACTGCATTCTGTCCACCAAAATGCAGGAAATGAGCTGGAAAAAAAACCCCAGTTTATTCTTGGCCTTCTATTTTTAAGAACTTCAACAGAATCCCTGACTCGCAATCTGAAAGACAAAGGGAATTTTTTTTTGCTTTGTTTTGTTTTTGAGAGGGAATCTCACTCTGTCGCCCAGGCTGGAGCGCAGTGGCGCAATCTCGGCTCACTGCAACCTCCTCCTCCTGGGTTCAAGCGATTCTCCTGCCTCAGCCTCTGAGTAGCTGGGATTACAGGTGCATGCCACCATGCCCAGCTAAGTTTTGTATTTTTAGTAGAGATGGGGTTTCACCATGTTGGCCAGGCTGGTCTGGAACTCCTGACCTCAAGTGATCTGTCTGCCTCAGCCTCTCAAAGTGTTGCGATTACAGGCATGAGCCACCATTCCTGGCTTGTTTTTAAAATTTGTTTCTAAAACTTAATTTAAATTTGTAATATTTTGAAACTTGAAACAACACACTACAAATCTCAAGATTTCATGTAGCTAGACCAAGCTGATGTAGAAAGTAGAGAATGACAAAGAGCTGTTGTGTTCTGGGACCTGGCAAATTTGGCAGGGTGGGAGATGGAGAGGCCAGCTTCATGCTGGGAGAGAAGGCAAGGGCATCTTCACAAGGCCAGGCTGAGGACACCACTTCAAAGAAGGTCTAGAGTGGCACTTTGCAAAGTCTGTTCCCTGGAATGGGTCCACCGTTCTCTCTCTCTCTCTCTCTCTCTCTCTCTCTCTCTCTCTCTCACTGAAACACACACACACACACACACACACACACACACACACAGCTTCATCTGTTTGTCGTTTCTGTTTTTCTAAGGGGAGGCATTACAGCATACTGCTCAAGATCACTTGCCTGAGCTTTAATCCCTTCTCCAACTTATTGTGTCCGACAGGCTGCATGACCTTTAGCAACTTATATCACTTCTCCAACCACTGGTTTCCTCATCTGTAAAATTTGGGTAACAGCAGTGCCTGCTTTACGGGGTGATGTGAGAGTTAAATGTAATGATGACTGCAGGGCATTTAGCATAGTGCTGGGCATCCTGGAAATGCTCAAGCGTCAGCTACTGTACTAAAAACAGTAGTATTGCATAAATAATAATGGCATTATAATTCAGTAGGTTTTCAAAACTTACTTGATCAAAAATCTTTCATTGATTTTAAAAGTCACAAAAAAAAGGTTGAAGATTGCTTTTCCAGAATGGAAAAATTGGATACTCCCAATTTTCCTTATCTTGGAACACTTGAACCACAAAGAAAGCAGGTGCTAATCTCAGTTCTGCTAAGAGGAGAATGAGCTGAAACACTGCCCAGCTTTTCCCATGCATAAGGGGCCGTGTGCCTGCCTGTACACCCTGCCACCCACCCCAGCAATGTCCCACTTAACCTAGCAGAGCCACACACTCCCCTTAAATGTCAAAGCTGAGCCATTGCCCAAAAGGCAGGAGAAAAGAAAGTAAAACTGGATAGTTATGAACTGGATATCACAATAATCCTTGGAAATATCTAAAATTATCTTTCAAAGAAAGTCCTTTTTATCAATAACTCCCTAAAAACTGAGCCCAGTGACTTGCTTACACACATCCTTAAGCAGTCTCAGGAAGTTGTAACTCAATGCGGAGATCTCATGTGCTATGGCTAGAATTATTGATTAACCCATACTCATTTAGCTCTTAAGTAAATTAAAAGACCACTAGTCTTAATGTCTGTTTATGTCCGGAATGTTTCAATGGAACTGTGGATTACCCAAGAAGTATTAAATGATGCATGTGTGTGTGTGCGTGCACTTGTGCACAACAGGGGACATGAACCCCAAAACCCCCCTCAACGGCTTCGGTCCATTTACAGGCAGCTGGTCACATCCTGACAGGCAGATTCTGAAATAGGAGCATCATCAAAGGGCAAAGAGCACTGACCTCCAGTATTTAAATAGGTTCCCCAAAGCTCTCCACGGCAGTGTCATAAAGTGGAAGCTTCTAGACCCTGAACTTCATTTTCCTTCTCCTGCCCTCAGTCAGGGAGATAAAGAATGAAACTAAGCAAGCTTAAGGGGTGATTCTGTCCACAGTCAGGGGCAAAGTAAAGATAAGCAGGCAAACAGCGAGAAACAACAGTGAGGTGGGAGCAAGGATGCTTTTAAGGGTCTTTATTTGCTTTTTGATGGCTAGGAGTTCCCAGAGTACTGGGCACACCTGCAGTCAAATGTAAGCATCAAGTACTCCAGAATCAAACAGATGATTTGGAAATTGTTTCTAATAGCCTGGATAAGTGAGAGTCGATTAAACATTGATGCTAAATTATGAAGCGCCTGGCAGTCTTTCACTTTTTTAAAGTGAGTATCTTTGAACAACAGCCATATGGGTGCTGCAATAATGAGGTTTATAAATAGGCTTAATATTCTAACAAGCTGGCTTTGAAAAACCAAAACTTGTGCTCTGTTTCTAAGTTGACAGAAAGATACCTCCCAGTTGGGCACAAGATTTCCTGGTATGGGAAGTTGAATATGCAACAACTGCATACACACAATGCAAATTCCAGTTCTGCCTTCAGTGTTCTCCAGGGTTTCTGGGTAACAATGACTCACTCTTCTCCAAGTCCTATCCTGTCTCCATTCTTTTCTCCAGAGACCACTACCACCGCCGACACACAGACCGCTTCGGAAAGCTTGGTTCTCAGCCCTCAGTTCTCTCAAGGGATAGGACATTGAAAGACAGGCTCAGATAAAAACAAAATGCACAGCAAGGCTCGTGTAGTTAACTACAGGTTCTCATGAGTACAGATCACATGTGTTTCACTCATGGGAAAGTGGACTGAGATAAAATGTCACAAATAACCATGAAATGAGTGAGGATCTGAACGATCATCTGATCCTCTGGTTTTGTTTTTCACTGGCATGCAGGGTACAGGTTGGAAAGAATTGGATATCTCTAGAAACTTCTAATGGATCTCTTACATCATTTGTATGAATTAATCTACGCGCTACTGAGAATGGAAAGTCTTTGTACATTTCTTCTCATTCCTATCAGTGATTTCATTTCCATGATGCATGTATTAAAAACTAACTTTGCAAAGCTATCCATTGCTTCCTGGCCTTTCCCATATTTTGAACAAGTAAATGCTAATGAGAAAAATATATACATAAACTGGTGGTCTCTTGACACCTTCCACAAGAATATTTAAGGGTGAGAAAGGAGATAATAGAGTAAGAGAATCTCCTGTCTTACTAGCTCGAATATTTAACTGATGAGCTACAAAATGAAATTCCATGTGCACAATGATTTCATTTTCCTGCCTGGCCAAAAGTCCAAAGCAAGACAACAACAACAACAAAAGATTATAAAATGGAAAAAAAAAAAACCTCATTTTTACCTTGAACAGCCCAATCATTAGGAAAGAAAAACTAACAAAAACAAAAATTCTAGGGAATTTATTAGCTAGGTTTTCTAGTAGAGAAAATTGTTCTACAGACTCATACTGTCATTGAATTATCTTAGAAAAGGAAGATCATATTCAGAGATAGCCAGCTCCCAAACATAGAGGACTCCAGTATGTTTAGCCAAAAGTGATGGATCAAATTCACATGAAGGAAGCCTTTGACAGTGTGGTTTGGGGGTGGGGATGGTGACCCTAAAGAATGGGAGAATGCAAATCTGAAGCAGAGATGTAAATAAGACAGTCAATTTTTTACTCTTTCTTAGGAGCAAGTGCATTTCTATCTAGTGCTGGCCAGGCAGTGGAAAGTAGAGAAACCTAGGAGAAGGTAACAAACTCCAAACTAAACAACCCCACAGGAAGCCCCACCTGGGGCTACACCAACTCACATGGCAGACCCAGGCTGCCCCAGTGCTCCTGTCCTCCCAAAGCAAGCCCCACTCTTCACTGATCTCCCTCCGCATCCCCTCGGCTGCCTGCAGACAGCTGGCCAGAAACAGAAATCAAATCTGCTGCTCATGCCTGCTTCTCTCATGAGCCTGGATTAAAAATTCCAGCACTTGGACTCCTATTTAAGAAGCCCTAAATGGGACCCCTCCCCAAAGAAAGCTGAACTCTTCCTTTGGAAGGCAAGATTTTTTTTTTAGCAAACCAAACACAATTTCCTTTCCTTCTAGCTAAAAGCCTTTTGCTCAAAGCTGGGCAATGAGCTAATCAGTGGCACCAAGGAAAAAACAGGGAAAGGTTTTGAGAGAAAGAAAATAGAAAGCAAATGTCATGCTTGTGGAAGCCCAAGTAGTACGTTTTTTGCATAACTGATTTAGTCCTCTATTCACGTATTTACAACCACTTGCTGTGTTATAAGTACTGCAAAACTGTGTGGGTGGGAATGGAAGCAATTTTTACGACCTTCTTCCTGGGAGCCCGTCTCCTGCTTAAATAAACATCAGTAAGAAAAGCTAAAAGCAAAACTATCTCTTAATATCTGTGACGGCACTGCCAAAGTAGATATAAATCCAAAGGATTAAGACAAAATCTCACTCTTCACAGATCTATCCCTGTAATTAGGGGAGGAGTAGGGTTTTTTCTAATTGAATTATTCACAGAGCTGTTTCAATTCTCTACTTTGTTTTTCCCCTTGTAGATTTAGCCAGAACAAAAACTGTAATCTTCTGCTGAATTTCACTTCAATGTCAGTCTAATTTTTCTAAGTCTTGCCTACCCACTCCTGCAGTGTTCCTTCCCTCTCCCCACTCTGTGCCCTTCCTCCCAACTCTTATCAAAACTGACTCCTGGCAGAAAGCAGCTGCTGGTCATTTACAATTCCAGGTGAATTTGAATCAGTGCCATGGCTCCTTGGGAGCATGAGTCCTTCCTATTTCATCCAAAATCCTATCTTGTAGTAGCATCATCTATGTAAGCCTCCCTAAACACACGCTCTATAAATCTCAACAATTTAAATATGGCAAAATGAGCCCATTGTCCAAAATACAGGGAAAAAAAGCGCCAACTAGCAGATGCATTTCTTGGGACCATTTTGAGCTCTTCTGTCAACTGAAATCAGATGAGCATTGGAAGCAAATTTTCCTGAGCTATAGTAGTTACCTTCACTGAAACTATGCCAAATCTCCCAGAAATTGGTGCTTTGAACGATTCTTTCATTTTTTTTTTAACAATGACTAATTTCAGTCAGTGATTTTATAGTCAGAATGGCAGTTCTGAAACAACATTTATGAGGCTTGATTTATGATAATTAATCCTTCTATTTCACTAATGAGCTAGGAAAGGCCTTATTTATGAAAGTGTTTAAATTCCTCACAGTTAGCAGACACGGTTTCCAGTGACACCCACATGGAATGGTATACTAAATGCAATAAACTTTTGTGGGTCATCCTTAGACAAAAGTCAGAGAGACAAATGAAAACAAGTGGCAGGATGTCAGTCGGAATTTGAACTACTCCTAAAACATCTGGAAGGAGCTTTCAAAGATTAATCTTTCACTTCCATATTTACTAGATGTATCTCTAGAGTGTAGGAAAAGTCTTGGTTATTTAAGCATTTTCTTTGGTTGGAATCTGGATAAACAACAGTTTAATGGTCTTTGGATATCCAATTGTGACTTTCAGACAAAATGCTCCATGCACTCTCATACTGATTGTCTAAATTATTGCTCTTCTGGTGGCCTTAAGGGAAAGGAAAGCTGTATTTTGGCAGAATATTGAATACCGGGTCCTTGCAATGGGTCCTTGGATTTGGGTAGAAATAGAAGGAAGGCCTTAAAGAGCAGAGAAAGGGCATGAATGGGCAGAGGTGGTACAGTGAGTGAGCGCTGTGGCCAGAACTGTGGACTGCTCCAGGAGACAAGGCCCAGCCATATCCATGGAGGCACCTCTGGAGCAGGCACAGGAGGCCAAGCCCCCTCAATGGAGCCTAAACTGCAGAAAGGCCTCTTGCCAGAGCCAGAGAGCCTCCACGCAGCCAAGCTTCACTTGGCCCTTCTGCAGTGGGCTAGGCTCCAGGCTTCAGGTCTCAGCCCCATGGCATGTGCCCTCTACCTCCCAGAAGGTCCGTGATGAGGGCTCATCCCATTTGGCTCCCTGGGTCATGGCCTCTTTCTGCCCTTGGAATACTGGGAATGACCATACTGGTTTCTGTCTCTGTTCCAAACCTATGTTTTGATGGGCATGATACCAAGTAGTCAATATAAGTTTCAAGTAAAGTTATGATTATTAGCTGGCCTAAGTAAATGCCAATATTTTGAACAAGTAAATGCCAATGAGAAAATATACATAAATTTTTGGTCTTCTGAAACCTTCCTTCAGACTATTTAGGGGTCACACTAAACTGTATTCTCTACTTACAAAATTTATAGATATATTAATTTGGCATCATTCAGATATACACAGAATTTTCCTGCTTACTTTGCTGGGCTGTAGATTATATCTCCAGACCTGTTTAATCTCCAGACTCACTTATCCAACTGCTCTTGCCTTCCCCATATCTCCCCTCATAGTCAGTATGTCCCACACTGAACTCATCCCATACTGAACTCTCTATCCCCCATTCATTCTGTTCCCACTCACGACAAGACCTGCAAACATGTTCCTCCCTTAGTGATCCTAATCTAAGAAAAAAGAACCTGGGGATTCAAGCCAAAACCCTGCGAGTTGACCTTAATTCCACTTTCTTCCTCATCCCCCATATCCAAGTCCTGTTGGATCTACCTCCTAAAAAGTTCTCACATCCATGCCTACTGATAATGGCTTCCCCTTGCTGAGGCCCCCTGGTGGATGAAGTCGGACCTGGCTCCTCTCCAGCTGTGTCTGGAGCCTTCGCCTCCTTCCAGTCTGCGCTGCAGCCACTTGGCCTTCTTTCATTTTCTCAGAGGGGCCATGCTCCTTCTTGTCTTTAGATCTTTACAGGTATAAACATCCCAGGCCTTAAATGCCTAGAATACGCTTCCCTAACTCTACTTAACTACAATTTACATAATCTTCATGTCTCAGCATGCGTCTCTTTTCCTCAGAGAAGCCTTCTCTGAATCCCGGACCAGGTTTGGGTCCTCTCTTCTATGTTTTCACAGCTCCCTGTGCTGGACTTCTTGCAGCACTCGTCACAGCAGGTAGTAATTTATGGAAGTATTGTTTAATATATTCCTCTACTGTAGGCTGAACATCCCCCGAGGGAGGGAGCCTTTGTCTTGTTTCCCACTAATTCCCTGGTGCTTAGCACAGCACCAGGCACATAGTAAGTGCCACAGAAATATTTGGTAAGTGAATGAATGACTGAATTTTCTGCATACAGATGTGTATTCCTTCAACTATATGAACAAAACTCATTACCTAAAATGATCAATTTTTATATCTTCTGGATGGAATGATTCTCTTTAGTTTTTTCATAATCTCACAAGCTAGGAACATCTAGCTTTGTCTTACGGTCATTAAGACTCATTTATTTTGTTTAATAACAGCTGTCAAGAGGACTCTGTATAAACAGTACAATAAAAGCCTGAAGAATACCAACACTTTACACGAATTCAGTATACTTCCTCCAGAAATAGAGTGTTGCATTTGTTGTAGAATTCATTTTTATTGCTAGTGGGAAACTCCGATGATGGTCATTCTCAAAGCTGTCCCAGTCTATTGTAATGTGCCTTATATTTGTTAAGTTGGTGCAAAAGTAATGCGGTTTTTGCCGCTAAAACTAACAGCAAAAACTGCAATTACTTTTGCATTAACCTAATAACAATTATTTCTTTTAGTTGTTTCTCAAAAATCCAGGAGATAGGTCCTATAAACACTTTTCTTCCATGTGGGGAAATGGAAACCAAGGAAAGTAGTCTTCCATGAGCCAAAGAAAATTAAAGATTGAAAACTAGAGATGGTAATGCAGAAACCTCTCTGCTGAGGGCTGCTTCCCAACTGACAGAGGAATGCTGTAAAGCTCAGTCAAGATATTAAGCACTTTGCTGCTAAATATTGAGTTGTAATTAACTAATACACTAGCATAACCAAATTACAATAATCAAGTGATGATGTACTAGTAAGCTGCATGAGTATTCAAGTAAAGAAAATTTCACTGTAAATGTGAGAATCTACTTCTTTTGATATTCACATTTTTCCCCTTTAATATACATTAAGAATGTATTTCAGAGAGATTTAACTTGATCTTTATTAAGAAAAGAAAGACTCGAAAACAATCCTTCAAACACAAATGTCTCCCTTCTCTGAATCCTAGCATGTAGCGTCCACATCACTTAGTCAGCAATTAATTATTGCCCTCTTTTTTGTTGTTGATTTTTAACCTTTTCACATGTATAAGACGTATCTTGTTTCCCTCAATATATTCTAAGTTTCCTGATGGTAAGGATTTTCTTCTGATATTTTCGTATCCCTTCTGAAGCTCCTAGCACCTAGTACATAATGGAAACCCAATAAAAATATGCTGAACGATCTGGCAATTCCAATTGAATGGGAGAGTAAAAGGACCAGTTAATACATTAAATATGTAATCTGGGGGAAACAAACAACAATTTTTTAAAGTATTCTCCTGGAATTGCTTTTCTGGTAAGATTCAGGTCAATGCCCTCTTCCCTGGGTCATCTCCTTGCAAGGATTTAATAATAAGAACCAAGATTCTCAGACCCACCACTCCAGGCCAAAGGTCTCTCCATGGCTCCATATTGCCATCACCAATAGCTACTTGAACATTCCAGAGGCTACCAATTTAACATATCTATACCCAAGTTTATCATTCTGCTTTATCCTAGCCTGCTCTTATCTCCATAGTCCCTAACGAGGCAAATAACACCAAATTCACTGAGACATCTAAGCTGAAAGAACTCAGAAGACAACAGCTCCTCTTTCTCTACTCTAAATCTATGTTCTGTCAATTCTCATTTCAAACATGCCCCCTGTTCTTTCATCTTCAGCAGCGCTACCCCAAATCAGGCATCTTCCCCAACTGGTCTCCAGGCCTCGAGTCGCATCTCCAATCTGTCCTCCACCCTTTTTCCAGAATTACAATCCTAAAATTCAAATCTAATTTTGTTACTCTCCAGCTTAACATCTTTTAACAATTTCTTATAACTGAAAGGATAAAACACAAACTTCTAAAAATATTATGTATCATAAAATATATATATATTTCTCTAGAAGATATGAAAGAACACCTAGAACACAGCACTTTTTTGTTGTATAGTAAAATGTGTTCAATTACTCACCTCCTCAAACTATGAGCATACATAATTTTGAGTAAAACAAAAAGTAAAATTTTTAAATGTCATGTATCACTACCCAGCCTCTGCCTTCCTTTCCAGCATCACCTCTCATGACTACACTTCTATCTGTCCCTCAGTACTGCACTAGATGAGCTGCAAGAGGACACCACACATTAAGCTTTTAAGGAAAGTAAGGCTCTTGGGAATTGATTAGTAGGAGAAGGTAATCCTGTTACCCAGACCAATTCAGGGGCCAACTACTTCTGACGGAACGGCGGTGGGGGGGGGGGGGAGGAGCCGGGGGCCAGTGAGGGGGAGGTGGTGAGATTTATCTCCAATAGCTCCATGTTGCATGACAGCAAACAGACCCAACCATACTCTCTCCTTAGGGAATTCTCAATGAGTGGTGAACATAGAGAAGGTTCACTAGAACACAAGCCATATCTCAGTTAAGTGCAAGCAGCTTTGCCAGTAGTCCCTAAGAACATCTCAGAAATCTCAACTAGTTTATTTTGGGCTGCCCGGAAGACTCCTTGTTTTTCTCTCATCTTTGTAAAAGGTTTCTTTGCATTTTTGCAAAAGGCTGACATCAATGAAAAGAGTCTAAGCAAGTTTCTTCCTTATGACTCTAATGAGTCTCCTAGAATGAATACACAATTCACTGTAGTCTGTAACACCTTCTCTGGCCCTCCCAGGTAGACGTAGCTTCCTTCGCATCCCCCTGGAACTATATTCATCACCTCCAGGTACTCATATCAGTCTCTGCCACTAGCCTTCAAATTGCTGAAAGTTAAGTAAGTATCTTACCTACTTTTGCAAACCCAGGGCTTAGCAAACTGACTGGCACCTAATAGACACTCAGTAAATGTTAATTGAGTAATCCCATGTTGCCTGAACACTAATTATATCATTTAAAAGTTCGGTTATATAGAAAGAAAACACAGAGAGGGCTTAAATAAGAAATTTAAAACCAAAGGTCCAGGCTTTGTTGCCTATGGCTTTTCTCCTCATCTTTGCTGTGTAGGTTGGAAGAGTCACTTAACTTCTCTGTACATCAATAGGGTATTAGTTAAGACTGTTTCAGAGAAACCAAATTCAAAACATCCTAAGCAAAAACAGAGTCTAACTAGCTCATGTAGCTGGGACAGCTGACAGAACTGGAGACACATCTACAGGAACTGGGACCTCCAGGAGCTGACCCAGGGATTCCCACTCCGTGTTTTCTGCTTCCTTTTGAGCACTAGCCTCACTGCCTCCTATCATAAAAGGTCTTCTCTATGAGGTGGGAAATGGATCCAATGGCAGCCCCATGAAAGTCCAGAAGAAAAGCAAAGCCTCCCTTTCCCACAGCCAATACAGAAATGTCAATGAGGGACTCTAATGCTTCTGTTTGGGATCCATACCCTACTTGAAACCAACTTTTATTACCTGGAAGGTGAATTCTGTGATTGGCCAGTCCTGTAGTATGCTGGGGTGAGGAGTAGAGTCTGTTAGCATAGTAAGGTGGATGGGAAGCTTGCTGCATAGACAAAAACAATAGTTGTTGCAGTCTATTAACTTAATAGCCATTCTCTTGCCTTTATATTAATAATGTTACTTTAGGTAATGCAAAAAAGCATCATCATCTTCATGGAGTGTTATATAAGCATAAAATTTATTATACCAACTACCTCATAGTTGGGCAAAATAAATATATGAGATTAGATAATTATAATTGTGATAATAAATGCCAAGGAATAAGTAAAACCTGCTCTCTTGCTCTCAGTTTTTAAAAAATGCAGCATAGAAACACGTTTCTGACATCATCTAGCAGGCTGGCAATAGAAAAACTTTTTGGTCGGGACCCAAGGTACAGTCATAACCCAATTGCTCAAACCCAAGGAGCCCTATGAGGCTTCATCAGGGGTATATAGAACACCCACAGCCCTGTTTCCCTGACTGAAAGATTCTGTAACAAAAAAGTAATTCAGAGGGACACAAAAAAGTAATTCAGAGGGACTCAAAAACTCTATCCAGTCCTCCAGAGAAAAGAGATATGACAACAGCTCATTGGGAGGAACTGAGGTTTATGGAAAAGGAAAAATGAGGCTCCTCTCCAAAGAGTAAGAGGACAGCATCCCTCTGAGAGTTCCAATTAAGAAAGCTCAGGTGTGCAGTATTTGTTTTCTTCTCACTTAGAGAAATGGGAGCATGTGCGTAAGCAGCATCAGGGCCACAGAGCAAGGCTGAGGACCAGCACCCTCCCTGGAAATCACAGCTAGCCTCTGAGCGTTAGTGTGCAGAACCTCGCTCAAGGGGCATGGGCGCCATCATCATAACAGACACCTGGGCTTGCAGGTGTCTATAATCCCAGCTAAGATAGAGTGTTTAAAACTCACATCTCCAATATTTGATGCACTGTTAGTATGCTGATGATGCTACAATGCTAAGAGTTATTCCTAATTCTTTCTTAGAGAAATATGTAAAACAGCTCTATGTTTCAAATATGTATTACTGTATACCGGGTGGAAGCGTAGGCACTGGGGATAAAAAGCAAACCAAAAGCAAGTGACCAAAGCAAACCAAAAACCCTGTCTTCATGGGGCTTATATTCTAGCTGGAGGAGACAGACAATAAACCTAAAAATAAATAAACTATACAGCATTCGGATGGTGGGAAGTGCTAGAGAAAAATAAAGCATGGCAGGGTATGGGTACGGGTTGGAATGTATAGGGGACACCTCCCTGCAATATACTTGGCTGTTGATTATTTGCAGGTGATAACCACAGAAATCCTCTTGCTCTGGTAAAGACTACCTCTCACCAGTGTGAAAGAGGGGCTATAAAGAAGGGAAAGAGAAAGCCCACATGATCACCACAGTGGGATTCAGCCCTGGGCCACAACTCTGCCACACATCTTGCCCATTTCCCACCTCAGTTTAGATTTCTGTGCCCCAACCTGGGCAATGATGTTAATAAAACCTGCATCCTAGCTAGCTCATGGCTCATTGTGTTGACAGGTCTCACGGCCATAAGCTGTCCTAAATATATATTTATCTTCATTTTGAATATTTAAAAGCTCACATTTGGGTTTTTATGCTTCACCACCTATTGATTGAGCATCTACTATGTGCTAAATGCTGTTCTAGGTATTGCAGTGAGTAAGTATGTGTCCTCATGGAACTTACATTCTAATGGAGGAGATGAAAAATTCAACAATAAATTAAATACGGGCGATACCAACAAGAAGGAGATGCGATAACATTGAATAATCCAGGCGTGAGTTGATGATCACATCCTGAAGTGAGATGTCTCTCAGACAAGCTGAACTGAATTCCTGACCATCTGTGGTCACCTACAGAGCCCTTTCTATAAAGGTGTCATGGTAATATATTGGTATGAAAATCCAATTATGGTTTGAGGCTTTCTAAAATGTTGAAAGAGCAGCTTCCTTTCTCTTACTGACAATCTGTTGTGTGGACAAATATGCACACACCCTTCCTTCCCCTAAGGGTTTCTATTTTGTGGACGGCAAAGTGTTATTCCAAGTTGTGGACTGCAAAAATGTTATTCCAAGTTGTATAAAAGAGTGTGTGCTTTGGTTTCCAGAGTCTTTAGCTATTTATTCTAGCACTGCTGTTATGTTTAAAAAGAAGAAGAAGAAGAAGTGGTAAGGATCACATACTGGTAAAAATATGTATAATAATAACAAATAATAGCATCTCCTTTTCAAATTAGAAAGTGAAGCTATAATCACCCCACACTTTTCATGTTCAAAAGCACTAGGTTCTGAGTAGATACAAGAGACTAGAAAATGAAAATGTAGTTACATTACACTGCAACACCTTGGAGAGAGAAGCCTAGCAGATATGAAACTGAGAAAGCTACACGACGCAGTGTTGTAAGTGCTAATGCTTTTCCACACAAGTTCCCGCCTCAGCATTGCTGATTTGACCAAACACTTGTCTCTAGCCCAAATGTCTCCATGGAGTCGGTTTAAATTGAAAAGCAGTCCAAGAGAAGAAGTTCCTGGGTGTATGGATATGAATCCCTCTAGTCAGCATGGCAAGGAATCCAGCTCGACAACGCTTTCACATTATACACTTTGGGCCCAGACTTTGTGGACACAACAAACTTTCTGTGTGCAGCACAATACAATCGGACGTAATGTTCACTAAATATAACATGAGATTACTGTAAACACCACTCCGAGAGCTGCTGCGTTGCAGGCATCTAAACTGTCAGGAAAGCCTGCCAGCCAGAGACAAGGTTTCCAAATAAATTTACAGTCTCCACTAGCGGTGGCTAGACAAGTCAAAAATCAAATTATTTGGCATGGTTTCCCATTGAAATCAATGGCAATGAAGCTCACTTGGACTATATATGGAATGGCTTTTATAAATTGCACCTGTCAATAAGGACCCCTTAAAGAAACACATACTACCTTAATGCTTCTCCTTAGAAACTTTGAATATCAAGCTAACTTAGATCAACACATTTTTTATTTGTCTTTTGTTTGTGTGTGTGCTTTCAAAAACAATAACAGCAGCAAAACAAACAAACTGGCAGGAAGCTGGTTTTCCCATCAGTGCCCTTGTTAGAAACAGAATGTCTAGAGAATATGCTTGGAGAAAAGCCATATTTTTAAACCACACTAGATATCTGATGCCAAATGACTGATGAAAGTAGTATCTAGTAGTAATGGAAGGTGTCTTTGGGACCTGCCCAGTGACTGAGGAGCAAGCTGTGAATATACAGCTATCCCTCAAGCTCCTGACTGGAGTGACCAGCAGTTCACTGATGATGAAATATTTTTACAGAAAATACCATGTATTTTCAGGTCACCTCTCCTCAGTACCCAAAAACAGACAGAACCCAATGAAGTGAATGAAATTCAGAGATCTCCATCCATCAGGGCAACTAGAATTCTGGCCACTCTATTTCATTGTTCAAATATTGCAAGAAAACCCCAATATCGTTTCTGCCCCCCCTTTCTCCACAAGAGCCTTTCCTTCTAGTAAACATTTCTCCACCAAAAAGAACCCCAGGAAATATCAGAAGTTCGACTGGGCTAAGGAGAGGGAAAAAAGAAATGTAGCAGCCAGAATGCATGTTGAATTTTAACTGTTGGTAAGTTCTTGGACCACCTGCCCAAGTGTATGCAAGCAGTTTGCAGAGAAAAATTCTTCCTTCAATTAAAAGTCCCTGTCTGGGTCTCAAACTTTTCTCCCTGGGCAAAAAGGATCAGAAACACCTCATTGAGTATTGGGCCACCATAACTGACTCATCAAAGGACATCTCTCCTTCCCCCCAAAAAAGCATGACTTGGAACAGCAAGGCATTCTAAGACAGAAAGACAACCCTCTCTGTGTTGGAAGAAAAGTAGCAGTGACTGTAATTAACAGAGCAGCAGTTGTGGAACTTCTAGGGTTGTATTTAAAGGCCCATGCAGGAACAGGGTGAGCAGTCGTGACTGCGGCTGTGTGGTAAAATAAGGATGGGAGCGGGAAATGGGGCAGGAGAAGTAAATAGGTATACTTACAGCCCGCGGAGCCGAAGCCAGATTTTCTCGATCTGTTCCGGTTGCAGGTATTTCAGAGAGTTGCTCTCAAATTCTTCAATCTCCTTGGTTGGCGACTCCATAGCTGCAGGTAGGTGACCACTGGCGGTGAAGCTGAGATAGTTTGGGCTGTCCCCTCCCCGTCTCCTCGCCCAGCTCGCGATGCCCAGCCAGGCGCGGCGCGCGTTTGCCCGGCACTTTCTCGGCGCGCTCCCCCTTCTGCGCCCCCAGACTCCGACTTAGAGCGGACTCCGATCGCGGCAAACCATGGCCCCAGGTGCGCTCCGGAGGCAGCTGCGGGAACCAGCCATGGTCCCGGGCTAATGCCCAGGGATAAGCACAGGGATAGGGATAGAGATAGGGATTGGGATTGGACTCCAGCTCCAAGAGAAAGCACCTCGGGTCTATTCGTATTCTCCCCCTACCCCCAAACAAAGCCACAGAAGCGATCAGCGCGCAGCTAAAGGGTTTGGAGGTGAAAAGGAGGGCTGGGTGGGGAGGAGAGAAAGTGAGAAGGGAGAGAAAAGCGGCGGCTGAGCAAAGCGGGAGCCGGCGCGGGCGGTGGGGCCTGACCCGGACGCCGCGCACCCGGCTCCGCCCCGCGCCCAGCGCCCCGCTCACTCCCTGGCCGCGCCTGCCTTCGCGCCCCTCTGTTTTCTCTCACTTACCAGCAGCTCTGCTGACAAGCGAGAAAACTGACAAGTGAGAAAAGTCGTCTGTCAGCGCCCGGGCTGGTGTCTGGGCTGTCACCGCGGGCGCGGAGGGAGGGGCGCGCGGGCACCGCCGTCTGCCGGGCACACGCTGGGCTCCGACCCCGGCCGGGCACACTCACCCCCGCAGGGCAGCCGCGGCCACCACCGACCTGCGGAGCTGCGTGGGCTTCCGGAACCCTCACCTCAACAAGAGCTCGGCTCCGCGCGCAAGTAGGAGGGAAGGGAAATCCTTATCCTCCCGGGGCCAGGGCACGCAGAAGCCGCGAGGCTTCGCGGAGGTTGGGCCTGGAGGTCCCCCACAGCCTCACTCTCGCACCCGCCACAGAACCGGATCCATTTTGAAATATTGAAGCGACTGATGGGGACGAAGGGAACCACACACCACACTCAAAAACTCTTGATGTTTTCTTGCTAAAGGGGCTCTCTCGCTCGCGCTCTCTCTCCTCCCTCATTCCCTCCCTCCCTCCCTTTCACCCCCCCACCCCCATCTCTCTCTCTTGTGCGGAAGAAAAGGAGAAAATATACCAATAGTGAGGAGGTAAGTTTCTTCAGATCAATATCACACGCTACTCAAGAGGGTCCCTCCTGGGTGCTGGCTGGGCGGCTGTGGATGGTGACAAAGTTTCAGCTCCACAAAGCTGCAACTCACTGTCAGGGTTCCCCTAGTTCATGAACAATGTCAATAAGGTAGAATGCTCTGGAAGAACGGGACCAGGTATGAAGTTGGGAGTCAGGGAGGGAGGACAGATGAAGAGAGGAACCAAAGACTGGGGGAATCCATGCCCAAGATGATTGCAAGCGACATCACAGAAGGGTCCGTCAAACTTCCTTCTAGGTGAAGCCACCACCAGGGGCTATTTCAAACCTGGCTCTCAGGGTTCCTGAGATTCAGGGTGGGGCATGCCCTATACAGTATTTTTCCTCAATGACAGGTAATACTTCTTTCCATCACACTCTCAGAATTATTTTCCTATCTATTAGATGATTACCTGCTTCCCAAAAGCATGATAAACTTAGAAGTGAGGACTAGTTTCTCTTCACTGCTCAAGTAAAGTTCCATTCACCTGACCTTAACAAAGGAATAAAATGGTCTCTAAATCATAAATGCTCACCCACTTCATAATTGGCATTCATTTTCCAGAACTTAGAGGTGAGAGTGATGAGGATGCTTGGCTGGCCCCATGCATTCTAGCAGAGAAGGTAGTAACTCAAGGTAAGACAAAAGACCTGTTTGATGAAAAACGACTTACCTACTCACCTGCCAGGTAAATCTGAAGTCGCCCCATTAAAGGCAGCCTTTTAAGGTTTATGGAGGCGCATATATTTTCACTGAGTTAAGGTATTATTACTAGGCAATGGTAACATTAAGCAATATTTTAACATGGAGTTCATCTATCTGAATAAAACCAATTACCCTTCCAGTGTCACCCAGCAGAGAAACAGTGCCCTGGGGAAATAGAATGTCACAAGAGGAAATTTTTATAGTGACGTGTTTTGAGAATGGAAGACAGCAGCATGGTCCCCAAATGGGGTATTTCCATTAGTGTGTGCACCTTGGGCAGCCTGCTGGCACCATGTGGAAGTACAATAATGATAATAACAGCAAACAAGTGTCAGAAACTTTCCATAGCCCAAGCATTGTTCTAAGTGTTCTACTCTCATGTAATACTCGAGACTATTCTATGAGGTAGATACTATTATTATCATCCCCATTTTACAGTAAGAAAACTGAAGCACCAGGAGGCTTCCTAGACCAACTAGAGAGAAAACTGAACTAGAAAAGACCAGAGTTTGAGTTATGGCTGATTACCTTATCCTATACAAATACATCCCCCTCACAGAGTCCCATTTTCCACATCTATAAAGTGATACATTTAGGCAAAAATATTTTTATGTTGTTTTCAGCTTTATGATTCATTGAGGTCATCTGGAGAGACTTGGAAAAAGAAATTGCTGAAAAGAGAGACGAATAATGCTGAATTCACATTTTAACTATGTCATAGTTTCTCTAAGTACTGGCCTAGGATGAAAATATACAAAGGAATATTAAGCATGATACTTACCTTTCACTCCATACCACATCTATGACTTTTTCCTACTCTTAGTGGAATTTTGATTGTCAGAGAAAAGCAAATTTTGGAAGAAAAAGGAAAGAAATCGACTTTTGCTGCAATTAAGCAAATCAGAGAGAAAAGAGCAAAAACATTTTTTTTAAGTTTTTGAAGCTAGATTTTGTTTCATTTGAGAAAATTTCTTACAAAATTAATGTGTATTAGAAAGTCAGGAAAAATATAACTTTGCTTTATCTACAGCCATAATAGTCTTTAGAGCAGGAAGGAGCCCAAAAGACAACACAGTTTGGAGGTTTTCAAATTTTTGAAGCAACAGAATATTTTATTTTAAATAATATAAGGAACTCAAATGCATAACTCAGCTTTAAAAAATAAAGATAGAGTGGCTCCAGTTGAATGGGGAAGGGAAGTAGTTAGTTCTCAAGTACAGAGTCCACCTCTGCCTCCTCTTTACCCCAGCTCTTAGTGCCCAATGCTCCCACTTTACAGATGAGAAAACTGAGGCCAAAATACCACAAAACAACTAAGGATTCCTTGCTCCTAAACCACATTAGAAAACAACTTTGTCTTCTCTCTGCCAACAAAATACTACTATTTTTAGATGCACCATGTTACTACGTCACTCAGATTGTGTTCTCTCTTCATCTATCACAGCCAAAGTATGCTTGATAGTTGCAGCAACACCACAAGCCACAATTTCTACTAGCATTCTGCTCAGAGGCAAGCAAAAAGAAACAGATGCAAATAGACCTGGAAACAAAAGGTCTAAGAAAACACAAAGCCACTCACAACTTTGCTTTACAGTTTAATTTCCTTTGTTTCTTCCTAACCCAGATTTTTCAGTAAAACTGTTTAGGAAACATTACATGGTCAAACATCACTAAATGCATATAGACATGCATACATACATACATATATATATATGCACAGGCACATATACATTCATGTATGCATGCATACATACATATAACCAACAATTTAAAGTACTCCTGCAAATTCACACAGAGTAACTAAGTCTATGGACTAGCCAACCTCTGCACTGTCAGAATTAAGTATCACAAAAGATTAGGAAGAAAGTGAGCTACCTGTCCCAGAGTTCAAGGGGAAGCTAGATGTTAATCTGATAAAAAAAAATAGGAATCAGGCTTTGAAGGCATGAGAATGACCCCCCTGGTCTCTTTCATTGCTAAGATTTCATGGTTCATTTATAATCACAATAACCACATCTACCACCCTACCAGTTTTTGAGAACTATCATTTGCCAAGCACCATGGCAGGCACATCACAGGTTGATCCATTTCATCCCCAACAAAATACTTTAGCATAGTTTAATTATGCTCATTTACAAGTAAAGACAGAAAGGGCTCCCAATGGTCAGATAACTTCTGCAAAGACATACAGCTAATACATGGCACAGCAGGTTCCAAACCCAGACCAAAAGGCAAAGCTCATGTTCTCTTGCCTTTGCTATACCACCTCCCTGCAGACACGCAAAAACTCTAGTAAAGAGGTATATAATAGAGAAGGTACGGAAAGGAGCAGGAGCATGGATGAGGGGATCATTCATGCTGTGGGGAAATTAGGAAGGCTTCATAGTGAAGGTGACATTTGAACTGGATCTTGAAAGTAGGTGGAGTAGAAATTGTTTGCATGAAAGGTGGGTGGAGGCAGGTGATTCCAGAGAGAGGGCACTGCATGAAAAGAGGCACAGAAACATGGTAACGGGTAGGGTGTCCTGCAATCCACAAACGTTTTGTGTGGTGTGTCTGTGAATGTGACACGGAACAGAAAGAGAAAATGCTGGAATGATCAGCCATTCTCTTGTTGTCATGGAAGAAGCTTGGGCTCTCTCCTATAGATGTCAGGGAGCCATGGGCACATCTAAACAGTGAGAGGCATGGCCACATGTGGAGGGTACCTGCTGCCCTGAATATGCCAAGGGCATTGTGCACAGAGGTCAGCTCTCCAGGAAGCTGCCACAGGAGCATGCAACAACTATGGTGCAAATGATAACCAGGGCTGCAGAAGAGAAATCCAGTGACCAACTGCAAACAAGCTCCTCCGCTTACAAACAAGGAAGAGTAGAAAAAGGAAAATAGGCAAATCAGAAAGAGCAAAGCTTTTTTTCTTTCAGCTATGAGATGATGACTACTTGCTTTGACCTCCATGAAGCCAGCCTATGCCCTTGATCCATTTTTCACGACTTGGCAGTGGCATCATGAAGAGAGTCTGTTGAGGGGGAAATTCTGGAGACACATTTAGGACATCAGAAGTAGCACCACCAGGCACAGCAGCCCCTCCTCCCCGCCCACACCAGATGTGAGGCGGCCCCCACAATGTTCTGTCAACAGAGGCTGTTCTCTCTCACTGGCTTCCTTTGTGGGGAAAGGGGCCTCTTTGGCGACACTGTTACCCTGCTTCTCCCTCTGACGTCTTTTTCTGTTTGATTTTATAATTTGGGGCAGACTCTGTCTCAGGAACCACCTTCCCTAGAAAAAAGAGGTGAAAGAAAAGGCAGAGGACTGGCTAAGCCCAGAGGTACCCCCACTCTAGCCCCCCTCTGAAATGGGGCTCTGAATAGCCAGAATCTCAACTACATTACCAAGTAGTGGCCCAGAGAAGTGAGAAGACAAAGAGATAGAAGAGATAGGGCAGCTCAGGGGCAGCCCGATGTAGTCTGCATGTGACCCACAGTTTCTGCGCCTCTCTCTGCCAGGATCCTTCAGTTGCTCCCACAAGAGAAGCTTACATAATCCTTCCGATAGAGGTGGCACAGGCAAAGGAAAGGACTTGGAGTGGTACTGCCTCACCACGCCACCTAGGATAAGACCCTTCTCTTGTTTGGCCATGGTTGGGTTGGGCTCAGGGACCTCTGGATCCCTTTCCAATGCTCACATACCCTAATGTTCCATCAACAGAGGCATGGTTAGTCTGGCCTGGGCTAACCAAGCTTTTCACGGACCCAAAAAAGCTGCAGGAAAACCTGAGTCTGCCCCCGCAGGCCAGATTTGACTATAATAGACATAACCTAGATTGTCCAACCAGAACCATGGACCCCATACCTATGGATAGAGTGATTGGTCCAGGGGGTGATATGTGACTGAAACAGATCTGGTCCTTATGGGAGATTTGATGTGGCCCCTAGGAAAGAGATGGTCTATTTCTCTTTTCTTTGAGAAACAAGCCATATGGCTTGAAGTTATCTTAGCCATGGGGTTATCTTTTCACCATGTGGAGAGAATATACCAGAAAAATGACATCAGGGCTGGGTGCAGTGGCTCATGCCTGTAATCCCAGCACTCTGAGAGGCCGACGTGGCCGGATCACCTGAGGTCAGGAGTTCAAGACCAGCCTGGCCAAGATGGCAAAACCCCATCTCTACGAAAAAAATATAAAAATTAGCTGGGCATGGTGGCACACGCCTGTAATCCCAGCTGCTCAGAAGGCTAAGGCACAAGAATTGCTTGAACCTGGGAGGCGGAGGTTGCAGTGAGCTGAGATCACACCACTGCACTCCAGCCTGGGCGACAGAGTGAGACTCCATCTCAAAAAAAAAAAAAAAGAAAAAAAGAAAAAAGAAAAAAAAATGACATCAACACAGAAAAAGCTGAGAGAAGAACTAGAGAGACAAAGAAAAACAATGTGAAAGGGTCCATTGAGCCCCCTGATCCTGCTATGCCTGAAGCCAGAATGCCCATTGACTTTTAGGTTATATGAACAAAATAAATGTACCCCACCAATTTTTTTTAACTTAAACTAGTTTGAGTCAGAGTTATGTTACTGACAACTAAAAGAATGCCAACTAATAATACAATTATTCCTTATAGGAATGTTGTAAGGAGAAAAAAAAAAAAAACAGGGCCGGGCACAGTGGCTCACGCCTGTAATCCCAGTACTTTTGGAGGCCGAGGCAGGCAGATTGCCTGAGGTCAAGAGTTCAAGGCAAGCCTGGCTACCATGGTGGTGTAACCCAATCTCTACTAAAAACACAAAAAGTAGCCAGGCGTGGTGGCACATTCCTGTAGTCCCAGCTACTCAGGAAGCTGAGGCAGGAGAATCACTTGAACCTGGAAGGCAGAAGTTGCAGTGAGCCGAGATTATGCCACTGCACTCCAGCCTGGGCAGCAAAACAAGATTCTATCTTAAAAAACAAACAAACAAACAAAAAATCACGTATGGCCAGTGCCTTGTACATTGGAGGTTCTCATAAAATAGTAGTGCTTCTTCCATCTCATCCATCTGGCAGGACACAAAGGGACAGAAACTGGAACACTATAAAGGGATCTAGGGGTGGGCAGAGCACCCAAGGTAAATAGAAAAAGCCTGTATTATCTTGATAAATAGATATACCGATAATTTTCTTTCAGTTACATTTTGATAATGACCTATCAAATCATTGCTATATTACATACATTAATCCCTCAGAACAAACCTGAAGTGAATGAAAACACTTTATTTACTTTTTTAATTTATTTTATTTATTTATTTTTTTTGAGACAGAGTTTCGCTCTTGTTGCCCAGGCTGGAGTGCAGTGGTGTGATCTCGGCTCACTGCAACCTCTCCCTCCCAGGTTCAAGCAATTCTCTGCCTCAGCCTCCTGAGTAGCTGGGATTACAGGCACCCACCACCACACCCGGCTAATTTTTGTATTTTTAGTAGAGACGGGGTTTCACCATCTTGGCCAGGCTGGTCTTTAACTCCTGACTTCAGGATCCACCTGCCTCGGCCTCCCAAAATGCTGGGATTACAGGCATACTTTATTATTATTATTACCTCCAGTTTAGAAATGAGGTGGTGAAGGTCCAAGAAGTCTGCCAGCTTCCCTCCGGCTGGTCTGCTCTCCTCCAGCTAGTGGCAGGGCAGCAAGACAGTGCAGGCCTCCTGACTTCTGGCTCCGTGGACATTCTGCCTCTCAGAATACACTGCCAACCCAGTATAATTAACTTGGCTGTACTAATGAAATTGAAATTTTTGTTCACGTAAAACTGCTGATGCTACAAGTCAGCCAAATTCTGACCCAAAGGTACATAAATCAGCGGGTTGTTCTTCCTATCACTGTAAAGCAAATTTGAATATGGAAAAACCTCAGAGCTGAAAGGGATCTTTATCCAAGCTCCTAATTCTTCAGATAAGGAACGAGCAGCTCAATCACATGCAGTCACCACACAAGTTGGCAGCAGAGCTTGGACCAGAAGTGATGTCCCTGAACTCCCAGCCCAGTGCTCCACTGTCTCTAAACTTTCTGTGGGATCAAGAATGGCTCCCACTTCCAACGGAGGACTGGTTCAATGGTTTGCTCAGTTAAGAAAAGATGCCCACTAAAAAGCATAGGCTGTTGGTAAATGCTTCTTGAAGAAAGGAGGTCTCTTGGGGAATTGGTAGAAGTAGAGAAGAAAGGCTCCAGGAAAGTGGAAAGGTCCACAGCAGCCTAGATAATAACAGAGAACCTGATGTGATGGGTGTAAGAGGGTCAAGAAAGGGACACTGGGCAACGGCTATACATGCAGACTGAAGGGGCCTGGACTACCGTATTAAAGTTTAGGCTTGGCCAGGCATGGTAGCTCACACCTATAATCCCGGCACTTTGGGAGGCCGAGGCAGGAGGATCTCATGAGGCTAGGAGTTGGAGATCAGCCTGGGCAACATGGGAAGACCCTGTCTCTACAAAAAATTTTTAAAAATTAGCCAGGTGTGGTGGTGCACACCTGTGGCCCTGGCTACTAGGGAGGCTAAGCTGGGAGGATTGCTTGAGCCCAGGGGTCAAGGCTGCAATGAGCCATGATCACAGGATTACACTCCAGCCTTGGCAACAGAGCAAGACTCACTCTCTCAAAAAAAAAAAAAAGAAAATGCTAAGGCTTTATACTCTTGCCAATAGGGAAGCATTAAAATCTGTTGAGCAGGTGTGTAGGAGATGCAAAGTGGAAGTTTGATTTGCAAAGAAGGATTTAAAAACAGGATTTTCGAAGGTTGTTTTTGAAAGGCCACCAAAGGTGAAGATTTACAGATTCTTTTCTCTGTATCTGGAGGGAAATGATCTCACAAAACAAATAAATGCTGGAACCTTTTAAATTCATTCATTCGTTCAACAAACATTGGCTGAGTGCCTACTATGTGCTGCACACTCTGTGATACTAGGTATACAATGGTCAATTAAAATACTCCAGTTTTGCACCATGGATCTTTAATCTAATTGGGAAAACAGATACTAAACAGATTATAAAACAACAGATGCATCACTGTAAAGGTAAAGGGTGCTGAAAAGAAAAACAGGGTGCAGTGCAGAGAACAAAAGGAATATGATTTATTTATAAATAGGGTGGCATTTCAGCTATATTGCTGTGTAACAAACTATCCTCAAAATTCAGTGGCTTTTTAAAACAACCAATTTTTCTCTCTCATGATCCTGTGGGTTGGCCAGGTAGTTCTTCTGTTGGTCTTGTTTGGGGTCTGCCATGCAGCTGTAGCCAGATGGCAACCCGGGCTAGAATATCCAATATGGTTTCACTCACATGTCTGGTGCTTTGGCAGGGACAGCTGGAAGGCTGAGACCTCTCTCTTTCTCCACACGGTTTCTCCTCGTGGTCTCAGCATGTAGCTAAATTAGGCTCCTGTACATGGCAGCTAGATTGCAAGTGCAAGTGTGCCAAGAGTGGGGAGGCAGGAGCGGCCAGTCCTCTTACGGGCTAAGCCTAGGACCGGCACAACATCACTTCTGCTACACTGGGTTGGTTAAAGCAATCACAGAGCTAGCCCTGATTCAACAGAAGAAATAAACCCCACCTCTTGATGCAGGGTGTGGGGAGGGAGTGATACAGATACTTGCAGCCATCTTTAATACACCCAAGTGGTCACGGATGGCCTCCACAAGCAGGTGACATTTGATCTAAGACCTGAAGGAAAAGGAGACAGCCAGTTAACAGGCAAGAGTAGGAGGAAAATATTTCTGACAAGAGGGAACAACATGTGCAAAGATTATTAAGCAGGGAGAAGCTTGAGGAGTTGAAGGGCTTATAAGGAGCTAAGTTGTGGCAGGAGCAATGTGGCAAGGGGAGAGTGGCCTGTGATGAGGTCAGGAGGCAGGCGGGTGGGGACAACAGAAAAATATTGGGTACAGATTTAGGGACCCATTCAACTGTAGTCTTCTAGAGGGCAGAGATCCCAAAAGTCTTGTTCACCACTGTCCCCTGTCCCCCTGACCTTCCCTCCAACCCCCTATGCCTAACATACCAATTGACCAATGACCAATTGGGCTTCTCAGACAAGTACTGTGAAATTTATTTCATTTATGGCACAAAGTTAGTGATTCCTAGCACATACATTATACTCAAAGAGCAAACCTCAGACATGGACACAAACTTGAGTGTTCTACTAGACCTGAAGATGTGGAGCTACTCAGGGAAACGCAAAAAGCACTGACCAGAGTTACCTTTCAGTGCATAAAGGGTTAATTTTCAATTATCTGATTAGCTGCACCTTTCAGCTATCTGGCGGAGAATTACTGTTCCTTGCACCCTCCAGATAAGTGAAATGTTACTTTTCATGTGACTCAGCACACAAGGGGAATGAGGGATATTAACTACTCCTGACAGTGTTTTCAAAATTGTCCTTGGGGACATCTAAATGGTCCATGCTGGTCCCTGTGATTCTCAGAAGTGAAAGGATTTTAATACTCAGGAGAATAAAAGAATATAAAAGAATAACATATCTATGAATGCCTTCCACCCACATGCTTTTAACAGATTCTTGCTAATAAAAAAGACCCTGAAGGCACTGTGACTCGGCCCATAATCCTTCACTCTTAGACTGACAGACCCATCAGAAGTTGACATGTGCATATATTTCTACTCCTGAGATATAAACTGGCTTCTATGAGCAGGGAGTGGGACTTGATTTATGGAGAGGCATAGAAACTTAGGGACACAATTTAAAAGTAATTAACATGGAAAGCCAATCTTAGCAAAAGACTCTCAAACTGCTTATGTGCTGCCAGTACCGCCATGGAAACAGGTGGACTCTCACACGTAGAGCTATGTGGCTTCCCTGCTGCCTTAGCTAAATGTAAATGAAGAAATGAAAATTGTTCTCCTCAATGGGATTTAGGAAGCACTTGGGAATTTTAATGAAAGCATTGAAAGGAAAGAGTGCTGAGTCCTTGAAAACAGCTCCCATCAAGTCAATTAAGACCATGTTAGAAACCATTCTGCCTTCACTATGGGCAGAGCCAACAGAGACTTCTGAATCAATGAGTCTCTTTTTAAGAAATATTTCATTTAATACTTTCCCTCCCCTACCTAGGCATAAAGAGCATTTGTGAAAATCAGTCCCATTCTCACCCATTCATATAACATAGCAGAAGTACCCACTGCATCCTGCCCTGAAATCAGACTTATTTGCCATGGAGTTTCCTACTGATAACTGGATATTTCCTATACTCCTATTCTACACAGAATTCAACCTATCAGAATCTAATCACTCTGCCAGATCAATGCTCAGCAATTCCTAAGGATGCTGCTATTACCTGGGACTTTTGACCACTTTTTCTCTTCATTTATTGCCAGATTCATCATCTCAAACAATGAGGTGGAATTAGTTGGTTAAGAGAGGAAATTTTAATGCATGACCTTTTCAAACCCCTCTGCCTTCCATAGTGAAATCTAACTTGGTTAAGGATTTATTGATAGAGGGCTGGTCATTGACTGCTGGTAACCTCAGGAGATTTATTTAATAACCATGGCTTTTAGAAGCAACATTCATATCAAAATGAAAATGTGGAGAAAAATTCAGAAGACAGCCAAATAGGAACAGCTCCGGTCTACAGCTCCCAGAGTGAGCGACGCAGAAGATGGGTGATTTCTGCATTTCCATCTGAGGTACCAGGTTCATCTCACTAGGGAGTGCCAGATAGTGGGTGCAGGACAGTGGGTGCAGCGCACCATGCGCGAGCCAAAGCAGGGCGAGGCATTGCCTCACTCCAGAAGTGCAAGGGGTCAGGGAGTTCCCTTTCCTAGTCAAAGAAAGGGGTGACAGACGGCACCTGGAAAATCGGGTCACTCCCACCCTAATAATGCGCTTTTCCGACGGGCTTAAAAAACGGTGCACCAGGAGATTATATCCCGCACATGGCTCTGAGGGTCCTACGCCCACGGAGTCTCGCTGATTGCTAGCACAGCAGTCTGAGATCAAACTGCAAGGTGGCAGCGAGGCTGGGGGAGGGGCGCCCGCCATTGCCCAGGCTTGCTTAGGTAAACAAAGCAGCCGGGAAGCTCGAACTGGGTGGAGCCCACCACAGCTCAAGGAGGCCTGCCTGCCTCTGTAGGCTCCACCTCTGGGGACAGGGCACAGACAAACAAAAAGACAGCAGTAAACTCTGCAGACTTAAATGTCCCTGTCTGACAGCTTTGAAGAGAGCAGCATGCAGCTGGAGATCTGAGAACGGGCAGACTGCCTCCTCAAGTGGGTCCCTGACCCCTGACCCCTGAGCAGCCTAACTGGGAGGCACCCCCCAGTAGGGGCAGACTGACACCTCACACGGCTGGGTACTCCTCTGAGACAAAACTTCCAGAGGAACCATCGGACAGCAGCATTCGCGGTTCACCAAAATCCACTGTTCTGCAGCCACCGCTACTGATACCCAGGCAAACAGCGTCTGAAGTGGACCTCTAGCAAACTCCAGCAGACCTGCAGCTGAGGGTCCTGTCTATTAGAAGGAAAACTAACAAACAGAAAGGACATCCACACCAAAAACCCATCTGTACATCACCATCATCAAAGACCAAAAGTAGATAAAACCACAAAGATGGGGAAAAAACAGAGCAGAAAAACTGGAAACTCTAAAAAGCAGAGCACCTCTCCTCCTCCAAAGGAACGCAGTTCCTCACCAGCAATGGAACAAAGCTGGACGGAGAATGACTTTGACGAGTTGAGAGAAGAAGGCTTCAGACGATCAAACTACTCTGAGCTACAGGAGGAAATTCAAACCAAAGGCAAAGAAGTTAAAAACTTTGAAAAAAATTTAGACGAATGTATAACTAGAATAACCAATACAGAGAAGTGCTTAAAGGAGGATGAAGCTGAAAGCCAAGGCTTGAGAACTACGTGAAGAATGCAGAAGCCTCAGGAGCCAATGCGATCAACTGGAAGAAAGGGTATCAGTGATGGAAGATGAAATGAATGAAATGAAGTGAGAAGGGAAGTTTACAGAAAAAAGAATAAAAAGAAATGAACAAAGCCTCCAAGAAATATGGGACTATGTGAAAAGATCAAACCTACGTCTGATTGGTGTACCTGAAAGTGACAGGGAGAATGGAACCAAGTTGGAAAACACTCTGCAGGATATTATCCAGGAGAACTTCCCCAGTCTAGCAAGGCAGGCCAACACTCAGATTCAGGAAATACAGAGAATGCCACAAAGATACTCCTCAAGAAGAGCAACTCCAAGACACATAATTGTCAGATTCACCAAAGTTGAAATGAAGCAAAAAATGTTAAGGGCAGCCAGAGAGAAAGGTCGGATTACCCACAAAGGGAAGCCCATCAGACTAACAGCAGATCTCTCTGCAGAATCTCTACAAGCCAGAAGAGAGTGGGGTCCAATATTCAACATTCTTAAAGAAAATAATTTTCAACCCAGAATTTCATATCCAGCCAAACTAAGCTTCATAAGTGAAGGAGAAATAAAATACTTTACAGACAAGCAAATGCTGAGAGATTTGGTCACCACCAGGCCTGCCCTAAAAGAGCTCCTAAAGGAAGCACTAAACATGGAAAGGAAAAACCGGTACCAGCTGCTGCAAAATCATGCCAAAATGTAAAGACCATCGAGACTAGGAAGAAACTACATCAACTAACGAGCAAAATAACCAGCTAACATCATAATGACAGGATCAAATTCACACATAACAATATTAACTTTAAATGTAAATGGACTAAATGCTCCAATTAAAAGACACAGACTGGCAAATTGGATAAAGAGTCATGACCCATCAGTGTGCTGTATTCAGGAAACCCATCTCACGTGCAGAGACACACATAGGCTCAAGATAAAAGGATGGAGGAAGATCTACCAAGCAAATGGAAAACAAAAAAAGGCAGGGGTTGCAATCCTAGTCTCTGATAAAACAGACTTTAAACCAACAAAGATCAAAGGAGACAAAGAAGGCCATTAGATAATGGTAAAGGGATCAATTCAACAAGAAGAGCTAACTATCCTAAATATATATGCACCCAATACAGGAGCACCCAGATTCATAAAGCAAGTCCTGAGTGACCTACAAAGAGACTTAGACTCCCACACAATAATAATGGGAGACTTTAACACCCCACTGTCAACATTAGACAGATCAACGAGACAGAAAGGTAACAAGCATACCCAGGAATTGAACTCAGCTCTGCACCAAGCAGACCTAATAGACATCTACAGAACTCTCCACCCCAAATCAACAGAATATACATTTTTTTCAGCACCACACCACACCTATTCCAAAATTGCACACATAGTTGGAAGTAAAGCTCTCCTCAGCAAATGTAAAAGAACAGAAATTATAACAAACTGTCTCTCAGACCACAGTACAATCAAACTAGAACTCAGGATTAAGAAACTCACTCAAAACCACTCAACTACATGGAAACTGAACAACCTGCTCCTGAATGACTACTGGGTACACAATGAAATGAAGGCAGAAATAAAGATGTTCTTTGAAACCAATGAGAACAAAGACACAACATACCAGAATCTCTGGGACGCATTCAAAGCAGTGTGTAGAGGGAAATTTATAGCACTAAAAGCCCACAAGAGAAAGCAGGAAAGATCCAAAATTGACACCCTAATATCACAATTAAAAGAACTAGAAAAGCAAGAGCAAACACATTCAAAAGCTAGCAGAAGGCAAGAAACAACTAAAATCAGAGCAGAACTGAAGGAAATAGAGACACAAAAAACCCTTCAAAAAATTAATGAATCCAGGAGCTGGTTTTTTGAAAGGATCAACAAAATTGATAGACCGCTAGCAAGACTAATAAAGAAAAAAAGAGAGAAGAATCAAATAGACGCAATAAAAAATGATAAAGGAGATATCACCACGGATCCCACAGAAATACAAACTACCATCAGAGAATACTACAAACAACTCTACGCAAATAAACTAGAAAATCTAGAAGAAATGGATAAATTCCTCGACACATACACCCTCCCAAGACTAAACAAAGAAGAATTTGAATCTCTGAATAGACCAATAACAGGCTCTGAAATTGTGGCAATAATCAATAGCTTACCAACCAAAAAGAGTCCAGGACCAGATGGATTCACAGCCAAATTCTACCAGAGGTACAAGGAGGAACTGGTACCATTCCTTCTGAAACTATTCCAATCAATAGAAAAAGAGGGAATCCTCCCTAACTCATTTTCTGAGGCCAGCATCATCCTGATACCAAAGCCAGTCAGAGACACAACCAAAAAACAGAATTTTAGACCAATATCCTTGATGAACATTGATGCAAAAATCCTCAATAAAATACTGGCAAACCGAATCCAGCAGCACATCAAAAAGCTTATCCACCATGATCAAGTGGGCTTCATCCCTGGGATGCAAGGCTGGTTCAATATACACAAATCAATAAATGTAATCCAGCATATAAACAGAACCAAAGACAAAAACCACATTATTATCTCAATAGATGCAGAAAAGGCCTTTGACAAAATTCAACAACATTTCATGCTAAAAACTCTCAATAAATTAGGTATTGATGGGACGTATCTCAAAATAATCAGAGCTATCTATGACAAACCCACAGCCAATATCATACTGAATGGGCAAAAACTGGAAGCATTCCCTTTGAAAACTGACACAAGACAGGGATGCCCTCTCTCACCACTCCTATTCAACATAGTGCTGGAAGTTCTGGCCAGGGCAATCAGGCAGGAGAAGGAAATAAAGGGTATTCAATTAGGAAAAGAGGAAGTCAAATTGTCCCTGTTTGCAGATGACATGATTGTATATCTAGAAAACCCCACTGTTTCAGCCCAAAATCTCCTTAAGCTGATAAGCAACTTCAGCAAAGTCTCAGGATATAAAATCAATGTACAAAAATCACAAGCATTCTTATACACCAATAACAGACAAACAGAGAGCCAAATCATGAGTGAACTCCCATTCACAATTGCTTCAAAGAGAATAAAATACCTAGGAATCCAACTTACCAGGGACATGAAGGACCTCTTCAAGGAGAACTACAAACCACTGCTCAATGAAATAAAAGAGGATACAAACAAATGGAAGAACATTCCATGTTCATGGGTAGGAAGAATAAATATCGTGAAAATGGCCATACTGCCCAAGGTAATTTATAGATTCAATGCCATCCTCATCAAGCTACCAATGACTTTCTTCACAGAATTGGAAAAAACTACTTTAAACTTCATATGGAACCAAAAAAGAGCCTGCATCGCCAAGTCAATCCTAAGCCAAAAGAACAAAGCTGGAGGCATCACGCTACCTGACTTCAAACTATACTACAAGGCTACAGTAACCAAAACAGCATGGTACTGGTACCAAAACAGAGATATAGATCAATGGAACAGAACAGAGCACTAAGAAATAACACCGCATATCTACAACTATCTGATCTTTGACAAACCTGAGAAAAACAAGCAATGCGGAAAGGATTCCCGATTTAATAAATGGTGCTGGGAAAACTGGCTAGCCATATGTAGAAACTGAAACTGGATCCCTTCCTTGCACCTTATACAAAAATTAATTCAAGACGGATTAAAGACTTACATGTTAGACCTAAAACCATAAAAACCCTAGAAGAAAACCTAGCCATTACCATTCAGGACATAGGCATGGGCAAGGACTTCATGTCTAAAACACCAAAAGCAATGGCAACAAAAGCCAAACTTGACAAATGGGATCTAATTAAACTAAAGAGCTTCTGCACAGCAAAAGAAACTACCATCAGAGTGAACAGGCAACCTACAAAATGGGAGAAAATTTTCCCAACCTACTCATGTGACAAAGGGCTAATATCCAGAATCTACAAAGAACTCAAACAAATTTACAAGAAAAAAACAACCCCATCAAAAAGTGGGCGAAGGATATGAATAGAGACTTCTCAAAAGAAGACATTTATGCAGCCAAAAGACACATGAAAAAATGTTCATCATCACTGGCCATCAGAGAAATGCAAATCAAAACCACAATGAGATACCATCTCACACCAGTTAGAATGGCAATCATTAAAAAGTCAGGAAACAACAGTTGCTGGAGAGGATGTGGAGAAATAGGAACACTTTTACACTGTTGGTGGGACTGTAAACTAGTCCAACCATTGTGGAAGTCAGTGTGGCGATTCCTCAGGGGTCTAGAACTAGAAATACCATTTGACCCAGCCATCCCATTACTGGGTATATACCCAAAGGACTATAAATCATGCTGCTATAAAGACACATGCACACGTATGTTTATTGCAGCACTATTCACAATAGCAAAGACTTGGAACCAACCCAAATGTCCAACCATGGTAGACTGGATTAAGAAAATGTGGCACATATACACCATGGAATACTATGCAGCCATAAAAAAGGATGAGTTCATGTCCTTTGTAGGGACATGGATGAAATTGGAAATCATCATTCTCAGTAAACTATCACAAGGACAGAAAACCAAACACCACATGTTCTCACTCATAGGTGGGAATTGAACAATGAAAACACATGGACACAGGAAGGGGAACATCACACTCTAGGGACTGTTGTGGGGTGGTGGGAGGGGGGAGGGATAGCATTAGGAGATATACCTAATGCTAAATGACGAGTTAATGGGTGCAGCACACCAGCATGGCACATGTATACATATGTAACAAACCTGCACATTGTGCACATGTACCCTAAAACTTAAAGTATAATAATAATAAAATAAAAAAATAAAAAATAAAAAAAAGAAAATGTGTTTATGTCAAAATATTGGCAGGAAAACTTACATCATTCAATTTTATTATAAATTTGAATAGCATTTCAATGATAGCCTACCTTCCACCATTACTGTCTCGCACTGGAAACCACTACTAATAAATGCATCATCATAAATCACTTAAAACATGAAGAAAAAAAGGAAGAAAAAAAGCTCCTAAAAAAAGCTGCAGAACATTTCAAGGCAAAAAGACTTCCGAAAATGTAGTGATTGGACTTTTTTTTAATACCAGTTAAGCAGGTGTTTAAATTTAAGAGTTTATCAGAGTTTGCTCTTCAAAAGTACACTTGAAGGCATGATTCTGGGCACCTTGGTAACAGCCTCACACCGAATCCTTTTGTGCTGCCTGAAATACAGATCTGCTGGCTGAGCCCACCTCGCTTGGCAACCGCAAGTATTTGGGGCCGGGCCTTTCTAATCTGCCTAGTCCGCCAAGGCGGCCGGAGCCCTGCAGTGGTGAGGAGGCCCCATTTGGCCGAGCTGCTGCTAAGCACGGTGCCAAATCAATATCCCATCAGACGACGCTTTGCTGGCAACAATTGCAATTGATGGCGCTCGCAAGGCTGTGTGATGTCGCTGGGTGTTTGCAAAGCAGAGGAAAATCCCTCTATGCACAAGCGGTTCTGACCTCACTCCAGTGAGCCACTCGCCTGTCTTTAGTGACAGGCTCACTCCAGTGAGCCACCCGTGAAATGGTTCAGGAAAGAAGCAGTGCGGAGAAGAGGCTGCAAGGAAATAACCTACGGGGATGACCAGATGTGACTCATGCTGTTCACCTTTGAAGGGAAGGAACATTTTGGAGCGGGGTGGCACTCTAACTTGCCTCCAAGGGACAGAAGAGAGAATACCCTTCTTGCTCTCAGCAGGCAAGGACTGTGCAATGCACCTGAAAGAAAACAGCCAACATCAATAATGCACTGGGACCCATGGCTGACATATTTTTCAGCTATCTGAGTAATTGAACAGTTGCCAAAATATAGCTCTCAAACGCCATGTGTGGACAGAGCCATCACTGATACTGAAAGGGCAGGTTTAACCCTGGATGGTATCCAGAGGGCATATCGCAAAGTCTCTTCTTTCCCTAAACATAAATACTGCTACCAACACATGCAGTAGTAGTAATAGAAGTATAGTACTATTTATTTTTGGTATGTTGTATGTACTATTTTTTTTACAAGCATGATATCCTAGAAAATCCTCACATTGAAGCTTTAAGTAACTCAATCAAGGTCATATAGTAGGTAGTAGAAGTGGATTTGAACTAAAGCCTGTCATTGACCTACAGAACCCTGGGGCCTCTCAGAAGTAGGTATTTTGGTGTGAGTTGAGAGGCTAGCTCTGTGTCTGATCAACAAACAGCCCTCTGACTCAAAGCCCTCTGACAATGGTACTATGATTTTGCAATTACCAACCACGTCAAGCTATCTTTAAGCAGCTTTAAAGATTTGAGAATGAGGAGACAAAGCAGAGAGGAAACCACTAGTCGAAGGCTACAAGTGCAGACACTGGCAATGCTGAAACAAAAAGGAACCCGCAGTTCTCGTGATAGGAACTGCTTCAATCATTCATTTGAGGGTCTGCACGGCCATGCTATAATGGTTCCCGAGACCTCAGGGAGTGCATACTGCACAGCTTTTACAGGGAGGCAATGCTGTATTCACAAGAGTTTCCACTGAAAAAAGAAAATGTCCAAGCATGCTGAGCAATGTGTGGAATATTGGAAGCAGAGTCAGGGACCCCAGATAAGAAACCTACAAATCACATATCTGGGAAACTCTCTATCACCACAATCCATTTTCTTGTTTTTGCCTCAACAGCATTTTTCCTTCTCTCCACAAGGAGTCAAGAGACCACAGTAAAAATGTTACTTGCCTGCTTCACTAAGGCAGGACAAAAATAGTTTCTTGGTACCATTTTCTTGTCTTTTAAACTTATCCTATTCCTTTTATCTAGTTTTTATTTCTTGCATCTAGCAACAGATGCAAGAAATCAAAAGAAAATGTTTTCCTGATACAATGCATGGAAATGAAGACAAGGGAGCTTGGATTAAATACTACACAGCTGAAAATAATGCATGGAGCTAAGTGAGCCAGCAGCCTTACTGTTAATAACATAAATAAAAAAATAGTAAAATAACAACACTCCTACATTTATCTCCCTTCTTTTCACAGGCTTCCCAAATCAGAGCATAGAATTATGCTGAGTGCCTAAAGGGCTCTGCCCTCTGTGATCTGTACTCACCCTAGATTAATGAGGCATTCCTAACACCTGTGCTGACATTTCTTATGCTGCCTTCCCAGCCATCTCAGGGGTGGTTTTATCTACATGGGAGCAAGCCTCTAAATTCCAGCAGTACCAGGGACTTAGAAGGCAATGACCTTGACATGCGCGGGCTTTCTTCTCACCACCCAGGAAGCAGGGGCCTCAGCACCAATATCAGCCAAAAACCATCTTCCACTCTGGAATTAATCATTATTTCAGAGTTTCCACTTCAAATCGTTGTTTTAGGAAAACCCAGATAGCAGACCAATAATGGAGTTTGGGAAAGGAAACCCCACGGTTTGGATCAAGGATGGATCAAGGATGCCCTTTTAGATGTCCTTGGATGGATGTATCAAGGACACCCTTTAAGAATCTGATAAAAGTTACAAACTTTGTCTCTACCTATTTGAACAAAATAGGTTATACTATGATTTGCATATATTTTAGGAGGCTCTTGGACCCTCCTGGAGACCATCCAAAAGCTGCCTTCCCCAAAAATCCTGCTGCAGTTCAATGACGTGCAAGCCAGCACATATGTGTGCATGCGATGTGTGTGTTAACCTAGTTTGCTCTTTTTAGCATTACAAGAAAATGGCATAAACTAAAAGGGGCCAGATAACTAACAGAGATATATTCAAGTTCTTCAGAAAGGGAACTATTTAATGAGCACCAAATATATGCCTTGTTTTCTACCAGGCATGTTATATGTGTTCTTGCATTACATCCTCTTTACAGCTGCATAACAGCAAGGACTGTGCCTTTCATATTCACCTATCTCCAATGCCTTTCATAGCAGTAGTGCTTATTGAATACTCCTTGAATGAATTAATTATTAGTATTTCATAGATGAGGAAACTGAGCCTCTGGATGGTTAAGTAACTTATACAAATCAGACAGGGAATAAATGGGAGAGATGGAATTTGAACTCAAGTCTTTCTGTGCAACTTTCCCCTGTGCTTCAATGAACTTTAGATGTAATCTTCTCTGAGACTAAATAAAAGACATGAACATAATAGGTAACCAAATAATGTGCTACATTGGCGACCAGAGCTGTGGGAAAAAATGCAAAGTAAGGTCAGGGACTTGGAGTATATGGAGCAGGAAGGACACATTGCAATATTCATCAGGGTGGTTAGAGTTGGCCTCATCAAGAAGGTGAGATGGGAGCCAAGCCTCAAAGAAGGTGAGCAAGTGAGCAGAAGAGTAAGTCAGGAAGGGGCAACAGCCGGATCATTAGAGGCTGGCATAGGAACCAGCCTCAAATGCAGAAGTATGGCTGGTGGTTCAAGAAGCAAGGTGGCTAATGTAGGTGGAGTTGGAAGAGCCAGTGGAGAGTAATAAGAAATGACGCTGGAGAGAAAATGGAGGCTAAGCAAAAACCATTACCTCTCCAGTCACTGCAAAGGCATGGGCTTTTACTCAGAGTGAAATGAGGACTCATTGCAAGACTTGGAGCAGAGCAGGTACATGATGTGACTTCCGTTTATAAAAACCACTGTGGCTGCTGGGTTGAGAATAGACCATGATAGGGGCAAGGGCAGGAAGGGAAAGTCCAGGTAAGAGGCTACATCTAGTTCCCAGGCAAAAGATGGTGGTGGCTCAGTCAGGCGGTAGCCATGGAAACAGAGAGAAGTATATTCTGGATACGTGAGAGAAGAGTAGACTTACAGATGACTCCAAGGTTTTTGGCCCAAGGAACAAAACCAACATATGTTCAGGCTCATCCCTATGTTCTAAGAGGGCAGAAGCCTGAGGGCTGATTCCCAAGGCTCCAAGGCCAATCTGAGAGAAACAATAAGATGTTTTGCCATTTCCAAAGATGTTTCCTTTTGTTCATGAGAGAGAGAGAGAGAGAGAGACTTACTCTGTGTAGCCTGTTAGAAAAAGAGGAAGGAAAGAGTTCCTTAAAGAGCATGTTTTTCACTGGATTTGAGTTTTGTGAGTAAAGTGTGTGCTTTGAAATGTTCCCTCCCTTCATGTCGGAGGCTGCATAATCTTCTCTCCTGCACTACTGGATGCTGGGTTACCTGGACCTAGCCCTGCTGGTCACTAAACCCTGGGGCCTCAAACAGCTTTCTAAAGCTAGGAGCTCTGGGCAGATGCTGACTTCCCAGTGACCCAAATCTGACACCAAGATTGAGAGGCCAGGGCTCCTCTCTCCTGTCCCCCGACCTCTACATAAAAAACACAGGCATTTCTGGCTAGCCTAGGCTGCCAGGAACATGTTGAGCCATCAGCTCTGAACACAATCAAGAGTGAATCTGGAGGTCCCTTCCAGATCCCACTGCTCAGCCAGGAAGATAGTCTATGGGAGGTTAAAGCAGAAATTACCAAAGGTTTTTACAGAGGATAAGTCTCCCACTTACTTGCTTTCAGGGCTTGCCTTTTAAAATACTAAAATGGAAAAGCCAAGATGGCACAAAAACTATAGTTTTGTAAGGAAAAAAATGTATTGCACATCCACTGTGTGCAAGGCACTATGTTGAGTATTCTTACCAGCACTGTCTTGCTGAATCTACACAACTTGTAGTTGTGAATTCAGCATTATTACTTTTTTTTTCCTAAGGAAAGTTTAGAAAGGCAAGCAATTGGCCCAAAGTGATCCACTAGTCAGTACAGATGTCTAACTTCAAACTACAGCTTTCACCACAGCTGTCTCTAAGGTGACAGGCTATCCTGTCTGCTGGGGACTAAGAGGGTTCATGGGATTTTCAGGTTTAAATGCAAGAAAGTCTCTGGCAAACCAGAACAAGACGATCACCCTATCTGTCTCATTAAACTAAAGTATGCACATAGAAAGTGCAGTCATTTCAAGAATACATAGAAGGGTAGGTAGAATGACTGCCTAGAGGGTTTACCTTTCAGAAGAGCAAGCTCTTTCCCACCTAGTTAATGGCCAGTCTTCTGCAGTCACAAGAGTGGAGTCCTTGGTGAGAATTTACTGCAGAGCATTAATCCCCATTTTCCCAAACATTCAACCCCACACCAGGATCACCTCTTCCAGCTGACTCTCAAAGCAAGCTTGTCACTTGTGTTTCCAAAATCCCATTCCCTTTTGCATCTGTTTGCTGCAAAATGTCAACTGCATCTCCTGCTTTGGTCATTGTAATTTATACTGCTGACTCATTTACCCAAGGACTCTGGCCCAGTATCTTGTTGAGGGAATGTCAATGAATTCAGTGGCTTGGGATAAGATTCAACTGCTTAGAAATGTGGTGTTACTTCTCCGGAGCCTGGGTTGCACCATTTGCTGGCCCTGCTCATGCATTCCTCCCACAAACACTTATGCCAACATTGGGCCAGGCCTGGGGCTGTTATCTTTACATGACTTTGTCATTTGGCAAAGAGCCCTGTCTTCAAGGAGTCTCATTGGCATGGTTCAAAGAAACTAGTTGCAAAAAATAAGCCAAAACAGTTGAAGTGTTGCCATGGACCCTGTGGCTTTGAGCAGCTAGCCCAGCTGTGCCAGGGGCCAGAACCCCTCGCTGAAAGCTGCTGTGTGCTCTGGGACAGTGCTGGCAAGGAGAGCTCTTTATCAGATGGGCCCTCTCTACACTTCTCTCCACAGGCCAGGAGCACAGGAAGGAACAACCCTCTGGATCACCTCTCAATCTCAGGGATAATACCCAAAAGGGAGAGAAGGTTGAATGCGTCACTGACCCAGGAATAGATGGTAAAGGGCTCCTCCTTCTCCAGCAGGAATGTGTGAGCCACTCTGCCTATCACTGTCTTACTCTCGCAAGTGTCCCCCATGGCATAGGTGTGCTGGTAAATGTCTAACAACTGGCTCTCAAGATTGGAAGTGGGGGAAGAAACTCTTATTTGTAGCATTTACTGATACCTGTGGCCCACTGTAGCCAATTCCAAGCTACCAACATGATGGCACTGAATACAGAGTAGGGAAGAGATGCCACAAAGAGTAAGGAAAAGATGCTGTCCTCTCCAGAGCTGCCTCCAGCCCACCTCCTCTCAAAAACCCACACCAAGAACTCAACCCCTTATCTTTAGTCACACTATCTTCTGATTATTGAATGAGGGAGGAGGGAAATTTTGTGCTTGTAAAAACATGAGGAAGCACATGATATTTTGCTTGACTGTAGCGGAGGGTATGTGGATTTTTACTACTTTAAGTACTTTCTCCCTTTACTGCTAAACAAGTTCACATATATGATTTCAGAGCAACTTGACAAACTGCTGTGAAAGAGAAGCAGCAGTTATTGTTGAACAGATAAGCAAACAGCCTCAGAGAGTGGCTAAGAGAGTGCCAACCAAACAACTAAATCTGAGTCCCAAGCTCTATCATTATTTCTTTACTCGTTTGTGCAAGGACCGCCCTCATCTCCCTAAGGAAGAGTCCAGCGGTCCATTCAGCAGTGAGTTCGTGATGATGGGCTCCCAGTTTTAAGGCTTTCAGTGGTTTCCTATTACTCATAGGATGAAGTCCCAGATACATAGCATGGCACAAAGGCTGTCTTTGCCTTGACCCCCACCTTCTCTCCAGCTCCATCTCTTGTTTTGCCCATCTCCTCACCAGCCCTGCAAACTTGTCTAACCTCCAACCACACTGCTTGGAGTTCACTTAGCATGAGCAGCTCCTTCACAGCTCTGGCCTCTAGCTATACCTTCCTCTTCCCCACTATTTGGAACACTCCTCCTTGTGCCCTCTCCCAGCCCCTGCTAAGATCTGCATATCTTTCCACTAATTTATGGTCCTTATTTCTATAGAAAGTAATGTGCCCCTCTAGACTATAAATCAACTCCTTGAAGGCCAAGGTCAGACTCAATGTGTCCTCTAGAATATATAGGAAATTTATAATAAATGCTTGCTGAATCATTCTATTTCATTACAAAAAAAACAGCCTTGCTTCTCAAAAACAATGTTCCATGCTCAGCTTGCCTGAAGACTGAAAATCTTGGGAAAGCAACCAGACATCCCATCAGTGGCATTTCCGATGAGGGGCAGACCCTTGTCAGAGGGAAAAACAGTGTGAAGTCAGACAACAATCAGGTTATGTGCCCATGACAGGCAGATCCAGCACCCTTCCATGGCCGGACATGGACTCCTGCCTTAATCCTCAGTCCCTTCCTTCCAGACAATGGCATTTGAGATGTGTCACACTTAGCAGCCTTCCTTGCTAAAACTGGTTCACCCTTTGCTACTGTCTCAGTTGCAGCTGCAGAGGTATATGGGTTGGCCAGAATCATACCAGCCCTAACCTGGGCCAAGGGAATGCCAAGAGGGACACACGGTTCTTATTATATTTCTCCAGCCCACTTTGGGCCTCAAATATATGTGTGGCTTTTCTTCATCCTTTCAATATACCAAATATGCTGCTTCTAGCATGTGCAATCTTCATCAGTTTAGTTTACAGAATTAGAAAGCTGCTGCTGGGGGTGCTTCTCTGTTTCCTGAACTTGAGAAACAGGGTGCCTCACACATTGACTATCCTTACGCGATGTGAATATACTGTCCAGGCCTTTACCCCAAACTAGACCTAACTGAACACTGCCTGCAGAATAGGCAGTCGACTTACAGAATGATGTGAGGTCCCCCACATCTAGCTCCTCTCCAGTCTCAACAGGTGCCAAGTCCCAACATCGACCCCATGCTTAGGCCAATATTTCCCATAATATTATGTTGCATATAATTAGTCATTGGCATCACAAACATGGCCTTTGCTCAAATAAGTTATAGAAATGCTGAGTTACAAAATATTAAGATGGTACCTTTGCTACATGACATCTGAGAGCTTTAACTTACTACAGCATATTATGAACCTCCAAAATAGGGTACAGCAGGCAGTGTTTCCAAGACTTCATGGACCATGGAAAACTCTACTCAGCCCTGCCTTTTATGGATCATCTTGAAGCATTGATGTGCTCCCAGTATAACTTTGGGAACTGCACTCTACCTTCATGCTCATTCATTCACTAAGCAGGCAGTGCACTTCAACCAAAGCCGGGGAGAGGAAGAACTAGTGCGTTTTGGAAAATGTTTCTTAAAGCCCACGTCAGAGGGTGAAGTCAGACAACAGAATGCTAAACAGAAAATCTTAAAGTATCTCCAAAACAAACTTTTTAAATCTTCAGTTGTAGGGCCATAGGGTGCATAAAATGTCAAGAGAATAAACTGTTTATTTCCCCTGACATCTTGTCAATCTTACCATGGTGGAAAGACTATAGGATTGGGAATTAGGTATACCTGGGTTCAAATCTTGGCTCTGCTCCTATTCATCAGTTCTAAATCTGTCTTGTGGGGCTGTATTAAGAATCAAATGAACACTATTACATAATAATAAGCAATTAAAACATGTCTTAAAATTATTGTGTTTCTATGGCATGGAAAACATCCCACTATGTCTTCTGCACATAACCTATGTTTTATTTATATAGAAGCAATTGTTCTACTGCAAGCTCTGGGGTATGTCCTGGTCCAGGACAAATTTGTATTAGTCAGGGTTCTGCAGAGAATCAGAACCAGTAGGGGATAGAAAGATAGATAGATAGATAGATAGATAGATAGATAGATAGATAGACAGACAGATCAACAGTCAGCCATAAAGAGATTTATTATAACAAATTGGTTCAAAGATTATGGAAAATAAGAGGTCCCAAAATCTGCAATGGGCAAACAGGTGACCCTGGAGAACCAATGGTGATGGTCCAGGCCAAATGCCAGCAGGCTCAGGACTCAAGAAGAGCTAATATTTCCATCCACATCCAGTCCAGAAAAGACCAATGTCCCAGCTTAAATCAGGGAGGAGAGGTTCTCTGCCTTACTCAGCCTTTTTGTTCTATTTAGATCTTCAGTTTGTTGGATGAGACCTACCTGCATGAGGGAGGGCAATCTGTATTACTCAGTTTACTGATTCAAAAGTTAATCTCATCCAGAAACACCCTCCCAGACAGAGTCAGTACAGTATTTGGCCAGATGTCTAGGCACTGCACAGCCCAGTAAAGGTGAAACATAAAATTAACTATCACAACATTTAAATATAGCTACTGAATTAACTAGGTTGAGTAAATCTGGGATTTGGGGCTGTCAGAAGACCAAAGTGCCAAACAGCAAGTTGGAATGCCAAATGACAACCCAACTCCAGGGCTCAGATGCCTAAATAACTGGAGGAAACATTCAATAACCTAGCTGGAGTAAACTCTTCAGCAATTTTGTCTGCTGCCCACTGACTGGCCCTCAAAGGTCAGTAGATCACGGCTCCAACTTCATTGCCGATACTTGGAGAACTATAAATGAGAGAGAAAATGCTCTAAGCCACCAGACAAAGCATCCCATGGTGAGAGGGATGTTTTGTTTTATTTTCTTTTAATCATATAACCTTACCTTGTTGGTGCATTTTAAAAGAAAAAATGATGAAGCCTCCCAGCTAGCCTCAGCCAACACTGATAAAAATGTGTAACTGAGACTCACACTGGGAAATGGGTAGGTAAACAGAAAAGCGTAGTTGCTAGAAGCACTAAAACCTCAATTAATGAGATTAACGAAAGTAAGCCTTCATCCTATGGTACTCTTAATAGGAACACAAGTCACAAGATAAGGAAAGGTGCTAATAATGCTGAGTGCCCATGTGCCACACTGTGCCCAGCCCTTTAAAGACATAAATCCGGCCGGGCGCGGTGGCTCACGCCTGTAATCCCAGCACTTTGGGAGGCCGAGGCGGGCGGATCACGAGGTCAGGAGATCGAGACCATCCTGGCTAACACGGTGAAACCCCGTCTCTACTAAAAATACAAAAAATTAGCCGGGCGTGGTGGCGGGCGCCTGTAGTCCCAGCTACTCGGGAGGCTGAGGCAGGAGAATGGCGTGAACCCGGGAGGCGGAGCTTGCAGTGAGCCGAGATCGCGCCACTGCACTCCAGCCTGGGCGACAGAGCGAGACTCCGTCTCAAAAAAAAAAAAAAAAAAGACATAAATCCACATAATTTTCACCACAACCCTGAAGCGGGTAATCATTTATTTTCTCCATTTTATAGATGAAGTTCCCAAAAGTTAAGTGATTTGCCCAAGGTTATATGACCTTGGCGAGCCTTTCTCTTTAAGGACAGAGAAATCATATAAGTGATTATATTTGTCCTTCATTAAAAATAATAGGAAACTCAAATTCTAATGATCTTAACACAATCCCTGCTCATGGATTTTATTTAATCTCTATTTTTTTCTTTGGTTCTTGCAAGCCACATCAAATCCTTCGTGAATCAAAGTAAAGAAAGATAAGTAGAAAGGTAGACACACAGGACATCTGGACTGACAATCCACATTTAACTGATTCCAAAGCTCTTACTCTTTTTACTTTATTACGTTGGAGATATTTAGCTGAACAAAGTTTTTGTTTTGTTGGAGTTTCTGTTTATGCACCCTGTGGACTTTCTAGGGTACATCCAGACATATATCTTGGGCCTGCAGCAGGCCTTCAAGTAATTTCCTCTGGGATCATCCCCATCATCTCTCTTCTATCACCTTGACTATATATTTGAAATTTTTCATTTGAAATGCTGAGGATTCACAGGGAAAGAAAGTAGAATGGTGGCAGCCAGGGGCTGAGGAGGAGGACAGGAGTCTCAGTTTAGGATGATTTTTAAAGTTCTGAAGATGGATAGAGGTGATGGTTGCACAATAGTGTGAATGTAGTTAATGCCACTGAATTGTATACTCAAAAGGTTAAAATAGTAAATTCTATGTTATATATATTTTGCCACATTAAAAATAAATAATTTTAAAATGTTGGGGGACAGCAATTAATTATTCTGAAAATTTGCTATAGCAACAATGGTTACTCTTGACAATACACAGAAAAGATGAAACAAAAGTAGAGAGATTTACAAATATTGTTATATAAACATGAAAAAAATGAAGTAAAATACACTAAATAAGCCAGACCCCAAAAATAGTTTATTTTCTAAAAAAGAAAGTTATACACAGATTATTTGCTTTCAATAATAGAAAGTACCTACAGGAGTAAATGTTATCTTTGCCATTATAAAGAACCTTCAGGGGAATGAGGAAATAGGATGTTACTTCTAAGAATTTCCAATACATAACTGTGTGCTGTTCCTCAAAGCACTGTCTTCACCTATGTCTTACTCCTCCGTGTTAATGTTGTCATCTAGAAGAAAAATGTTGGATTAAGAGATATTCCAGGTCCTTTTCACCTCTAACATTTTATATTTTTGCCATCTTTTTCATGTTCTGTACAAGTCCTTGTACATTATACAGTTAGATAATGAGGACATTAACTAATTAAAAACCCAACAAACCTACCTCTCTGGATTCCTTTTATTTGCAAATCAAGTCGGAACTCCTTGGCATGGCAAAGAAGGCCTCCCATGCCTACAGTTCCAGCCTCCTCATCTCCCATCACTCTTACGTTTCCTAGACTATAATCATATGCCTTTACTCAAGTGCACCATACACCATGCCTTTACATATGCTCTTTCCATGGGCCAGAGGCCCCTGCAATGCCTCCTCTCTCCCAACACCCACTCTCTACATGGGTACCCATTCCTCTGCTTTACTCTGACATTTCCTTCAACCTAACTCAATTATCACCCCTTCAGTGAGCTCCTCTCTGACCTTCACTTTCCCATGCCCCCACCCCTCATTGTCAGCATCACCAACATAAAAGCAGTTGTTGTACCTTCTACATCCCCGTTTTCTACTTTCAACTATCCACTGCACTCACATTGAAAAAAAGCATTTTTTGGTAATATGCTTATCCCCACAGCAAGTGAATCTGTGTCAGAGAAGAGTCCCTTAGACTCCATCCCATGCCCAGTGTCTAGCATAGCACAGGTAGTGCATGGCAACTTTTCAGTTTTTATTGACAGTATAGAAGAAAGGAAGGGAGGGAAGAATGAAGGAAATCAACATTTCTATATGTCCCAACAAACTCCAGGCTGTTTTACTATGACATTTCTAAAGAATAATTTCTTATTTGTAAAAATAAGTGGAATAAATTCTGCTATGCTTGAGAGAAAAATAAATCCATAGTTCTAGTTGTCCCCATTAGTCATCCAGTGCCATAAATTAAACTTTTGCCTGGTGGCATATTAATCTACTTTCCCTTAAATTACACACTCATGCCATATGCTTTAAGCTACCAATCTCTATTAAATTAAGGAAATAGTAAAGATGATATGGAAAATCATTCAAGAAAATTACTTGAATTTTTCAGAAAGCCATGTAATTACTTCAGTCCTGGCTAAGGCAGTGTAAATGCCGTTAGAGTCAAACATTGATCAGCCTTCCCCTTTAACTTAGACTGACTCATTCATAACCCACCTACTTACCACAATAAGAATGCCCAATAAATCAGCCCAAAACATCAAATGGTATCTGAGGCAATGCATGAGATGACCACGTGTACCTATACACACACATGTGCATACACACAGATATGTACACACCTGTTTTCCTGCTCCTGAATTTCTCTTTGATGAAAAATTTAGACCCAAGCTGCACTCCAACTGAAGGCCAGATGTGTTTCCATGTTCTCCCTAGTATTCAAACAAGTGTGCCAGAGGAAAAAAAAAGAACTGGACAAACATGCCTGTAAGAAAGGGTTGATTCAATTCACCATCACTTTGGCCTAAATACAACTACTGGAATTTCCACATAGCACAGTAGATCAGACCCATTGAATGTTTTGGTCACCTTTGATGTCACTTCCCACACTGACCCCCCTTGCTAAATATGGGACCACCATACTGGAAATTAAGAAGCAAGACCCAGATCTAAATTTGCTTGCCCCCTCAATATAAGTTGTTCTTTTCCTTGTTCATTTCTAAAACATTCTTTTGAAAATTATAGCAAAAGGAGGTCAACCTGTCACATCAAACACAGATGTGACATCAACCAGCAAAGTTCTTCTCACAGGGATTCCCCACACGTGGCCTTAAAAGTAATGATAAAAATTTGATTTGGGTAATACCGGATACCCAAGATATATTTCTTGGCCAAGGACAATTGAAAGTTGGTTGTGTGTTTGGATTTCTGGATTCTTTGAAACCATGACCTATAATTCAAGGTATTTACTATGGTTTGGAAGTTTTGTTCCCTCCAAATCTCATGTTGAAATATAATCTCCAATGTTGGAAGTGGGTCTGGTGGGAGGTTTTTGGGTCATGGGGATGGATCCCTCATGTATGACTTGGTGCTGTCCCCATGGTAATGAGTGAGTTCTCACTCTGGTAGTTCACTTGAAAGCTGGTTGTATAAAAGAGCCTTATACAACCTCTCCTGCTCCCACTCTCACCATGTGACATGCTAGCTCCCCCTTTGCCTTACACAATGATTGGAAGCTTCCTAAAGCATCACCAGGAGCAGATGTTAGCACAATGCTTCTTAGCCTGCAGAACCGTGAGCCAAAAATAAACCTCTTTTCTTTATAAATTTCCCAGTCTCTGGTATTCCTTTATAGTGACACAAACAGACTAACATAGAAAATTGGTACAAAGTAGTGGGGCATTTCTATAAAGATACCTGAAGATGTGGAAGCATAGTGCCAGTATTTGCTTCTGTGGGGGCCTCAGGAAAGTTACAATCATGATGGAAGGTGAAGGAGGAGCCAGTGTGTCACATGGCAATAGAGTGAGTGAGGGAATAGAGTGAGGGTGAGAGAAAGAGAGAGATACCAGGCTCCTTGAAACAACCAGATTACACATGAACTCACAGAGTGAGAACACACTTATTACTGTGAGAATAGCACCAAGCTATTCTTGAGGGATCTGCCCCCATGACCCAAATATTTCCCACTAGGCCCATCTTCAACATTGAAGGTCACATTTCAACATGAGATTTGGTGGAGACAAAACATCGAAACCCTATCAGTATTCTTGAAGATCTTATAGTAGTTAGAAAGGCAGAATCCTTCTTCCGTCTTGTTTGTTCCCTCAAACCACATTGACTGAGGCCCTCCTGGGTACACACTTAAAAAAGAGCATGGTTTCTTTGAGGTTTCTTGGGAATGGAAAGAAACCTCAAAGAACATCATCCAGAGTGATATACTGGAGGTCTACTAGTTTTTTTGCTTGGCATATTTGGGTTCAAATCCCTATTCTGCCACTCAGCTGCCATGCCCTTGGCAAGCTATTTAACCTCCCTGAAACTCAGCTTCCTTATCTGTGAAGTGACAGTAATAATACTATCCTCAAAGGGTTGTTACAAGAATGAGGTTAGCAAACCTATATAAAGCACCTGGCATGATGCCTCCCTCATTAAATGTCAATTCCCTTCCCTGCTTTCTTTCCTATCTAGGAAGAGGCAATTGTCCAGGAAAAATAAAACTCATTCCTGGGAGGTCTGGAGTGACAACTGCTTCTACAGCATGGCACACTGCCAAATGGGAGACAAAGGCACAAAGGATGACTTTTGAGGTGAATGCTGTTTAGTCTTTGTGTTCCTGGTGTTGTCTCCTGGAGACTAATGGCAGAGGCACTGGCCACTTGCCTGCTCCCAAGAGCAGGCCATGGAGAAGCTGGTTTATTATGGGCATTTTGCACTCTGTACATGCATACACGGAGGCCTCTCAGCTCTCCCTTGGCCTCGGTGGCATTGCTTCACATAGAGAAGCCAGAATTGTGAGGCTTCCCCAGATGACTTAGGAGTGCATGACAACCCACATAAAACCATATTCTATTCAATAGAGAGAGAGGGGCTCCTGCTTTGGCCAGCTGAAACTCAGTTGCCACTTACAAATAAGGGAGAATTCCTTGGGCTAAAAGCACAGGTCCAGAGGTTGTCAGTTAAATAACATCAATTAAGTTCAGAGTTTTATCACCTCAACTATCTCATGCAATATCCTATAAGAATAAAAGGAGACAAAAAGAATGTGGTGAAGACATTAGAGAGTGAGAAATTTCAACAGATATTTGGAAGCAGAAAAGGGAGGGGAGAAGGTAAAATATGGCTATTCTACCAGAGAAGAGAATGCTATAATCTAAATGCCTATACTCTGCTAAATAAGAGTTTGTTGATTCTCACTGCAGAACCCTGAGAAGACCCCCAAGACTTGAAGGAATCAAGTTCAGTGGAAAGTAGGGGTGAGGATGGACTGGAGGACAGAGGTCTTAGCCTGCATTCCTATCCCCGTGATGCTGGCAGCCAGACGGATGCCTCTCCCACCCACTTATGCCCAGGTAGCAGACTAAAACATTCTTCTCTTGAGAAACTGAGGAGCTCTAGAGAAAATAACACAATGTACCATTCATGATTCTCCAAAAAGAGACTGACTAAAAAGTTGCTCAACTGCCCTACAGGAAACAGGAAAGCCCAACAATCGACAAGACCCACCCACATAGAGAGGGCTTGCTGTTAGCTTGTAATGCTCTTAAATACAAACGGACAATGATTGTCATGCATTTAAGAAAAGCCTTCTAAATGATATGAGTCAAAAACAAATAACAAAAAGGAACCTGGAAGAAAAATCAATACAATGCAGGGAAGAGATGAACTTTTAGAGAAAAAGAGTAACTGATATCTACAGCGATAAGATAAAATATTGCAGAGAAGAAACAAGAATAGGATGCTACCCAAATAATAGGAGAAGAGAATGAGAGAGCTATTAGAAACGAAAAGTACATTAGAAGAAATAAAAAGATTCAACACAAAGGGTAGAGATGAGCTTGAAAAAAGTCTAACATAAAGGAAGACAAAAAGACAAAGACATGGAAAATAATACAAAAGATCTTTAAAAATGAGAAAACAATCAATTACGCTCAGACATCTGACTGAGATGAGTTCCAGAGGGAGCAAAATGAGAATAGAAGGAAATAAATTATCAGAGGAATAGTGCAGTAACATTTCCAAGAATAAGACATAAATTCCCATATTAAAAGGGTCCTCACACTGCCCAGTGTAAAGAGAAATAGGACACACATCAAGGTACAACATCATGAAAGTTCGGACCAGAACTAGAGAGAATATACTAAGAAGTTTCCAGAGAGGGTGAAAAAAGTGCAGTTGGCATAAGAAGAACTAGAATCAGAATCATAGCTCTCAATTATAATACAAAAACCCAAAAGCAATGCCTTGTTTTGAGCAAAATATTTCTCAACCTGGAGCTTTATGCCTAGCTAAAATTTCAAACAAATGTAAGAGTAGAATAAAGACATTTTAAGACATGCAAGTTTTCGAAAAAGAAAAGTATCCCTTTTCTCAGGAAGCAATAGAGGATGTGCTCTCCCCAGGGCTCAACTTGACTTTTCTCCTGATTTGGATTTTCTGTTTTTTGGGTCCCATGTCAAAATGATATACACACTAAATATTGACGATGGAGGCCAATGGATAATGTAAATACACTGGGAGGATACAGAGTGGGGAAATGGGACTGGTGGTCTAAGGAAACTGAATCTTTGTTTACCAGAAGAGGAGGTCAATGGATTATGTCTAAACTAAAGAAAGCAATAACGGTGCTACACGCATGTATTATTTTGATAAATCTATATTAATTTAAAATAAAAAGGACCAAAGCTGAACTATGACTCACCATGCAATTTATACTGGTCACGTCCAAAGTATAAGTGACTAATGATCCAGTTCAAATGCATGGCAGAAGGAACCCTTCAAACATCTCTTTGAGATCTGAACTCAATTTGGTTTTCCTCTTCAAGGCTTCAGGAAAAAATAGATATATATTTTTAGCTCCAAGAACCTGCCAAAGTCCTCCCATATGAATTGTGGTTAAAAACTTCATGTCTCCCAAGCTGGTGAAAATAAGGGTCAAACTACAAAAGAAGATCTCAGCATGCTCAAAAATTCCATGGTTGCATTGACCAACGGGATAGTGGGAAATGGAGACAAAAGGCACATTTCTAGCTAATGGTGATGGAAGAAACCACACTTACCCCCTTTCTCTCCTAAATTTCCAATAAAAGGGACATGAGATAATTTTCTTTTTTTAAGGTATAAGCCTGGAAAAACAAAGAAAATGAGAGAAGATACAATAGCAAAAATATTTAGGAACCTGACAAGCAAAGAGATGAGTAATAACTGATTCAGGAGACCCATGGAAAAATTAAAATGCACAGTAACTGGTAGCAACATGGTCCTCTGGAAGAGAAAGGTGGAAATGGAAAATTGGGTAAAAATCTGATGAAGAATCAGATATCTAGATTCAGTGACCTATTCCACCTAGATAGACAATTTCCTTATCCCAATAAGACTGAAGGTTTAGTCTTTGTGGATGATAAAGTAGAACATCTCTGGAGGGAGAAGGACATACACTCCTCTTCCCCGTTAGCTCCCAGAATGTTGGCAGATAAGCGTCCAGCTTCCATTCAGCCTGGATCTCCTAAACTCAATCCATCCTCCCTCTTCATCCTCCCAAGCAGCTGGGACTACAGGGATGTACCACCACATCTGACTTTTTTTTTTTTTTTTGTATTTGCGTGTTGCCCAGGCTAGTCTCAAACTCCTGGGCTCAAGCAATCCTCCTGCCTTGGTCTCCCAAAGTGCTGGGATTACAGGCGTAAGCCACCACACCTGGTCTGGAAAATTTTTTTCTTAGCAATTTAGACCAGTCCAAGAGAAAAGTCCAACTACACTATATTAGAAATTCTGCCCCAAAACAGCTTAACTAGATAACAGAGAAGCCCACAATCCATAAGAACCACCCCCACCATTTTCTCTCTATCCATGTATACAGCTTACAACTGGAGTTTTACTTACTTGTATTTAGTTTTATTCTTTTTAGAGACAAGGTCTTGCTCTGGTGCCCAGGCTGGAGTGCAATGCTCTGATCATGGCTCACTACAGCCTCGACCTCCTGGGCTCAAACGATCCTCCTGCCTCAGCGTTCTGAGTAGCTGAGACTTGCAAGCTCGTGCCACCATACTCGGCTAATCTTTTATTTATTTATTTTTGCAGAGATTGGGCCTTGCTACATTGCCCAGGCTGGTTTCATGACCCTGGCCTCAAGCAGGCAGCCTCCCAAAGTATTGGGATTACAATACTGCCTCAGCCTCCTAAAGTACTGGGATTATAGGTGCAAGCCACTATGCCCAGCTTTACAACTAGAGTTCTAGTGTCCTTCTCTTAAATATGAGCAGTCAGGAAACGCCAGACATCTGACAAAAAATACATAATGAAATAGATGGAGATTAGAGAGAGACAGAGATAGAGAGAAGTGGGAAAGGGGAGAAACTGAGAGGAAAGAGATTTTTTAAGGAAATGGAAACTTTAAAAAAACTACTACCCTCCATACTTTACCACCACATCAACAGGGCTCCTGTACAATAACAGGGGATTTAGCTAAAAGAACTCCAAGCCGCAGACCCCATTTAAGGAGTCTCTAGGAAAACTCAAAAACAACCAGAGAGACAGAAACAAGAACATTAGAGGAAATTTTATTGCAATAAGGCAACCCAATTCCTCAAGAATTAGGCCTTAGAATTAGACTCTACATCAGTTCTTTTATCTGATACATCATATATGGCTTTCAACAAAAAATTATAAGCCATGCTAAAAGACAAAAACATAATCTGAAGTAATAAAGTATAAAAAACAGACTCAAATATGGCAGAGATTTTGCAATTATCAGACAGGGAATTAAAATAACTAAAATTAATATACTAATGGCTCTAATGGAAAAAGCGGACAGTATACAAAAATAGATGGATAATGTAAGCAGAGAGAGGGAAACTCTAAGAAAAAAAAAAAAAGGAAATGCCAGAAATAAATTTTAAAAAACAGTGTAAAAGAAATGAAAAATGACTTTGGTGGACTCATCAGTAGAATGGACATGGCCAAGGAAAGAATCAGTGAGCTCAAATATATGTCAGTCACTAGAAACTTTCAAAACTGAAATGTAAAGAAAAAAAAAAAGATAGAACAGAATATACAAGAACCTAGGACAATTACAAAAGGTATAATATATGTGTAGCAAGAATACCAGCATGAGAAAAAGAGAAAGAGACAAAGAGAGACAGGTAGGGTGAGAGGGAGGGAAGGAGGGAGGGAGGGAGGAAAGGAAGGAAAGAAGGAAGGGAGGGAGGAAAGGAAGGAAAGAAGGAAGGGAGAGAAGGAGGGAGCAAGGGAGGGAAGGAAGGAATTTAAAGTAATAATGGCTGTTCCTACAGTGGAACAAGGATAAGAATTGCATTGAACTTCTCATCAGAAGCCCTGTAAGCAAGAAGAAAGAAAAGTAAAATGTTTAAAGCATTGAATGAAAAAAAGCAAACAAAGTCAAAAAATACCAACTTAGAATTCTGTAGCCAGCAAAATTACTCTTCAAAAGTGAAGAACAAATAGGCTTTCTCAGATGAACAAAAACCGAGTAAATTTATCACCAGTAGACCTACCTTGCCAGAAATGTTAAAATAATTTCTTCAGAAAGAAAGAAAATTATGCAAGTCAAACTCAGATCTACATAAGGAAAGGAAGAATATTAAAGAAGAAATAAATGAAGACGAGATAAAATCTTTTTTCTTAATTATCAAATAAAAGTTTGTTAAAAGTAATAATAGTAATCATACATTTAAGGATCATAGCTTATGAAAAAGTGAAATCAGTAACAGCAATCTTATAAGGGACAGGAGGGATGATTGGGAATTCTCTATTATAATCATGAAGCAGTAGAGTGTTACTTAAAAGTGGATTTGGATCTGTTGTATATGTATATTGCAAATTCTAGGGCAATCAAAAAGAAATTTTTTTAAGTATAATTAATATACTAAGATAAAAAATAAAATAAAATTTTGTAAAATGCTAAATTAAAACCAGAGAAGACAAAAAAGATGGAAGATAAAAATGAAACACAGAAGGGAGACTTATAGAAAAGAGTTACAAATATGGTAGACATTAATCCAACTATCTCAGTAATCACCTTAAAAGTGAGTGACTTAAATATGCTAATTTGAAAACAGAGACTGTCAGCATGGATAAAAAAGCAAGACAAAAAAAAAAAAAAAAAGCAAGACCTAACTATATGTTGTCCACAACAACAAAAACAACAGAAACTATCACATTTACCTTCATTGAGAGAAGGGAATAAAAAAGAAGTCTTAGAAATTAAGAATATGATAAAAGCAATTAAAAATTCAGTCAAAACATTGAAATACAGGTTGAGAAAGTCTTCCATAGAGTACAGAAAAAAAACCACACACACACACACACACACACAGAAGGAGAAATAGAAAAAAATAAGAAAATTAGAAAATCCATCCAGGACACAGTAAAAGTTAAAAGTATTTCCCAGGCCATAATTCCAGAAGAAAATTCTAGAGATTCAAAATACCACAACCTCAATCCTCCCCTAAACATTTATTGGGCACTCATTTCATACCTGTACCATGACAAAGACCAACATTTGACACAAAACCCGTATGAAATTGTTCCTTCCTTGTTCTAATAAGTGTGTAAGGTGCACTGCATGAATGTTCATGATTTGGAAAATCTAGCCATGGTTTCCTCCTGAATTTCACATTGCCAGATATAAGCCCAAGTGCCCTCTGGCCTGGTCCATGCCTACAGACCCAGGCAGGCAAGCAGTGCCAGAGCATGGAGATTGTAAATGGTATCTGAGTCACTCAGTACAGTATGCCAGCTAACACAAGCTTCTGTGCCAATATTCGTGCCTTCTTGTCAGTTCAGCCTTACCCCTGGCACATATATATTCTGATTCATCTGGCCTTCACTCCAGGACTTCAGGTAAAATAAGGACCTTTGGCCAAAAGAACATGCATAAAATTGGCCACAAATACTATAGGAGCAAAGGAATGAAGAAAAATGGAAGCTCGGCATTCAGGTACATTTACTGAGGGCCCACCCTTCTCTGGACACAGCATGAGTCACTGAGGGTACAAAATTAACAAAATGTACTCATATTTATGACAAGGGACCCCCTCATAGTGTTGTTATGATGGCCAGAAAAACTAGATAAAAACTAAATATTTGAAAATTTTAAAAAAGATTATTTAAATCATGGTAGAGCCATATGAAGAAAGGGATAACATAGGCTTTAATAATCACAGAGAGATGGATTTATATGTAAGGACAGATGTTTATCACTGAGCAAGGGAAGAGATGGCAAAATAGAATCTATTTTTGATTCCAACTTTGTTTTTTTAAAAAAGCACAGAGAGCCCATCTAATACGTCTGAATCAGGATTTCTCAGCCTCAGCACTACTGATGTTTTAAATTGGATAATTCTGGGTTGTGGGGGCTGTCCTGTGCATTGTAGGATGTTTAGCCACATCCTGGCCTCTACCCAATAGGTGCCAGTAGTAACTCCCCAGTCATGACAACCCAAAATGTCTCCAGACATTGTCAGATGTCCCTGGGAGGCAAAACTGTCTGCAGCTGAGAATCACTGGTCTAAATGAAGAAGTCTGGAAGGGCACGCAGCAGAGATTTTGATTCTCACTATTCAACAAAGTCTTCACCATGGCTGCTCTCTCTGCTTGGTAGAATAACAGGTGATTTGTCTTTTCATTTCATTTCTTTTCTTTTCTTTTCTTTAGAGGGAAGAGGGCCTCTGAGGTGTCTTTAAAGATTTTCATGGCATAAGCATAGGTTTTCTGAGAAGCTATTATTTTAAAAATACTGCACAGTCAAGATGAAACAAAGAACTCACTTGGTCAACAGAGTTTGTTAATAAACTCAAAGTGAAATGTACTATTTCTGCACATGGACTTGGGATGTTCAACTTAGATATATTTGAAAGAGATGATTTTTTAAATTCAGAGAATAACAGCATTTTGGAGTTGGAAAAGACCTCTAGCATTCCTCTAGCTCAGGGGTAGACAAACTAAGGCCATGGGTCAAATCCAGCCTGCTACTGCTTTTGTAAATAACATTTTTTGGAATCCAACCATGGGAATGGTCTGTGGTGGCTTTCACACTACATCAGCAGAACTGAGTGGTTGCCACAGAGACTGTATGTCCCAGAAAGCCTAAAATATTTACTGTCTGATCCCTTGCAGAAGGATTGTACCCATCCTCTCTCCATGTGCAGGTATCTCCTCTAGGACATTAGGCCTTGGCTGGTGGCCTCCGTTTTTAAAACCATCAGATCTCATGAGACTCATTCACTATCATGAGATTAGCACAGGAAAGACCCACCCCTATAATTCAATCATCTCCCACTGGGTTCCTCCCATGACACGTGGAAGTTGTGGGAGTTACAATTCAAGATGAAACTAGGGTGGGGACACGGCCAAACCATATCATTGAAGGACTAACCTCAGTCTATGCACCACTCTAATAAGATGCCAATGAATCATCATCCCTCAAGATGGTACTTCTGCCACCAACCTAGCAGCCTTTCAGAGACTTCCCTCTGATTAAGCCACAGAGATGGGTGGTGTTTTCTGAGCGTTGAATTCTGAGATCAGAGGCAGGTGGGAAGTAACAACTGAGCTTATTGGAAGATGACTTTAATTGCCTGAGAAGAAACTACAATTCTCCTTGAACTCCCCAGAGAAATTTCAAAAACTCCAGAGCAGCTCTGAGCACAACTACACATTGGTGACCAGTAAAATATCTCACATTGAGATACATGAAAATATCTACCAGTAAAATAGCTACCAGTAAAATATCTCACATTGAACATACTCTCACATTGAACACATCTCACATTGAACATACTTTCACAAATTGGAGGGTGCTGTTAGGGAATGCAAGGGGAGGCAGTGGACTGACACAAATTAAACTTGATAGTGAGGCCTTTCACAGACATACCACAGCAGGGAAGAGGGTTTCACATAAACCAGATGGCAAAACAGGGCTTCTGAGAGTGAGGAGCTATTCCCATCTTAAAAGACTCGGGTCTTCCTGTCTCTTTTCAAGAGAAAACTCAAGGGCATTTTCCAAATCAGGCTCATAAGGACCAAAACTCTTAAAAGCCTGCAAAAATATAAGAAAATTAAATCAGTAAGTACCAAAATTATATATAACTAGTTCACCATCCCTAGATTTTCAAGCTTTGAGCAGAGGAGCAGATGTGAAGTGATGATAAGAATCTGTTTCTGAGACACTAAAGACAGTAGGTTTGAACACAGATTCTAAAATCTTCTAAAGAATAGTACCACATTCATAGCATTTTAAAGACACAAAATTGTGTAAGGTACAAAGGATTGGTTATATGAAACTTGTCAGAATCCTTCCCCCATCATGAGATGGTGCAGGAAACAGGGGTGGGATGAGGTGGCAGGCAAGGATAGCTTGATCACAACCAATTAGCCTGGGATTGTGGAACCATGGTTGGGATTTGGATTCCTCTGGAGCCACAGAGGTGTTGGGAGCCAGGAGCCCACCAGGTCAATGTCTGTTGGGGAAACTGAGATTCAGACCAGGAGACCTCTGGACCATAGTCAGACAGCAGCTAGAACTAAGTTCAGAGCTAATAAGGCAGATTGTGAGCAAAAAAAGCTTGGAAATGCTGAAGGTGTACCCCTACTATGTGGAGATTGGTAGCTCACTTTATGAATCAGTATATGAATGCCATAAGAGTGTAACTCACACTGTCTTAAAGAGAAGAAGGGTAGACAAAACAAAATTCAGTAAGAAATCCACATCAGTTACCTGCTTGCCCACTCTGCAAGATAATATAGATGGTCAAATAAATGAAGCTGATTTTCCTTGATGTTCTCCCAGTCTCATTTTGGTATCTTCACACAAAGTGAGAGTTACTTACAATTCTGCCTTAACTCATTTGTGGCAATAATATTATCCTTCAGTTGTGAAACCATAATTCTGTTCCCAAACAGATGGGCCATTAGAAACCTAAACTTTCTAAACACACTGAGAATCATAAGGGAATCCTTGTATTGAAGAGCACGTGTCTCTCTCAAGATGGACATGAGATCTCTTGTGGGTTTTCCCAGGACTTGGGAAACTCATCTTAGATTGCTGGAGAGCCCTCATTACTCAGCCTTTGTCACCTCCAAAATGATGTTTTCTATCTTCTCCTGCTTCCTTATTTTCCTCTTCCTTCATCTTTTTTCATCTTCTTCCCTCCTCCTTCTCCTCTTCTTCTTTTTCTTTATTTTTCCAAAATTTATTATGTGAACGATAAATGATCCAACTTCATTTTTGACAAATATTTTGCCAATGGCTGCAACACATTTTATTGAGATAACTATCCCTTCCTGACCAATTTTAAAAACCTAATTTTAGTTTTCTTTTTTTAGTTTGTTTGTTTGTTTGAAACAGGGTCTCGCTCTGTAGCCCAGGCTGGAATGCAGTAACAGAATCATAGCTCATGGCAACATTGAGCTCAAGCAATCCTTCTGCCTCAGCCTTACAAGTACCTAGGACTATAGACACATGCCACCACATCTAGCTGCTTTTTTTTTTTTTTAGAGATGGGATCTTGCTATGTTGCCCAGGCTGGTCTTGTAATCCTGGCCTGAAGCAATTCTCCCATCCTGCCCTAGCCTCCCAAAATGTTGGTATTACAGGCAAGAGACACTATGCTCAGCCTTAAAAAGCTTTCTTGATTACATATAAAACATATATATACATATATGTGTGTGTGTGTGTGTGTGTGTGTGTGTGTGTGTGTGTGTGTATATATATATATATATATATATATATCTCAAACTCCTGCCTGCTTCTTGGTTATTGTGATGCTTCAACTTTGATCAGAGGCAGTAAAGACATACTCCTCCTCTTCCCCTAAGAGTAGCAGTATTATCTTATGAGGTTTTCTGAGTACATTTAGGAGCATCCTTTGGCAATGAGGTAAGTATAGCTCTGTGCTAGAAGGAAGGTAAGTGCATCAAATCTTCTACAAATTGAATAGCATATGAGCACCCCCATAACAGTTATAGGTATAGAAATAAAAGGAGAAATGGGTTGACTAAGATGCTATCAAATCATGACATGAAGTTTCAAAGCACCCTGTAGTTCCACCCGAGGGAAGAGTTATATTTATAAATATAAATATATTGTCCTTAAATATATATATATATATATATATATATATGGATGTGGATATATTTGGATCCATATATATATTTATTATGTTTACATATATAAATATTATATATATATATCTATCTCAATTTCTGGGCTCTTTATTCTGTTTTATTCATCTCTGTCTGTCTACATGTGAATCCATGCACACTGTTTTAATTGTTATAGCTTTATAATATATTTTTCTAATAGCAAAAATCCTCCCTCATTGTATTCTTTGTTTCTTAAAAATAACTGTCCTTTTATTTCTAATTTTATGAGATTACTTAGAAATAAATATTACCTTTTAACATCAATTTATCTAGTAATGAAATAAATTTCTAATACTGAACCATCTTTGAATTTCTGGCATATTTACTTGGTCATGATATAGCTACAGTCAATTTAGTAATGCTTTTAGAATTTCTGCATCTATATTGAGAAATGAGATTGGCAGTAGTCGTTTTTCCCTACTCAGATGGTATATTTTCTGAGAAAATTTTTAACCAAAATTTGCAAAGTTGAGCTTATTATATTTCTAATTTCTAAAATCCATAAGACCAAATAGTCCTAATGAGAAAAGATAATCCTATACACCAACAATAGACAAGCAGAGAGCCAAATCATGAATGAACTCCGATTCACAATTGCTACAAAGAGAATAAAACACCTAGGAACACAGCTAACAAGGGATGTGAAGGAATTCTTCAAGGAGAACTGCAAACCACTGCTCAACAAATAAGAGAGGACACGAACACATGGAAAAACATTCTATCCTCATGGATAGGAAGAATAAATATCGTGAAAATGGCCATACTATCCAAAGTAATTTATAGATTCAATGCTATTCTCATCAAACTACCATTGCCATTCTTCACAGAATTAGATAAAACTACTTAAATTTCATATGGAATCAAAGAAGACCCCATAGACAATCCTAAGCAAACAGAACAAAGCAGGAGGCATCATGCTACCTGACTTCAAACTATACTACAAGGCTATAGTAACCAAAACAATATGGTACTGCTACAAAAACAGACATATATACCAACGGAACAGAACAGAGGCCTCAGAAATAACACCACACATCTACAACCATCTGATCTTTGACAAACCTGACAAAAACAAGCAATGGGGAAAGGATCTCCTATCCAATAAGTGGTGCTAGGAAAACTGCCCAGCCATATGCAGAAAACTGAAACTGGACCCCTTCCTTACACCTTTGGAATTAACTCAAGATGGACTAAAGACTTAAATGTAAAGCCCAAAGCCATAAAAGCCCTAGAAGAAAACCTAGGCAATACCATTCAGGACACAGGCATGAGCAAAGATTTCATGAGGAAAATGCCAAAAGCAATTGCAACAAAAGCTAAAATTGACAGATGGGATCTAATTGAACTAAAGAGCTCCTGCACAGCAAAAGAAACTGTCATCAGAGTGAACAACCTACAGAATGGGCGAAAATTTTTGCAATCTACCCACCTGACAAAGGTCTAATATCTAGAATCTACAAGGAAGTTAAACAAATTTACAAGAATAAAATAAACAACCCCATCAAAAAGTGGGCAAAGAATATGAACAGACACTTCTCAAAAAAAAGACATTTATGCAGCCAACAAACATGAAACAAAGCTCAACATCACTGATCATTAGAGAAAGGCACATCAAAACCACAATGAGATATCATCTCATGCCAGTCAGAATGCTAATTATTAAAAAGTCAAGAAACAATAGATGCTGGCGAGGCTATGGAGAAATAGGAACACTTTTACACTATTGGTGGGAATGTAAATAAGTGCAACCATTGTGGAAGACAGCGTGGTGATTCCTCAAGGATCTAGAACCAGAAATACCATTTGACCCAGCAATCCCATTACTGGGTATATACCTAAAGGAATATAAATCATTCTATTATAAATAAACACGCCCACGTATGTTTATTGCAGCACTATTTACAATAGCAAAGACATGGAATCAACCCAAATGCCCATCATCAGTGATGGACTGGA